>NC_000015.10:60151874-60776874 GCF_000001405.40 Homo sapiens | reverse complement strand
GGAAGGAGGAAAAATAGGGCAAGGAAAAAGGGAGGCAGGTTGCAGGTTTAAACAGAATGGTAAGGATAGGACTGCATAAATCCAAAGACGGTAATTGCACTGTTACTGATGCCATGTCTAGACAGTCCTTGGTTTAGAGAAAGATTTAAGGACTCTTTACAAGAACTCCACTCCCCTAACCAGACCTGGACCCCAAACCCTGGGGACCCCATACCTTGTCTTTACCTTTTACAGCCACGGCTCAATTGCAAGCTTCTTACCCTTTTAGTGCAGGATCTACGCTCTGCTGTGCCTATCTCAGTTTGGTTTGCATAATTTAAAAGGAGCAGAAGAGCACGTGTACTTAAAGAAAGCCTGGTTGTGAAGTCTCTGATGCTCCTTCCTTTCTTTCTCCCCAGCACCCAGCTCTCTGTAGGTGCTCACTAGCCTCCCAGGCCTTTGCTCCCCAGCAGGCAGCCTTTTGCGTCTTTAAATGCCTGGACAGAGTTCCGCCTGTTTTATTTCCCTCCTCTCCTGAAGACCTTGCCAGATTACCTAGCCATCTGACAAACTAGTCCAAGATGAAGGGGAAGGGGCTCAAGAATGGGAAGAGTGAGGTGGGAACCACAGAAGATTCAGTCTGAAGTGTGTCTAATAAGAGTGGCGGGGAGAGAAAGGGAGTAGGAGTTGGGACGAGGCCTGCTCCTGCAAGCTGGTCATGAGTGCCTTCATCTCAAGCTGGTTGGTCATCACAATATCGTGGGTGCTGTCTACACTCAATTCTAGCCGAGCCAGCAAAATACCTTCCCTTCAACAAAGTTTCAGGTTCCCATCGAATTACCGATAAGGACTAAGCCACAGAATTGGAGGTTGAACTAGTTCACACACAGTTATTGCTGACTTCTGCACATCTGACGCCTCCTCTGGCACTTAGGGATGGAGGAGATGGAGTCAAAGGGTAGAAGGAGTCGAAGCCCCAGGTAGGAGATGTTTTTCCCCTGCCGCATTGTATTCCATAATGACCCAGCCATGAAAGGACGGGGTGCTTCACAAGACAATTCTTCTATGTCAGTAATTTTAAACCTAAAGAGGTTTGATGTCCCATAAGCATATTCATCTTTCCATGTTTATTAAATTAAGCCCTCCGTGAATCTGCAACACCATACTGTTCATTAATAGGAAAAGAGACCGTTGTTTCCCCCCAGGGAATATGTTGGCTCAGATCTGTTCCAAGGTAGGCATAAATGAATTGTGCGTGTGTGTGCTCGTGCCTTGAGTAGGGGGTAATCAGGGAGGGGAAAAGAGCAAAGAGGGAAAGAAGGAAAAGAGATCTTAAAGCTTAGACCAGAAATATCCAAGAAGGATTTTTATCAGAACTAAATTTCAGTACTCCTGGCGGAGTGCCTAGCAAGATATTAGTTTTTATAAAGAGAAAAAGGAACGTGTTAATTGTAGTGTCTCCATAGGAAGAAAACTGCAGATCTGTTCAAGAGAACCCCCACGCAAATTTGAAAACAGCTTACATATAGGAAAATCAGGGGTTTTTTTCCTTCTAGCAACATTAACATAGTCAAACAACTGAAGAGAGAATTCTATTAACGAAGTCAGTCCCATCAAGTTAAAGCCTAGTAATACCACCATCAGGGCTCGGTGGGGAATCTAATCTTTTGCAGCTTGGACCAGAATAACATGGAAAACCCATCCATTTAGAGTCACGTTACTACTAGTGCTGAAGGCAAATTCAGGAAGCCCGACACAAGTTTACGGAACTTAAGAGAGAAGGGTTGAAAGAAGAAAGAAGGTAAAAGATATTCTGGCAGCCACATGAATCATAGGTAAGAAATCTTAGACGTGTGGGGTGTCTCAGGCCTCACTTGTTTCAGGACAACACACTTTCTTCAACGAATGTTACAGTAACATACTCAAAATATCAGTCACAAAGGAAGTTGAGGAAATGTGTTGAGTAATCATGAATTGATACTATAATTACCCTAAATTTTCAAGTTTCCAGTTAAAGCCAATGGTTGTTTTGTAATAGAATCTAAGGAACATGGTTATGCTGTGGGTTCAACAAAAGAGAAAGCTTTCGTCCTCAATTCTTAGGCTCTGCTTTAGGATGAAATTACCATGGAAGTGGCAGACTACAGCCTTTAGAAAGAGACCAGCAAATGACTTCTGTCCATTCAGAAATACCAGTGGCCAATGTGGTGTATCTCATGAGTTTAGTGTAAAGGAAGATAAAGACTGTGGGTATTTGTGTTACCTAGATATGGGTGCATCCGTTAGGACTCCCAAATACCACTAAGACTGGTAGCCGCCCAGGGCAGTAAGCAGGGTAGGGAAACCAGAGACGGGCTTTCTCTTTTCTTGGCATACACTCTACTAGCAGAAGCGGGAATACCCACAGCCATGTGAGGAAGAGTCCTTAGGAAGGGATGTCTGGTGGAGGATCTGTGAAGGAGATTGGGCCTCTGTGATCCTTCTGAAGTCTCTGTTGATGGCCTCTCAGGATGAAGCCATTTCCATTGTTGGCTCTTGGATTAGGACAGATTCTGAGATGGAGACATCACAGAATGGCGCCACAGATTTGACGATGAATATCATGACTGGCCTTGACATTGAAAAGTACTACGCAGACTCACCTGACCCAGATGCTCTGACAAAAGCCAACCCATTCAGAGCGATAACATGATCAGGTTCCCTGAGGTAGAAAGCAGGGAACTGCCCTTTTAGGAATCCCCAGAAGCCGTGGCTGTGGGTGTCCGCCAGGTCCTCCAGTCTGAGTCAGGCCAAAGGCACGTACTGTTGTCAAAGGGTCTCACAGCTGTGCCACGTTAGTGATCTCTACACTGCTGCTGAATGCTCCTGACTTATGCCTCCCCAGACAGCCAAACAGAATTGCATGAACAATTAGCATCTTAAAGCTGGGAGAAAAGAAGTATTTCAGTGAAACAGGTATAGCTATCCTCAAGTCTTTCTTATGTATTACATAAATGTGAAGCACACCTTTTCAAAAACAGAGTTCTTGGCCTCTGCCCTTGGGAAATTTCCATATCTAGGTAGGGTAGTGTCAAGTCTGCTTGGCCCGGTAGCTCTGGATGTTTCCAGAGTCGATACTGACCTGACCTTTCTTGAGTCTTTATGTGCGTATCAATTCAGTGGCTAGAAGTTGCCCCTGAGTTCTTGAGTTTGTCTGGACTCTTCTGCCACTGTGTGACCTTCACTAAGTTATTTCTCTTTTCTAGGTCTCATCACTTTACCTCTAACATGGAGAGTTCTCTTGCTTTCAATTCTCTCTTTTGTAGCCAGACTTAATAGTTATCGGGGTATCACTTAGTGAAGTAGATTTTGGAGTAAATCAATATTAGTAAAAGTATTGGTAAAATCAGGATTGGTAAAAAGTACCAATGTAAATTTTTGAAGTTCATAACTCAGCTGTGATTGCGTAAGAAATTATTCCCATTCTCGGGAAACACACACTGAAGTATGTAGAGCTAAAGGACCATGTATATACTATATCCTCAAACGGTTCAGAAAACAAATATGTACATCCATGTAGAGCAAGAGAAAGAGAGAAAAAAAAGGTTTTCAGTAAATCACTATGAATGATAAAGCCAGCACCGAGTATATAAAGATCATTCTTCAAGTCAAAGTTCACTGTAGATTTTTAAAGCCAAGAGCCCGCCGGAAAGCCTGTGACTCCCTGTGTTCCAGTTTTCATAGACTTGTCAAGATGGATCAAGGCTTCATCCTCACAACCTTCAGGTGCAAATGAGCTGTCAAGGGAGGTTTTCAGAAAGCAATAAAGAGCCCCTTCCTTAGAGGCCAAGAGAGTCTGGGTCTCCCATTTTAGTCAAAGAAAGCTAAATGGAACTTGCAACTCAAACTATGTAATGATTCACCCCATGGTAATAAAGCAGCCCTGGAAAACTCCCTGGCGGGATTAATCTTAATCGGCAATTAAGATAAAGTCTGGGCACATGCTAATCCAGGGCTTAATCGGAGACATTTTAATGTGCTGCCATGGTGTGGATATAAGACTAGGATTCCACTAATTGAGCCTGGAATGTGGGTGTGAGGAGGAGGAATCGCAGTGCAGGGGTTGCCTGTAGATCCAGCAGTGAAATGAGGTTTTGCAGGAGTGTTGGGCAGTCTGGGCTAGGACGGCCCCCTACGTGTGGCTCACCTTGCCATTCATGAACGCTCCATCTTTTCTGTAGAGCAACAGGAGCAAAAAGGCAAAGCAAGTTCCTAACAAGATATACAGTAGACGTCTTGCTTTACTTATCACGTTTTGAAAGCCCTGGTGCATGAGATGATGACTCACACAAGGTAGGTGTGGGTACCCATACGAGGAAAAGCAAAATAGTTTTTTAAAGAGAAACATTTAAAACAGCTTTTAAAGAAAGTTAAAGCTGACATTATTACTCTGTGGTATTTTTCCCTAGAAATTTATTTTTTGCATATTTCTAAAATCCAGGCAATCACGAGGTAGTTTTTAAATATAAATTTCCAGTGACCAAGACTTAGTACCCTAGGTTAGCAAGAGAATCCTGCCACCTGCTTGCCAGCTACTTTTGTCTCCAATTGTGTCATTTTAAAAATCCCACCTTGAACTGAACAATGAGAACACTTGGACACAAAGCGGGGAACATCACACACCGCGGCCTGTCAGGGGGGTGGGGGCCTGGGGGAGGGATAGCGTTAGGAGAAATATCTAATGTAAATGACGAGTTGATGGGTACAGCAAACCAACATGGCACATGTATACCTATGTGTCAAACCTGCACGTTATGCACTTGTATCCTAGAACTTAAAGTATAATATAAATAAATAAAAATAAAAATAAATAATAAAATAAAAATCCCACCTTGTCAGCCATGATTTGAAAATTTGTTGCTGGCATGTACCCTGAAATTCTCATGAGCAACTCAAGGATCCAGTTTAAACAGAATATACTTAGAGAAGTTTATTCCATGTTCTTGGCCTCATCACTAAATGCACTGCAGCACCGTGCTACCTATGTTTTTCCAAGATCTCGTGTATCCTCATGATCCTGAGAGGTAGGGGAGGAACCAGGCCCTTCTCCCAGATGAGACAACTGATCTACAGAGAGAACAAGTGGCTTGCCCACATAAGACTGTGTTTTGTATTACTTATTATTCACTTGTCCATGGGAAATGAACCTGGCTATCAAGTTTTTAATGAGGTATATGATGAAGTTCATGTATGGGGTTCGTGCTAACATTCTGGAGAACAGGTTGAGCCTTCCCTCAATGCAGGGAAAGAAGTGTGAGAAACATGAAGCTGCAAAAGAGAGCAGCTCGGTGACAATCAATAGTGGCCTTTTCTATCACTAGGTATCCCTTGAGCACCAACTATATGAAAGGCCTAGTGCTGGACACTGCAAAGTGCACAAAGAAACATAAGGCAAGGTCACTGCTACCCAAGAGCTTGTGTCCTCTTGGAAAGAATACAGTATAGAGATGAAATGATAGCTAAGCTCCCAGGCAAGTGTGTGAGATGTACCAATGAATGGGCCACACAGAACGAGCTCACTGGTCTAAAAAGACCAAGAGATTACTTTTGGCTGAGTGTTCAGGGAAGGCTTCCCTGAGGAGGCAGTCTTGAATAATCCAGGGCGAGAGAAGGAAAGGAGGCATTCCAGATGGGAAAGTAACTCAAACTCAGTGGAATGGAGGGTAGGGGGAGTTGGATATAGCAGAAAATAAGGCAGAAAGAAAAGAGAGTCAGTCTATGGGGGACCCAGAAGTCCTACCTTAAGAGTTAAAGCTTGTTCCCTTATGCGCTATGGATAGGGTTGCCAGATTTAGCAAATAAAAATACAACATGCCCAGAGAGGTTTGAGTTTCAGATAAACAAAGAATAATTTTTGATATAATTATGTCCCAAATATTGCATGTGACATACTTATACAAAAATATTATTTGGTGCTTATCTGAAATTCAAATGTACCTGGGTATCTAGCATTTTACCTGACAACCTTAACTGTGGAGTTCTTGAAGATTTTGGAGTAGAGGAGTCCCATGAAATTAAATCTCTTCCAAAAAGGAGCCTGAGAATCATACATCAAGAGCCGTGAAAACTAGCCAGGCATGGTGAAGCATTCACGTAGTCTCAGCTACTCAGGAGGCTGAGGCAGGAGGATCTCTTGTGCCCAGGAGTTTGAGGCTGCAGTGCACTATGATTGGGCCTGTGAGTAGCCACTGAGCTCCAGCCTGGGCAACAAAATGAGACTGGGTCTCTAAAAAACAAACAAACGTAAAGGAGCACGAAACCTCACTCATCCTACACTTTCCTTTATGGGAAAGCTCATTGGAAATTTTATGCCCCATCTAAGGGGTTCCCTGTAGCTGAAACTCATGAATTACCTGGTTATGAGATATAAGCTTAATATGAACCATGAATTCAATAATGTCACAAATGAGGCAGTTGTCCCTGGGAAGGCTGGTTAATGTAGAGCTGAACTGGGCTTTGAAAACATAATTTCTTACAAACCCCTGACTTCTAGGCTTTCCACACCTGCCTGTATGTGCTGGTCAGTTAAGAAACACAAAAGGAGATCAGACATAATAGGCACAACATTAAAAACATAATAGGAAAATTACATTGGACTTCTATAATTTTCATTAAAATCTCTTTTCTCCAAGAAAAAAAAAGGAATATCTTTTTTGAACATTTGTAGTTTTTAGAATTTAAATGGGCAGCATTCAGAAACAAAAAGCCCTTTAACGAAGGTGTAAATTGTGCCTTTTTAAAATGACTTTTCTTCCCTACCCTAGTACCCACAGTAATGAACACTCCTACCCAATCAAAATATGAAAACAAAATTGGAGCTGTGTCAGCATCTTGGCTGCAAATAAAACTCAAAACAGGTTATAGCACATGCTAGGAATACAAAATAAGGTTAGAAATAATGCTTCAGCTGTGAGTTCTTCAGGCAGTGGAAATAATAGAGCATAATTTAGTAGAAGAGGAACTAGGCAGTCAGCATACACAGGGAAAATGAAAGAAGCAAGAAAAATGCAAGGGGTAGGAAACAGGGTTGGAAGAAATTGGAGGGGGACAATGGGTGGCTAATTATTAGAGGAAAAGAAAGGCCCAGCCTGGTCAGAGAACATTCAGGAGCATAGAGGGTGGTCTGCTTGAAGAAACTGCTGGTAATAGTGAGTTTTCCGAGGTGATTCCAAATGGATATCAGACATCAGAGAGGCACACTCGTGGCATGAGAGTTTATAACATCAATATCTAACTGCCAATGAGACCAGAAAGAAGGAATCCACTGAGACCTAAGCAGGCTTCTGCTACCTGGTGACTAGAACATTCAAGGATGGTTTATTTTATTAGTCTAAGATTATCCCCTAAACCCTAACCAAATTTGCAGAGCAGCTCTGTAGTTATCTTGGCTTACAGGTGCATATGTCAGCTCACAGTGCTCAACCAAATGGGTTTTTTTTGTTGTTCTTTTTGCAACTTCATCGAGATATTACTAGTCCAGATTCCCCCTACCATGTAAGAGCACCTAACCCTGGTGAATAAAGACGAGACAAAAAGAGTTAACAGGTTTTCTGCTTCATATTATATTTGCAAGAGGCTTATCGAGACAGTTATCTCAAATAGCAGTTTGCACATTTACTTTCATTCTAACTCAATTAAAGATTATTTTTCTTAAATATTTATCATGGAAGTTCATTTGCCTTTGCTTTACTTCCTGGGACTAACAGCTAAGAACCTGTTATTAAGGGAAAGGGGTGGCCCTTCTTTACTCTCTGTTCACACCAGGTAAAATCGTTCTAAAATGTGGTCGCTAGCGTACACCAATCTTGAATAGGGCATTAGTTGCCTGATTAGGATGTTGACCGAAGTTTCACAAGCTGTGTTCACTGTGCACGTTTTAAAAATAACCACACATGCAGTACACATTCAGTGAAGATTTGTTAGGGAGGAGAAATGAAATAATGCCGATTGAAACTCCCCTAAATGTACTACAGCCTCTACTCTGCATCCTTTCTTGAAATAATCATTGTGTGGAGAAGACACATCATTGCCAAAGTCAGCTCCTCCCTCCCACCTGGTCAGTCCTTTCTCATTGTCTGCATGTGATGAGTTCATTAGAAATAACAAAAATCCATTTTATCAGGCCAGCCTTCACCTCTGTCTGTCAGTGCACCTGCTCTTAATTTTACCACTTATGATTCAGTTGTGAGATGGATTTTAAGCTTTGGCCTCTGGTTTGGTTTATTCCATGCTTGTACTGCTCCATATTGATTTTTGTTAAATGAGGCCTTTAGTGCTTAGCTGTAGAGGCAATTATTTAACGCTTTCAAAAATAGTATGGGAGTGGAAAATAAAAACTGAAAGTTCAGTTGAGGTCCAGCCAGTGATTTGGAGGCATATTGGTTTCCCATAACCCACATGAGAAAGAGACATTCAGCCAGCCTACGGCTCACACCTGGACAAACCTGCCCATCCTTTCAGGTACGTTCACAAGCTCTTGGTGGAATTGTTTCTTTCTTGATTAACTTTACAGCCCCATCACGATCCCACAGTGCACATATGCCATTTCCTCATTACCTGTTCCATGCCCAGCAAGTTTCTGATGTGTTTCAAATTTGAAGTTGCTTGATGGATGTATCTGGGTATTGGAAGTAGTGAGTGCATTGCCATCTGGCAAAAGAGGAGGCAGCGGCAAAGTCTTGTTAAGCAAAAAGTTTGGAGGATAAGCGAGGGTGTCATGATGGGGGATGAGAAAACAAATGAAAACACAGATAGAATTTACTGTTGACCCTTCCAATTCAATTTCACTTCCCCCAAGGAGCCCTTGATAAGTGTGTGATTCAGCCAGGAAAACTCCACCCATAGGCCACCCTGCATGGAGTAGTACTTCCTGCATATCAGGCATCTGTGCTGGGCATGGTGGTGTAGAGTGATGAACGAGATGTGGCCCTGCCCTTAAGGAACTGACAGTCCAGTGAAAAGCCACCAGTGTACGGACCTTTTACCACGAGACACCTGAGTAGAAATGGAGGCTCTAGGAGCCCCAGTGTTAGACAAACTGACCCAGGGGTCATGAAAATCTTCATAAAGGAACTAACAATTATTCTTGGTTTTGCAAAGCAAGAAGGGAGTTTGCAGGTACAAAAGAGAAGGTGAGGACAGGGAATAGAATACACAAACACAAGAAGTGATCAAATGACCAAGAATACCTCGGGTACAGTGAGAAGTGTGGTGTGGTTAGACTAGAGCAGAGTTGAGTTTCAGTGGGAGAAGACAATGTGAGATCTGGC
This sequence comes from Homo sapiens, assembly GCF_000001405.40. Taxonomy (NCBI): domain Eukaryota; kingdom Metazoa; phylum Chordata; class Mammalia; order Primates; family Hominidae; genus Homo; species Homo sapiens. The sequence goes on along the minus strand of NC_000015.10, from coordinate 60,767,587 downwards.
AGCCCATATTGCACCCTTCCTGGGGACTTTCTTGCCTTTCTAATTGAAAAGAAGGATGCTTCAAAGCTAATAGCTCTAGTTCCACACCCAACTCCTCTATCGTCAGCTGTGTGAAATAGGGCAAGGTACTTAAAAACAGCCTCAACTTTTCATGTGTGAAGTGGATATTATAATGGCAGATTTGTAGATGTGTTTAGAAGATCAAATGAGATGACATATTTAGAGTACCTGCTGGTATCCCCCAAATTTTCCAGTTAGTATTTGCCTTTGTGTGTGTCCTTATCATGGACCACAGACTCAAAAGGCCAATGTCCCAGCAGGTAACATCAAGATATCAAGAAAGCCAAGGCTGAGGTCCTTAATGGTAACTGTTCCACCACCTCAGTCTAGAAAAAAATATATATCCCAACTAAAACAGGACCCATGCAGGCAGGAAGCCCTATTTAATCACACCTTCCAATTTTCCAAGAGAAGCTTGAAGCACAGATTTCTAAGTGAAATTTCCCATCTTTTCTGTGTTAGTTACTAATCTGAATTTAAAACACAGTGTAGGCAAAACAGTACATGTCTTTGGGCCATACACAACCTGTGGGCTGCCAGTTGACAGCCTTTGATCTCTATCTTCTCTCCCACTACATTACAGGCTCTTACAGGGCTAGTGCTGTGGTTGTTAATGATTCGTATCAGGGCTGGCTCATGGCAGATGCTTCATGGTTGGAGGGCACTGACTTTAGCCACATACAGACATCGACACCAGGGGCGAGGAAAAGCAAGCCAACAAGTGAGGTGTTCAAAAGTGCAGAATTCAAAGAGTGACCCAATGCCATAGCACAAGCCCAGGAATGAAAACTTTTAAAACTCGGCCCCAGCAAGAAGCTCCTGGGAGAGGAGCAGATCCTTGGGAAAAAAAAAAAAAGTGCAGTCTGTGAAGGGCAAAGTTTGGCAATCTATTAAACAGCAAGTTACAATAGGCGAGTGCAGAGATCACAGAGGCAGGGATTAATGTACACACATCTATACAGGGAACTTTGATGCTTTCAAATGCCTCCTCGCCATCTGAAAATCAGGCAGCAGGCATCGCCTACATATTTCACAGCAGTCTACCTGTCTGGGTGTTTGGGCTTGACAGCAGGAAGCTCTTTGAAATGAGGCTGAGGCATTTCAAACACTTCTGCTTGAATATCCAGTTTGTATATTCTGTCGAAGGCTTTTTAAATTGGCTTTATTTTACTTTATTATATTTTTTTTTACTAATTTTGGAATCTCTTATTAAGTCGAAAGTCTGCAAAAGAGCAAATTACAAAGCCAGGATGCCTTTTGACGATCTCAAGTGAATGATACAGACACAGGCTCGCAGGCTCACAGGCTCACACACAATTCCATATAACAAGGAAGGAGAGAAGTTACATTCACAGAGCAGAACTATTTTCAACAACAGTCCAGTGAAAAGTGCCAAATGTTTGAACCTTTTGACTCCTGCCCAGATAATATCATAATGGTTCAGAGAGGGATGTTTACAGCTTTCTATGCGTAATAAATAATTTAGAAGCCATTCATTAAAACCTTCTAAATTACAGACACTGCAGGCGAATTCCTTCTTTTAAGAAGGAAAGGATGAGCTGAAAATTGGTCCCCGGTTTCTTGCCTTCTTCTCTTTGATTCTTTTTGTTTATTCTTCTCACTAGAAGCTGAGTGAGTAAAGTACCGATATTGGGGGGTTAGGTGGGGGAGCGGGTTACACCACTGTAAATACTTAGAACCACAGTGCACGTAAAAATGAAGCTGGGCTGCCTTGGCCTGGTGAAATCATGCGATGGAAATCTGAAGATCTTACATTTTATTCTGAGGTCCACAGAGGTCTTGTTTATGCTTCTCTTCTCATTTTAAGAAGGAGGTGCCAATGTACTGGCAGTGAGGAGGAAAGTGGAAGGATTTGCATGAAGCAGCTTCTGTGACTCAGGTTTTCAAAGCTGTCTCATGGAAGGCAAAAAATACTATCCTTATCCGAATCGTGATACAGGTGTGGTAACTTGGCTATCTCTTCTAACACCACATTGCAAGGCCTTGATTGTGGGGTGTGGGAATCTTACACAAGACCCGACCAAGCCAGAGAGGATTAGCTTTAATTTCATTCAAAAGCTGTAAGTAGGAGAAAAGACTGTCAGTATCCTAAGGCAATACTTAGGAACAAGTAGAATTAGGTAGGATTGTTTTGGGAGTGACAGAAAGACCATGATTCTGAGTTGATCTCAAGAACTCCCAGGCCAGGCTCAGTGGGCACACATTGAATTTATTTTCATTCGGTTTGGTGGGGGATCCTGGGAGCAAGCTACTTTGACTCATAGATGTAAACAGTAAGAAACCAAACTGTTGATTTGAGCCAAAGTCCTTCTCGTTCAAAAATAGCCTGTATCAGGGAAAGAGAGAAGGGGGAATTAGAAATGGGCCCTGGGATCGAGGATATTCCCAATATAAAGACACCCTTACTTCTACTGTAGGCATTTCAGATTCCCACTACTTTGTCATCCATGTTGAAACTGGGCACCAACTTCCCGATTCAATAGCAATGAAGGCAACACATGATGCTGTCCTTTGTGGTAGCTCGCTTCCTTTTGTGGAGGCATACCACCGAGAGGACAGGCTTCTGGTTCCAGGCACAGAAGCCATCTCCAGCTAAATGATGAACCCATTTTTAAAGACGTCGTTTTTATGGTTTCTTAAATGACAAGGCATTTCAAGTACAATGTGGTAAAGGGGCACGATCATAAAGCAATGTGGTTGGCAAGGAAGGTATTTCATTGTGAGCAGGGGCGTCGAAGCCGAGCTTTATCAATGAGTGGAATTTCCTGTAAGTAGAAAGATAAATGAATTAGTAACTCAGAGTAATTTTTTAAAAATACATATCCAGATGAAAGCTCAGATAAGTTTGATCCCTTTTAGCCAATGAAGTATCATCTCTAATTAGGTTTCCATGCAGACAGTGCAGCCTTGGAGTACATTTCTGAATCTAGTTGACCTTTTCAGCTGGAGAAGCCAAATGATTTCCATTCCATGCTCTTTAATTCTGGAGGAATTTCTAATTTGTTGCCAGAGATAAAAAAAAAACTCACTCCAAACATGAAAAAAGTTTTAAATAGTCCAGAGCCCCATTTACAGAATATTAAAATTTTCGAGCTGAGAGAACCCTAAAAGACCATTTTATTCCATTCCTTTATTTTACTGATAGTAAAATTGAGGACCAGAGAAAAATCAAAGACTCGCCCAAGGTCACTCAGGGACTTAGGACCTAGGATTAGAACCCATACCCCCCGCTTCCCACCCCAGCCTCTCTGCTTGGCCAGTCTCTCATTTGCCTGCTAGGCTTTTTTTCATGTGGTCCAGATGTTGCCGCATCAAAGGCCTCTCACTGAACTCCGCCATCAGACCTGCTTTAGGGAAACTTCCATGGGCCAACACCTACCCTCTTGCCTTTCTTAATTTCTTTTGGAAATTCTCTATTCTCTCACCTTATTAATGTTAAAACAAAACGGGTTCTTTTATTGCCACAGGCAGCAGGAAAGTGAAGTTCTTGATGGAGGCAAGTGTCTTCCCTAGTGAGAGCAAGTAAATTAGTTCTGAGGTCCTCTCACTCACTCTAACTGTAATGAGAGACACCAGCCCTTCTTCATTAATGAGATGCCAATCACAAAGGGAGCAGCCTCAGAGAGCCTTTGGGGAGGGGGGCGGCGGGGGAGAGCAGTGATTGGCACTGTACTAAGAAGGGAGGAAGCAGAAAATAAAAGCCTCCGGAGGTGGGAAAACACGTGGATGATCTCAAATCAGAAGGGTAGGTCCAGCGGAAACCCGAGGGGCTCCTGAATGGGCCAGTCAGCGTAGTCTATGGCAAACATCTTTGGGCAGGAGAATTGGGGAGCTACCCCCCTGGCATATTTTCCCACGTATGCTTTCCGAGGCAAGGTTGTGTTCATGCTAAAGTGTGTCCCACATGGGGATCCGTATGATTGGTGACAGTTGGGGCTCCTTAATGACTGGGTTCTCTTGGAAGGCTGGCAGCAGCGAACCTCCTCGCTCCTCTGCCTTAGATCTCGTCAAGAGTTTAACATGCTGTGTAACCTCCTAAACTTTGAAAAGGAAACTTTCTAAAAGAAAGTTAAGGAAAAATAATTTGATGCTTAAGGGAACTTTTTTTCTTGCATGAGATAATTTCCCTGGTAGGAGACACTGTTCTTAAATTTGTCCAAGGACCGGTTAACCCAAGACCATGTTTCCAGGGCGGGGGAAACATCTAAATCATATTTGTTCAACTCCTGCTCTCAAAGTGGCTTGGGAATAGGTTCTGCCCCTGGCAAGATGATGCTTGCTGTCTTTTCCTCTCGGCTACCCAGAATGGCATTTGCAGCATCGCTGAGAACGTTTTGGGAAAATATCTGTGCAGTTTTCCCAACTCAGTTTTCACCATCTGCAGCCTGCCTTTGCTTTGGTAGGTTGGTTAAAAAAAAAAAAAAAAAAAAAAAAAAAAAAATCTGTGCATATTGGAAACAGTACTTTTATTTGTAATTAAATGCCTTTTTCCCTGTTATTTTTTCCCTGAAAACATTTTTGTTTATGAATATGGGTCTATATGAAGGTTAAAAGACTTTCAGCACTCAAAACAACTTAATAAAATGTCTGAGCACACAATTAGGCGTGCTATGTCCTTCAAGAATCAGGTAGCGGAAGTTCTAATTGGCAAAGCAGCATCTTGAATGTCATTTTCTAAACCCATTAGACCATGTCTAACAGAGAAAGAGGAGAAGCAGCAGCAGTTTACGAAATACCAATAGTCCCCCTTGCAGACATAATTTTAGGGTAGCGGTTAGATGATATTGAACTTGTAAGAAAATGTAGCTACAAAGCCACAGTAGCTTCAAGTAAAATGACATTTCTTTAGATCATGTGTAGGCTCACCTTGTAATAGTAGGAGTAAATATGTGTATAAGCAACCTGGAGATGCTCCTTTATTCCCTGTGTGTGTGGTGTGTGTGTGCGTGGGTGTGTGTGTGTGTACTGTGTGTGTTTCATGCACTTCTTTAAAGGCACACAGTTGGCTGTAATATGTCCTCCTTTCTCTGAATTCTGGTGACCTTTCACCATAGATGGGGCAAGGCCCAGGCCTCTGGTTTGATAGAAATACAGCACATCTGTCTTCAGTTATTCACATCTGATACCATAACCTTCGTGTCTGGCTGCTTTGGGTCTACCACCATTAAAATTTAAATTAAGAACCAGAAGTTTTTAATAAATTCAAGCCAGAGTTGAGCCTCCCAGAGATGTTATCTTGCCTGGAATCCCCTCGTTTTAGTTTAATAGTACTTTTGGAAAATCTGACAAGACTCACCTAGAAATTCCATTCTTTGTTGAAGACCAAAAAGGAAGAATCACCATGGAAAATAAAGATTCATAAAGCCAGCTGCATTTTATTCTAGATGCTTCTTTTTCTGCTAGAAACCTGTTTTTCAAAAACTTGGTTGACAAAGTCTCATTTGTATATTTTTCCCCTTATGTTTTAGACACCTGGGTTTTTAAAGATAAAATTCTTGCAGATGTTTTGGATTAGTCTGTTTTCAAAAGTGCTCAAGAACTTGATTTCCAAGGACTAGACTTTTTTTTTTTCATTACCAACTACTGTAGTTTGCAAAGAGGGAGAAACTTAGCTTGCAATTGGCCTGAATTCAATAGAATCACACACCCTCCTGGTTTTAAGGAACATTTGAAACTGAACCGTGCATAAGTGTGCCACCTGACTGAGCTTTCTAAACAAATATTTGTCATCTTTGTCAGACCAAAATTCTCATATAGTGTTTTGAATTTAATTAGAGGCATACCTAAATGGTTAGGGGAGAAGGACAGGACAGAAGTCTACCCCCAGAAATGGCTCATAGGAAAATGAGACAACTTCAGTTTTACTTACTCAGGCACACCATAGGAGAGGTACTTCTCCAAGCTGGTAAGTGAGCCATTTTTGCAAAAATAGAAGCAACATTCTGGGCAAGAGCTTGAAAGTAGAAAAGGCCTGGGATAAAACATAATTTTTTAAAAAAACATATCATAAAAGAGAGTTGCCCAGCTCTTTCTTAACTTGTGAACTAGCTGTTCTACACATTTACCATAAGATAATTGATGTTTGTAATGCTGCCCCTAAGGCACTACAGGATCCTAAAGTGCCTTCTGAATCATCAAAGAATGATTCATTGCGTTCTGGGTGGTTTTCTTGTTGAGTGTATTTTATTGTATACGAATCCCTTTGAAAATTGATAATACATCTGTGATGGGTACCAGAGGTTTGCAATCAAGAGCACACAGCCACAACTGGTGAGTGGGAAGTGTCTTTGGTGTACAGGCTGGGTGGCACCCCCACGTCCTCCATCCTGCTGCTTCGAAGAGGCAATGTCGCCCATGGAATCTGCAGAAGTTGGTCTCTGTGAAGGTTTCATTCAACTCCTCCCTCTCCTCCCTTTCCTGCTCATCTTGCTAGTAGGAGCCCACGTGTGAACAGCAATTTCATATTCCCACCCCTCCCTGTGCCCAAAAGGAGAAGGGCCAGAAACTTAGGGTGGCACTAATTAGGCAGCGTCATACAAAAACTCTGATATTTGACCACTTTTTATCTACAAAAGCAACAATCTCATATGACCAGTCACAGTGGTTACAAATATCAGGCACCTGTATGTGTGTCTGTGTGTGTGTGTGTGTGTGTCTGTCTGCATGTATAGACATGCATCGTCATTCAATTACCCAGAAGACTTGATTAACAAGAATACCAAAGCTCCACTGGATCACACGACTTGCTGCCCCCTGATTTGTTAAACAAATAACTTTTTCCTTCTTTGCTGTTCCTTAGCTGATAACCAGGAATGGAACCCTAGCATTTTCACAGCACTGCTATGCATTAGGTGAAAATGGCCTTCCTATTTCTTGGTATGCTCTGTTTATATTTTAATGCTGTTTACAGATGAAATATTCCATAAATATTCATACGGTGCCTGTACAAAGGAAAGGATCCAAAGAGCTCTTTATTAACAAGCTCCCTTATGTCAGGGTAACTATGGGAGAAAGGGCTTTAATCCATCCTCCCAAAGTTCTCACAAAAAGACTGAACTATCCTCTTTACACATAATATTGGGGTGATCTGGGATTTACCAGCTAAATTCATAGCTAAAAGTGTCAGCTAATGAATTATTCCAAGTAAATTAACAGACTAAGGGAATCCTTTCTTCGGTCCCATACCAATGCTCCCTTCGTTAGCAAATACGCTTCATGTGGAAGAGAGATCAACTAGGTGCCAGAGAATGTTTAGCCCACATTCATCCTCTGCACAGTTCCTCCACCCCAACGATCAATTGACATTTCTTAGAAGAGCATTTTATTCTTCCAAAGGAAGGCTCAGAAACATTGAAAAAAAAAAATATTTTAAAGCTCAGAGAGCTTCTAATGAAGTAAATTAAAACCTTTTAAAAAAACACACATACAAATTGAACTTTTTATAAAATATTCAGGGGCTTCAAATTTAAAACTATTAAAAAAAGCCCACATATACTTCAAGGTTATGCTTTTAAAAAATTTAAAATACTGAGTTGAATGACTGACAAGTTCAAAATACTCTCAGACTAATCTTTGTACCAAAGAAATTAAATCTAACAAAGTACTTTTTATCTCCTCAATGGGGGAAAATAGGATAGCAAATCATATTTCCCCCTCCTATCTTTGTATCAAAGATGGTTAAATATTTCTTTCCATTCCATCATATCTTCCCAACTGGCAAGATAATACTTGGGAAAAGAGTAGGTAGAAGGGAAAATGAAACTGGCAGCTCCTGAGATCCACAGGGCATCATTTGGCACGCACTTCTTTGAGGCCCACCCAAAAGTGGTTAATCAGAGAGTAGGGACGATGTCAGATTACATTAGAGGCAGATTTCTCTATGTGTATGGGCAAATCTGAGACGGCCAGTCTTTCAGGTCTGGAGCTGTGGTTGCACGCAAAATGTGATCCTAAAAATGAAATGCCAGTATTTAATCCTTCCAACTACTCAGCTTCCTCATTATTCTCTTGTGGGAATTGTGGTTGCTACTGACTCAAAGTTGCCCCCCGTTTGATGATGTATTCATTGCTAGAGTTGGCCCCCATGTCCCCCTCAACCTGGATTCCAGTTGAGGATCCTATAGTGAGAATTCAATTAATCTCAAGATAAAATCCAGCAACAAGAACTTTTAAGCCTTGAAATGCACAAAGCTATGTATGTATTTATGTGTGTTGTGTTGTCCACCCTCAAACATAGTCCAGGCTGGCCTCTGTAAGGCAGGACTCTTCAGTGTGTTCTCTCAGGCTCTCCTTGGGGAATATTTCTTAGCAGAGTGCATTTTTGTTACATGAGGCCATAGATGCATGTGGCTACTGAATCAACCATTTTGACGTCAGTTAGTTCTTTCCAGTTGTCCTAATGACTATTCATTCAGCATTTGATTGGATTAGAATAGGTTGATGCAGTTCAACTGAATCAAGGTGTAGCAAGGAGAAAACCCACTGGATTGTAAATCTGAAGAACGGTTTGAGCCTCAGCTCAGGTGCTAACTTGCTATGTGGCATTCAGATCTCTGGATCACTCTGGACTTCAGTTTCTTTGTCTGTAAAATGGTAACTGTCTGGCCTCTCTTATCAATCTTTCAGAATTCTTAATTCAGATTAAATGATCTGGTGGGTGTGAAAGCTTTTGAATCCATCTGAGTTATCAGCTGGAACTTTATAGAGTTAGTTGGCACAGTGCTTCAGGAGATAATTTGAGGATGACTTTGCAGGGAATTTCTATGCCAATCAGAAAGTATTCTTTTCTTATGTACCGATGGCAGGGAAAAAATGAGAGAGACCATTATATCAGTTGGACTCACTTGATCATCACCACTTTAAAAATGAGCAAAAACTAGTTGAGAGAGTCGTGGCAAATCCTTGGCATTAGCTGTTACCATGGAGGTGAAGAGGAAAATTCCCACTCCCCAACTGTATTTGAAAACAGAGAGGTCTCCAGCCTTGGAACAAGTTGTGGCAAATGGACAGGATGTCCTAGAATGACATCCTAGGTGTAAATAAATCACCGGAACTGATGGCAGCCACCCAAGAGTTTTGAAGGAACTCAAGGGTGAAATTGTGGAACTATTGGCCAAAACGTGTAACTTGTTACAAATGGGTACTGTGCTCGAGACCTGGCAAATTGCCACCACAACTCTGAAAGAAGAGAAGCACAAATAGGTGAGCCTCCCTTTTATACCTAGCAAGCTGGTAGAGACTATCTGAGTGGGTCGTGTCACTGAATACATGCTTATTGTAGCATGGAGAATTACTGAGCATTCACCCTGTGCCAGGCATTGTGCTGGATGGTAGAGGTGAACAAATGAAAGTGTCCAGAAGGCTGTTTGACAAAGGGGTCTGAAAATTCCAGTGCTGCAAACATAGATTTGGGAAGTCATTGACATATAGGTCAAAGAAAGCAAATAGCCTTCACCTAGAGGTGCCGGTCCCATTGATTGGAAGATCCTGTCTTGGATCACCATGCACACTAGACTATCCTGAAAAGAGAGCAGAGATCTGCTAGCAATGTCTGCATTGCTGGGCTGTACCGTGCTCTGTGTTTGCCATCTCCATGTGGGTGAATGTTGGAATTCTGAGGGTGACGGGTGGCTGTGATAACCCAGTGAGAGTGTGAAAAGGAAGGAGGGAAGAGGTTAAAAGGCAGACTCCTGCACAAAGCAAGCATTTGGGGGTCGGGAGAGAGGGAAGAAACCAGCAAGGGAGGCTGAAAGGGTTCATCATTTACTTGTCTGTTCCTTTATTCAACAAGTAAGCATGGGCACTTTCTATGTGCCAGGCACTATTTTACACCCTGGAGTCACATCCAGGGATGTGCTCTGTTTTTGGGACAAGGAAAGTGTCAGATAGTAATAAATACTCAGAATCAGAAGACGGATTGTTTGGGCACTGTAGCATGGTTGGTCAGCTCTTACAGGAGCTGAAACCTGTATGGCAGGACTTAGCCAGTGATACAAAGAATTGTGAGAAGAACATTCTAGGCAGAAGAACAGCTAGTGCAAAGGCCCTGAGACAGAGAAAATGGCAGAAAAATACTCTTTGCAGAAGTTTGACTGTGTAAGGTGGCAGCTTGAGGGGAAGACAGGACTGGGAAGGAGTTTTCCTGAACCTGTGTATAGCTGGTTGGCTGGCTGTGTAGAATAGAGAGACCTGATAATGTTTATGGATTTGAGGAAAAGAAGAAAGTAGAAAAGGAAAGACTGATGATGCAAGGGAGAGAAAAGATGATCAACAGTGCTGAGAAGGACGGTTGTTTTAGAGAAGGTGCAAAGATGGTAAGGGCAAGGGCAGATATAAAGAGTCTAGAACAGCGTTCCCCAGCCATTTCTAAACTTATGCACTCATTTCATAGTAATATATATTATTTGAACATTTTTTTAAACATCTAATGGTTTTGCATGTAATGCAAAATGAAATGAGTTAAAGTTTTAAAATGTATGCGTCATTTTAGATAAGTGTATATTAAAGATTTTATTACAAAATTAATTGAATATAGTATTTACTAATATTCATGGATTATAATAATAAATTCTGAATGAGTTCCATCTAAAAAGTGATTCCCATGGTTTAATTTACTTTAATTATGTAAGAAATGACCATTTATGAAACATACATTAAAATGACATCTATTAGTGTGCTTAGTTTGGCAACTAAATAAATATTGAACTGTAGGTTGAAATTTAACTGTGTCTCATAGTATCAAAAGTAGTCAAAAACAGACAAAATCTGCCTTTACAACTAATGCTAGAAAAGCTTACATTTTGGGTAAAAACATGTGATTTATTTTTATTCTTTGTTTATTTCTAGTGAAATAAAAGAGGATTTCTGGCTGCTATTAGTAAACACATCTATACAAAAAATTAAAAGCCAAACTGGATATAAGCAACACCAAACTTTCCATTATTAACATTGATTTTTGAACTTAACGGAGAGATCTTAATGGGTTATGTGACAGGTAAATGCAATTCTGAAATCCAGTGAAGAATACTTTGACATATATTTATAAAGTTATCATCAGATGCACAGTCTTTATAAACTTTTCAAATTTTACTTCAGAATTCTTCTACTATTTGTCATTACCAAAAACCCGCTGTGGGTAAGAATCAGACAACTTAATCAATTAAACAATTAACCAAAAATAAACATTTTAAATTGCCTCGTCATTCAGTTGCCACAATAACTGGTAACATTCAGCTCCTCACCCAATGGTGGAGGGTGACGAAGTCATGAGCACAGGTAGGTGATGCCAAACTCTGCTCTTTTAAATGAAAACCATATGTAATTATTCACTACATTCATCCAGTTATTTAAGTAGAAATTAAAATATCTGCTATTATCACCTTTAATGATATGAACATTGCAGAAACTTTTTTTGTGAAACCCTGGGTTTCCCTCAGTTTGGGAGCTGTCACTTAGGAGAAGGTGGAGATATTGAGGGATGATAAGCCCCACAAGGGCAAGGATTTCGTTTTGTTCACTGCTACATCCCCTGTACCAGGACGGTGCCTGGCACAGCACAGACACTTTGCAGATATTCAGTGAATAAATGAATGAGTGAATGAATGAATGCAGGTTAAGCCGAAGTCAGAGTTTTCTGCAGAGGTATGGAATGGAGTGGACATGATTTGCATGGAGGAGAGAAACTGCTGCAAGAACAAGAGAGGGAACAAACAGGAGATGAGTTAGCAAACAACCTTGTAGGTGAAAAGGCAGATCGTTTCCATGAAGAACAATCATGTATCCCACAACCATTTCTTGAACAGCTTCTATGTGTTGGGTTTGTGGAAAATGCTATGGGATTCAGAGATGAAAAAGACTCAGCTCTCTGCTGGAGAGGATGTGGAGAAATAGGAACACTTTTACACTGTTGGTGGGACTGTAAACTAGTTCAACCATTGTGAAAGTCGGTGTGGCGATTCCTCAGGGATCTAGAACCAGAAATACCATTTGACCCAGCCATCCCATTACTGGGTATATACCCAAAGGATTATAAATCATGCTGCTATAAAGACACATGCACACGTATGTTTATTGCGGCACTATTCACAATAGCAAAGACTTGGAACCAACCCAAATGTCCGACAATGATAGACTGGATTAAGAAAATGTGGCACATATACACCATAGAATACTATGCAGCCGTAAAAAAGGATGAGTTCATGTCCTTTGTAGGGACATGGATGAAGCTGGAAACCATCATTCTCAGCAAATTATAGCAAGGACAAAAAACCAAACACCACATGTTCTTATTCATAGGTGGGAATTGAACAATGAGAACACATGGACACAGGAAGGGGAACATCACACACCGGGGCCTGTTGTGGGGTGGGGGGAGGGGGGAGGGATAGCATTAGGAGATATACCTAATGCTAAATGACGAGTTAATGGGTGCAGCACACCAACATGGCACATGTATACATATGTAACAAACCTGCACACTGTGCACATGTGCCCTAAAACTTAAAGTATATATAAAAAAAAAAAAAGACTCAGCTCTCATCTTCAAGAAGTGCACTGAGTTTACGGGGATAATAAGAGAGATATCCATTCCAGACTGAGCATACACAACCCACATTCCACAGACATTAGAAGGAAAGAGAAAGGAGTCGAAGGGAAGTGCTAGCTTCAAGAAGCAAGAGAATGGAGCCCTATTTCCAGCTTTGCCACCAACTGGAAAGTCATTTGCCCTCTCTGGGTCCTAGTTTCCTCATCTGTATAAGAAAGGACTAGGACCAGAGCTCCTCCAATGTGCCTGTGCAGCAAACCTCTGACAGTCTATGGGATTTGGAAATTCAGAGGAGGTGGATGTCAATGTTGGCAGAGGTATTGTGGACATGTATCCTCAAGGATGTGGAAGTTGAGTTGTCCCTGAAGAATGAGGGAAGGGCGTCAAAGTTGGGGGTCAAGCATTTCAGGTAGAAGAACTAGGAAGGAATTAAGCCATGAGACTAAAACAGCCCTAATAATTTTTTGATGTCCATTTTATGAAGTAAGAGAAGTATGAACAAGCAGACTCAGATGATATGGATGCTACAGTACAGCTGGAATTAGCAAGAGTTTGTTTGGAACAAAGGGTCAAATTCATCTAACTGGAGTAATCCCAACTTTGGAAACCCCATATGTTGGTGTTAAGAGCAGTCTTCTAAAAGAGCTAAGTGAGAAGAATGCACAACGAAACCTCCATGGTAGTGAAACAATGATGTAAACAAAAGATGATGGGAAAATGTGACACGTTCTCACAAGGTGGAAAAGCAGCCGATGATTTTCAAAGCAGACAAATAAAAATACCTCATGCTATATTGTGAATATGGATTTCTACCCAAAAAGGGATGCCATTAGGACTCAAAAGACTAACACAATATAGGAAGTAACCATAATTCTATTGAGGCCAAAATTGAAAACATCATCCTTATTCAGACTCATTGAGAGGAGGTTGAGGAAGAAGAGCAAGTGAGTAGCCACGGACCAGTGTTCCGGGTCTGGGTCAAGGGCCTTGGCCAGTTGCTTAATGTTGGTCTCTTCATCTGTCCAGTGGGAGTAATAATACTTGCTCCACATGTATCGTGATGCTGTTACAAGGATCAAACGGGATAATAGAAGTGGATTTGCTTTAAAAAGAATCAAGTGCTGTAATCACTGGACTAAAGCAATAGAAATTCATGCATTTGTGATGTCTGTCTAGTATATGAACAGCTTGTGCAAACACACTTAAAGTAGTTCCTTGTATTTGCAGAGTGCTTCAGAGCTTGTCAGGTTCCAAAAAATATAAAGGGATATAGCATGGCTTTATATTCTGAAAACCTAGGTTTGGATTTCAATCTCATTGCTTCCTAGTGTGATTTGGCGTAGTGTTATTTAACACATCTGGGCTCAATTTCCTCATCTGTAAAATAGACAGAGATACCTACGCATGCATGGTGGTTGTGAAATTCACATGTGATAAGGGATGAAGGGTGGAGAGGTCAGTGCCTGCCCATGCAGGCCCTCAGAGCACACTGGCTGTTTTTATTTCCCTGTTCCGCTAGGACATAAGCTCCTAGGGCTGACCACGTCCATTGGTATTCCCAGTTACCAGCAGAGTTCCTGAGACAGAATTGGTGTTCGATAAATACTTGTTGAATGGATGGATTAACAGAATGAACGGATGGGTGAACACCCACCCTGTAACAGAGATGAAAGACGGTAATATCTGCTATCTTGGGTAAGAAAACCAAGGCTCAGAGAGTTGAAGTAACTGTTGAAGGTTCGTGTCAGAACTAAACTGCGAGTAGGACTTAAAGGGGTCCCTTTTCTACGCCATCCACGTGCTGCTCCCTGTTCTGAACCTCTAACCTTTGGTGGAATCATGGGCTACAGTTTTCTGAGCTGTTATTGTCATATCTTTTAGAAAACCAGAAGCAATAATATTTGCCTCTGCTTTATTTTTCTGGACTTTTGTTCAGGGCTCACAGAGTAAAAAAATTCAAGTCAACTTTTACATTCTTCTTGTTGTTTTGAAAAGGGGCCAAAAAGCAAAGCAAAGAAACATAAGCAAAATCTCAAATATCTTTGGTTTTGACAGTCCCTGGATGGCTGGACATAGCCCCAGGAAAATGAATCTAATCTGCACTGAAAGGTACAGTTTGTTTCTTTCTCCCACAGACAGACGGAAATGTGTGTTTGGGAGGCTGATTCATCCAATGGCCCCTGCACCAGGCCTGGGACCAGCGCTATTCATTATTTGCTCTGTTCCTCTTTCGTTTACAAGGTCAGAGTCGATGTTTTGGTTGTTTTCCCAGCAGTGCTCTACTGACCGACTTCGCTCTAATCCCTTGATGTCACTTAAATAAACTCGAGGCGGGTGGGGGTGGGGGGAGCAATTTGAGAACTCCAATGATTTCCTACCGCTGTTGTTCTCGGCGGCAAATTAATTTGATGCTGTTATGTAAGTGTAATCATCCTCTCTAATCACATCACAGGATTGGGAACTGCCAGAAATAACAGAAGGGAACATTGGAGATATCAAAGGGGAGCCACTAAAATAGATTGTTTATTTAGGTACCAAATTGAAACGCTATTATTGGGAGATGGAAAACAACCGTCGCCACACTTTCCTTTCACACGTCCCTGCGCTTTACATACTGTATTTGTCAGGATGCATCAGCCAGAAGGAAAAGGAAAGAGGAAATCAGAGCTTCCATTTGTGCCATCGGGAAGGAAATGGGGAAAGTCAGAGGTGTCTGAGCGTCAATGGGCTTTTGTTGGTGCGCAAAATTTTGGTTGTGATTACTGCTCTAAGACGCTTCTCTCTGCCTGATGTTCTTTCCTGATGTCTGCCCTCTCTCTTCTTTATTCTTTCCCATACTAGCCCATTGCCTTCTCCCTCCCCATTTTTTTTTTAGCAAGTCAAAGAAGACTCAGCCTAGCTCGGATGATCCTTCTCCACCTCCTTATTGATGGCCCTTCTCTCAAGTGATGGGGACCCTGGAGATAGGTTAAATGCATACAGCTTCCCTATCTCCTCACACATGTTGTCGGATCTCTTCCCAAACTCTTCTGCTTCTACCTAGACATGGAGTCATAGGGGTGAGAAATAAAGTCCCATCCTTACTTGGAGTGTTTTACAGAGTGGTCTATGCAGTTTTGGTAGAGGAGCTTAGAGGCCTGTTTTTGTTCCTCAGCTCTGTTCCTCCTCCCTGGGCAGATTGTTTACTGTTTCTGAGCCTCAGTTTCTTCATCTATAAGAAGGGATAGCGACACCAAGCTCAACCTGGTGCCGAGAGGATGCAGGAAGGTAACACCTGTGAAAGCCAGGCCCGCAGTGGTCAAGAAAGCAGGTGCTGGAGTCAGAGTCTGCAGTCAGAATTTGGGATCTGGGCCCCAGCACTACCACTCAGCTGCCCAGGACCTTGGTCAAGGTACTTATCTCTTTACACCTCAACATCATTTGTAAAGTGGGATAAAGAAAATACTGATCAAAATAGCCTGAGGGTTAAATAAACATGCATATTTTCAATGATTGGCATAGCGCCTGGTCTACTAAATGCTAGCTTATCGTCATTATTATTATTCTCATTGTTATTATTTATTGTTGTAATAGCAAAGCTTAATTAAATAATAATGATACTAATGATGGTGATCCGTTTCCTGCTAGTCCCACTTCTTATTCCCACCACTGATCTTCACGCAACTGCCAATTCCTCCTGATGTTATTTGCCATAAGTAATCAATACATGACAACAGGGTTAGAATCACTGTTGAAGGAGGCAGAACAAAGTGAACCATGGACAGGTTGTAGAGAGAGATGCCCCGCCATGGGGAGGGAAAGGACATTCAGCTGAAGGCTCTTAGGAGACATACTCCTTAGGGCCTCTGACTGTGGGCTGTCCCTGTTCTCCTGGTCTCCCAGGCCCTCTGCACTGTCTTGGATTCTGCTCCCCACCTGCCTTTCTTCCCTGCTCTCCTCACTGCCTGCCTGAAAATGCCTTCTGCCAGCCAAGTCCTCACAGTGGAGTGAAATAATCCTTTTACCGTGGGGTAACGAGAGGGACATCCAACCTGGAGTTGGAACTAAGGTGCTTGAATCCTTCCCTGCCCTTCGCCCCTCAGATGACTGTGTTTATGGACCTAGGTGGCTTTGTCTATGAAGCATGCATGGCACAGTGCCAGCCAATTCCCTCTTTCTGAAGCAACTGCTAGAATACTGAATACCTTCCCTGAAGGTAAAATACAAATATTTTTTAAGTGAAAAATGAAAATACATTTCTGAAACTGTTTTCTACATGCTGATCACAAAAGGGAATAGATTACTATCCATGGTCCTCTTTTGCTCTTTTTCCTCTAATCTAATCTCAGTTTGATGTCCTCTCTCCTTGAAAGATTATATACATAGAGAGCCTAATTATTAGGCTGCCCAAAACAGCTGCTATACCTGGACAGAACGCTCACTGAGGTTTGGTCACCAGACTCAGACAAGGTTGAACACGGTAGCATCTGGGACAAAAATATGCTTGCAAAAATATATTGAAACTGAAATTTTAAAAGGGATTCTTTCTCTGCTTCTGTTTTCTAAAGAAAATTATCTGCACAATTGTTCTCTGTATGTCACTTCATTTGACATGAACTTTTCAAACTGCAGGTTTTAGCTAGCTAGTTTATGCCTAAAACAAAGGAAATACTGATTGAGGAGACCAGTGGCATGGTGGAGAGTGAGTCCTTTCTCAGCTGTAGATATGACCTGGGTCTCCTAGGCTTTGGAGTCAGACTTTGGCTATGCCACTTTCTGGCTGTATGGCTTTGGGCAAATTACTTAACCTTTTTGAACCTCCATTTCCTCAACTGTAAATTGGAGCTGATAATAGTATCCATCTGTAGGGATGTAGTGAAGATAATATGAAATAATAAATGAAAAATACTTGGCACATAGAAAGGTTTTGATTAATATTAGCTATATTGTTTTTAAGACAGAGTCTTGCTCTGTTTGCCAGGCTGGCGTGCACTGGTGTACTCATGGCTCACCGCAGCCTCGACATTCCAGACTCAAGCAATTCTTCCACCTCAGCCTCCTGAGTAGCTGGGACTACAGGCGCACACTACCACGTCAGACTAATTTTTTGTAATTTGTAGTAGAGACGGGGTCTCACTATGTTGTCCAGGCTGATCTTGAACTCCTGGGCTCAAGCAATCCTCCTGCCTCGGCCTTCCAAAATGTTGGGATTACAGGTATGAGCCACCGCACCCAGCCCTAATATTAGCTATTATCGTTATTGTTTTTGTTATTTAGATTTAGATCTTTAGGTGCCTAAAATCAGGGAACAGAGTTTCTCTCCATCATATCCCCTGGTAAAAGGAGACAGTGTCTAAGTGTGCTAACAGACAGCCTGCAACATTTACCTGGGCAATTCTGGTTTGCATTTACTTTTTCCCACAAAGTTTAGTCCATTAATGTAAGGGTTACTTAAATTGATCATCAACTTATTCTCCCTCTCTTAGCTAGTGTAAATTAATCTCCTAAAATAGCTAAAACAGTTCAATATTTGACTACATATCATAACTCACCACCATAGAATATTAGTTAGAAAAAAATAAGCATTTACAGAAATCCCATTAATTTACATTTCATCCCTGCTTAGAGCAATTTGCAGTAATTCAATCTGGATCAGGCTACGTTAAGTTTTACATCTATGTTTTAGAGAAATAATTTACTGGAAGAATTAATGGTGCAAGTGAGATTGTAAGGGATGTACTAAACTTTTAAAGACAGTAAATATTTTTATAACAATAATAGTCTGTATGAAATTAAAATTTGTAATTTATAGGTGGATGTTGTTCAATGAAGGCATAGAGCCATGTTTCTCAAAATTCCATCCAAGAGAGAATAGGGGGAAAGACCACTGCTCATAAACTACACCCCACGACTTCTGAATCAGGATCCCTGGGGATGGACTCTAGGAATGTGCATTTTAACAAGCTCCCGGGGTGATTCTTATATTTACTAAAATTTATAATTATCTATTATACAAAATATTGACAATCACTTATACATTGATTAAGGTAACCGGGAAACTCCTTCACAGCTATCTAGAGTTCCTCCGTGTACTGGAAAACACTCGAGCTTCCTCTTTTAAAAATATTCTAGAATACAAACACTCCCACTAGTGCAGACTGATCTCCCCCTTAAACAGGGAGGTGTTGCTGAAACATACCCCAACTTCCCGTTATCAATGCCATGCTTCCTGCATTATAACCCTGTAATGGAAATCCATACTGCCTAAAAATTAGGGTGGTAAGAGTGGGATTCAAAGAAACCAGGCTGAGACCTGGGAGGCCTAGAAGGAGAACCAGGATAGAACTGAACAAGGACTCAGTTACTGAACCAGGAGCTGTGTTGGTCATAAGGTCATAAGGTCAGGAACCTAGTTAAGAACCCAGCTCAGGACAAGTTGACTAAGAGGCTGCCTTAATTTGAAGCCACTGCACAATCCACCTGTGAGTTGACATATAAGTCAAAGAAGTGTGAAACATTAACATATATAAGAACCACGTGAGGAGGAACCTCTTACTTTATTTGAATGCAGATGGTTCAATCTCTGGACCCATTCCCTTGTTAACAAAATAATCCCTATGTCTGAAGGCACTAATTTATGTCTCCTTATGTGTGTGTGTTTTTTTTTTTTTTTTCGCTAATTATATCAGTATTGGCTTAGGACTACTTTTTTCATCCATTTCTATGTAAACTATATGATATAGATGTGCACACATGTGCAAACACACACATTTTAGGCCAGCGCATTTATGTCCATACTTAAAATATTTTAAATTAGGCTTTGACTTAAAAGCAAATCTTTTCATCTTATTTTATAATGGCAAAGGATGTGCAGCAAACACAAAGTTGACCCAGAGGTTCATTTATGCCACTGTTTGCTGGAGATTAAGACCATGGGGCGAGCAAGTTTGCTTGTAACTGAAGCACAGACTCTTGGCCATTTGCAACATTTTAAACTTTAACAAGTGGGCAATGCAATATAAATGATGCTTTAAACATTTATGCATTGGGTGGGAATCTATATTAATTATAAAACAAAAGGCCAAGTCCTAGAAACAAAGAAGCATTATTATTTTTTTTCTTTCTGAGTTGCTTTACTAAGAATTAGATCCCTAAAATAGAGGCGTAGAAACAAGAAAGGTTCTACCTACTAGATTTGTAGCTTAACTGGGAGCCCAAGACAATTCATCTGAGAGCTTACCATGGCCTGTTTGCATATTCTGCTCCTTGCCTTGCTTGTGTCCTCCAGCAATCACATACTGTGCATCTCAAAACCGCCTCTCCTTGTGCACAGTAGTCATTCTTGTGGTCCACATGGGAAAGCCTCACCTATTCTGAAATTCTGAAATGGTGGAAGCAAGTCCAAATGGTAGTAAGTTTATAAAGTGTCTCTGGCAGGTGATTGGAGCATGTTAGAATTTTTCTTTCTGTATAAAAATATTTGTATGTATTCTTCTATTTAATAGATCGAGGCTAAGTAAAGAGATGCCAATTTTAAAAAATCTGTTTCGATATCTTTGCTCTACTTCCAGTCACTCGAACCCTACCCTTGATTTATGGAGTAAATCAAGTTCATCTGTACACTCCCATCTCTCAGGCAGTGTTCTCATACTCCCTTGAAGCTGGTGGATAAGAAGCATTGAACATGCCCATCTCCCAGTTAAAAAGATCTTCCTCACCAGCTTGCCTTGTTTCTAAGAATTTTGACTTTTTTTGAACTCTCCCTTAAGGATTAAAACATTGCTGTTATCTGGGAGGTGGGCCATACTTAGCTGTTCTCACCTTAACCAAAATCACTTTATTGGTTTCTTAGAGAAGAGATTGAGCAGGGGGATATTCCCCAGCCTGGGGTGCTGCCAAGCTTTAATAGAGGGTCTCTAACATTGGGGGTTAAGAGGAACAAAAGGGGAGGGCAGAAGACTGTGAACACAAATGGTAATCAGTTCCCAATTCAGCCTGAGGCTGACACTAACTAGAGTCGATCGGTGAGTTTCTACTCACTATTTTATTCAGAGTAATTTGATATGGAATTCGACTCTTCCCCACTGGAAATGAAGTCCCTAGTTCCTCGGGTTTAACTAAGGCAGGCAACCTACAGCATGAAGTTGAAATAATAATCTGAATTATTTTTCAAAAACACCTAGGGAAAGATATTTTTTATGACCACATATTTGAGGTGGTCTATGCAAGACGAAGTATCCATGTAATTGTACACCCTCTAGTTCATCTTGTCTGTCCACACACAGTCATAGCAAGACACAGTCATGTACAGTGAACCCAGGCTTAGAATCTTTACCTCTTCTGGAAAGTTAATAGAAACTTCTGTCTCCTTGGGTTTGTCTTTCAAAGGTTTCAGTTTTCTCTTGGGACCGGCTACCAGGAGTCTGCATCATTGATCACAGGTAGTTGAAGGTCAGAATGTTTTTTTTTCTCTCCCTTTCCAATTTTTAACCATCCTTATATTGCGAGTTCTAAAGACTAGAATTTATGAATCTCAGGGCTCATAAACCACTCTCCACCCACCATGTAGTTGTAAGCGGTGACTATACACACCTGCAGGGCATACCTGACATGTTCAGCATCTGAAAAGCTGCAACTGGGCAGCAAGCTGGAAGATCAAACCTCCATTCATTAAATTAAAAAAAAAATGCACATGGCCCACCACCCCTGACAGCTGGCAGCCTATATTTTTACAGCTGGGTTTTAACTTAACACCTTTTGGGATGCTGTCTTCCAAGAGTATGGATTTGTGCTTTTCAACTCTGACTTTTGGATTTTAAAAAATGGAGCCCAGAGACTGTGTTGGACACATACTTATAAATCCACGAAGGCTTAGCCTACAGAAGCCACAGGAAATACTATGATATTTTGGAAAAGGTCGAGTTTCATGGATTCTGTAAGGCACTCAGCAGGTTGTAATTATTTCTTTTATTTAAAAGCCTTCCAGATATTTTTTTCCAGAGGGTCTGCAATTGAGGGGTAGTAGACATTTTTTTCATAGTGTACATTCTTTTTGGCTGAGTGCTGGAAATACACAGGAAATTAAGCGGCTTTAAAAGACCCAGCGGCATCCAGTCCAAGGCATGAGGTCACTGAAACAGAATGGGAGATCTCCAAATCAGCAGCATCAGTTTTTGGCTGCCTCTGTCCCTGTCCTTGTGCAGGAGGGAAAAAAATGAAGCAGGTGAACACACTGACCTGTTCTGTTTTAACAGAAACCAAATGTCGCCATGTCTACAGGCATGGCTCAGCAGCTGGAATCGCTCAAGAGGTTTAGACACAGGCCAACAAGACAGATGTGTTGAGGCGGCCAGGAAAGTGAAATGAGTTGCCTGTGTCTTAGTTCAAGATCCTGGTGCTGCTTTGGGCCCTGGCCTCTCTGGCCATGCCGAGGCCAAGGAAAGCAGGCCAGCTCCTTATTGACCAGCCTCTGGGCTGCCTCTTAGGAAAATCAGATGCAAGGACTCTTGCCTCAGACCAGAGACAGAATCGGCCAAGTTTTTGGTCTCAGCAACTAAAAACAAAAAGAAAAGATCTGCTTCTGAGGCAGCAGGTAGCTACCCGGACATGTGTCTGATGACTTTTGCACAGGAAGATGCGGATCCTGGGAGTGACGGGAACGTATGGGGAGAGGACTTCACAGAAGGTGGGCTCTTGGCTTCAGCCTAGCCGTTGCCTCTGAGGTTGGATGAGATTCTGCTGGAATCCTGGAAAGCAGAGAAAACTCCCCTGGAAGCAAATTTAGAGTGTGCGAGGTCTTCACTCCCTGCTGTCTCATTCGGTTTCTTTTTGGCTGCTTTGGGCTGAGTAGAGTTAATTTTGAGCAAAGAACTTCAGCCAGCATGAATGAAGCACTCCCAAGACGAGTCACAAAATGGCCTTTCAGAAAGAGCCGTCCATTGAGATGGGAGCCAGCGGGTGAAGTCACCATCAGCACAGGGCGCGGTGGCCAGGCATAGGCTGGATTCAAGAGAATCCTGGCCTGGGCCCATCATGCCCTCCAGCATTTCCATTTAATCAGTGGTGGAGGCCCCGGGTGAAATGAGGTGGGGAAATTGTCCAGTTCCCAGTAGGTTTCCTAGGACTGAGTTTATTCCTCCCTGGCTCCCGACTCAGAGAAGATACCAGGAAGGAGTAGAGGAGAATTGTTAATGGCCCTGGGCAGAATCAGTCTCAGAACCATCACAGCCACCATTGTTATCACCAGGACAGTAAGTTGCTGAATATCATGCTGTCCAAGGGGCCTTCCTCAGTAATGATTTGGGTGGCTCTTCACAGTCCTCAGAGCAAGCTGGCATACCCTTATCTTACTTGATTCTCATGGAAGTCCAGGGTGCAGGCACATAGCACCATTCTTGCCCCCCAGTTTGCTGGTGAGGACACTGAACTCAGGGAGCGTAAGTGACATGTCCTGGGCCACACAGCTGGTAAGAGGGAGAACCAGGACTCAAATGCAGGTCTTCAGGTTCCTACTTCAGAGCTTTTGTAACTATGGCAAGATGCCTCCCTGGATATAACCGAATCAGCTACATGGGTATGGGAGTCTGTCCTCTGGAAACTGAGAGCCCTAAGCAAACGACACAGCTGTTTCTATCTAATTTGTATGAAATGGAGCTGCCTCATGTCCCCCGTGTCAGCACAGTGTCATTCCCAAAGAAGCACACATTGGTTTTCAAAAATAATTTAAAAGCAACGTATATCTTTATTACAGTCTTTCAGAAAATGCTAAAGGAAGAGTTCCATCCACAGCTTACGGCAGATTTTCTGAAAAATCTCTTTATCTATCTATCTCCTCAAAATTCCACCTATCATAATATGACAGCTGCCTTAATCACTCCTCCTTCTCAAAAAAAAAAAAAGGAAGTTTCCCAGAACTTTTTTTTTTCAACCCTAGTGCTTTCTGATTCTTATATTTTTCTCACCCACCCCTTATCTTACAGATCTAGCATTTCCCCTCCTGTGAGTCTGGTTTCTCCAATGGAAACCAACCAAATGGTCTTGCTTCTTTTTATTCTTCTCCTTCATCCCCATTCCATGACTCTGATTGGAAAAATAAGGCCCAGGATAAAATTGGACGGAAGTTCTCTTCTCCCTAGAAGACAAGAGGGAAAGAGAAGCTGTAAATCACTTTTTCCTTGTCACATATGCATGTAACTGAGACAGTGACTGCTAACCTTCACCAAGCCCAGCAGCACATAAGATGTGGCGGCAGAGCCTCCCACTAAATTTGGGCTTAGAATCAGAGTCATACTGTCTGGAGATGGGCAGAGAGATTGGCAGATCCACTCACCATGCCTTGTGGATACTTCTTTTGTCAACCTCAGTCATTCTTTCACTCAAACTAGTGTTTTCTGCCTTTATAAGACTTATCAGTGTCTATAGCAGAGTGACAATGGGATTGAAGCTCACTCATCTTCCACTTCAAGTAGATATGCTATTCACTGTTTTCTTATGATGGTCTTAGTCAAGCTTAAGGTTTCCACTTAAGCCTAAAAATAATTCTTTCATGGTAGGCATGTAAACAGGGCCAATTAATAAGTAGCTACTTAACCTTTGCTATGGAAATTAGCCTAAGTTTAATTTTTGCCAGCATCATAGAACCAGTATCAGTCATGAGTCAATGCATTTACAGCCGGGTGCGGTGGCTCACGCCTGTAATCCCAGCACTTTAGGAGGCCGAGGCGGTCGGATCACTTGAGGTAAGGAGTTCAAGACCAGCCTGGTCAACATGGCAAAATGCTGTCTCTACTAAAAATACAAAAATTAGCCGGGCATGGTGGTACATATCTGTAGTCCCAGCTACTCAGGAGGCTGAGGCACAAGAATCACTTGAACCCAGGGGGCGGAGGTTGCAGTGAGCCGAGATTGTGCCACTGTACTCCAGCCTGGGTGACAAAGTGAGACTAAAAAAAAAAAAAAAAAAAAAAATAGAATGAATGCATTTACATAAATAGGGATATCATATAACTTGTTTCTGTGTATCTGCCTCCCCATTTTCATTGCAGAATTATTCACAATAGTCAAGATATGAAATCAACCTAAGTGTCCATCAAATAATGACTGGAGAAAGATAAGGTGGTATATATACACAATATACAATGGAATGCTATTTATTCCACTTTAAAAAGAAGGAAGTCATGGTCATTTGCAACAACATGGATGGACCTAGAGGACATTACATTAGTGAAATAATGAGCTAGGCACAGAAAGACAAATACTACATGATCTCACTTATATGTGGAATCTTAAAAAGTCAAACTCATAGAAGCAAAGAGGAGAATAGTGTTAGCAAAGACTGAGGCTTGGGGGGATCAAGGAGACATTGATCAAAGGACATAGAATTTCAATTAGACGGGAGGAATAAGTTCAAGAGATCTATTGAACATCGTAGTGACCACAATTAATAATAATAAATACTTACAAATTGCCATCAGAAATTTTAAGAATTCTCATCACAAAAATGATGTCTGTGAGGTAATGCATATTAAACAGCTTGCTGTGATTTTGCCATTCGACTGTGTATACATATATCAAAATATGTTGTACACCATAGACACATACCATTTTTACCTCTCAGATAAAGAAAAGTTTACTCTGTGTGTAGTGGGGTTTGTGTGATTTTCACATTCTTCTGAATAGATTTCTGCACTTACATATCTACCTGTTTAAGTGAGCATATAACATTTTTATAATCACTCAAACATTGAAGTTATTTTCACTTTTTAAAAGAATAACAGCATTCAATGTGGATGACAGTGAGGAGACACCAAGAAACTTGGTGGCTGTTGAAGATAATAACTCCCAATACATACACATATATATCTATCTATACATATAGATAGATATAGATATATCTCCAGTTGTAGTCACAGGAATTATTTGCATTTCTCTCTAATCAATCTAGAATGGCTTCTTGGAGGAGGTTGGGTTTCAGAAGTTACAGAAATGCTGTGAGAGAAACTTTTGTCCAGTGGAGAGGGAAGGAACTCGCAGGCGCTGTCCAGAGGAGGCTTGGCAGGGAGTGGCATGTTGCTTCCCAAGGAGATTTGCACGGTTGGTTTGAGGCGAGTGAGGGGATCAGCTGTGGCCATGCGGCCATGCAGGAAGTGTGGAAAGAAGACAAGGTTGTTGAGGCCTCCCACTTGAATAATGAAGAGATGAAGACAGTGAGAAGTTCCCTGAGACTCTAAATTTCCAGGGAGAGGGCTGCACCTCCTTGACCAACTCCCTGGAGTCCATTAGGCCAATGAGGTGCGGCTCCCATGCCTCTGCAGTAAGGTTGGGGAACTAGATCTGCTATGAGGAATTATGGGGCATTTACTAATGGCCCAGGTGTAAACCTCTACATTTCCAGGGCCAGACAGGGAGGAGCCAACAGCAGTCTCTGCCCTGGAACACAACCCTCTGAGAATTTTCAGTCTGTCTGACCCTATCCTCTGCTTTATTCCATTCTCTAGAAGCTCTTACCCAAGGAGGCATAGACCCATCTCACTTTCCCCTGATCTTGGTTTTCATAGCATCAAGAAAGAACCCCTGAAGCCCATGGCCTGTTGAGTCTCTTATCATCAGAGATCATATGAACAGAGTAAACAGTCTTTCTCCTTTGAGGGAAGGAGAAGCCTGGGAGCGCACGCAGCCCCTGCAAGGTAAAGAAAGCCTGAAGGTCATATTAAGCAAGAGCCACTGTTCCTTAGGACACTGTCCTCTGTGCACCATGAAGTTTCTGGCTGGGAATTGAATTTGAGTCATTGGTTCACTGAACTTTCTCTTCCTGTCCCACATTATTTGTTAATGGTCAGTGTTGTAACATTAGCTGCTTGAAGCATTTGGAGAGGATTTGGGGATAACTCAAGCGGTTTATCACTGACTTGGAGCATGGGATGTCCATTCACTCTAAACCACAGCATTGCCACTGCCCAAGAAGAATGCCTAGGCTTATATTTTGCAATTGTTTCAACACCACACGGGAAATACAGGTGAACCAATTGCACAGCCTCAAAAAGTGCCACAGCTGCTTTCTCACTGGGGTTTGCCCAACCTTTTGGGTCAGTCTGTTAGGTTAACCAACCCACCCTCTATTGGTAGCAACAGGATTCTGCTAGCTCCTTCAGTATGGTCATAAAACCACCAAAGCTGTGAGAGAGAGAGAGAGGCTCTATGAAGAGCAGAACAGTTAAAAGAAATACCTCATTTGGTCCTGCGTATGTACCTAACAATGTCACATTTTTTTAAAAGTTAACCTAAGAGATTTACAGCTCAGAGTGCCACTGAGATTTTTTTATTATAATTTGTGCTGAGAGAAAAAGTCTTCCTGGGGTGGTTTCAACAGCTCCTCCACATAAACTTCAAGCTCTTCATTTCTGGCATGCACACTCTCGAAGGAATTACTGTTATTTACCTCTGCCTGCTCAGAGAGAACCATTTCATGGAGATAGTCCAGCTTTGGACACAGCCTCACTGGCATTGTCCTTGGTGCCTTTAATGTCGTAGGCTCCAGTTCACATCCAGGACTGTGAATGGTTTTGCCAGACCGAATTCTGTGTCTGCGAATGAGCTGGAGCTTTTGCAATTTAAATGGACAGGCAGAGTTCATGTACTGTTTCAGTTCTCGCTTGATGGGCCTTCTCGGACTGTGCAACTTTATTTGGCTGTTTTTGTGTGAGGTGATTTTTCTTCTGAAGTGCGGGGGGTAACGAACTGGGTAGCCCACACGTTGTTGGGGTTTATAGAATCCTTTGATAATTAAACCATTGAGCCACAGACAGAAAGAATTCAGAGGCCTTTGTTGCCATGGACTGATAGTAACTTAAAAAAAACTGAAGCTAAAAAAAAGGGAGTGATAATCTCAAGTCCCCTTTCCAGTTTCCCCCGCTCCCTTTCTCTCCTTTCTAATAGAAGAGAGGAGTCAGGTGAGGAGAAGAGAGGTTGGTGTCCAGGGGAGATGGACAAATCTCTTTCTTTGGATGGAACCTCTCTTTCTTCCTCCTCTGTTTTGGATTGTCAGTTAAGACCCAGGGGCAAGCTGAGTGTTTCTTTCAGGAGAGGAAAAAAGCTAAAGTTAACATGGGAAAAAGAGCACGAGAAGTACAAGGCCTCCATGAAAATCAGATTTCTTTAAAAAAAGAAATCGTTTCCTTCCTCAATACCTAGTGGGGCTCAGCTCCCAGAGACAAGCGGTAAATGTGCAGGATGAAAAGCTCAAGGTGGAGGAAGGTTTGCTCCTAAGTCAGAGACTGGGAGGTCCCCGAGGCAGGGCACTTGTATGAAGTGGGGCATTGAGAGAAGTTCACCTTCCCCCAGACTGAGTTGGTCCACACAAAATCTTCCTGGAAGTGTGGTGAAGTATTTCCTTTAAAAAAAACTTTTTTTTTTTTGCGACAAGGTCTTGCTGTGTTACCCAGCCTGGAGTGCAGTGGTGCGATCAGGGCTCATCATAGCCTCTGCCTCCTGGGATCAAGTGATCTTCCCTACTCAGCCCCTCGAGTAGCAGGACCACAGGTGTACACCACCACGCCTGGCTAATTTTTGTGTTTTCTTGTAGAGATGGGATTTTGCCATGTTGCCTAGGCTGGTCTCAAGCCTGAGTTCAAGTGATCCACCCACCTGGGCCTCCCAAAGTGCTGGGATTACAGATGTGAGCCACTGCGCCCAGCCCCAAACCAAAAATGTATCTCTCCCCACCCCTGGGTGTTTATCACATTTCTGATGCTACTGAAGACCCCGGGTTTCTACGTTGCCTTCAGAATCTCAGAGAACGTCCTTGAAAGAAGTGACTTTTTCATTAGATACAAGGCCACAGCCCTGGGTTATGGGTTGGACTGTGTCCCCCTCCTCAAAACTTATATTTTGAAATCATAATCCCCAGTACCTTGGAATGTGACCTTATTTGAAAAATAAGGCTGTTCCGAGCAATTAGTTAAGTTAAAATGAGGTCATCATGGAGTAGGGTGGGCCCCTAATCGGACATGACTGGTGTCCTTATAAAAGGGGGAAATTTGAAGACAGATGCACACAGGGAGAATGCTTTGTGAAGATCAGAGTTATGTTGCCACAAGACAGAGGACTTTGAGAAGCTAGGACAGAGGACTGGAATGGATTTTCCCCTAGCACCTTCAAAGGAAGCATGGCCCTGCCAGCAACCTGATCTTGGCCTTCCAGCCTCCAGATCTGTAAGACAATGCGCTTCCTCTGTGTAAGCCACCAGTGAGTGGAACTTTGTTCCAGCAGTCGTAGGAAACGACCACAGGCCCACAGGACTTTTAGGGACCAACAAAACTATTTTAATTTTCATTTCTTTTCAAATCAGAAGGACAAAAATGAATGTAAGAATAATGAATACATAATGATGAAATCCAGCCTGGATTATATTTGTCTTAATACCAACGATATCATAAAATGTAGTTTTTACTTATTTTTTGATTATGGAGAAAGGGCTTGTGAAGCCAAAAGCACCCAGGGCCCACAAAAGATGTGATGTGGCCCTGAGGCCCTGAATTGATTTGGAACAGGTGAGTGGCCCCTACATCCTAGAGCAGCCCAGGAATTTGTGGTTGGGGCAGGAGTCAGCCCGGGGATCTGGGAAAAGATAAAAGTGTAATAGTCTGTGTAACTGTGTTGTAAAATATTCCTCAGTCTTTGCTGATGCTCCTCCTTTCTTCTTACCTCTGGCATATTGAAGAGTTGTTTTTGCTTTTAATATCTGTGAGAGGAGGACAGTTTCAAAAATGTCTCCATTTGGTACATTGTCGATGTTTGGCTATAGCTGAAGCACAAAGTGAAACAGAAGCTGCTACGGTCTCGGCTTATCCCTTGTGGAACTGCTTGCTTCACTAAAATGAGAAGGTAGAGCTTCAAATTAAGTCTGGACTCCCTCATTCAGCTCCCAATAGGTCTTTCTTTTCAAGCGTCTCTTCCCATTCACTTCCAAAAGCTATATTACTTATTTATGACCCAATCCAGGAGAAATAATACGCACTTAACTTGCACTTGTAACTGTTATCCTATTAATTACTCAGTTAAAATCCATAAAAGTGGACGGCTGTCACCGAAGTCTCTGCTAGAATTGTCACAAAAAGGAGCAGCTCTTGACAAATTTATTAATCAGGGTCTTGTGTGTAGTTCTTCGAAGTCAAATAGCCTGAGCTTCCAGGAGCCCAGTGGCCTGTGAAAATTGTATCCCATCCTCTCCAGTTGACAGTTCACACAATCTATGGAATGCAGGGGATATCTCTTCCTAACAAGCAGCAATAAACAGAAGAAACCTGAGCCAAACAAACAGGTAATTCTAAATTGACAACTGATATATACACATGACGCTTATAGCCCCCATTCTATAGACCAGGGGTTCTGAAACGAGTGAGCATCAGAATCACTTGGAGGACTTGTTAAAAACAGATTGCTGAGCCCATGCCCAGAGTTTCTGATTCAGTCAGTCTGGGATGGGACCCAAGAACTGGCATTTCTAACCTAGTTCCCAGGTACTGCCCATGCCGCTGGTCCAGAGGCCACACCCTGAGAAGCACTAGTCTAGAGGTTAACCTTCCATTGGTCTTTTTGCCAATAGGTGGTGCTCTTCCAAGAGCACCATCCTGCAATTACTAGGGGACGTAATGAATTTTAGACATAGGAATTGTCTGCCTGAAGTTATAGAACTTCCTTTCCTGGAAATAGGTAGAAGTAGACATCATCACTTTTCCAGAAGGGCTGTGTGCAGTTGGACCACGAGACCGTCCAACAGCAGTGACAACATGATCCACCTGATTGTACCCTCTCCTGTTCCATGCAATTTGATACCTTCCCTAACCACCCACTGGCATCCCCTCTAGTGATGCACAGCTATGAAATGGTTGTAGCAGAATGGTCCAGGATAAAGGCACTGCAGGGGTTCAGGTCTGAAAGTACACTTGGATGCTGAGGCATTTAGGAAGAGCTGCACCGGTGGGCTCTAGGAAAGGACATAGTGGTAAGGAGCGGTGGTAAATAAAGGTCTAGCAAGACCTCAGTTTTCTGTCTTCGAGGCATTGGGAAGGTGGCAAGAACTTGAATTCTCACCGCTATGTTCCTTTAGCCAAGGTGTATCTATTTATTCTCCTATCGAAGTACTAACCAGGCTCGGCTCTGCTTAGCTTCCAAGATCAGACAAGATCGGGCACCTTCAGGGAGGTATGGCCGTAGATGCCTATAACTGTTTATTGAATGTTTCCCCAGTATAAATTTTTAGACTGAGCAAGGTAGAGAGTGTTGAGGCTGATACTCTAGTAGGGGACAGCGAGGCAGACCCATAAATCATTATAATACATGGTAGACAGGGGCCACACAAACAGACTTACACTTCCTCAGAGATGCTCTGGAAATCACCATACCTCCAATGCACTTCTTTTTCAGGAAGAAAAAAATATATATCAGATCAGAGTTTGTTCAGGTAACAGAATATCAAATCAGAGTTCATGAACTGAGAGGACAAGGCCAAAAGTCTTAAACCGAATGCTGGCCTATGCAAAGGTTTTCCTCTGGGTGCAGGAGTCCTTTCTCAAATATTACTGAAGCTGAAGGGCCTTCCTGATTATTGCTAGTTGGAAGAGGGAGACAGAATGGGTTGTATTTCGGATATTTTCCTTAATAACTCTGACTTCCCGCCATGCTGCTAGCACCTCTGCCGTCTACCTTAGGTTCCTGTACCAACTGAGATTGCCACCATGAAAACTCATAGCCCAACCAGAAAACACT
This sequence comes from Homo sapiens, assembly GCF_000001405.40. NCBI lineage: Eukaryota > Metazoa > Chordata > Mammalia > Primates > Hominidae > Homo > Homo sapiens. The sequence goes on along the minus strand of NC_000015.10, from coordinate 60,736,218 downwards.
GTTCCAGGATACTTTGGGACCAGGGGAAAAAAAGGAGAAGACTGAATCTGGGCCCCACTCTTAGCCAGCAGTGAACTGACATCCCTAGTGAGAATCCCCCAGCCCTGTAACCTGTTCAGCCCCTCCCCTAGACTCAGTCCTGGCTTCTGAAGGCATCTGCTTGATCCCTAGATGACGCCTTAAAGTTGACAGGTAAGCAAGATAATTGGGAGAGGTAACAGCTGAAACGTGTGTTGTGAAGGGCATGGGTACATCTAGTCTACTGTGTGTTTAGAATTGGGGATGGAGGATTAAATTGGGCTTGGCCAGTCAAGTCAATAAGTCTGTCTCCAATGGTGAGTTGACCTTCCTGCTGGTGACACTTTTGCTGCTTCCCAATATTTCATCCCAAATGGAAGTGAGGGATTGAATTTTATCTTCAAAACCACTGAGCCTTGAATCCATTGTGCTGCTTTGCTTGTGTTTCCTGCCAAACTGCCTTGTGAAATTTTACCCACTGAGCAAAGTTCATCTCTTCTATGAAAGCTTCTCCTGCCACATTCCAATTCACATGGAGTTCTCTAAATACAAACATTTTTGAACTCACCTTCTGTTTACCTTGTCTCTTCTGGAGGCCGAAGTGCAACTTGGTTTTTTTTTTTTCCTTTTTTCCCTGTGATGCTTAGCATAATTCTAAAGGTGGTAGGCTCTCAGCAGCGCATCTGGTTTTATTTCAATTAAGTAGCATTAGTTTCTATCCCTAAGTAGCAAATTAGGCAGTTACGATGGAGGTGTCATATGCTTTCCCAGGTACAGTTTAGAATGATGTCTACCACAGATTTAATAACACTTGCTGTTCTCCCTCTTCTTAAAAGAGCTACAGAAATAGTGTTTGGCAATATTATATAAAAAAACAACCTTTTATACAGCAGCTATGTTTAGTTAGGGGTCAAATAATCCTTTGTTCAGTATGTCTTGTCACAGATGTCTTTTATCATAAGCAACAAATCTTTCTGTGTTGGTGAACATCTCTGAGGCAGATGTCCTGTGACCCAGGGTGGAGGTTTATTCTTTGTTCTGTGATATATTTGCCTTCTCTTGAATTGCAGGCTCAGTGACTCAGCTTCTTTCTCTCCTCTGAAGAGATGTCAGTGACTGTTGTTTTGCTCTCTGATGCTTTGTACTTCACAGAGATTTGCTTTTGTAAACTGCATGGCTAAGGTGCACACCTTAAATAACACCATTAAATAACTCTCTTTTATACCCAACTGTGCTGCCCATGGTTGTCTGCAAGTCAAGTCTGAGTGCAAATAGCAGATAAAATGAAACAATAAAAGCAGGCTAGAAACAAATAACAGATTGATGTATTAGAAATGCAGGAAAACAGTTTAGTTAGCCATTGCCAAAAGTATCACAGAGATTTCTAGCCCCATCTGTCACTTCAAAGTCTCTACATGATTGCCGTTACATTTACACCATGCTGAATAGTCTTTTGGAAGAGTATACTGTATCTTTCTGCAGCATGTTATCAAGGTGTGGATCTCTCTCAAATCAGGGAAACCTACTTTTCTGTTAAGTGTGTGAAAACAGAGAAGTACCCACGCAGGACATGGAGAGGTCGGGGTCCCAAGAAATCTAACAGTGGGCCATTATGTTGGTGCCTGTCTCCTATTTACAAAGACAAACTTTCAGCTCCACAGACTCAAAAACGTGTCTTGTCTTTGCAGTGTTCAGAGATGAGAGAGCAGACTCAAATCTCTCAAGCTCTCAAAACTGATATATAAAATAATCATTCCTGTGTTAAAATCAGAATATTACAGTGTTTATTTAAGAAGAGAGATTTCTCCAGCTGTTTTTTCAGTGGAGCTCCAGATGTGGTAGTTGGCTTGTGTTTAGGGTAGTGGTCCCCAAACTTCATCGTGCATCAGAATCACTGAGAGGCCCCATCTCCAGAGTTTCTGATTCAGTAGGACTGGGGAGAGACTCAGGTTTGTATTTTAATAATTTTCCAGGTGATGCTGATGCTGTTGGCTCAAAGACCTCAGTTGGAGAACACTGATTTAGGGGTCACATTGAATGAACAGCAGCTGTAATTAACACTAAAAATCCTGCTGAGCACAGAGAGATGTTCATCTTCTGAGAAGCTCAAGAGGCTGATGAAGGATTAAGAGTCACCTCTCTCATCTCCATCTCACTCTCTGTCTCTCTCCTCCCACTCTGCCACTCTGTTGCCCTCTTTTCATTTCTTATTCCTTTCCTCATTCCCATCTCATTCCTTTCTCTTTCTCTCTCTCTCTCTCTCTCTCTCTCTCTCTCTCTCTCTCTGCCCCTATTCTAACCGCTCACCTGTGTGCAGATAGTTGGATACACATAAGTTGGGCAACTCAACTTCCCATCCACTGGGAACAACTGATTGGGTCCTTAGGCCTGAAAAATCCTAGCAGGCCATTGCCCACGTTTGTTTCCATAACTCTTTTCTCTCTGCTCCCATGGCCATGCTTGATTATCATACCTCCTTCTGATGGATTTGTAAATTCAGGCAGCTTCCAGTCAAATTTTGCCTTCCAGAAGCTCAGTAAAGTGACTTTGCATATCTCTGCCATCCCCTTTTATGGGAGATCATACAGTTTAACTTTCAGATCATGGTCTTTTTTCTTCCTCAGTACTTATTCATGGGGAATATCCTCTTTAATCCCCCAATATTGACAACATTAATATTTGCATTTTAATTAAAATCTAAAGATCTCACGTCAAAGTGTGTTATTTCCTTGGTATCTCACAGTAACACTGCTCACTCTTCAGTGAAGTCTGGCATGACATGAGTTGCCTCAGCCCACGCAAAAACTGCATGCCCTGGGGATTTACCCACACAGACTGGTCATACTCATAAGTAAGATTGGCATTTGTGTCCTCCACTGTCCTTATTCCCATCTCAATATTGTGCCTCATTTTTGGCCTCTACAGTCGGTAGTTTTTACTAATTCAAAGAAATCACCCCAAGAAAGCAGGGGGAGAAGATTGAAATATGAGTAGGGGAGGAGGTTGAGAAGGACATTGACTAATGCATTTCCTTATTTACCTCCATTTCCAAATTTAGGGAACTCATAAGAAGCATAATTGAGTCTCCAACTTATGAAAGTTCTGAGCCAGAATTCCTCCAGAGGAGCAAGCTAATGCCATCTTGGCAATAAAGGGGCCGGCCGCAGAGCAGGTGTGTGCTTATTTTCCACACGGTCCCCAAGGCCTAATGTTTATGAGAGTGTCCCTTTCAAAGACGGAGATTTCTGTCAAAAGAAAGTAGTTTTTGTTTTGAAAGAAAATACTATGATGGGGTATGGGGCAATATTTGAATCTGCATCTCTGAAGGGTGATAACAGGATAGTCTTTATAGAAGCATGTAAGTGCACGTGTGTGTGCGTAGCTGTAAGTATGTGAGTGTATGTGGGTGTGTGTGTGATTGTAAGTATGTTTAACTGTTCACGTGTCAGGGTATGTAGGGTTGTGTAAGTGTTCATGTGTTGGTTATGTAAAGGGGGGTGTGTGTACACGTGTGTTTGTCCACGGGTGGATATGTACGAGTGATTAAGAGAGAGAGAGAGAATGAGAATGATTATCACATCTCAGACAAGCTGGAAGGGCTTGCTCAACCTCCCTCTGACACAGTTGAACTAAGCTGGCCAAATCAGGTTAAGGCTTTCTAGATTAATTTGCTTAATTTTTTTGAGGACAACTTCTACACTGAAACTCCAAGTAAGCCTCCTGAAATGTGGTGGTAGATGTGGTGTGTCCTGAGCTCAGGGAACTGGCTGTTTGCTGAAGATTTCCCACAGAGAGAAAAGCTTTGGCCTGACTTCTGCACAGGCACCCTGACTTTGCTGCCTCTCAGGAATCTGGAAGGTGCTGGCTCACCCGCACCTACCTTTCCATCTTATATAATCCAACAATTTGACACTCACATCCTCTTCCTGTTAGATTCAGTCTCTGTTTTCCTTGATGGTTACTATATTTTAAAATGTTACATAGTATTTTTAGATAATAGAACCTTTTAAAAATAATCTAATTTGGGGGTGTATATGCAGAAATGGCCCTATCCAAACAAGACATTTTAAGGCAACGTCTTTTTTAAATTCTTGAAAACTCTGTGTACCCAGCATCTGCTAGAGATGCATCCTATTCCATAGCACAGTTGATTTAGATGACCATTCAACTCAGCCTCTAAGAGGCTGGTTACTCAATGCTCTCCCTTCGCCTATTCGGAACTTCTAGCCTGGTATGGCAGGATCCTAATTCATTAGCTAATAGAGACCTCCTATTTTCCCTGGGACGTGTCCTCCTCTGCAGATACTTGGCTGAAAAAGAACGCTGACAGCAACTTTAAGCTTATGCAATTCATGTCTACTTGTGAAATTCAAACTCATGGCTGCTAATAATGGAGATGATGACTCCCATGACTGAATAACAAACTGTATTTCATTTTGGGCACTAACAGCAGTCAACTGGTAGTGGCTGCCTGGAGTACCAAGAATGCCACAATAGATTAGTGATGTCTGCTGTAAACAAGGAGTGGGAGTGTTGGTGTGCTTGCTCTACTTGCTTCCTCTGTTCTAGTTCACCAAAGAAACCACTTACCTTTCTAAAAAATATAATGTTATTCACCTGAAGTTAACTTTTCCTCTTAGCAGTTGGGGCCATCTCTAGGCAGGGGACTGATTCTTCGGCTAATTTGGAATCCTTGCTGTTTTGACTTTTTTCTGTTTTCTTCCTTCAGTACATCTTCTCTATTTTGTGTCTGCCTCTCCCTAGTGTCAGAATCTTCTTTCACCAGAAACACTCAGTGTTTTCAGATGGAAGCATGGTTTCTGGAAAGGAAAGCATCCCACAAACTAAATGGTTGCTAATCCCAAACACATATGCATGTTTAAAGAGAAGGCTTAGTATTGGCCATGTTTAGACCAAAGGAATGAATTTTTATTGGTGAAATTCAAGTGTATTGTTTGGGGGTTTGGGGCATCATTCTTTTCTAGACACACCTGCTTAAATGACCTTATCCACCATCACTGACAGTTGTTTACTCCATATGGCTCACCAAAGTTCACAAGTTTCTTGAGTTAAAGATGCTGGGCTGCTTTCCTGCTTACTGGGTTAGCCTCAATATATGACAGATTATTATTAAGAGGCAGTGAAGGTGGGAGGAAGGAGAAGATTAGGAAGAATAACTAATGGGTATCAGGCTTAATACCTGAGTGATGAAATATTCCGTACAACAACCCCCCGACACATGTTTACATATGTAACAAACCAGGTGTACCCCTGGACTTAAAATAAAAGTATGTTTAAAAAGAAACAATGAAAATACTGTCCTGTCTGTCAAAAAAAAAAAAAATTCTTTTCCTATATGAATAGCTCACTGAGATTTTGTTGAGACATAAAGTTTTCATATTGTAACATACCTTTCTATTTATTCCTTGTAAATACTAAACAGTGTTAGAAAGTAACCAAATATAGATATATTGACTTGGAAATGAATCCATGATATAGTATTAAGTAAAATGAAATGATCACAGGAAAACATGCAAAGAGAAATACAAGTGAGCACACACATACATGCATCTGTATTTAAGCATATATTTAAAGCACAGAAAGTAGCCTAGAAAATGTTATATTTAAAAGTTTGACCTCAAAAGAGAAGAGAAGGATTAAGGAATGCAGGGGAAGTGAAAAGCTCCTTTGATTTGTATTCTACATACTACTGCATTTTTTAAGATTTTTCCAGCCAGCATGTATTATTTCTGTATTTTAAAGAAGGAATGGTTGGTTTAAATTAATTGAACGATAAGACAACCACAAAAGAAATCAGGCTATGAAAGGTTAAGACCATTTGGCCAAATTCAGTTCTTCAGAATGAGAAGAATGGCATTTCCTACGGTCCTTGGTAACCTCAAAGTTTCCAGCTGCTAACAGTCACATCCGAGTGTCATGTGTGCACACCTGAAACCGTGTGGGAGGAAAGCCGTCTTCCTGTATAGAGGAAGACCTTCCAGCATCATCTAGTACAGATCTTCTCCTGCAGTCAACTGAAGGAAGACAAGATGCTTGCAGCCTCATTTAGAACTGTGGACTATTTAAAAGTGATACCAAGGTCTGCTTTTGAAAACTCCTTCCCCAACATTCGCTGTTTACTCTTGTTCATGGTTTTATTTGTGCTGGCGTAACAGGAGATAAATGTAAAAAGGGACAAGGGACAAGTCGTGAGAAGAACCACTTTGATTCAGTGCTGCTAATGTTGCTATTTCCAGAAATGGAACCAGAAAAGAAGGAATCTAGCAATTTTTAAAAAAACTAAATCTATTGTCCACAACTAGCCTTAAAGCAGAGAGGTAAGATATTACATAGAAAATACCATCCCTAACCCTGACTACATAAAGTATAAGTTGGATTAGACTTCATATTTTAGATTTAATACACAGAAGAAGAAATCAACTAACAACTGTATAAATGATTACAATCCAGTTGGGTTGGATTCAATGCCATTTGTTGGCACAGGTCTTGCCTCAGGACAAACCTACCCTACCCAAGGTAATACAGACAGGGTTCCTGTCAGAAAGATCCCTTGCACCTCACTAAAATTCCCTCTCATGATTGTATTTAAATTTATTTGCATAATTCATGAGAGCTTTATATTGCATATTACATACTCAGGACATTGGGAGTCTGCTATTGGTGAATTCTAACAATGGAGAAAATGGAGGCTCAGGTACATAAATGGATTTGTCCTAGGGTACTACATTGAGTGACTAATCTGGGACTAGAATCCAGGACTCCTGACTCTGTTGTCCCCACTTCTCCTAAGGTGGAGTTTCTTTTGGCTAAAGACTCATCTCCAGGACACTCTTTTAAAATATGTATCACTGGAGGTTGGAGTAAGGAAAGTGATCGAAAGACTGAGCATTTCCAGTTAATGTGTTGTCCTCTTTAGTGGCATCCATGAGGCTCTTTGTCAATGAAGTTTTGATGGAGCAGAACAGAGGTGGGAGGAACTCAGAATATGGGGTGGGGTGGGGGGATGTGAGAGGGAACCCAGTGTTGGGGCCTGCCTTCTCAAAGCAAGGGACACCAAAAACGGGGAGGTAAATATCAGCATCAGCTTCGGCCTTTCCTATTGGCTTCCAGCTCCTGTCCTGCTAGTGGTAATTACACCTAGAATAAAACCCCAACAAAGGGAGTTGTAAATATCCCGCCTATGGATATAACAACGTATTAGCTCTGTGTTCAGATGGGATAACTCAAGGGGAGACCTCTACCAGATGCAATTAATAATATCTTACATTTATATTATAATTTTATTATTGTATAAAGTTTTTAAAAATCTGCACCTTTCTTATAGTACTTTTCGCACTCTGACTTACAGTTGAATTATATGTAAATGTGAGTTACCTCCCCTACTACACTTTAAGTTTTTTTTAGGGCAGGATCTGTGCCTGGCTCACCTTTAGGTGTTGAGAAATGAATAGCACTTGGCATATACTTGTTGCATTAATGAATGGAGCAGGGATGTTTCTGCAGATCCTTTTAGTGTGTTTTACTGGTAAATGCATTTTACTTATAATATTTTTTAAATGGGAGACATAATCTTTTCTTCATTTTTAATCCCCTCATTCAACTTTATAAGTGAATTGTGTGTCTCTGTAGGTATTTTGGATGAAACGAATGATGATTTACTTAGTAGGGATATTTTTAAGTGGAAATGAACTAATGTCCTATGTTTTTCTGTGTTAATGAGCTGTAACTTGCTATTCAACTGAATAGGTAACTGAAGAGGAGCAACCTAGTCCCTACACAAGCAGGGTCAATATAATTCCTATCCTGTATTGTCTAGGTCCAAGGGTGAGTTGGGAGGATGGGTATATTGCAGATACTTAATATTGTTGAACGGTAAGAGAATATTTGTCTCTTGGTTATGGATTCTGTTTACAAAGCAAAAAAGTATTTTAGCCTGGGTGACATAATGAGACCTGATTCTAAAAAGGTAAATAAATAAAAAAGCAAAAAGGAAGCATCTTCTTATCTTGTTAAATTCTACATGAAGAATAGTCACCCGGATGGGAAGTAGAAGTAAGGTTTTCAGTTCCAATAACATGCAAGGAAAAATGGAAAAAATCCTTTGGCATTCGTTCTTTTGATACAGAGGAAAAATACTAGGCTCAGTGTTTCACAAACCTTGGTGTCCCAGTCTCCGAGTTAAAGTGGGGATGTAGCCCATTGTGAGCAGGTAGACCTTTCAGATACGTCCACTGTGTATTTGCCAGGAGGAGGTGAAGCCAGGTCCAGGAGTGCATTCAGAGGAGACGAATACCTTCAGAGCGCTGTGAATGTCAGGAGTGAGTGCCCGTGAACCTCTCCTAGAGTTTCACTTGGCAGGCAGGTGCCCCATTGAAACTATCTCCCCAGGGATCTCATGGGATCTGAGATCCTGCTCCTTCTCTTACTAGGTGGGATAAGAGCGATGGCCGGTTCATGTAAGGACAGGGACAGATTCTTTTCACTTTCACGCCATTTTTTTTTAAAGTCCCAAACAACCTGTTCCAGGACCTTCTCCCTTCGTGCACTGGTCCCAGTTGCTTTGCCTCCAGATACCCTGGGACCCCTGAAATCTATAACTGTCTGCATTCTTTCCTTGTTCTGATCTGTGCTTAAAATGTTCTAGTTGACAGTTTAGAGCTTTGGTTCATAAGGGATCAGCTGTCAGCGAGAGGAATGTGAGGCTCTTATTGTGGATGGGATTTGAGCAGAGTCCATCTGAATCCTTGCTTTTGTCTGGAAACGTTAAGAACTATTACAGCAATGTGTGCCCTAGGAGTGTAGGTAAATCTAAGCAGGGGTCTGTTCACTAAGGAAGGTATGTTGGGAATTCAGTGGGTTTTGCAACCGTGGGATATTCCAAGTCATATTAAAGGTTAAAAACGAGCACAGGGAAGCAATTGCAAAGAAGGGGAAGGAGGCACAAGAATGGTTGACTTTTGAGCTATTCTTGCCAAAAAACAAAACAAAACAATAACAACAAAAAATGAAAGCAATGGGTGAGTTCAATGAAGCAGTGGACTTAGCTGAGGGCAGAAATATTTGTCTTTTTGGTTATGAACAGCAGTGTAATCCCTGGGCTTGCTGGGGACAAAAACCAGCAAACCTGTGTGAGCTGCTGTTTGTGAGGTGTTCACAGGAGTTTGCGATCAAAATGATTGTGAATGTGAAAGTTATTACTGCTCAAAAAACACTTTATATCAGGGTTAATTATAAGGAGATTCTGTAGTATAATTAGTGTTCTTTCTATTGAGGATTAAGGGCCTCTCCTAAATGGCCTTTTTGATTGCCTTCTTCCCTTTTTTAATTTCCTCCTTGTCCTTTTTGATTATCTACCCCACGACCCTCAGGGCTCCTCAATGTAATACAATTAAAATAACATTTTTCTGTTAGAGGGTTTTATTTTATGAGCTATTAACCCCCTGCTTGCCTGAAGTCTGGTTTAGTCTCCCCGCATACCCACCCGCCCCTAGACACAGTGGCGCGTCTGCAGCCCCACGGGAGACACATGCAGACGAGGCTGTAGGCGGGGCCTACGCAAAGCAAAGCTGAGGAACTACCTTGGTTTGGTCTTTCAAGAGATGATTGGATGCTGATTTTCCAGCAGCAACGAAAGGGAAATGAGTCCTGCTGGCCCAGCTGGCTTTCACGTAAGCTGGAGCCTGGGTAATACAACCTTGTCCCAATTCTGTTTGTGCCCTGTGCTGTGGCAAACTGCCTTGCACACAGTAGGTGCTCAATACTGGCCTTTACTGACCTGCTTAGGACCATTTGCCTCCTTTGTTTTTGCAATCCCGAGACAACAAAGAACGCAGACATTTCCACTTTCCTTCTCCATTGGTCCTGACCCCATTCATTTCTTAGACTTGCCAGCATGACCTCTTATTAACCTTCATTTCCTTCATTCTGAGCTTAAAGGGGGATTCTGGACAGTGCATGCAGTGAAAAGTGAAGGTGACTCTGAAAGCAATATAGGGGAAAGAGTATCATTTTGGAGTCAGGTAAACCCGGAGTCACACCCCAACCTCATCACCTAATAGCTATATGGCCTTAATTATGGGTAGAAGGGGAGGCAGCATTATGTCAACATCTGAGGGTTATGCAGATGTTAAGTGAAATCAGGTGTGTAAATCATTTAGCCTGGTACCTAGTTGATGTGGTGATTCAAAAAATGTTGTGTGCCCCCCAAACCACCACCACTACCATTCACCCCTTGCCTTTCTTGCCTTTACCTTGTGACCAGAATTTCTACAATTCTGACCAGAATTCTGCCTGAAGACTGCTCTATATGGCCTCCCTTCCACTTCACTCGTATGACTGACCCAGTGGAGGACATTTAATTAGATTTATTTGAGGGACATAGTCTTTGATGAAATTTCATGGCCTTTACTGAAGCACCATGGAACCAGTTCTCAAGTGACTAGATCCCGAAAGGCACAAGTCACAATGATCTCTTGTCAAGAAATTTCCATGGGAGGGGGTACAAAAAAGAACAAAAAGAATAAAACAGTATTTCACAGCACAGCAGGGTGACTAAGGTCAAAATAATTTAATTGTATATTTTAAAAGAACTAAGATTATAATTGGATTGTTTGTAACACAAAGGATACGTGCTTGAGGGGGTGGACACCCCATTTTCCATAATGTGATTATTACTTATTGCATGCCTGTATCAAAGCATCTCATCTACCCCCTAAATATAAACACCTACTATGTACTCATAAAAATTAAAAATTAAAAAAATTTTTCCATGGGCGATAGAAACATGGGTGCCATGAACTAACAAAGCAGGAATTAAATAACAATTGAGCACCATGATGCATATCACTAAGTTACACATGATTAATAAGCAAGTAAATAGTCCAGGTAATAAGAGCGCAGAAAATATAGAGAAAGACCCATGTGAGAGTGGGAAAGAGAGGGGTGCTGGCATTGTGCTAAGCTGAATCGGGGGAAAAGAAGACATTGAAATGCCTAAACTCGTAAGATAATTAAAAGTGTCCATTCCAATTCTGAATGTGGCACTTCTGAATATGGTAAACTAGATTGAAATTAAGTCAATTTTATAATCGCTAATCAGAAAGACCTTTTTCCTTGTAAAATGTGCTTTCTGCTTTGATAAAATCTGAATGCATATGCTTTACCATTCACAGATTAATAGTTGTTTAATTTTAGAAGCGTCACCTAGACAGGTAGAACTCACCAAACATAGGCAGATGAAGCTACAGAGCTATCATGAAGGGCCCAGTGTGAGGAGCGGGGAGGAGGGAGCCAGGACCTGGGAGCACCTCTCTGGGAGGGTGGCCAGAAGATCTCAGGCACAGTATTCACCGGAAAGTGGTGGGACCCTCATTCATTCAGTCAACCCACACCAGCCTTTCTTAAACACCTGCTATGGCTCATGTATGCCTCCAGGTACTCAAAATTAGAAAGTGAGCAAGACCCACTCTTTTCTTAAGGAGCTCGCCCTCCAGAGACACAGTACTCAGATATGGGAGCTCCTATTAAACCGGCCACAGCATCAGAGAAGATGGGGCCAATATTCAAGAAGTTCCCTAAGACTAGGTAGGACACAGCATCGGAGTCCTAAAGTCAAACAATAGGGAAAGCTACTGAGTCCGAGCAGGAAGCAATGGGCTTCTGTCCCATCAGGAGACCTGGAGAGCCCGAACACCTGGATAAAACACAAGGAGCCGCTCCACATTCAAAGTGTATGGGTTCAAATCTTGGTTCTACCACATACTAGCATATTACATAAGCTCTCTGTGCTTCGTTTTCCTTTACTATGATAGGGATAATAATTGTAACAATCTCAAAAGATTATTATAAAGAATAAACAAGAAAATACATGTAAAGTGCTTGGAACAGTACTCAACACATAGGAGCCCTCAATGAAAGTTACCTGTGATAATAAGAATTACCATCCTTGTTATCATTGTTAGTGATCTAGCAGGGTAATTGTATTTATCCTTTAAGAATTTAGACCCCTTTATTTCCCAAGAGGATTTGAGGTGGCTTATAATACCACATAGAGTATCCAAGATAAAAATTCATGAATAAATCCGGGTGGAAAGAAAACAAAGGTAGGAATCATAACATGAAGCCAGAGGTAAAGTCAGTATACAGATTGCACACTATCAGATTTGGTACATTTGCTAAGCCTTAAGGGAATTAACATCTTTACCTCAAGCACTTAGTTTCTCTAAGATAAGGTCAAGGGCTACAGTGTTGACCGTGCCACACAGATCCATCTTGTCTCTGGTGCACTGAAGAAACCTCTACACAACTGCACATACTCCAAACTTTTTCCTTTCTCTCACCCTCCTTGTGGATTGAGAGCTTGCCTTGGTCCTTCTTGTAGCCTCCAAGCCCCAAGAGCAAGATCTTGCATGTAGTAAGCACTCAATAAATACTTCTTGATTTGTTATTTGAATAGATGAATAAATGGATGTGTGGATGGCAGGATGGATGGATGGAGTTGTGTGTACTCCTGGCTAGAGTCCTAACTGTGACTCTGATAAAGTCTCATGAGTTTATTCCATATTTGTTTTAGTGTGAAAACCTCCAGGGAGGATTATTTGCAGATAATCTATTGTTTATTTTATTTAGGGGGATTTGATGTTTCAAATCATTACACTGAGAAAGTACTCAACTAGTTTAACTTAGTTTCTCCTTTGCTTTTTCCCTGCGCCTTATGTGCCCTGAGGGGAATAATTTTCAAAAAAAAAAGTAATTTTCCACAAATTTTCAAAGAACATGGCCATTTTATGTGAGTGGGGGGGGGAATGGTTTTGATAGGATCACATTTGTCAATCTCAACCAGTTTTGAGATGATAAACAGTCTATTTTTCTCTTTCAGCAAACCTTTTTCAACCTATATGCGCATCGAAACTAAGGGTAGCTGCTATTGCTAAAATAAAACTTTATATGTTAAGCCATTTATTTATGTATAATGGTTAGCCTTTTTATAAAATCTAGTTTTGACAATATCTTTCTTGGATAAGGAGTCCCTATGTATCATTTAAATAATACATAAAATTCTTATGTATTTTTATAATTATTGAAAATAAGTGAAGTTCAACTGTCTGCACACCCTTGAAAATCTCAGCAGCCTAAGGACAGATCATCCAGAGAGCTGGGGTTTCTTGCAAGCTAGTTTTTTTCTATCTTTGCAGAGATCTGGTAAGAAGTTAAACTCAAGGGTCAGTGGCAACATGCTCACCTGCAGGATTACTTTGGCTGCCTGACTCACTGCACCCTGACCACTTCTCTGGGAAATAGACTTGGTGTTTGTGAGACGTGGAGAGGGAAGGATGAGAAATGGGAAGGAGGGTCTTCACATCTTGTGTTAGAAATGTTCATCAGAATGACAGGGTCTCCACTGGCCAAGGTTGTGGTCCTCCTTTCCAGTATTTTTCTTGGATGACTACAGGACAAGACTGGCCAGGAATAAGCAGAGTCCAGCCTTGTTTGTGAGATCTGGCACGGAGCACAGATCAGGGCAACAAGAAAGCAAGTCCAGGGAAGTCAGCTGAACCAGAGAAGAGCAGGTGGACATGATGTCCTTAGGTGGGACTCTTGATTGTTCTGAAAGACAGCTTTCTGCTGGTGTCAGCAGCCTGTTGCATGTGGGTGATCCACGTCCCTCAGGGGCTAATCAGAGCCAGAGGAAGGTCAGAGAGCTGCACGTAAGTCCTCTACACAAATAAGGCAGAACAGAAACACTCTGTTTATTTGTACATATGTAAAGATAAAAGTTCTAAGAAATAGTGCAGTGAGTGATGGGGGAAGGGTGCTGCTATTTTAGCTGCACCTTAATTTGTGGGGTTATCTTTGTGATTTTATTTCCTCTTCAGTTTCACTCACTGGAACACAAGCTCAGTTCTTTAATGACATATAGAGAATTTTATGTACTTATGTGAATGATGTACCATATGTTGACAACACATGGAAGTCTTCTTGAAATTCAGAACATAAGAAAATAAATAACAAACTGAAAGGGAAGAGAATGGAGTTAAGGGAGAAAAGGGCAGGAATCAATAATGATAATGTGAACTGATGTTATTTCTTTGATAGGTTTTCAGTAGAAAAGGTATTGGTATAGTTTCAGTAATTGTGATCATTTAGACTCTGGCTGGGCTAAATCTGTGACAAAATGATTTGCTAAGCAAATGAATACAGGCATAGTTTGTTTAAACAATTGATGTGTTTCTAAAGGGTTGGTTGCACGCCGTCTAGGGCGAGTCCTTGAGTAAAATGAGTCACCATCCAGTAAGGAATGGCCCTGAAAGAGACAGACTTGGTCTGAGGAGCAGGCACCTCTTACTAGAGATGACCCTCTGCAGAAATAATCTTTGCTCAAATTGCAAAGTGTTTTACTTTTTGTTTTCATAAAGAAGACTGAGCCCTGATTTTATCTGTTTTAGAAAAGCTCCATATATAAATGTTTCCTATATCTGGTTTGTGCAAAATAGCCTTGTGTATTGAAGGTGTAAATAAGTTTTCCAGCCATTATTTTTTCTTACTAGAAGAGAAACTTGTTTACTAGCAGTTAAGAAATAGCTATTTACCAAGTTCTTTGAGGGTACCCAGGTCTGCCTGCCCCACGGCACTTCATACTGTGAATTCCACATAGCAGTACTCAACAAATCTGGTCTGTATGAGTAAATAAATATATACTTAAATAATGTGCATGAGAAAACATAAATAAGAATATTATTGTAATGGAAGCCCAGCCTTGGTCTCCTCAGGGAGGTGCTTGGCTATTGTGGTTTCAATTTCCTCTTATCTATTTGTGACTTAGAACATACACTAGGCAAATTTATTTGTCTAGCTCTTGAGACCATGTGTAAAATAACAAAACTGTTTTCTGATCACTCTGATTTTTTGTTAATTTGGACTGCTCTCCCCGCCCGGCAATTGGTGCAGCTTAATGAGGTCATTTTTGTGGATCCACCGATCTCTCTGCGAGATGTTTAGTCAAAGAACCCACGGCCTCTGTTTCTCTCTTCTGCCCCTGACTCATTCCATGACCTTTAAAACGAAGGCATCGTTACCCCAGGAAAGGAGGTTGTATTGATTGCACTTGAGAACTGAGGTTTCTGTGTTTCTCTGTTTGTTTGATTGATGGTGGATGATGCAGGGAAAACAGTGTGCGGGGAGACTCTCAGGTGTGGGGGCAGGAAGTAGTAAGTTCGAGAGTACCACAAAGTTCTCCAGGCTGAACCGAGAGCTGGCTGGGGGTTTTGGTTACATTGTGCTTGAAAGCCCTAGGAAGCCCCCAGTCGAAATATGGCAAATTCAAATGCAAGGAAAGCTGAAGAAGTCATACCCACAAACTCTGGGAAATTACAGCCGCCCGTTATTAGTCATTCTTACGGGCAATAGAGAGTGTTGTTTTAAAAAATTCAAATCTGGTGCTATGAACAAAGACCTGTTCTTTCCTGGACCAGATAATCACTGCCAGGATCGATTCGAGAAATTAATAGGAGGCCTTGTCCTGTGCTGCCGGCAACTTTGTTTCTTGTCAAGTGCAGCCCTGCACACAGGTGTCCCTAAGTTCCTGGGGAACCATCAGCACCCAGAATACCACAACACGTCCTTATTTACACACAAATACTGAGTTCCTGAGGCAAGAGGGAAGGGCGTGACCATGAATGGAAGTAGCCACCAATGAGGATGGTTAAATGTACCCTTGATAAAAGGTGACTGGGTTCGTTCCAGTATTTTTATTGGACAGTCTGGGTTTTTCAATGGTTAACTTAGATTATGTTAGCTATCGTCTGCCTCTTTCTGCTCGCATTAAACTTTACAACCCAAATAGGACTCTCGCATGCCGTCTTGCCGTCAGGGCGAGGACTACATCTTGTGGGGTGAATGGAGGCATCAGGCTAGCTCCCGTATCACAGCCCATGTATTCAGGTGTGTTAGGCCTTAAGGGACTCAAGAGACCTTCATGGGTGTGAGATGCTGATCCTATGTCACAGAAGAAGCACCTAGGGCAGGTCATGGCCTAGTGTTTACAGTAACACACAGCAGTATGAGAAACTCGATTTTAGGCTCCTGCTTCCTGTTTAGTGCTTCTTCCGTCTTCAAAATGCCGCCTCTTTCTATTTTATGACAAAGACTGGAAAAGGAACAATAAAGGCTGGGAGGTGGGGCTTTGTAGACTTGAAATACCTCTCTAGCCAGGTGGTATATTTTGCATTGCTGAAAGGCAACACTGCAATGTAGCTACGCCCCGTATATTTAGAGCAAGCTAGCTTCTTCTGAAGCACACAACATGTTTACCTGTGAACCTCCACCCCCATCCCAAAATCAATTTTTCCGGTACCCAAGCACCTCCACCAACCCTTGAAGTAGGAGTCTGCAAGGTGAATTTCCTAACAAGCTGACTTTTCAAAGGTTTTTCAGCTCTCAAAAACATGAAAGCTGTGTTTAAAAATTTAAGGGTCTGATATGTACCAGTTCTGTGGAGCAGCAGCAGGACGTAGCTTTTTGCAGTGCCATGATTCCCCAAACCCCAACTCTTTAAATTAAGATGTTTATGACAGCTGCTTGTGCTTAAAGGAATGCACATAAGATTGGCCATTAATTACTGCTCTCGGGTTTTTGCACCTATTCTCTGCATTTCACGGCAAGAGTCAGTATTGTTGTGTAAACTATTTTTAGTGCTTTTTAAGAAACCCTATATTTTGTGGTTTTGGATTTTTAATCTTTTATTGTGAAAATTTCCAAAAATACTCAAGTTGAGAGAAAGTGCAGTGCTCCAGTGAACCCATCATTCAGCTTCAATGACCATCAACATTTTACCATCGTTGTTTCACTTACCCCTCCTGCTAACACACACACACACATTTTTTTATTTTGCCGAAGTATTTTAATGAAAATCTCAGACATCATGTCATCTCAACACTAAATACTTCACTGTATATATTTTTAAATATGTTTATATAACTATAATGCCATGATCAAACCAAAAGAAAATTAATAATTCTTTAATGTTATATAATATTGAGTCCATATTCAAATTTACAGTTGATTTGATCAAGTAAAGACCCAAACAGTTTTCATCAGGCCTTTTGCATCTTTAACTAGAAATGCCACACACACACACACCCCCCCCACACACACACACAAAGCTGATTGATTATCTTTTTAAAGAGCTCAAGGCCAGTCCTTGAACTCTGACCTCTACACCTCACTTTCAGAACGGCACGGGAGCCTGTACTAACCAGAAACTTTGCCTAGGTAGTAATACAGAGCTCTGTGTCAATTGTGGAAATCCTTCACCTTTTAGAATTATTTTCTTGTGGTAAATATTTGTACAATTCCTTTTGATTTTCATCAGTGAAAGGCACAGGGTCTTGATGTGCCTTTGAGAGATCCTTTTCCACATATTAATGACTTCCTCATCTGCTTCCTGCCAAGTTTTGTACTTTGGGTTAGAAAGAGGTCAAGACATGGATGGTTAGATGAATTCCTTGTTACCCGAGCTTTGTGTATTAATTTCTCACTACTCCACTCTGGCTCTAGTTAGTCTTTTAAAGTCAGTTTGCAACATGGTGACAATTTTGACAGGAAAGTCAAATTTAGCTAACAACCGTTATTCAATCGAATGTGATTAAACCACAGACGGATACCTTTCATTCATTTAGCCAGAAAACCTTCTTATAGAGTGTTTTTTCTATTCAATTTGTAAATCTAACGTTTTTTCATTTACCGGACTCATTTTTAAAAGTGAGGAGTGACCATTTTCTAAGTGAATGTCTTTAACTCTCTGCTGTCACCTTCACTTTGAATTCCCCAACAAGAAAACCACCTTTAGAATGTTGGCAGGTGTGGTGTTTGCTTCTGAATGCAGCATCAGGGATGAGATGGGAAACTTGAGCATTCTAGCACGATCCTTCTACCAGTAACTGATGAACTTAGAAGAATAAAAACTCTGCCCAGTGATGTCCAGACCATCATTTCTTTTGCCTATATGTTGAACTAATTTTATTATGCCAACTGTACCATAGTGACATAACTTTGCTGTTACGAAGGTCCTATCCGTAGAACACCAAATCTTAGAATGAAAATGCAATGTGCCTGTAATCCCAGTGCGAGGCCAAGGTGGGTGGATCACTTGAGGTCGGGAGTTCGAGACTAGCCTGGCCAACATGGTGAAACCCTGTCTCTACTAAAAATACAAAAATTAGCTGGCATGGTGCTGCATGCCTGTAATTCCAGCTACTCAGGAGGCTGAGGCAGGACAATCGCTTGAACCCTGAGGGTGGAGGTTGCAGTGAGCAGAGTTCACATCTTTGCATTCCAGCCTGGGTGACAGAACAAGACAATGTCTCAAAAAAAAAAAAAAAAAAAAAGAGAAAAAGAAAAAAGAAAGAAGAAGATGTGACCTTATTAATCAATTATCCAGAGTTTTTCTACCTAAACTCTAGCTAATCTGGGAGCTGGTTGCATTTGGAGATTTCATCTGTATTTTTTATTTATTGTCTGGCACATAATAGGGGCTCAGTAAAATGTGTTAGTTAATTAATGACAATGCCAAATATACCAATTTAGGAGTGATGACAGAAGACAAAAAAACATGATAAAGGTTTTATAACTTACTGCCAAGAAAGGAAGATTGTACCTTGCCTTCTAACTGCCAGTGCCATAGGACTTTTATTACATGCTATAGGTATTACAAGCTATGCCCTCAAGTCTTTCCTGCTGGGACCATGGATGAAGAACTGACTTGGGGCATGATACTTGAAAAGAAAGAGAAGAGGGTGCTGCTGTTTGTTGAATGGTTGCGTACAAGGCACTGTTCTGGGTGCTGTACATTCTCTCATTTATCTACCATAACAAGCTCAGGGGTGGATTTCCACTTTGGGAAAAATTCTCAGAAACTGAGTTTTCCCTCTGCATACATACCACCACAACAATAATCAACACAGAAGACTTCTGTGACCACATGCGTGGGAGTTTTTCCCACACACCAAGTAACAGACACCATCTGGGTACCCTTCCATTCAATTCTAACACTGTTTACCTGGAGATATTGTCAGATCCCACAGGTTGAAGGCTCAGTTCCCACAACTGCCCCCCATGCTTTCAGACACGAGTTGCAAGTCCAGGCCTCCAGAACGTCTGGCCAACCAGCTTTAAGTTGAGGGTCCCACCACCCTCTCTTTGGGTTCAATTAATTTGCTGAAGTAGTCTAAAGAACTCAGGAAAACATGTTTACCAGTTTATTATAGAGGATATTGCAAAGGATACAGATGAGGAGATGTTTAGGGTTAAGTATGGGGGAAGGGGAACGGAGCTTCCATGCCCTCCCTGGGGCACCATTCTCCAGGAACCTCCACATATTCAGCTCTGAACCCAGCCCTCCTGGGTTTTTATGGAAGCGTCATGATATCAGCATTATCTCTCTTCAGAGTATAGGGTGGGACTCTCTCTGAGGAGGGTCTTAAAACCTACAATCAGAAAGGTGGGGAAAGAGTAGAGTCCTGCTTTGGGGCAGGTGACTGTAGGGCAGGAGAAGATCAGAGACCTGTCCCTGAGGCCTCACACAATCAACATTATAACAAGACTGTAACAAAGGATATGGGAGTTATGAGCCAGGGACTGTGGATGAAAACCAATATATATGATCACACCACAGTATCTTAGCTCCATATTACAGATGTGGCTCAGAGAGAATTACCTGGCCTGTAAGTGGTATTGATGAAATTCAAACCCAAGTTTGCATGCTTTTCTCCCTGGACCAGTGCAACAGGCTGTCTCCTTTAGGTTTGCAACTGCAAGTGCATTCAGAAGAGAAGGAAGAAAGATGATACAAAAGGCGGTATCTCTGAAGGAGGGGAAGATTCACAGGGAATATGGCACCTCACAGAAGTCTACCATCCTAGCCATAAAATTGGCTGTAGCCCACTTCTTGCCCTAGTGAGAGAACAGTGTTAAGTGGGCTTGGTCTAGAATCTTGCTACTCAAAGTTTAGTCCATGGGCTGGAAGTTGTGGCATCACTCGGCAACTATAAGAAGTGTAGAATCTCAGGGCCCACCCCAGACCTACTGAATCAGAATTAGCATATTTAATAAGATCTCCAGGCAATTCGTATGCACATTAAACTTTGAAAAGCACTGGCCTAGAGGCTGGTGGGAAATGATAATTAAAGATGCTGACTGAGTAGTTCTAGTGTAGCGTAAGATCATTTGTGGGTGAAGGCAATTCTCCTACATTAGGTTGAGAGGAAGAATCATAATTTTTTTACATAATTCATTGTAGCAGAATTTCTCCCAACTGTGAATTTTAAGACTGATGACTTGAACTAGAAAATGGATCTTTCCTTCCCCTAACATTTTAGAGGGATTTTTGGCTATTAAATGGTGAGTGTGTTTGTGTACATGCATACAGTTGTGTACATTTACACAAACACAACTGTGTACACAATTAGAAAAAAGCTAGCTCATGACTTTCTTGGAAACTACTGTTGGGCACTGTTTGGAAAGCTAAAGGAACCCCAATTGTGTCATTATATTCCCTTTCTAAAAATAAGATTTTGGTGTTATTTTTCAATGTGCAGAACAATTTGTGCAATTTTTGTGAATGCAAACCTTCAGGAATGAATGAAGTTGTGGTTTTCATAGCTTTGTTTGTCCAGGCTTCTTCTATTCTCCTTAGACAATCTCCAAGGAACGTCTGTCATGAGGCACCACGTGAAGGTCTTTGGAGAAACACCATGAAAGTTGACCACCAGCCTGTCGCTGGGACACTTTGGAAGAAAGCTAACAAAGGAAGAAGATGTTTTACAGCTGACTGTGCCACATCATTGTGTTCAAAAAAGTTTCTCATTATTCAGTGGTTTCGAACTTCCACCACTAAGATTCTTATCCACTTTCATGCCTCTTTGCTTCTCACTATGTCCTTGTATGTTGGATTCCTGCTCCTTGTAGGTCTTCCCATGGAAATGATGACACATTGGGAGGTATGGCCAAGGCCCTGCATCACAGGCTGCTTGAGAATAAATCGGGTGTTTGTGTAGTTATTAAAACTCATCCTCTCTCACAAAAAGAGCTAGAATCAGAAAGTCTTACAAGGCCCAGCACTTTCCAACAGCATAGTCATCCAACCTAGCTATCAGAGTTAGCTTGGTGAGATGAAAAATTCATTTGATGGGAAGCCAAAAGACTTGAATTCCAGCCCCATCTTTACCCCTCACTTGATTTTGGTCATAGTCTCTCAACTCTCAGGGATTGGATGGCTCTTCTGTGAAAAGAGGGCCTCATACAGCCTCTTCTGGCCTTCTAATCTGAGGATGATTACATTATTCAGTCTATAAAATAATTTATAGACCACATTTCAAGTGCAGCAATGTTCTTAGATGGTCACACATCACATCAGTATATTTTCAGATTGAAAAGGCAGAGCCCATTTTGACATCCCAAGATCCCCCTTAAACACAAATTTTCTATGTAAGAAGAAAAATCCTTCTTTAAAAGAGATAATTGACCAGGCACGGTGGCTCACAACTGTAATCCCAGCACTTTGGGAGGCTGAGGCGGGTGGATCACCTGAGGTCAGGAGTTCGAGACCAGCCTGGCCAATATGGTGAAACCCCATCTCTACTAAAAATACAAAAATTAGCTACGTGTGTTGGCAGGTGCCTGTAATCCCAGCTACTAGGGAGGCTGAGGCAGGAGAATCGCTTGAGCCCAGGAGGTTGAGGTTGCAGTGAGCCAAGATTGCACCATTGACTCTAGCCTGGGGGACAGAGCAAGACTCCATCTCAAAAAATAAATAAATAAAAAGAATTGGCCAGATGCGGTGGCTCACGCCTGTAATCCCAGCACTTTGGGAGGCCGAGACCAGTGGATCACCTGGGGTCAGGAGTTGGAGACCAGGCTGGTCAATGTGGCGAAACCCCATCTCTACTAAAAATACAAAAAAGAAATTTGCTGGGCATGGTGGCATGCACCTGTAATCTCAGCTACTTGGGAGGCTGAGGCAGGAGAATTGCTTGAATCCGGGAGGCGGAGGTTGCAGTGAGCTGAGACCACGCCATTGCACTCCATCCTGGGCGACGGAGTGAGACTCTGTCTCGAAAAAAAAAAAAGAGAGAGAGAGAGAGAGATAATGAAGAAGGTGCTAATTCAATTTCTTCTGGATTTCTAGAGGCCCCGGTTTTGCCAAGTGAGAACAGTTCACTCATTTGAAATGACTAGAGAGCTTCACTTTATTACCCTGCAAAGTCTTAGCTTGAAAGGCTAGGGTCAGCAGTCTGCCAGTTGGCAGCTGTTACTCTGCGTTGCAGATCCTGTTGTAATCAGGTGCTTTCCTTAGAAAATTAAAATGATGATAGTAGTTTATATGTATTGAGCCCTTCATAGATGACAGGTTCCAGAACTTGGCACTGTTGTTAACTTCACTTTACTGTCATGGGGACTGTGGCATGGAGACGTTCACTTCCTTACCCAAGTCCTCATGGCTAGGTAGGGTGAATTGGGACTGGAACACAGACAGTCTGAGGATATTACATCACCTCCCTCCTGTGGGAATATTCCTAAGGGCTGAATATGACTTGGTTGAGGAGGAGAGAAAAGTGAGGAGAGTGGAATGTACGGGGGCGTGTATTTTTAAATGTTCTTTTAATTTTGGATCTTTTCCTCCTCGTTGCCACTGTTCAGTCTCAGTTTCACAAAACTCTTCAAATATCCATTCAGTGTTCTCTGAGAACTGGGAATGCTGACAGTAGGAACCAAGAATTTTAAGTACAGAATTAAACATTCCCTTTGTCTTTTTGCCAAACTGATAAAAGGCGCCATTGGTTTTCTTAGTGGGTAAAGTGGGGGTAGGAGGAGCTGAGGAGCCATTTCCTCAAACCAAGTGACCTCTTCAGCCTCAGACTGTGAAGGGAGGAATGACTTGCCAGCGCCCAGGTTAGCCGGACACCCTACTAAGGGGGAACATTCCTGGGCTTCTCTGGCATGGATTGCTGGCTTTATGACATTTGTTTTCTTTTGGAAGAAGATTATATTAATAACTATCATCTACATAATTTAGAACAATTTGGTATGATCTTTTATTGCCAGGGAAGCCCTGGCCACAGTCTGAAAAAAAGTAAAGGAAATGAAAAGTCTGTTTGCCTTGCTGATTAAGGTAACCTAAATTGTTGTTTTTTTTTCCCTGCTTAACCCAGGTTCAAAGTATTCGCTCTGTTGAATAGGATATGTGTCCAATAGCTGTGAGCAGAGAGAGGTCAGGCTCTCTTGTCCAAGAGATAGTATTTTCATCTTCAGGGTTTTTCTCCCATAGAAAGACAAATCTGTTCTAAGTCAAGCAACTGAACAACAATGTGAATTCTCACCAAGTGGTGTCATTGGTTCTGGCTGCTGGGGAACCCCGCGTCAGGGAAATAAAGAAAAGCTGAGCACCAGCAGTCACAAAAGCCTTCCTGGAAGCAGTAGGACTGTGTTGAGTCTTGTGCAGTTTGCAAGAAAGGCTTGTCTTCTGGCCTCGGGAACAAGTACCAGAGCTTGAATTGGGTCCAGTCCGTCATGTAATGCCTTGCAATACACTGGGTCCTATCGCAGATGACTGCAGAAGTTAGGTGGATACCTTAAGCTGTCTGGGTACATATCAAAAGGATAAGCCAAAATAAATCCAAACCATCATGCAAACCCAGTGATAAATGGCAACTGACACATGACCTTAGTTCCACTAGACAATAGAGAGTGCTGTGGGTTATGTTGACCAGAGAGTTTGTGTCCTGGCTAAAGATGGCAGTCACTCATTTAGACCAAATTTAGTTGTATAATGCAGGAACAAAGACCTTGTATTGCCTATTTTCTATATTCAACAAAACACACCTTTTTAAAGAAAACATCTAGATGTTTAAATGTTGGAATATACTTCAACTTTTTTAAAAATGTTAGACAATCACTTGTAATCCAAATAGAATATGTAGGGAACAACTGGTATACCACCTCTGGAATAAGTCTTCATCATCCCCAAATTAATGCAATGATATTATCAACATGTCCTATGTAGGATATGAGTCCCATTTGAAAGTATCAGCCACACTTGCTAAGATTTCTAATATTCATAGAAGAAAAATACACTGTCACTGACAATTCAGATTTCATTTGTTTAAAAAAATCTGTGTATTATTAGACTACGTATCACAAAATAGTTTTATTATACTGTTGCAGAAAAAAAGAATTGAAACCACTTCTATTATAATTTATAACATCTTGAGGGTGACTGTGGGAAGGCTAAGGAATTTGCTGTTTTATTATCATATAATTTGTTTCAGTAGCGGTATTTTAAATGTTGGATTTTCCTAGTAAGTCTTGGATGCAAAGGTGGGTTGCTGACAGGGTTTGAGAAACCTGGAGGTCCAATCAAAGGTTAAATCATCTTCCCCAAAAGAAATATCTTCTTTCTTAAGCCCTTGAGCTGAAGGTAGGACCAAAAGAGACAGAAGGTTAGAAAACTGAAGGATAGATGCAATCGAATTTATTAGCCACCATTAGGGGTGCTTCTGACAAGACAGAGGAAGGAGACCCTCAGCCTAGCCTCCTCTTCAACCATAGAATAGCACTCTAAAGGTAAACCCTTCTGGTTCACAGTGTGAGTGCGAGGAAGGAAGGATGCAAAAATGGGGAAGAAGAGCCACCTTTTATTACCCCTTACTGAAGTTGTCTTCTAATCAACTGCTGCCTGAAACTGTCCATCTTCTTGAGTACTGTAGGCAACTTTTTGATATTTATTCATTATACATTCATTTATTTAATAAATATGTATTGATTACCTGTTCTATGCTGGCAGCTACTTGGACAAAAAGAAGTTGGCAGCTAAGAAAGAAAGATATGTAGGCCTGGGCCTGCAGAAGTATGCAGTTTAGAAGTAGGAGTGCAGAGTGTCCATGAGTGACTAGTTCCAGGGAAAGTGAGAAATACACATAGCCTTGAGGGCACGGAGACTGTGTTGGGAGTTACTCAAAGCAGGGACAGGAGTGACCCGTCCTTATGAGGCCGTACAGAGGCAAAACCTCTTTTGGGATAAATGTGCCCAAATTGGGCTGCAGGGGCAGAGCAAGGCTGGAGAAGCTCTGATGATGTGGAGTTTAAAAAGCCCAGAATTCTAGTCTCAGCACACCACTTCCCAGCAGTGTTAAGCATGGAGCTTCCTTTCTCATTGCCTTGTCTGCCCACCTCTAAGTGCTGGAGTTGGAGGGATCATCTCTGAGGCCCCTTCTGCTGAAAGACCTACAGGTCCTGATTGTTTGTGTGCTCTGGAGCATAGAGGATTGGAGGTTTGCCTGGGATTCTTCATGCGGGGCCCTCCCTCCCTCTTCTGTGCCCTGGGACCAGTGTAGTAAGCAGAGCCCTGCTTTTCAGAGGCACCACAGGAGCTGTCCAGAAAGCCCACCAACATCATCCCACTGCTCAGGAAGGAAATTGGGTTGCAGCCATGAGAATGTGAGTAAATGCATGCCAGGTGAAGGCCACCCAGCCATTAATAGTCAACTTCTCATCACAGAGCTCTTGCCTGGGTTGAGACTTGAACATATCCTGCACCACATCTTAGACGGGTTACTTATCTGCACTCTGATTGAAGACTTACAGTGGCAGCATTGTCTGTTCTATTTTTTAATATAACTAATTCTGTTTTTTATTTTTTTGAGATGGAGTTTCGCTCTTGTTGCCCAGGCTGGAGTGCAATGGCGCCATCTCGGCTCACTGCAACCTCCGCCTCTCGGGTTCAAGCGATTCTCCTGCCTCAGCTGCCCAAGTAGCTGAGATTACAGTCATGCACCACCAGGCCCAACTGATTTTGTATTTTTAGTAGAGATGGGGTTTCTCCATGTTGGTCAGGCTGGTCTCGAACTCCTGACCTCAGGTGATCCACCCACCTCGGCCTCCCAAAGTGCTGGAATTACAAGCGTGAGCCACTGCACCTGGCCAACTAATTTTTAACATAAGGAGAAACCTGTCTTCCCAAGTCTAAGTGCAAGGCAAGATAGGGCTTTGTCCAGAGTGGCATAAACTGGATAAGAATCCAGTCTCTCTCCTATCGGGCCTCCAGCCCTGAGTGTTTCTGAGGCAGTGAAACCAAGGTAAAAACTCCTGACAGACCAGACACATGATATTCAAGTTACTACTTCCCTCCTCAGCAGAACTTTCAGCCCCCACCTTCTAAATGCAGCCACTGCCTCACATGTGGCATACAGAGGCAGGGTGGTCTAAAGCAACAGTCCCCAACCTTTTTGGCACCAGAGACCAGTTTCATGGAAGACAATTTTTCCACAGAGTGGGGCAGGAGTGTTGGGGGATGGTTTCAGGACAATTCAAGCACATTATATTTATTGTGTACTTTATTGCTATTATTATTACATTGTAATATATAATGAAATAATTATACAATTCACCACATTGTAGACTCAGTGGGAGCCCTAAGCTTGTTTTCCTGCAACTAGATGGTCCCATATGGGGGTGATGGGAGACAGTGACAGATCATCAAGCATTAGATTGTCATGACGAGCGCACAACCTAGATCCCTCACGTGTGCACTTCACAACAGGGTTCATGCTTCTTTGAGAATCTCATGCTGCTGCTCATCTGACAGAATCTGGAGCTCAGGTGGAAATGCTGGTTCACCCTCGGCTCACCTCCTGCTGTGCGGTCCAGTTCCTAACAGGACCAGTACCAGGGGTTAAGGACCCCTGATCTAAAGGAAAACAATGGGCTTTAGAATCAAAGGAGCTCGAGTGTTAATCCTCAGTCTGTTACTTCATAGATATCAGATTTTGCATCTTTGAGTTTCTTAATCAATAAAATGAGAGTAATGCTAATGGTTTCTCAGAGTTGTTGTAGAATTAAATGAGAGCTGTATAATAATACCAGGCACATAGTAGAAACTCAGTGAATGGTAGTAGCTGTTAATTACTGCTGCTGAAAAACTTAAATGTAGTCACTTCAAAGATATGTTTACATAAAGTTAATCAAGCTAGGGTGTGTTATATTGTAGAATCCCACCACGGATCTTTCTGATATAAGTTTTGGGATGTGTAGGCCTGGAGGAAGGGATGGAAAATCAATGGTTTCCTGAAGGCCTCTGGGATTTTCCCCATGCTCATGGGCTCAGGAGCTTCCCTAGGATAGGAATGACTAGCTGCTCACGTATTCTTTGCTAGCTATGCAGGCACTACATCAAGGCCTTGGTCCTGCGTGGCTGTGGTATTTGAGGTTCATAATAAAGCTGACTGTAGAACATGGATTTTACCTTATCATCAGTATTTGTTTTCACCCTGACCCCTGGATGCTCTGTTAGGGAATAGATCTGATTCACTTCCTTTTCAGCATTCTACTGCATAAACAAGCCTGAGCTCTGATATATAAATAATTCTAACTGAATACCAAACAGACTTAGCTGCTCTATTGCCGCTATACCCTGGGAACAGGGTTGGGGGGAAAGTGTAGGGAACTGAAAAGGCTTGGGAGGGAGGGGAAGATGTTAGGATTTCTATGAAGAGCCTGGGGAGTTAAATGCAATAATTTTTGTGCAAGTGTTATGGAAAATTCCTTCATAGCCCTTTATTCAATAGAAGCTATTTGTAAGTGTTTCTCCCACCCACCCTGGGACACACATACAGGCATAAAATGACAAAGAACTCAACTTCTAATGCAAGCCAGAGTTGAATGCCACTTGGATGTGATGTTGGTAACATTTTTTTTTCCTTTTTTTTTTTTTTTGAGACGGAGTCTCTGTTGCCCAGGCTGGAGTGCGGTGGTGCCATCTCGGCTCATTGCAACCTCCGCCTCCTGGATTCAAGCGATTCTCCTGTCTCAGCCTCCCAAGTAGGTGGGACTACAGGCACACACCACCAAGCCCAGCTAATTTTTGTATTTTTAGTAGAGACAGGGTTTCACCATGTTGGTCAGGCTACATTTTGTTTTAAAAAAGAAGATAGGTACCTAGGAGAGTCCTAGTTGGGCTATCAACACGAATAATACAGAGGGCTCCTCTATTGCCAGAATGCTAGGGAGCGGTTCAAAGGACCTAACAGATAAGCTCTCTATCCTGAAAACCCTAAACTCTAAGCCTCAGTCCAAGGAGGTGACAGTTAGTTTGGAAGGAGAGGCTGAGCATACATCCACAAAAAAGGCCTGCAAATGGGTGGTAAACATGAACTCAAGTATGTATACAATGTGTTCTATACAAATCCTACAGGGTGGCTGAGAGGAACAGGATGAGAAGCAGATCTGGAAGAACTTAGTATGTGCCCCAGTATTAAATAAGGGGAGAGGCTAAACTTAGAGAGTAGGGTGATATTCCAGGCTGGAGGATGGCCAGTGTACCAGCCAAGAACTGGACACAAATGGGAACTTCATGGAAACAGAGAAGAGCTGTGGGAGAGGAAGAGGTCAACGAGGTTATTAAAAGAGGATTTATGTCAGTGGGTGGACTTAAGGACCAGTTGAGTGGCTTCAAGAAATAGATGACCGTGGGCCAGGTGCGGTGGCTCACGCCTGTAATCCCAGCACTTTGGGAGGCCGAGGCGGACAGATCACGAGGTCAGGAGATCGAGACCATCCTGGCTAACACGGTGAAACCCCATCTCTACTAAAAATACAAAAAATTAGCCAGGCGTGGTGGCGGGCACCTGTAGACCCAGCTACTCGGGAGGCTGAGGCAGGAGAATGGCGTGAACCCGGGAGGCGGAGCTTGCAGTGAGCCGAGATCACGCCATTGCACTCCAGCCTGGGTGACAGAGCAAGACTCCATCTCAAATAAATAAATAAATAAATAAATAAATAAATAAATAAATAAATAAAATAAAGAAATAGATGACCATGGATGCTTAAAGGGAAATATTCGTACTTGTATGAGGGGCAAGCTAGAGTCAGAGAGCAGGCTAGAGTGAATTCAGGGGACTGGGTGAGATTTCTTCTCTTCGCAACAGCCAGAATGGAAGCTTTTCCATTCTGAGAAGCTTCAGTAGATGCTCACCTGTCTAGTGGCAAACCAACGGTTACAGATTCCAGTGGCCAATTGAGGGCCATCGGATGGACTTGTTGAGTTCCAACATTGGAAAAAGTGGTATCTTCCCTCAGAGCATGTTGTATGCCTCCATTTGCACAACAAGTGACATTATTAGTGTCTTTCTCTTGTAAAACCACTATCAACTTCTCCTGAGCTAGGTAAGTAAGAATCAGAAACTATTTATTATCTCAACCTGTCAAAAATGTAGTTCACATCAGAGGCAACTAGTTTGTTAATTTGACTGAATTTTCTCTTGGAGGCTTTTTCCTTTTTGGGAGGTAATTTTAGCTGAGCCCCAACTCTGCAGAGAGCTTGTCAGTGGAAGAGTTTCAAGCTTAGGAAGTGCTACTTCGGCTTTTATTTTAAGGTTTGCTCCCTCTTTGCAGAAGCACTCTCTTCCTGTTCATCAGGTATTGATCAAGACAGTGGTATGGGCTTCTGTCTCCAGAGAGGATTTGTGACAATGGGAAGCTGAATTTGGCCCATGGAATGTTTAAAAGTGAAATGGAGCAGCACTTGCAGCAGGACAAATACTTCCCTCTCTCAAGACTCAGGTTGTGATTTATCTTGATACAAAAGATGTAGACTTGTAGTGTATCTCCTATTGCTTCAACAGATAGAAGCTACCAAAACAGATTATTCAATCCCCTGCCCCTTTCTTACCATACTACCTTCCTTCATGCCCCACCCCCAAAATACCCCATACAGACCCACTTTGCAGAGAACAATGGACAGACTCCAGGCAACCAAACGTAAAAGGACAATGAGAAACCAAACCACAGCCACATGGCTGATGTGCTGCTTGAGGGTGCTGTGTCAAGCAGCAAATGGGAAACTGAAGCAATCCGTACTACCCATGCTGTCCTTCTGAAGAAGCCACCAGGCTGGAAGTCAGGTAATGTGGGTTCTTTCACTGGCAAACCTACTAAAACTCATGCTACATGAGCCCAGCTGGTGGAAAAGGCAAAGCATTCAGTCAAACGATCCTGTTTTTTTGCTCAAACTCAATTGATTCTTCTTGTCAATGGGTGGATTCGGTGCTTTGAGGTCACGCAGATCTAGCCTAAATAACTATGCGTGTGCCCTTTTTACCGTGCTTTCTATAGCTCCATTTCCTCACCTGAGACATGCTGATGGTGCCAATGAACCTTCATAATACCTGCCACTTCCCTTTCACCTGGGGACCCTAAGAGGATTAATTAGATATTATCTGTAATATACTTTGCACTCCTTGGAGAAAGATTCTATATAAAAGCAAAGTATTATTATTTCTAAGAGAGATGATACTTATTAGCTCCTTGTAGGATCATTAAGCAAATAGATTATACTTCCCTTTAGAGAAATTATCTCCCAGTTTTCCTAATTCTTACAGTCTATAGAACAGAATATATATTTTAAAAAATTTTAATAATAAAAAAATGTCAGTTGGTTGGTTGGTGAAGGGAATGGGATGGATTTCTAATTCTAACCATAACTTCAGAAGCTTGTTTTTAAGGTCTTAGTTACCAAAGAAAATAGACACTACAATCACCTCTCTGCTTTTAGAAAATGGCCTTGTCTCGACCTTTATCATAATTGCATAGTAAAGACAGCTCTACAGTTCTAAGTTTGTTCATTTTACGGCCTTTTGCCCCTACAATTGTTGAATCCTTTGATTAAATCCCATTGTAGTTAAGTAACTGTTCAGAAATCACAGGGTCATCATTATGCACATACTTGTGGTGATAGTCTACAAATTGATAATGTAAGTTATGAGTGGAAAATTTTAAATCCAAACTCCAGTCCACAGAAATTTCAGGGAAAACTCAACCCAATATTCATTTTGTATTTGCCTCATTTTCCACATTGTGTAAAAATTCCTTATTTGGCATTTAATACAAGCCCTGCCTTCAAATGAAACCAGTTCAGCATGCCCTGTGTTTTGGATAACAATAAAAACCACCTAGGTTTTTCATTGTGTAGGTAGGGAACTGCTCACTTTTTCTTTCTTTTTTTTTTTCTGGCACAAAAATGTCATAATGAGAACGATACTCTTACTAGGAGGAAAGCAAAACAAAACACAAAGCAAAATTTTCGAGACGAAAACTCAGAGCAAACGTCTGCAATGCCTCTGTGGGCTCACGAAAAGCATTGCCAACCCTCGGCAGTCACACGTGGAAGCTCATGCCAATCAGATGTTAATCCATTAAACTCATTCACAGCAAAACATAATGTAGGTCAGAGTGGGGAGCAATGTGATGTCGTGTGCAAGCTCATTTACCATCCAGAGCAATATGAGTCAGGGGTGCAAACGTGGAGCACTTCAAGCCAATATTGTACAATACCGAAAGGTAACCATGGTCTGGAACTGAATCAATAACCAACAAGGCTTGCTGTGAGGGTCTCTAATATAGTATTCTGTGAATCAGTGCCCGTCCGACCTAGATTACGCATTTGAAGTACCCTAAACTTTAGTTCTATCTCTACGTTCTTTCTATGGCATTCCTGGTCATCTTTTTCAAGCTTTTATTTTATTTCCTTTTATATTTTATTTCATTTTGGGAGGTTAACACTCCTCTCTGAAAGATTTAAGCAAAACCTAGCCAAATACTGTGAACAGTAGGGGCAAGAAGAAAGAAGACAACAGAAAACCTTGCCCAACAGAGCCCTGGCCATTGTTTTTATTTTTTTTGCATCTCAGCTTCCTCGGCCCCACCCTCTAGGAGTGTGCCTCCAGCACCTTTGGGGAGCCACCCAGGCAGTATGACACCCAAGTTTGTGGGTTGTGTTTGCTCTTAGGATGGGTGTGATGCCGGGAGGGCAGCAACACCCTTCTCTCCTTGCAACCGCATGCCGGTGTGGCCCCTCCTACAACTCACCTCCAAACCAAACCATGAAAAAGCACCAGAGAAGAGCCGAGATGTAAACACCTCGGGAGAAACCTTAACTTTAGACTTCGTCTATTGAAGCTTGGAGTGGCGCATTTTTGTCACGGCTGTGTTGCCTAGAGTCAGAGGTAAAATTCCTTGAGGGTAATGAAGACTTTTAAAGCACGTTGTATTAGAATTGATGTTTTTTGAAAGCAGTTTTAGTAAATGATCAAAATCAAGTTCATTTTATTGTACCCGTCATAAAAGTAAAACAATACTCACTATAACAATTATGGAAAAGACATAAAAGTAGAAAGGAAGAAAATTACTAGATACAATCACAGTTAAATTTTTGGTATGTGTCCTTCTAGACCTTCTTCCTTCCCTTCTTTCCTTTTTTTTTTTCTTTCTTCCTTTCAAGTGCTCAAATATTTCTTAAATCCCAGGTACTGTGTTTTCAGGTGCAAAGATGAGGTATCTGGCAATATATTGCTCTAATCAGAACACAGGATGTGTAAGAATGCACCTTAAATTATGACATAGACTTCTCCATTCATATCATCAGAAAGGATGTGTGATGTGAGCTGGCACCTTCTCAGTCCCTGAAATAACCAGAGAAAATGTTAGGGTGGCATCAACTTAATCGCTATTAAGAAGATTAAGCCTCCTAGCTCTAGTAGTAAAACCGGCTTGTGACTGTCCCCATCTAAGCTGCACACCCTCCCACCTTAGATCCACTGCTGATCAGACAGTGGGATGATCATAATTTGTGTGCATTAAGGCAGAGGGATGAACACGTGTGCCCCTCTGGTGTTCTCTGTGCGTTCTATGTTCATTGAAGAACACAGAGCCAAGTGGGAATGAGGCCAGCAAAGCAACTGGCTTTCAGATGCAATTTTCTGTAACACATCTTAGTGCTATATTTGTCAATGGACTTAGGGCCTCAGAGAACTTTCCAAGGTGAAAACCTAACATTGCTTCCATGGGCGTTGAGGGTAAAGCCCTTAACCCTGCGACTTAATGAGAACAAAATTAAGTGCTTCTTTAAGCAGCTTAGATTTATCTTGTCAATATATGTGATGGGAGGTTTCTTTGTGTGCTTTAGAAAAGAGATTGTGTGTGTGTGTGTGTGTGTGTGTGTGTGTGTGTGTTAATCTGAAGCATCGTCTCCTTGCTCCATTATGTCACCATCCACACTGTTCCTTTATGATAGACAGGGTTCATCTATTCCCTTGCTCTAAACTTAATTACTTTGCAATTAATTCTTTGTTGAAAATAGCAAGGCTCCTAAACTCGGAACATCTCATTGTGAGAAAGGCTGTTTATGGATAGAGGTCAAGGGGACGTATTGGAATATTCCGCAGCACTGCCACAGATATTTTGAATGAAAATGGCAAGAGGGAAAAGGCCCATTCCACACAAGGTGACCATGGAAGGAGAGGGCTTCCTCCCAAACAAACCGAGTTAAAGTCAGCCTTCAAGAATGAAGTTTTAAACATAGCATCATAGAAAAATCTCATGCCAGTAATCTTAAGGAACTACCGTTTTTAGGACCTACCATGTGACAACCACTTGCACATGCATTGTTTCAGTTAATCCTTGTAAAATTTTCCAAGCTAGGTAACATTAATATTAATACTGGCTTATAAGTGATGTGACTTCCTAAGGTTATTCACATACCCTTGAAGGAGTTCATTCCACACTGGTCATTGCTTGATGGTTTGCAGACATAAGATCCTTGAAACTGGCCAGGCGCGGTGGCTCACGCCTGTAATCCCAGCACTTTGGGAGGCCGAGGCGGGCGGATCACTTGAGGTCAGGAGTTCCAGTCCAGCCTGGCCAACACGGCAAAACCCCATCTCTACTGAAAATACAAAAATTAGCCAGGCATGGTGGCTCGTGCCTGTAATCCCAGCTACTCGGGAGGCTGAGGCAGGAGAATCGCATCAACCCAGGAGGCAGAGGTTGAGGTTGCAGAGAGCCTAGATCGCACCACTGCACTCCAGCCTGGGTGACAGAGCGAGACTCTGTCTCAAAAAAAGAAAAGATCATTGAAGCCGAATTACAACCCTATGAGAAGAGTACCATCATTATTTCAGTTTCACAGAAGAGAAAGCCGAGGCTTTGAGAGGGTAAGTGACTTGCCCAATGTTCCACCGCTGGTAAGCACTGATCCCAGCCTCAAACTCCATCATCTGCCTGTGCTCTCAGCTATAATCCTAAACTACCTCTCTCAGAAAGATCTTGTCTTTATCCTCCACCAGTTTGTGAAAACTGCCTTTTAGAGCATTTCCTGCATGTTAGTTGATCAATTAAGCGTTCCTCGGGAGGGTCTAAGAGGGAATTACAGAAATGTGACCTTTATGAGAAGTTGCTGTTGTCTTACAGTATTCCAGGCCTTTGAAGAGTCAAAGACTGATGTAACAGGCTCTGATAACCTCACAGCCCTTTTAAAACACTGCCTCATCACTCTTCCCTCCAGACTTCTGAGGTCACTGGTGAGCATGTTTGCAATACGGAAGGAGAGGAGCACCGTTCCTCTCTCTCCTATAGAAACAGCATGGGCCCGCAAGGACAAGGGCAGGAAAAATCACAGCAGACCGAGTCGGGGACAGGGCACTCCCCGGAGCCTGTGCTGCGGGTGGAGGGCCTGGGCATTGTCAGAGTTCTGCATGTGGTAGGTGATGGATAAATATTGCGGTGAGTGATTGAGCTAGTGAATGCATTCTCACAGTTACAGGGGAGAGCAGAGGCAGTACGTCGGTGAGTTCCAAATCCTTTGTTCACCGGACACTAAATTGAGAGAAACTGAATCCCCAGTTAGAAGTTTCTCTGTGAGATCCTGTGAGATACTGACTCACTTCCTCCATAAACTTCTCCTAACTTCTTCAGTCCCCTTTGATCCATGGTGGTTCTTGCCCATGTGAAGCTTTTTTTACACTACTTCTAGGAAGCTAAGGTGTTTGCATAAAGCTGTACCTTTCCTGAAGGCACATTTGATTCATTCAGCAAATATTCAAGAGATATTTTCCAAGAAGCTATTATGTGCCAGACACAATGGCAGGGGCTTAGGATCAAGAGATAAAAGATATTGTCCGTGTACTTAATTGGAAGGAGTGATGTTCTATATTCTTTGAGAGGGAAGATAGTGAGGGATGAATGTACGTGGTGGGAGTAGTGAACAGACAGACAAGTAAACAAGAGAATGGTAAGTGCAGAGAAGAGTAGGCCGCCTTTGGGTGATTTTTAAAAGGTGCCTCCTTCCTCGGGGTGGAGGCAAACCCAAACCAGGGCACATGGCTTGGCAGTCGGCGAATGAAACATGTCCCCACCCATCCCTTCACCCATGACCTTGGACTGTGACCAACCTGCACAACAGACCACAGCAGGCTGGATTAAGGATGTGCTAGGGAGAGACAACCAATATACTCTGGGTGTGATGGCAAAGTGAAGCCCTGCTTTGGATCTTGAAGGATAAATGGGAATTAGCTCAGTCAAGAAAAAGGAAAGAGCATCCCTAGAAGAAGGAACAGAAAAAAGCTTGGAGGTCTTTAAAAACATGGAACATTTGGAGAGCTATAAAGGCTGAGAAGCCAGGTGCCTTTCTTCATTAAGTAACTTCCTTGATGCCTTGAATACAGCATTTTGTTGGGGAAACGTTTATTGCTGATGAAATACACC
Organism: Homo sapiens; assembly: GCF_000001405.40. Taxonomy (NCBI): domain Eukaryota; kingdom Metazoa; phylum Chordata; class Mammalia; order Primates; family Hominidae; genus Homo; species Homo sapiens. The sequence continues at coordinate 60,700,596 of NC_000015.10, read as the reverse complement.
AGTGAAAAGATTCCTGACTTCTTTCTTGCTTTGACTACTGGGCTGTTCTTTCCCCGTCATGAAGTAGAGGATGAATGTAAATTATACTCATCCCCATATCTTTGAGGAATGAGTTAAAAATGTCCTTTGGATTCCTGTTTCCTATCAGTGGCATGAAAGATTTCCCTTAAGCATCATCACATTGGCTCTGCTTCCTCCAGTTTCTGCAAAGCTAAGGATGTCAAGGATTTGGGGTATGGTCAGACAGGATCGAAGGTCAACTACCCTGCTGTCCTTCTCTTTAAGGAATGCATTGCTGCTGAAAATTTTGTCCCTTAGTACCTCTGGGATGGCAAATGTCCTGGCAAAAGGGAGTAATAAAGAGGGGTTGTTATATTTTAGACACTTTTGAATAGAGTGGTAAATTGTTATTCAAATCTCATTTGATGGCCAGTGTGCACATTATTCTTCCCATGCTCCAGTTTTTTCAGAAAATATGTGCGTCCTCTCCCCCACTACTTCTCCTAATGAGCACAATTCCCATATCTGGGCAGGGTGGACTTCTCTGCAAAGAAATTTCTGTCTCTCTGACCTCCCTGGCTTTCCTTCCGGACAAAAAACAGAAAACTAGTGGAACAGTCTCAGCAGTGTCATTTCATGTTCTTTATGCGTACTTTGTCTGAAATCAGCAAATGAAGCCCTCTTAGCTTCAGGAATATAATCCTAATCTAAACAAGCTTGTATAAATAGCACAAGGGGTCTTTTTTTTTTTAATAGAATCAGCCCTATTTGGAAAACTCTTGGTAAATATTAAAATATCATAAGTAGTTATTGTGGCAGGCAAAAACTAAATACAATAAAGATAAAAGTGAAACTTCCTGTTATACCAGTAATCTGTTACAGAAAGTGTTAAATATAGATGCTACAGTACTGTGCTTCTCTTATTAGAATCCCCATTTTACAAAGAAGTCAGGAAACTTGCCCAGGTTTACTCAGTAAAAACAAATTTAAGAAGTAGATGCCCCAAATCTCAATGGTTGGCCTTATTTTCTAAAGAAGAGGTGAGCTAACTCAGATTCTACATGTAAATGTTTTGGGCTAGAATTTGGCTCTAAGCCTTTTTGATATCCTGATTTTTTTTCTGACACAACAGACACAGTGACATACCTCTCGGGAGAACAAAGAAAGACATAAGATAGTTGGTGTGTTGTTTAGATTCAAATCTTGAGAAGTGGAGTGAAACAATTTCTGTGCAAGCTAAACTAGAGCAAGAAAAAAGTATATTTAGATAATTTTATTTGAATTTTTAAATTAAACATAAAAAGTAAAATCATAAAAATATTTTAAGTATAGGTGAATATATTTTTGCAATAAATAAAGTCCTTATAGGCATGCAAGGAAAGGCAGAAACCATAAATAAAAGATTACTAGATTGGATATTTTAAAGAGGATATTTATAGTAGAATTATTTTTAATAACCAAAAAGGTAGAAATTACATAAAGGGCTATGATTATCAATAAGTGGTAGAGCTAGTTTACATATACAAGAAACAAACTAAACAAAATTTAAAAGAAAAACTGGGGAGACAAGCAACATATGATTAACTATACAGAAGTCTTATAAATTAGTAAGTAGTAAAGGACTAATACCACAATACAAAAGTGAGCAAAGATTATGAACAGGCGATTAACAAAAGAGGAAATACAAAAGTCAAGAAACTTAGACAACAAAAACAAAATTTTTTAAAAATGCAGACAAAACAACATCATAAATGAACAAAGAAATGTCAATTTTAAAGGGACACCTTTTTAGCCAGTTAAATTATCAGGATTTATTTTTCATGATAAAGTTCTGCATTGGGACAGGTGTACACTAATCTAGGAATTATAAATTGGTAAACACTTTTTACAGGACACGATGATATCTATTCAATGCTTTTTAAAAGTTAAACTTTCAAGAATGTACTTCCAAAAAAAAAAAAAAAAACACAAATGCCAAAAGAAATCTATGTAACAAGGATATTTATAGTAGAATTACTTTTAATAACCAAAAAAGTAATTATGACATAAAGGGCTATGATTATCAATAAGTGGTAGAGTTAATGTAAATTTTAATTCTCCATTAAAACATTTAAAATTTTTTTCTACATGTCCTACAGTGAATATATAGTATTTTCAGTATTTAAATCATAATGTATCCTTCTTAAGAAAGATATTGGAGTGCTTTCACAGTGCCATGTCAACGAGGGGCAGGCTAGGGAGTGGTCGGCCCAGTAATTTATTTTATCACTGACATTACTAAGAATTGTCAGGACAGAGTAATAATCAAAAGCAAGCCAGCTTTTAGTGGGGCTTTTTTATTGTTTTTAGGCCATTGCCTGCACACTCCCACAGCATTCCCCATTCTTGAAACTTGACTATAGCTACTGACGCTCCTGGAAAGAAGGAGGAACAGAAGACATCTCAGCTGAAGCATGGAGTATATATAAAAATCACTTGAAACTGAGACTTGATACAATGTCTACAATAAAATACAGAATCACTTCACGACTACAGACACGGAAGTGTTTTTTCCAGCTTACCCACATGATCCTGCTTTAAGTGTAGCATGGCATCATTTTCACTTTGTAGGCGTTTATTTTACACACATGTGTGGGATACCCACAGGAGCCTCGTTTCTCATTATTATATAGGAACTTCACAAGCGGAAGTGTTGTTGGCTGACTGAGAGGTATAACTCTGTGTTTCTCTCCCAGAGGAGCCGTGAATGAGATACCATGTAATATGAATGGAGACCCCCTTAGGCACCCTATAAATTTATTATAAAGCACTGGATTTTGAAATAACAAAAATAACATATGAAATTTGAGGAAAGTATAAAAATTAGAAATTTACGTCTCTTCAGAGTTACCCTAGACCACGGATTCTACTGAGTAACCGGCCTGATTGTGTGAACCCAAGAGCAGGCCTTATTTTATGTAGAGCAAGCAGGCAGAATTACTGCAATGTGTGAGTGGCTCTGAAGTTTCCAGTGTTTGGAAAAAAAAAAAAAAGTAGACTTGAAGGAAATAGCAAATGTAGATGACTCTGCAGGTTAAAGCAAGAAGAATAGATGGTTCAATGAGGTTTTGTTCACTTTTAACATCCACTTTGTAAAGGATCCTTAAAAAGGTTGTGTTTAGGGTTTTGGCTGTACTTGGAAGATGGAAGAAGGGAGGCTTCACTTGAGCGGCAGTGTGGTAGACAAAGCATCTAACCTAGGCTTGTGGCTTTTGAAAAAACAGTTTGTTGGGGTACATGTAGCTCTTTGCTCTAGATGTTTATTCCAATGGGCTTGGCATTTGGTTATCTTTTAAGGAAGTCATAAGCAGAGGTAACATTTGTAATGTGAAATTACTTGAAATTCTATAAAAAGCAATCCATAGCAATTGGCGTTGCTTTTAGTTCATGAAAGCTTAAAAATCTCTCGCCCTGTGTATTGTGGCAGCCAGTCAAAAGTGAGAGCAGAACATAAACCTCGTTCAGAAACCAGGCCCGCATTTTTGCTCCATTTGCAAATCCTTTACAATCCCAGAAAACAGTTGCCCTCTTTCTGTTGCCCACCCTAAATGCAGGTGATATTTACCTATTATATCAGTTTAATGAGCAGGCCATCTCACACTCATTAAGTCGATTTGAAAAATGATCAGAAGAATCAGGACTGTGTCCTCCGAGAATATAAATGCCTCTAAGGCTATATCCATTTTAGGAAAACCAGGTCTTTTACCTTTGCTCTGGCCTCACCTCAGCGTTTTCTTCTACAGCAGAAATAATGCATTTAGTCATTTCAGAACACTGGTTTAATGCATTAATAACTGCAGGTGCTTTTCCTAGAATTTTGGCTCCGCAAGTGTTTCACGGTGAGTGGGTCAAAGGCAGCAAGCAAGGGTCATATAAAGTGAGTATTTTATGAAGCCAGGATACATTGCAGTGTGTAAGCAGAAGCACCCAATATAATTAAAGTAAATGAGGAATATGAGCCATGTAGACTGTCAAAGGCGTATGTGGTGATGTGGTGGTGCGGTGGGCTGGGAGAAAAGGAGGGTAGAGTGGAAAGGCTTTAAAACTATAGGAAATCAGAGAAAATGCTGGCCTTCTGTTCCTTAGCTTCTGGAATTAGGGAGTTGTTATATAATCCAAGCCAGCAGCTAGAGGGGATTTGGCTAATAGTTAACTTAATTTTTCTGGAATGTCTTTTTTTTTTCTGTAAATCAGCCTAAGTGGAAAGAAAGTGGGACTCTCGTCAATGAATCAAATGGCAGGAGGGGCCAGCTGGGAGGACCGATTCCCCCTGGATCCTATACATATTTTACTCGGCTCCGTGGCTGTACTTGGAGTGCAGGTTAAATGAATTGTTCCCATTAGCGAGCTGATAGGACAGCTCCTTTAGATGAAGGAGACTCTGAACTTTGAATGTCACCGTGAGGAAAAGAAAGTGCTCATAGAAAAGTTGACAGTGCCACTTGTGGCAGGATTTTACTGTCATTGTGAAAACTATATAAAATGATGACTTACAGTAAGGCTCAGAGTTTCAGCATAATATATAATAATAATAAGACTTCTGTCAGCTTATAAGTGATGTAGGAGTTCTTTGAAGCGCCGGTGGTTTATCTGTGGCTTGGTGGTCGCGGGAACAGTGCTTTGTGCCATTACTTGCCGGCTGAGGCTGATTCATTCTGCGACTGATGCTCCTGACTGAGTCCTCTTCACTCTGATTAGTCACTTTTGCCTTCATTTGCTGGAACTAAAATCCTGAAAGTTTACTTGCTTCCTCCGTGTACTTTCTCGAGCCATATTTAAAGCACCCTTCAGTAAGCCACAGGAAGCATAGCTGTGGGGACGTGGGGGCGCGAGGCAGGAATCATGAAAAATGAGAATGTTGCGCTGGCTGAAAAGTGCCTGGTGTCTGAGATCAAAGCTGTCTGACCTTCGTCCGTATTGGCATCAGGGTGATGACTTGTTTTCTTTGTTCTGTTACCTTGGAAACTGAGGCACGGGTTTTATGTACGTAAATAAAGAGTAACAGGATCCGTTCTCTTCATCATATAGCAATTGTAAGAATTATTTGGAATATTTAGATCCTGTAACAGGATCTGGTGAAATGCAAGTGAAAAAAAAAAATCAAGATGTTTGTAGAAGGAAATGTATAAGCCAAGAAGAGGTCCCTGGCATGTACATACTCGGATGGATATTGGCACCCTCAAAAAAAAGTCAACAGGGTCTCAAGTGACAAAGACGAAAAGAGAACATGCTAAGGGTTGGGCTAAGTTAGTGTAGCCTGAATTTTTTCAGTGTCCCTAAAATACTTTTTGCTCCTTAAAGTTGTGGATATGAAGAGCAGTGTTGGGAGAAGAGATGGCTTCTAGGAACGTGGGTGGGGCTGATGCAACATGTATGGGCAGAGTGGAATTTGGGTCACTAAGCAGAGGCTTTGGCTGGTACTAGAATACATACATAGGCCTTTCCTCCTAAGCACCATGGGCACAGGGATCATTACTATCTTGTCTGCCGTTGTTTCCCTGTCACCTAACATAGTGCCTGACTAACGTGGGGCAGAGCAAGAACAATTATGCAGTCAACCGGGGGTAGATGGCAAGCCTGAGATTTCATAGACAAATAAATCCCACTTTGCGCTGAAAGATCAAATTGTTCATACGTTGTCCATTAATGAGGTATTCAAATAATTTCAAGCTTCTTTCTGGCCCTGTAGACCTGAATTTAAAGAGATTCTGGGACCAATTAGTGACAGCTCTGAAATTAGAGGTAACTAAAGTGACCTCGCTGCATATGGGTTGATTTACCAATTTGTAAAGGCCTTGAGAGTGCTGGTTTTACATTATGTGGGGAAAAGCAAAGACAAGGGAACACTTGGCTGTGTGTGGCAGGATTGATCCACATGCATTTGGATAATACAATAACATAAGGGTCCAGTCTGTCACCCTGGCAGTGAGGAGTGTCCTCGAGGTTTGGGCGAGGCCCCTCCAGTCCTGGTTATATCTCTTGCTCACAAATACAAGGTGGGTAGAACGGAGGGGCAGTTATGTGCACAACAATACACCATCGAAACTCTCATTTGTCAAATCCAAACTGTACGAAATGAGAAGGGACAACCAGAATGTAAAGCTAGGAGAGCCTATTGGTGAAAGAGTTAACGCTGCAAGGCATGGAGACCACAGGGAGCTCTTGAGCCAGAATTCAGATGCTCATCTTCCGTGCTTTTTGCCGGGTACCTTTGACTTTTGATGTGGGCATGGGAGGAGCATTTAAATCACTGGGCCAGTGTCAGGAGGAGGAGGAAATAAGTTTAATGGCCACTGAAACAAAAACCTTTGACTGAGCTCTGGCCCAGCTCTGCCTTACAGGGACCATTTGACCTTAAACATGCCCCTCCACCTTTCTGACACTCAATTTCCTCACTGCAAAATGGATCCAACAGTATCTTCACTACTTACTTCACAGAGGGAGATGAGGAAATCAGAAAGTAGATTGAAAACATGCTGCCAACTGTTTTGGTTACTGTAGCCTTGTAGTATAATTTGAAGTCAAGCAGCGTGATGCCTCCTGCTTTGTTCTTTTTTGCTTAGGATGGTCTTGGCTATACGGGCTCCTATTAGGTTCCATATGAATTTTAAAGTAGTTTTTTCTAATTCTGTGAAAAAAAAATCAATGATAGTTTAATGGGAATAGCATTCAATCTATAAATTACTTTGGGTAGTATGGCCATTTTCATGATATTGATTCTTCCTATCCATGAGGATGGAATGTTTCTCCATTTGTTTGTGTCCTCTCTTATTTCCTTGGGCAGTGGTTTGTAGTTCTCCTTGAAGAGGCCCTTCACTCCCCTTCTTAGATGTATTCCTAGGTATTTTATTCTCTTTGTAGCACTTCTGCATGGGAGTTCATTCATGATTTGGCTCTCTGCTTGTCTACTGTTGGTGAATAGGAATGTTTGTGATTTTTGCATATTGATTTTGTATCCTGAGACTGCTGAGGTTGCTTATCAGCTTAAGAAGCTTTTGGGCTAACACAGTGGGGTTTTCTAGATATAGGATCATGTCATCTGCAAACAGTTTGACTTCCTCTCTTCCTATTTGAAAGAATATTTCTTTCTTTCTCTTGCCTGACTGCCTTGGCCAGAATTTCCAATACTATGTTGAATAGGAGTGGTGAGAGAGGGCATCCTTGTCTTGTGCCAGTTTTCAAGGGGAATGCTTCCAGCTTTTGCCCATTCAGCATGATATTGTCTGTGGGTTTGTCATAAATGGCTCTTATTATTTTGAGGTATGTCCCATGAACACCTAGTTAATTGAGAGTTTTTAACCTGAAGGGATGTTGACTTTTATTGAAGGCCTTTTCTGCATCTGCTGAGATAATCATGTGGTTTTGTCTTTAGTTCTGTTTATGTGATGAATTACATTTATTGATTTGCACATGTTGAACCAGCCTTGCATCCCGGGGATGAAGCCAATTTGATCATGGTGGATTTGTTTTTTGATGTGCTGCTGGATTCAGTTTGCTGGTATTTTATTGAGGATTTTTGCATCAATGTTCATCAGGGATATTGGCCTGAAGTTTTCTTTTTTTGTTGTATTTTTGCCAGGTTTCGGTATCAGGATGATGCTGGCCTCATAGAATGTGTTAGGGAGGAGTCCCTCTTTTTCAATTGTTTAAAATAGTTTCAGAAGAAATAGTACCAGCTCCTCTTTGTAGCTCTGGTAGAATTCAGCTGTAAATCCATCTGGTCCTGGGCTTTCTTTTGGTTGGGATCAGTCACACAGTTTTAGAGAGATTGAACCTCTTTTTAAAGTTTTCCAGCCAGCCCTTACTGGCTTGAATTTTTTATTATGAAAATTTCAAACATGAATGCAAAGAGGGGCAACAGTGGAATGAACTGCCCTATACCCAACACCCAGATTCAGCCTTACCAACATTTTGTCACACTTGCTTTATCTATCCCTGTTTCCCTTTGCTAAAGCATTTTAAAGCAAATCCCAGACATCATATCATTTCATCTTTACATATTTTAGCATGCATCCTGCTCAAAAGTAAATGCCCAGTGCTCTCACATTCTCCCTTGTTTCCTTTACAAGGCTGCTTAGAAATGTTTTGTGATTGCTATTGTGTTCTGTTTTCTGGACCTGCTATGTAGCGTGAACTCATTTTTCCTTTCTGTACTACCCCACAGACCTGCCATGTGGTCCAAAAGAGTATTAGTCAAGAAATGATGCTGCATTGTTTTATTTAGGAAGAATGACCCAAAATTCACAGATTAAGTAATAATAATAATAAACTAAATATTTACAATTGGGATTATGCAAATATAAAACAGAGCTATCTTTAAAAATAAAGTGTATTTTTTTAAAAATCTGGCAAAAACAGTTTTGCCAAACTACTATTCCAACTGATCCCAGCTTAATTCAATGGGAATGGCATGCTGACTTTTTATTATAAAATCACTTTGAATAGGAGAGAAATTGTTAAACTCAAGTTAACCTCTAAGCTGTTGTATCTAAGAACTATGCATATTGAAATCACTGTTTCCAAAATAGTTTTCTCAATCTCAGAAATGAGAGAGTTATCCTGAATTGCCATGTAGGAGAAGCCAGCCACACAAGCCTGGCTTCTTGCTGTATGTAGCATATGGTTAACTAAAAAGTTTTCTGCAGATTCTTTATTATCCCAGAGCCAATATGAGATTAGTTTTACAAGTTGGGTTATAACCTTTACAGCTTCTGGGTTGGGGATCTGCTAACAAGATCATAAAGATCTTTCTAACAGATGAGGCATGCATGCCCTGTGTTCAGCTCTGGTAATGACCAAATCAATTTTATCACAAGTGTTTAACAGTGCCATTTTAACTTTTCTATTGATTGCCTGACCTTTGCTTTGGGTCCTGGGGTTAGCGTGTGTTCTCTCCCCTCTCACTCTTTGTATGTAGCCTTCCAGTTTCTCTTCAGCTGTGCAAACCTCTCTTTAGATGTCCCCGACCTTCTCAGTTAGCACTTGTCTCACCCTCTATGCTCCTCTTGTCTTCTCTACACACTTCCAGGAGCTTTGGAGTCACTATTGGTAAACTAGATGTGTGGCTTTGGGGAGTCAACTTCATTCACTTAACAAGTTTTTCTGATCCTCAGTTAACAATTTTTTGTGAGTATCTATATGCCAGGCACCATTCTAGGCATCACAAATACAGTGGTATACCAAGGATGGGAAGTCCCTGCTTCAAGAATTGAAATTGTTGGGAAGACATACAACTGTATCATAGAATGTCAGGAGGAGGGAACTATTGTGAAGATACAAAGTAAAGCAAAATGGAGAGGGGGGCAGGGAGAGCGAATGTGGATAAGCCGGCTGGGAAGCATTCTAGCAGGAGATGAGAGCTGAGCAAAGATCTGAATGGATGTGAAGGAGACCTGCGGAGAAGTGGAGGGAAAGTGATACAGGCAGAGGGAACTACAAACAGAAAGGATGTGAGTCTGGAGCAAGCTTAGAGCTTTAGAGAAAATTTAAGATGGCTAGTGTGGAAGAATGAGATGGGTGAGACAGAGAGAGAGGGAGACACTAGGTCGGAGAACCAGGCAGGCCGGATCATGTAGGACCCTCTTAACTGTGGAAGGAGTTTGAGCAGGGGACTGATGTGATCGGATTTATAGTTCAAAAAGTCACTCTGGCTTACATGGAGCTTCTAAGTAAGGCTAGTGAAATTGTTCCTGGGTCCAGTTGAGGTGTCCTGTATGGTAACAGGAAGACTTCAACGCGTCCAGGCCTCAGAGCCCACAGAGCCACTCCTGTGTAGGGTGCTACTTTTTGCTCTGCTCCTAATTGGCTGGCTGACTTGAAAACAGTTGCCTAATCCCTCTGAGTCCCAGTTTGCTGTCCTTTTTCAGGGAAAGGTACAATTTCTTTAGTCTATTCCAGATCTAACATTTGGGGATTTTAATCTATAAACTAGTTATTTCCTAACCCTGTGTTTTTGTTAGGGTAAAGGTTGAAAACTATTGTAGCAAAGAGACTCAAGAACACAGTGACTTATATGAGGTAGAAGCTGGCTTCTCTCTCCTGTGGTATTGAAGCCAGTGGAGGCTGCCAAGGAAGCTCTGCTCACAGGTCCTGTCTGGGTGCTCTCTCCTGTCTCCAAAGGTGGCCTTGCCCACATGGCTGGAGCTGGGTCATGGCCTTATGCAAGTTCCAGTCCATGGGAAGAGAGAGAGAAAGGATATCCAGAGTGAACAGCTTCCTTTTAAGTGACATGGAAGTTACACACACCCCTCCTGGTCACATGTCTTGGTAAGAATCTAGTCTTTTGGCCATACCCAGCTGCAAGGGACTCTGGGAATTACAGCCTCTAACTGGATGGCTATGTGTCCATCTAAAACTTGACTGCCCTGGAGGAATGGGAGAATGGATTTGGTGGGGCAGCAAGAAAACAACTGCACTCTGTTTTTGGAGGACCCCAGAGTATTATTGCCAGACACCTTACACTCATAACATTTCCTGGACCTTTGTAGTAATTTCATGGAACTGTGGTAACAAAGTGCCACAAACTGGGTGGCTTAAAACAACAGAAATTGTTTTACGCCAATTGTCGTTGGCACAGGCAAACACCTGTGTGGTAGCTAAAGGATGGTGGTGTTCTCTCACAGTTCTGGATGCTAGAAGTCCCAAAATCAAGGTGGCAGCAGAGCCTTGCTCCCTCTGAAGGCTTTAGGGAAGAAGTTCCTGAAGCCTCTCTCCTAGCTTCTGGTAGTTGCTAGAAATCCTTGGCATTCTTGAGCTTATAGCTATGTCACTCCAATCCCTCCTCCATCTGCATGTGGCCTTTTTCTCTATGTGTTGTCTGTGTCCCTGAATGCACATCTCCCTCTCCTTCCTCTTACACAGATAGTAGTAATTAAATTTAGACTAAATCTAAATACTTAGTCTAAGTATTCAGATGACTGGTCCCTGGACCAGTATTGCCTCATCTTAATTATATCTATAAAGATATGATTTCCAAATGAGGTCACATTCGCAGGTATCAGGAGTTAGGACTTGAATATGTCTTTCTGGGGGATGCAACTCAACCCGTTACAACCTTTTTAAAACTAAAATTTAAAAAAAGACAAATGGAAAAAGAATAATTTAAAAGAGAAGAACTGTGCTAGTTGAAATCAATCAAAATATAACAAGGTATGTCAATCTCCAAAAGAACCCATAGTTTATTCTGAAGCTCGGGGCCACCTTAGTGTCTCATCCCAAGGACATATGGGCCTTTTTTCCTTCCTTTCTCTATGGAACATTCCAATGCATTCCTGTAAGATGCATTGCCATCAGATAACATTGCTTAGATAATAGAATTCACTGACAGCTGACCACTTTCAGCTTTGCACTGCCTATACCTTTTGATAATCACAACAGCCTCATGAAAAAGGTATCCTTACTTCCATCCTACAGATATTGAAACTGAGGCTCAAGCTAAGTAGCTTGCCTCAAGTGAAACGACTAGTTGGTAGGTGAAACTGGGCTTGCAACCTGGGTCTTTCTGACTCCAGAGGTCATCCTCTTTGTATTACAGGGCACTAACTCCTGGAGATTTATCAGGAGGTCCTGATGAAAGGGCTCACTCCTGCCTTGAGGATTTTGTGATCAGTCTCTGAGGTAGCACCTGTACTGCAGAGGTCTCCACAGGCCTTTGGTTGCTGGTATGTGTTGACACTGTAGTCATATGCCCTATAGTCATTGGCTTAGGCAAACACCTGTGTGGTAGCTAAAGGGTGGTGGTTTTCCTAGGAGTCAAAAGTTGTCCCAAGTCAGCCCCTGGGTCTCTCACTGCATTCTCGAGCACTGTGTAAAATACATGGTACTAAGCAAGCCTTATTTTTCAGACCTTTATCAGCATATTGGTTATGATTACCATTTTGGCAAGTATTATCAGATTATCCATCACCATAGGGCACTCCTGAAAGTAGCCAGCTATGCTATCACACTTTCACTTCAGACTTCACATAGGGTTCTCTAGAAAGGATAATGCAATTAGTACTTGCCATAGGAAACTGGGTCTCCTAACAGTCACAGAGAGATGTTTGCAATATTAAAAACTAATATTAGGTCAACATTGCCTTGCTTTATTTCATTTTATCTTCACAGTAACCTTGTGGAATAGTTATTTAATATTAACTTTTCTTTCTTATTATTATAATTTTATTTGTACAGGTGTTTTATAGAAATTTTAGAAAACATAGACAAAGAAAAATCAGTCATAATTCCTCCACCCAAACATAATCACTCTCATTAATTTGGTGTATGTATTTTTTGTCTTTTTTCTATACATTTTTTTTTCCTTTTTTGACAAAATGATATACTATGCTTTGGGACTTTGAATTTTTTTGTTTCTCATAATGCAGCTGGAACATCATTGTCTCTGATTTATTTTTCTTTATTTTAATGATGGTAGCGCCTTCCATTTGGTAAACATATCATGCTTTATTTGCCATCCTCTACTGCTAATATTTGGGTGTTCCCTTGAATGTTTTGCTGATATAAATAATATTATGATAACTCTTGTGTATATTCATGATTAATTCCTAAAATTTCTAGTGGTGGAATTTTAGAATGAAAGAAGAAATCTTTTTCCTCTCCTTTTAGTGATGAGGAAACTGAGGATCGGAGAGAGTATCTTGCCCCAAATTATATAGCTGGTAAGTGGCAGAGCTGGGAAAAGAATCCAGATTTCCTGATTCTAAAATCCCATATGGGAACATAGCTTGTACATCTAATCTAACAATACCAAACTTTTCTTCATAAAATCTGTGAATGCAAGGTAAGTATTTTGTTGTTGTTGTTTTGGAGACGGAGTCTCATTCTGTCACACAGGCTGGAGTTCAGTGGCACAATCTCTGCTCACTGCAACCTCTACTTCCTGGGTTCAAGTGATTCTTGTGCCTCAGCCTCCTGAGCAGCTGGGACTTCAGGCATGCGCCACCATGGCTAGCTAATGTTTTTGGTATTTTTTGGCAGAGATGGGGTTTCACCATGTTGGCCAGGCTGGTCTCAAACTCCTGACCTCAAGTGATCTGCCCGCCTCGGCCTCCCAAGAGAAGTATCTTGATGGCTACTTTCTTTTCTTGAGCTTTTATCCAGCAATCACCAATCCAGACAAACTGCCTAAAGTTCTGTAATCAGAGGGGAGTAGAGAGGCTACAAATAGTAATGATCTATGATTTCCTAATTTATAATTTAATCAGTTTTTCATATGTCTTCTTCAAAGTGTTAATAATATTGATACTCTAAAAAATTCTTTATGGACCCATGGTATTCTATATATCAGGAAATAACTGGTCACCACCTCTCTACTTTTAAATATTTGTTTAATACCCCATTGGATCCTAGGGCTTTTACTTTTCATCTTATCTGAGAGTGGGCCTCATTTCCTCCAAATTTAGAACTGAATTTCTATTGTGTCCACTTTGGCAGATTCCCTCTCTTCTCTAGGTGATTCAAGACATGAGTGAATGCATGGGGTTTTTCCTTCTTCCATCATTACATAGTGATACCCTTGGTCTATCTATGCTTCTGCCATCAGTAGCAGACTTCGTTCTGGGGGGAGCTGCAGACCAGGTGATATTTCTTCAGTCTTTACTTGCCTTGACTTGGTATGCTGACCAGGATCCATGCTCGATGAGGTATGATTTAGGTTGTCTATCCAAGGGCATGATTCATGCAAACTTCCCATAGTGTCTGACTTGCTTTGGGGCCAGCAACTCCATAATCTTTGGGCCATCCTCATCCAACCTGTTCTGGTAGCTTCGACTTTGGGGGCTGCAGCTATAGCCGGCATCCAGGCAAGTCACCCACAGACAGTTCACTTCCGTACCTGCCCATATGAGTGACAAAGATAAACAGATTTAACAGATTGCAGAGGCACATAAAGTAAAGCATTTCTGGAAAAGCATGGTGTAAGCTGCTGATGTTTACCTGAGCTGAATTATTCACTTAGAAGATAAAACTGCTCAATTCTAGAAGGCTAAGCTGAAAGTGTTGATATCAGTTCACACCTCTGCCCTCAGAGCTCCAAGATCAAATTTAAATCAACCAGGTAATATCGAATGGATAGCATCATCTTCCATACAGACACTCAATAAAAGGAAATCAATTTGAAAAAATAAGGCTTCTTATGATTCTTACTATACATAAGTACTAATCATACTTTGGGACGAGTAAATAACAAGAGAAATTGCCCTCCTTACATATGGACTTTTCGTAGTGCATTGAATAGTAATCTCTGAGAAGAGGGATGTTTCCCAAATAAGTTTTGTCTGAAGATTTCTTTCTCTGATAGACTGATGGTCTCTTTATGTTGCCTTTGCTGGGGAACCCGGAATGAGGCTTTGTCCTTGGAACTGTTTTGTTAAAGATAAAGGCAGGACTTGAAAGAGGGCATACTTCTGGTCTGCCTGTCCAAAATTAAAAGATATTTCTGGGCACTAATGTCAGGAAATATGACCTAGAGATGGAGAGCAATCACAAATTTTTTTTTTGAATTCAAAAAACAGGAAAAATTCCTCTTATCCATTCCCATAACCATTTTTCAAACTAAAATGGAATATTTTTCATGGCGTCCAAAGCACCTTGGTTGGTAAAAGAGCTGAAATATTATTGCCGAAACAGCTCAACCTAGGCTCAAATCGAACATAAAAGAAACCTCCCATTATAGTATTATTAATGTTCATAATTAGTATATCTAAATGATTTTTAAAGGCTTTTTATGCAATTACAAAATGTTTGATTGTCGTAACATTGCTAATGCTTTGATGCCTTCCACGTGTTGTCCTTGGTCCCTGCAACCCTGGCACATAATTTATTTCTCTTTTGAGTGAACTCTAAGCATTAGTGTCCATTAAGAATTTTTGAAACAAAGTCCAAAGATTACTTGGAGCACTTTCAGTAATATGTACTGATTATCATTAATAGTTCTTTTGTCCTAGACAAGGACATTGTTTTGTAACATCATTTTGTTTGGCGAGGCCCTACTCGGGCTGTGTTCCGGATCCGCCTCGTGCATAGATTTTCTTTTTGACTATGTGTAGAATGGAGCAGTCTCCTGGGACAACTCAGGATTGAGGAGGAGGGGGACATAAGGCCAGCACAAAGTGATATTTTTTCTTTAGAAAACAATTATTAGCTATTCAAAAAAGAAGCCTAAATTCTAGGCCTCGTTTCTTAGCTAGTGTTCATGCACTGCGTGTAAATTTGCCGTTTTAACTGCTAGCGCCTCACAATGAGGAAGTCAAAAAGAAGTAAGGAGAGCACAGCGGATCCAGGAGACCACAGCCTTTGCAGCATGCTTGTTGAGAATGTGGCAGGGAGTGGGTTAAGTGTTTGGGTTTTATTTGGAAAATTCTTTCCTTAGCTCTCCAATGCTGCCTTCCCGGATTATCCCGTTTAATAACAGGATTAATGGGTTTTGCCTATGTCCAGTCAAGGGTTGTCTCTCTGTTTGTCTAATATAAAGTGGATTCACAAGGTGTATGCAATAAGAAACATACTTTAGTAGGAAAGAGGTACTATATCCTGTGCCCCACGTGAATTATCTTACATTTTACTATAAACCTAGTCCTAAGAATTTTATTCCCATTTTATGGAATAAGAAAAGAAAGGCTCAGAGAAGTTAAGCTATATTTGCCCAAGCGCTCATAGCTTAAATAATAGGTGTCTTCTTTAACTCAGACATCTTGCAGGGAGGGAGAATAAATCTTGTGAAAGCCTTCAGATTTGGAGCCCTGCTTTTCTAGGAATTAAAGGAGGAGTCAATGTGCAAGCCTGGTGTAGAGACATGAGTTGGGCCAATTCAAGACTTTGTTCATTATCACTCAACACATCTCTTCCTCCCTGCCACATTCACTTGCAAAGTAAAAATATTGACATATTTTTAAAATAAAAGGAAATCTACATGGCATGGTTTTGAGTGGTTTGTTTGTTTGTTTGAGATGGAGTCTCGCACTGTCGCCCAGGCTGGAGTGCAGTGGCGTGATCTCAACTCACTGCAACCTCCACCTCCCAGGTTCAAGTGATTCTCCTGCCTCAGTCTCCCGAGTAGCTGGGATTACAGGCACCCACCACCACACTTGGCTAATTTTTTGTATTTTTAGTAGAGACTGTGGGTTTCACTATGTTGGCCAGGCTGGTCTCAAATGCCTGACGTCATGATCCACCCATCTCGGCCTCCCAAAGTTCTGGGATTACAGGCGTGAGCCACCATGACCAGCCTGTTCGTTTTTTAATGCTAACACAGAATTTTTTCATGTTTATAATATCTCTATCTCAAAAGTTGTTTTCTCGTTGCAAAAGAGGACAAAAGAAGACACACAGGCTGAATACTGGCAAAGTGGCAGAGTGGCATCAAGTCTAGGGCCTTGTCCAGGATACAAGGCCTCTGGAAATGCTGGTTTGGTAATTGCAAAATTTGGGAAGAGGAAAAATGCCACCTCTTACTAAAAAAAAAAGAAAAAAAAGTAAAATTAACTGGATACCCAGACAATTTCCTAAAAACCAAGAGACAATTAGAAGTCAGTCAAGAAAGTTAACTGGTCCAAGATTTGGCACTGACGGGAAATACCAGCTTACATTCCTGAAGTGCTCTGTTCTGGGATGACTATAATGAAACTTCCCTACTGATAACCATGGCAGGGCTAAATCTGTGATATTTTCATGACATTTCCTTTGCTTTACTTTGAAGCATGGCCAGTTAAAGAGAGTCAAGCATTTTTGCTGTATTAGAAGCTCAACTTTGCTTTGGACCGAATATTTTGGGGCCTTTTAGCCCTCTTAGTTTTAGGGGTTTAATTGGCAATTTAAAACTTCTGTCATATTGTTAAGTTAGAAATTGTGCTCAAGCATTACCTGGAAATCTGGAAATACACCTGCCGTGTGTGTGTGTGTGTGTGTGTGTGTGTATGTGTATCTGGGTAAAATAGAAGGAGTCTTACAGCTTTATCAAAAGGTGCCATTTTTCTCTAGCCCAGATAATTTTTAAAGATCTCCCAAGAAAAGTGCATCTTTTACTTATATAACCTTTTGTGGGCACTGTCTTTTTTCTTCTTTGGTTGTTAAAGGCAAGAAGAAAAAAGTTTCAGGGGGTTACCTTTGATTATGAGCCACATTGGATTTCTTACAGTGAGAAATAGATCTGACAGCCTGTTGCTTGGAAAGATGTGGTTTGGCTTGATAGCTTAGAAGCAGGGCAAGGAGCCATTGGTTGATGAACTGGAAGGGAAATTAAGAAATCATGTTGGCTGGGCAAGGTGGCTTACGCCTTTAATCCAGCACTTTGAGAGGCTGATGCAGGAGGATTGCTTGAGGCCAGGCATTCAAGATCAGCCTGAACAACATGGCAAGACCCCCATCTCTACAAAAAAAGTAAAAATTCTCTGGGCATGGTGCCACATGCCTGTAGTTCCAGCTACTAGGGAGGCTGAGGTGAGAGGATGGCTTGAGCCTGGGAGGTCAAGGCTGCAGCGAGCTATGATGGTGCCGCTGCACTCCAGTTCAGGCAACACACTGAGAACCTGTCTGGAAGAAAAAAAATGTCACTGACTACCTCATTCTGCATATAAGAAAACTAAGACCCAGAGAAGCTAAATTATTTGCCCAAGTCATCCACCGTGTTCACTTTGGGCGCAGGGTGTATGTGTATTTTAGGTTTAGAAACTTGGTTCCACCCCGTCATTCACCACAATTCTATCAAGTCCCTATCTCTGTAGAGAGCATTACCCTGCTCGTGGTCTGTTTGTGAATCTCTGGGGAAGGATCTTGGTGTTCTTCCCAGTCATTTGGAAGTGAATCAAAACCTGCACAACAGCTGGACTTGGTTCGATGCCCTTCGGTAGTGGGGACCAAAGTCCTTGCCTGTGCTGATCAGCAGCCCACTTGGATAATGCAGCCACTTGCTAGTGAGTAGGCAGCTTCCTTTTGTTTATTTTTTTAAATTTAAGACTGGGTGTCACTGTGTTGCCCAGGCTGG
The DNA here is from genome assembly GCF_000001405.40 of Homo sapiens. NCBI lineage: Eukaryota > Metazoa > Chordata > Mammalia > Primates > Hominidae > Homo > Homo sapiens. The sequence goes on along the minus strand of NC_000015.10, from coordinate 60,682,580 downwards.
ACTTGAACTCTTGGGCTCAAGCTATCCTCCTGCCTCAGTCACCCGAGTAGCTGGGATTACGGGTACCCACCACCATACCAGGCTCTTTCTCTAGACTTTAGAGAGTAAAGCGAATGGAGCTTGGGATCTAGAATAGAGTACACTTACTTTAAGGAACTTGGTTCTCCGTCTCATGCTGTCTTCCATCAAATATGAGGATATTTTCTAGTCAGAGTACTTGGTCTGAAAACCAGAGTCCTAGGCCATGAGTCAGTATGAAACTGAGGGACATCATGAGTAGCAATGGCATAGCTTTCACTATCACATGGTAATTCAGTTTGGTTAAACTAATACTATGTGAGTTGCTCACCCCTTACCAAAGTCATTTGTGTCACACTTCCCAATTTGTAAAGCTCTTCATACATCCTTATTTCCTTTAATTTTCACAACAGTCTTTTAAGTGTCATCATGATTGTATACAATTTTAAAAACCAAGAAATTCAGGACTAGAAAAGTTAAGTAACTTGTTCAAGGTCTCTCAACCTAGAAGCAGGAAAATGGGCTATACACGCAAGCTCAGGTCAGCTTGACTCCAGATCTAGTTACCTTAAGAGCTGCCTTTATTCTTGGATTCCTCATTAGAATCAGAATTATTTGCTTCCTTGAGACTTATTGTAGTTTATCTTTAGTAAGCCTAATTCTCCCAAAAATCTCGATTCAGAGCTACTGCTGGTGGTAGCACTAGGTTTGCATACGATTTTTTTTCTGAAGGCCTTTCTCCTTCCACTTGAGGAAAAACACTGGCAATGTATGACTGCTATGAGCTCACTGAGGCTGACCTCTCCTCCTGGTGAGAAAAACAGGAATCTTGTAACCTCTAGGAAAATGAGAAAAAGAAAAGGGGAGACCCATCCCTCATTTAAGGGTGAGAAAATGGCTGCTGGTAACAAACCCAGGCACACATGCCTGCTGCGAATGAAGGCCTAAGGTGGGCAAGTGTGGGTAATTCGGTCAGCTGGATTCCTGGCAGAATACTATGTTCTAGAATATTCCGGAACATTCTAGATTCAATTCAATATGCTCTTCTAGTAGTAGGGACTGTGGTTTCTGTGTGTTTGCATCAGCATCTGAGTACATCTTTCACCCAAACTCAGGATGAGTCTTCCTGGTTTAAATATGGCTGAGGGCACTCCCATAGGTTTAAATTATTTACAGAGCTGACTGCTGAGTGGTATGCTCCAAGGAGTAAAACTTTTTTGAGTATTTACTCTTTTGAGGGTACATCTACACTAGTGTTTTTAAAGATTTGCCATGAGTGTACTTCCAGTTTAATATAACTTTCCACAGAGAAATGTCTTATTATGCCAATTAAACTTTCCTGAGCCTCAGTTTCCCCATCTGTGAAATGAAAAGGATGTTTTCTGCTTTTTTTGGTACTTCTATGGAATCATTTACTATGAAGTACTAGAGCTTCTATGGAGAAATTAGGTTTCAGAGGATCAAAGAGAATTCCAATACATTTTCTGATTTTTTTCATTAAATTTGCCTTTTGTGTGTTTGTATTGTTTTTGTTTGTTCACTTTCTCTAGGGAAATAGACTTCTGTCTTCAGAATGGCTAGGTTAAAAAAAATTAAATATCATGCACAGTCGTATCTCCATAATTAAGCAGTTGTAATGCAATTTTAACAAATATTGCTCTTGTGTCAGGAGTGTGTCTTCTAAGCTTTTCTCCATAAAAATGTGTTTATTAATTGATTGGTATATCTTCATTGGCTATAATAAATATAATTTACATTCTTCTTGTATAGGTTAAGGCTGCCATATAAAATACAGAATGCACAGTTAAATTTGAATGTAAGATAAACTACAAATTAGTATCAGAAATTCAAATTTCACTGGGTAGCCTGTATTTTATCTACTAAATCTGGCAACTCCAATATAAGTGTAGCTCCCAGTTATTTATATTGATTATTAATTGACAGTTAAACAAAACTGAGGGACCGAGAGATTGTGTTGTTGCCAAAGTCATGCTTCCTCCTGGAGACAGATAATGAAAAGTTTTAGCTCCATGCCAGCTACTGCGACCTCCGAGATCAAGCAGCTTTCTTGGGAAGATTTTCAAAATCTATTATCAATGTAATCGTCATGAAAATATTTGATGAGAACACTGCATCACGCTGTATAATAAATTTAAGTAGAAAAGTCAAAGCAGTGGTATTTTCATCAGGCCTTTGGATGTCAAGAGAAAATAGTTCCACACTCAGCGAATATAGATAGGTCGTTTTGGGCTGTATTAAATCCAATTGTGTGGAGGTTTTGAATAATCAGGAGAGACAGCCTAAGCACTTTCTCTTCAAAGTGATTTTACAGAAAGCACTATTTCCTAAGGAAAATACACATATATCTCTCATAATGCTGAAAGTGCACTAATGTATCAATTTATTGGTGCTGGTGTCATGAGCTGGAGTTGCAAATTGTATTCAGATTTTAAACTTTACTCCCTGCTGCTGCTGGGGGAAGTTCCCTTCCCACGATAAAGGTTATTTCAAAAAATTCTAGAACACTTTTGTAGTTTTCATGTGAGACAGTCTTCAAGGATTTTTTTAGAAGGTTCTAACTTCACTTTGTGAAGCCAACTCAAACATGATTTAAAACAAACAAACAAACAAACAAACAAACAAAACAATAGTTTTCCTCAATAAAAGTTGCGGGGTCGGGGAGAAGAATTTGAGTTGGGCTATGTAATTTCAACTTCCCTAAATAAGTCCTTTGGAAAGTGTTGGGGGGAGCAAGTGTGTGATTTTGGTCTTGGCTCACAACTTCGGAACCAACTTTTTAAAAAATGTCTGCCGTGGATTTTCACAACAGATTTCTTCCCCGTACGACATGTTCCCTAGCTAAGTAATAGGTCTGATGTGGCTGCCAAATTTTTCAACAACTTTTACTTTCCAAAGGAGGGTTAAATAGTTCCCTTAATAACTTGAAAGAAAAAAAAATTTCAAGGTTTACCACAGTTCTTAGTCACAGGCTAAATGTTTTCAACAGTTTTATGACTTTGAGCCTACTTAGTCTCAAGAACGTCTCCCAAGAAGAATGCAGCATAAAGGATTCAAAATGTAGTAATTCTGAAATGGAGATAGTGTTGTTTGCATCAAAGCATACATTTATGCTATCTTTATCAGGACTTCTGTGCCAAATGTTGCTTAGTTCTATTTGTCACCTGCTACCTATAAATCATCCTGAAATATCAAGGGTGCTGACTCATGAATCGCTCGTGTTTTCGTAGTTTGTGTTCATACATTTCATTCAGTTGTGTTTCAACTGTATGAAACATTTGGGGGCCATTTTTAGAGAAGTAGCAGTGATTCCCTTTCTGACCTTAATGAGTACAGACACATAGGTACATTTGGTGGATGTATTTCCCCCTCACCATTAAAAGTTGTGCTTCATGGGAGGAGGAAGGGTCGTTTTCATTAAAGAGTAAACACAGAACCAATGGCCATAGCAAATTAATTGCCGTGTTGCTCATCTTACCCTGGTCTGAGTAGGCTGGCATTGCTCTCTTGTGCCTTACATCTTTCCCACTCTGCCTATAAACATGATTGTCTCCCCTACTTAAAATAAAAAATAAGAGTCTCCTCGCGTCCTGTTTAACCCTGTTTAGTTATTGTCCATGCTCCCCACTTTTACCACAGAACCTCTTAAACCAGGAGGTGATGGTCGCTGCCTCATCAGTCACGGTTGCATGCCTTTGGGGTAGGTCTAGTGACACTCCTGTGCAATGTTAAAACTGGTCTTGCTTCCACTTCCCCATCTGAACTAAACGCCTTCCTGAGCACACTGGGAATGACGGACATTCAAAGCAGCACACACAGGGCACTTTCTAACCTATGTTATTGTTTCTTCTCTTCCAGGTATCTCAGTAACGAAGAAGACACATACATGTAAGTAATGCATTTTTTTTCTGTCCAAAGTTTTCTGAAGAGTTGGAATTCGCATATGTCTGGCTGCTGTGACCCTTCAAGTATATACTAATGTTTCAGCTGTGATCCATGGTCAACAGAGGTCATTTTTTTTCAATCTGTAGTGGTCGGAAGTGGCACATCTCCACCTGTTTGTACTGAGTGTGTGTTGAAGAGAGAGGCTAGAGACATATTCTGATGAATTCCAGTGTTTCCAGCCATGAAGCTTTAGAAAAATCATGAAATCTAGCCAGGAGGATCAATTACTTACTGATCACCCTTATCCTAGATCCTTCTTAGAAGAGCTGGTATGTTTCTAGGAAACATCACCTTGATTTCTTTTAAGCTTTGGTCTCCTTTTCCTCACCACTAGTTCACAAATTAGGCCGTTTCGTACTCATGTCTGTGGAGCAGAGATGCTGACTGGGAATAGAGGCGCTGTCGCTCGACCACGGGCATGGCCTGCGAGGGCCCTGATAAATGGCATCGGTAGTTTGATGTGGAAACGTGTGCTGGATTTATGCTCTGTATTCATCCCACTTCTCAGGTTCAACTGCTTTCATCAATTGCCTTCATTTGAACTACACCATAAGTTACAAACTCACGTCAATGTAAGGTGTTGTGATTTGCAATCTGAGCAATGATGTTTGACTGTGCCTTGAACCTCAGGATGAAACAAGACATCATTGATGCAGGCAGTCAACTTTCACTGTAATTGACCAGCATATTATTTAGGCTTTGAATTAATGGTGTCATTAGAATTTGATGACTATTTTAGACCACGGATACGTGCTACCTATGAGATATGTTTGGGCATTCTTCTAAGGCAAGCAGTGGAGATATTTATGGCACAATACAGGGACAACAAGGATGTATCCCCCAATTTTTCCTAATTACACTTTAAATTTTTTTATTTCATGTGAAACGTTTGGGGGAAAACATCTGTATTACATCAAAGTAGTTTATCTTGTGCCTCAGTTGATTCTTGAAATCTGCTCTTGGGTTTGTCTGTCTGTCTATCTGTATTTGTAGAAAACAAAAATGAAAAAAAAAAAAAAGAAAAAACCAAAAAACGTCAAATTGGATGAGAAGTTGCCTGACTCTGAGGGCCCTGTCCTGCAGTCTCTCCACGTGGCTCTCTCATGGCCTTCAATGGAATGTTTGCTTGAGGAACAATGAAAAGGTCAGGCCCGTACTAGACACATGATCCGGATGGCACCTCCATCTCTCAATGCACAGTTCCAGTTGGCTGTCCCTCCATCAGGGTAGTCTGTGACCCTTAGCTTTTTGGGGGTTGTTTTGTCGTTGTTGTTGTTCTTGTTCTTGCTGTTGTCGGTGCATAATTGAGCTCATGATGACTGAGAGATTGACAGTGCAGGAGACTGAAGTCCTCTGTATATCCGCAGGGCAGGCATGGTACAGAGCGCTTCCTTGCACAGCCTTGCCCATGAGCTCGTCCCTGGCCCGGAGGGACCCACTCTAGAGGTGGTAAGTAATTCAGTCTTTCTGCTAGCTCAGTCCTGGGCCTCTCCCCAACAGGGGCTGATGATTGTGCCTACTGTTTATGGTGGTTTGGGGTATGGACTCCTGGCCACCTGGCAATGTACAGAAAGCTACTGACTGTTTGCATTATGACTTGGCTCTTAGATAAGTGAACAAAACCACTACTTCAGCTCCACTGGACATGAAGAGTACATCCCAACTAATAAGATAACATAGACAGAAATCTAGATGTTACCTAGTATACAGACAGTCCATATAAAGAGAGACATTCGAGGAACTGTCATCCCTGAGAATAATTTTCTTGGGCTATTGCAGAAACAATAACCTGTGGTTGAGTTTAAATTCATGGAGGGACTTAGATGACAGCATGAGAGTGGTGGCTAGAGAGGAAAAATTGGTGTTCTAAAAACAGACACTTGAACCAGGTGGGTCTTTCCACAAAGGCTTAAAGAATTTCATCAGCTATACTGGCTTTAATGCAAAATCAAGATATAGCCACACAGGGTGGACTTTGAGTGCCTTTCTAACTGTGAAAATCAGCAAGAAAATTCTTAGGCATTAAGCTTGAAGTCAATGTAGAAAGACTTAAAGCTCCTTTTATATAATGGACAGAAAGATTTGGATCAGAAATGATATTGTTTTGGTTGATGTTTACTTTCATGATTGGGGGAGAGGGCCCAGAATAAAAAATGGCCGAATGACAAAATTGGAAAGAATAGCACCTGAAAACACAGTTGACACAAAACTTTACATATGCCAAGGAGAAATTGAATTGTCCAAGTTACATGTTAGTGGAAGTCCTCCATGCCACTTGAACATGGAGATTGTTTTTGTCACCCAGCTCAGCAGACAGCCCATCGTATTTCTGATCTTAGCATCTCCACAGGGCCCACAGCTTGTGAGGAGAAAGACAATCAGTCAGTTTTTTCTCTAATAACAGTCACCCAAATTACTTCTTCTTTAGCATTTGTTGGATTTTTCTTGAAAACTGAACTGTCCTAACTTGCCTATACGTTTTTTTTTAAGATGTTAAATTCCAGCTCCTCTTAAATCATCTTGACATCTGTTCTTCAAAAAGTTTCACTATCAGTGAAGTGTATGAATTCATTTTTGTACCGTCTCAAAACTTCCATTTTTAGCCAGGGTTCTGGAAACCTTAGTCAAGACTTGACTACATAATCATCGACAGCTGAAGTCACCCGACATTAGCAATTTCAATCTTGGTTTCCTAACTGCCCTCACGGAGAGATTGTTCAACTTACAAATTAATATGTACAGCTGCAGAATATATTATCAGACCAGAGTGTCAGCTCACAGGTACACAAGACAGAGGTGCACATACTGCAAAATGAGCCTGAATAGTTGTGACACCAGATAGTATTTTAGTCCACCTTGTTATCTGGAAAGCACAGGTATTGTTTCTTTTAAAAAAAATAAATGTTTTGGGTGACTTGAGGCAGAAATTCCCATGAAGGGAAATTTGACTGTTAAGCTTCAGAGGAGCCCATGGACATAGTCTTTGGAGAACTCAGTTTCTCCTAAGCTTCTGAGAAGGGTACCTTAAGTGTTTGTTTTCTGTTTAGTTGGCCAGTGGGAGAAGACAAGCTTTGGAATTTCTAGTGTTTCTCGTGCCCAAATTGTTCAAGGAATTCTTATATTTGTGATGTTCTTCAATTGTTGATAGGAAATGTTGCTGTTGGTTTTTGGTGTGCAAACATAAAAGAGAGTTTTTAATATTAGATCAATTTTACACTGTGGTGTGGAATTGCAATTTAATTTTCCTGGGGATTATATAGCACATGTATTTGGTTGGACCCCTTCAAGATTGCTTTGCTTTGGTGTTTCACAAGTTTGTTCTGGTCTCTTTCCTGCTGAAATAGCCACCATGCAGATAAGTATCATTTTCGGAATCAGCTGCTGTGTTGGTTTTTATTATTTGCCAAGGACAACGAGTCATTCACTCCTGAATTCTTAGTCTAATTCTTCTTGGATAGTTCTGCATTTGCTACAACGTTACAAGAGGATAAATATGGAGGTGAAAAGATGCAACAAATCATCCTAGCTCTTTCCAGCTACTGGAAAGTTTAGCATCATGGAGTCCTAACCTCAGAGGACATATATCAGACAGCCACCACAACACAGACCCAAAAGATATCTGGTAGGCCCCTGAACCGTTTCCAGAGGCATCAGACCATTGCTGCTTCCTTCTGTTCTCATCCTTGTTTACAGTCCTTGTACCTCTTGTCCTAGCCTGCCCTGCCTGCTTTCTCCCACACTGAGGGACAGATACAGGCTTCTGAAAGGTGCAGGTTACTCAGTGGAAGCAGTCAGGAAAATGTGTCAGTTTACTCCCAACTTGAGTTGTTAATTTTCCCCAATAAAAACCCAAACAAGATACGCCTCTGAATCTTCGGAAATATTTTCAGTTAACGTGAATAGCCATTAAAAGGTAATCTAGTACATTTTCAAATGTTTGATTGTAGCAGGCTAATACCTACAATATAAAATTAAAGCACTGTGTTATTTATAAAAAGATTTAGTTCTCAATAGTAAAATATTTTAGCACAAATCAAAATATTTCTTTGAGAACTAATCTTTTGCATCCATTTTAAAAAGTGTTTATTGCAATCATTTAAAATGGAATAGGTTAATGTATTCACTTTTCACCCCAGAGACTTGGCTTTGAATTTGACTTAGAGAAAATTAGTTTTGAGGCCTCAACCTCCTCTCCATAGGCATTCATTGATATCACAAAATGAACCCAACAAGTTGTCACAATTGTTGCCATTTACTCAGGAGATCCAAAAACTAGAATAACCTTATTTTCTCATTTTTTTTCCTATCCTTGAGGCCATACTTTTTTATTGTAGACTCTTAGCAACCCCAAACTTGGGGCTCACCCACATTGTTTTCACAGTCCAGGAAAACTCAGGAACCATTCTTGGCAAAGCTAATGGAAGGTGCTTTGGTGATATAGTTAGTAGGTTTCCGTGGCAACCCATGTGACTCACAGTGACTCACGGCAGTTATAATTTCTGTTGCTGGCAGGGTGTTCCATTAGGACAGATGTGAGAAGAAGCCACGCTGAAGTTCTTTTAGTAGGCCTTCATCCAGATCCTGTCTGCCCATTGACAAATAGTCAGGAAAAGGGATAACCTAGTACTCACAAAGTAACTGGAAGATTCATTGCTTAGCTTACCAAGGCTACCAGCTATCTCAGACAGCAAGCTTGTTGGCAGTGGGTCATGACTAAAATACAGGTGCTGGCCTCTTAAGGGCTAATTAAGGGACAACTATTCATTGAGGACCTACTCTGCGCTGATAGGCTTTTTACCTTCCAGGCGTTTACAGACTAGTTGTAAGTAAAGACTAGAGGGAGACAAGATAGGGGATAGGGTGGGATAGAAGTGCATAATCACATAAAACAATCTGAAAACACAAATGCCAGGTGTACCAGTTCCATAAGTCGCTCATAACTGGAAAACAAACTAAGCTGGAAGTATGGGAGAGGAAAAGAAAACTAGAGAAAACATCGAGGATTCTCATATTGTGATCCAAGCATAAAATAGCAATAAAGCAAAAGGCAAAAATTTAACCCTGGGTGCTAAAACCTATCCCCGCTGCTCATCTCCACCCATTCTTACAGAGTAACATCTATTTAGTTTCTTCAAATCAGCCAGTCTGAGAAAGTAAAAATCCCTCTGTACTGTCTGGAAGCGTTTGCCTTGTTTAGAGTCAGCCTGCTCAGCTACAGCCAAGCCCTCCTAAGCTTAACAGGATTTCTCTGTCTCATCATATTAAAAATAAATGGATTGCACTTGGCCCTGCCAGTCAGTTCTTCCAAAGTAGAAGATTTGCATAGTCTTAAAGCCCACAGTTCATGGCGAGGACCTGTGAACTCCATAGAAAAACTGAATAGTTACCTGAGCATTTCCATCCCAACATCCAGTTGATTCAAGTTTGCCCAGTTAGTAGACTTGAGGTTCATGAATTGCATTTGGACAAAAAGTATTTGTATTCCCACTTCATAACATACGTTCCAAAGGGTGTGTTGAGATGGTGATTGGCTCTTTAAAATCCATAATCACTACCAGGGAGAAAACAAACATGCCTAGCCTACGAGGGATTGGTGTGGACTTGATAGACTTATTACATACTTGATAAATGCTTAGTTAGACATGATTAGATTGATTTTTTAAAAAGCGCTAGATGTCTATGACATAAGTTTGCAATATGCTTAGTTTCATATTGACAGTAATAATGGCAGAAGTAATAGCAGTAGTACCATTACTTGTAGTAGCAGCAGCAGCAATAGCAGGAACACCACCTACCAAGCAATCTGAATATTCGAAGCATTGTGTTTAATGCTTTACGTGCATTATTTCATTTAATCTGCTCATCAGCTTTAGGAGCTTTGTACTGCTTGCACCCGCATTTTAAATAAGAAAATGTACATGAGAGACAAGTAGCTTAGAGAAGTGAAAAACCTCGTTAGCTCACCCAGCTGGGCAAAGCCTGGAGTCAAAACAGAGTAGATTGCCCCCTTGTGCACACATAAGAGCCACACCGTTATCTCCAGTATCAACATTAACTAATACTTGTGGGGCACTGAGTGCTAGGCACTTCTCTAAGCACTTTCTAAGTGTTCATTTATTTATCTTTACTGCAACTTTGTGAGGTAGGTGTTGCTACTATCCCCACTTTACAGATGAAAACCGAGGTCCAGGGTCCTACAACTAGCTAGTATGTGGTGGAGCCAGGATGTAAAGGCAATCCCCAGTTTAAATGCTTTTAAAATGAAGAGCTTCATTTTTCAGAGTGGTTCTTCCACTCTAAAGTATAGGAAGAAAGCCAAGTGCAACATAGTCATTCTTACAATTGACCAAGGTTTCCTTTTACCTTACAACTATGCTACCTCCATAGGCTTCTAAGCTTGAAGAACAAACTGATTGTAAGAAAGGGGAATGTTATTCCCACTATGTGAAAAAAAGTATTTAAACAAAGTAGTCTACTGGAAACTGTACAGCGTTCTTACTTTATTATTTTTTTTAGAAGGGGACTCGCTCTGTTGGCCAAGCGGGAGTGTAGTGGCATGCGCGTGGCTCACTGCAGCCTCAACCTCTTGGTCTCAGGAGATCCTCCTGCCTCAGCTTCCCAAGTAGCTGGGACTTGCTCAGCTAATTTGTTTTTTATTTTTAGTTTTTTGTAGAGACAGGGTCTTGCTGGCTGGGCTTGGTGGCTCACCCCTGTAATCCCAGCACTTTGGGAGGCCGAGGCAGGCAGATCACCTGAGGTCAGGAGTTTGAGACCAGCCTGGCCAACATGGTGAAACTCCATCGCTACTAAAAATACAAAAATTAGTCAGGAGTGGTGGCACACGCCTGTAATCTCAGCTACTTGGGAGGCTGAGGCATGAGAATCACTTGAACCCGGGAGGCAGAGGTTGCAGTGAGCCGAGATCACGCCACTGCACTCCAGCCTGGGTGATGGAGTGAGAGTCTGTCTCAAAAAGAAAAAAAAGAGAGAGACAGAGTCTTGCTATGTTGCCCAGGCTGGTCTCTGAACTCTTTAGCTCAAGAGATCCTCCTGCCTCAGCCTCCCAAAGTGCTGGGATTACAGGCGTGAGCCACTGCGCCTAGCCAACCTTCTTACTTTAAATGACCATTACTTATCTTTTTAACAATTTAACTTAGTTCATCAAAGAACTGATGTCTACTTAATGTCATACAACACAACTGATTCCATAATAAAACAATTGTTCAAAGTGGTTACTTCTGCTTCTAGGACAGCTATGTACCCCACACCAGTAATGACATATATTTCGTACAGCACAAACCCATCTTCCTCTGAAACAAAGCCTTTAACGGACATTAATGACATTTATAATAAATTTATACTTTTTTGTTAGACCAACTTAGTAATTCATTTATAACTTTCATTGCCACAAAGCAGTACTATGATTCCGGACACAGTGGTTTCTTTGAAACCTATCCAAACCCAAAAAAACCCTGGAAGCTAACAGAACGCTCAGGAAACAGATATATATATATATATATATATATATATATCAATGGGATATATAGGAGATATAAGAAAATTAACATCTAGATTTTGAGGATGTTTAAGCATATCTGAACTTAGGACTGGATTTACACTTATATCAGCTTCTCTTTTTATTGCAATCTGTACGCAGAGGAATAAAAACGTAGAAGAAACAGAGATGCCAATGTGTTTAAAACAAGAAGAGAGTGATCACTCTACATTCACTTTCAGTGATGACACTAAATTTTTTACACTGATTTCTTTATCAATTCTGTGGCCAGGAAGTTAGTGCATTTGTAGTCACATGGCCCTTTGGATTATAATTGACATCCACATCTATACATTATAAGGATGAAGATTTTTAAGCTATTCAATTAAATATTTTCCTTTGACTGCCAAAATCCCTTGCAATGGAATGTTCTCCACCCAATCCACTTCCACTTCTGGGAAAACATGTTTTTCTATGTAGGAGTGATAGCTCTTTCCCTTCTTGATTTTGTATGTCTCCTAGGCATCAACTCCAGCTCCTACTGTCTTAAATAGTTAATAGCCAAGGATACTGATTAGAAGGCATATTGAGGAGTGGCCGGGCATGGTGGCTCACGCTTGTAATCCCAGCACTTTGGGAGGCCGAGACGGGCGGATCACTGAAGGTCAAGAGTTTGAGACTAGCCTGGCCAACATGGTGAAACCCCATCTTAACTAAAAATACAAAAAGTAGCTGAGTGTGGTACTGTGCACCTGTAATCCCAGCTACTAGGGAGGCTGAGGCAGGATAATCGCTTGAACCTGGGATGCCGAAGCGGCAGTAAGCTGAGATCACAGCACTGCACCCCAACCTGGGCAATGTAGTGGGACTCCATCTCAAAAAAAAAAAAAGAAAAAAAAAAAAGAGGTAGGATATACTAGATTAAGGTTTGGATTCAGTGGAAAGGCCTTAATCTATAAATCTTTTATTTTACATTTTCTTCTTAGAGGAAAGGGGAAGGAAATTATATGCTAGGCAATCCAGACACCTGTAATATCGGGGTCTGAGGAACAGAGGCTGGAAAGTAGACTGCAGTTCATACCTATGGAAAGATAGGGCAGGGAGCCAGGCAGATTTTCTTAGCTTGATATTTTTTAACCCCTGCTCTGTGCCTAACATTGTGTAAGGCACATTGCAGTATAGGTAATCTAACTTATATTCCTCCCTGTCTAATAGTTTAGTCTGTATCTAGGAGAAAGGACACACACATTTGAGGAACTTTCAGTAATGAAAGAATTGCAGGAAAATGCAGGGCTATGAAATTTTGCCATTTCAATGGCAAAAACCACAATTACTTTTGCACCAACCTAATAGAATATGTGTTTAAATGCTGTATGAGTTGGGAACATGTGTGGTGAGCTGAGCTTGCTCTGGAAGGGTAGCAAGAATTAGGTGTGATCAGGGATGATTGTGTAGATCGGTCTGACTGGAGTAGAGTATTAACAAGGAAAAGGGAGACCAGTAAGAACAGAGAGCAGGTTTTGGCTTTCTCTCATAACCAATGTGGAGCCACAGAATGTGTGTGAAAAAAAGCAGTGACCTATAAACAATGTTTTTCTGCCACAGTCATTTAGTTAGGGTTATGTGAATCAGATGTTCCCTGCTCCAGTCCCTTCTCTGAACCCAGGTGACATTTTTATCCTTAGTTAGAACTACTTCTGTGTGTGCTCCTGTGACCAACTACGTTAAAAAAACAAACAAACAAACAAACAAACAAACAAACAAAAAAACGCTTATTGGGAAGGAGAGATCTGGTCCGAAAAGAGAAGGCTCTTCTGATTATTAAAGAAAAAGGATGTTCACTTTTTCTCTAACTCCACGGTGTTAAGGTCTAATTGTAAGACCCGTTCTTGCCATTTCATTAAAATCAGAGGCATGGAATGTGCAGTGAAACTTGAAAAATACATAAGCACTTTGAATTTTGCGGCTAATGGTTCTCCTTGCTTTCTTTCATTCGAGCTGCTAATTGGCTGCAGGCTACTCTGCTACCCTGGGAGCCTCTGTCTTTCCAACCCTTTTAAACTCAGCTACAAATAGCTTTATAAAAATTTAAACCCCAAATTCCAAACCTTGCTCACTCCTTAGGTAGGCAAAGTCAACTGCAGTGACTATTACTTTTTCATCAGCACAAAGAATTATTTCCCTCATGTAGCTGGACAATTATGGTAAGAGGACAACTAAGCATCCTTTTCTCATTATGGATATTTCTTAATTTCCTTAGAATATGTTTCTGTCGTTTTACTTAAAGAATACCAAGGTCCTGATGAGGCATTTTCATTGGCTGCGTGTTCTTAGTCTCCAGTATAATGAATCATATTGAGTTAATTTATCTCTCTTTCTCTTACACCATGTCTTTTTGTGTCGACAAAACTGAAAATTCACTTTCCCTCACCAGGTTGGGGCGTCGGGATAATTGATTGTTACCAGTCTCTGCTGTTAGTAGACAGGATAACACCAGTGCCTCTAGAGAACAGGTGAAAACTAAACTCTGTCCCCCGAGGCCAATGAAATAGCTGTTTGGTCCCTTGTGTGAAACTTCCTAATAACTTAACTGGGCAGCCTCTGGGTCCCTGGAGGGTTTCTCCACAAGAGTATTCCCTCTCTTTGTTAAGATTGCTTATTAAAAATGATTTTATAATGAAGTTGCCTCAAATAGCAGCTCTTTTCCTGGTTGTCCTTGAAGCTGTGGTGAAGAACCTTAGAGACAACTGTCTAGGGTTTTCCTCCTTGTTAAAAAACTTCTCTCTTACCACTCTTGCTCTTGATTTTTAAGGAGACAAAATCTAACTGACACAAGTCCCTCTCCGGCTGATTATGTCGCTTCAAACATTGTGCAAGGCATTATTGGTAGTTCAACTTGTCATTCGGGCTCAGGAATCGAACTGATCTACGTGGAGTGAGGACAGTTAAGTCTGCAGTGGAAACAAGGCTGTAGGGCTTCCCCCTGAGAGCAGCAGCCAAGGAATGCTGCTGTCATGCTGTCACAAACTCTGCCCCTGACTCTATCAAAACAATGATTTCCAATTATTTCATCTCTTTGGTCCTAGATTTCTTCTATCTATAAACTAACCACTTTCCTGCCACAAGAGACTGTCATGAAGAGGAATTAAATTTAAAAAAAAAAAATAGAATCATACTCTTTGGGCTGGGTGCAGTGGCTCATGCCTGTAAACCCAGCACTTTGGGAGGCTGAGGCAGGTAGAGCACTTGAGCCACAGAGTTCAAAACCAGCCTGGGCACGTGGCAAAACCCCATCTCCACCAAAAAATAAAAAGAAAATTAGCTGGGTATGGGGGTGCATGCCTATAGTCCCAGCTACTCAGGATGCTGAGGTGGAAAGATTGCTTGAGCCCAGGAGTTTAAAGCTGCCGCAAGCTATGATCACACCACTGCACTCCAGCCTGGGTGACAGAGTGAGACCCTGTCTCAAAAACAAAAACAAAAAGAAACAAAAAACGAACTATACTCTCTGCTACCAATGGCCTGTATAAATTCAAAAACTTCTAATACATGTAGGCAATTAGGAGAAAAATCGGTTTTTTATTGTCCACACCATAACCTTAACTTCTCGGCTTGCAAGGGCTTAGATGTGGTGATGTATTTAACATAAAGAATGATAAAGCACCCGGCAGGGAGGCTCGCTGTCAGAAATATCTGCCTCCGATTTCGTTTCTCAGTGGCCAGGCATTCTCAACAAGCAACACAGGAAACAACAAACCATATAAAGTTGTTAGTGACAGATTCAGCTTGAAATATTTTTCTAACTTTAAGGCTTGTCAGGCAGTAAACCTGCAGAGCAGAGAACTCAAGGTGTGGCTTGGCACTTGTTTTGCTTTGCAGTGTGAATACAACAGAACACCAACAGTAAGAGGGACGATTGTGAATCTTTTAGGGAAGAGAGCCCAGTCTTGTCTAGTGGTACCAAGACTCACTGTGTGCTAAGAGTGTGATAAAAATCTGTCTTGGCTAAATTCTATTCTCTGAGATGAGGTATATTAGAAAACACCAGCCTTACATTCGGTAATTCCTGCTCCTGCACAATAAAAAAGAAAAGTAAGGAAAAAGAAAAACTGTGGCTTTCTCTAGAATTTGACTGTGGCCTTCTCTAGAATCTTCTGATTCTACCTCCTTAGAAACAAGGTGGAATCTTCTCATTCAACCTCCTGTAAGGTTTTCTGTCACCTGAGGAGTCTAAATTCTAAGTATGGCATTCGAGGCCTTTTACAATCTGGTCTTAATCTTTCCACTGCTCTTTTCAGGACTTCTCCCATGCAGGCAGTGTTTGCCATCCTCAGTGATCTGTTCCCAGGAGATTCCATGCATGGGCATACCTCGGTGCCTTTGTATCTGTAGTATCTTGTTTGTCCTGGAATGTCCTTCATCATCTTCTGCACCTATAAAGTCTTATTGCTCCATCAAAGGCCAACACAAGTAGCATCTGCCGTGCAAAGCCTTCTCCAATTCCACCTTGTTAATTGCTGCAGCCCCCACAGTACATTCTTAAGGTGACAGTATAAAATGTATTGCAGAATAGTTGCTGTTTATGTAGCTTTGTCCTACTAGATATTCTTTAATTTTTTTGGCCGGGTGTGGTGGCTCATGCCTGTAGTCCCAGCACTTTGGGAGGCTGAGGAGGGGGGATTGCTGAGTCCAGGAGTTCAAGAACAGCCTGGAAAACATAGGGAGACCAGGTATCTACAAAAAAAAAAAAAAAAAAAAGAAAGAAATTAAGTAGCTATGCATGCTGGCACACACCTATAGTTCCAGCTACTTGGGAGACTGAGCTGGGAGGATTGCTTGAGCCCAGGAAGTCAAGACTACAGTTAGCAGAGAGTGCACCACTGCACTCTAGACTAGACTACAGAGCAAGACCCTGTTTCAAAAAAAAAAAAAAAAAAATTATCTTTGTATCCCTTGGGCTTAACAGAGTGATCAGTATCTACTATGTGCTCAATTAATACCCGTAGATTTTAAATAAGTGTGTCTGTATGTGTGTGTATACATACACAATTTTATGACCACTCTTGTTGCTCATTTCAGTTTGGCCAAAAATAATGATATTTTCATTGTTAACAGCTATAAGAAAGAATAGGCTGGGTACAGTGGCTCACACCTGTAATCCTAGCACTTGGCGAGGCCAAGGCACACAGATCACTGGAGGTCAGGAGTTCGAGACCAGCCCGGCCAACATGGGGAAACCCCGTCTTTACTAAAAATACAAAAATTAGCCGGGCATGGTGACAGGCGCCTGTAATCTCAGCTACTAGGGAGGCTGAGGCACGAGAATTGCTTGAACCCGGGAGATGGAGGTTGCAGTGAGCTGAGATCACACCACTGCACAGCGAGACTCAGTCTCAAAAAAAAGAAAAGAAAGAAAGAATAGGTATTTATTACTTGAAATTATATTGTGAGATTTGCATTATAATAGTTTGGAAACTGATACTATAATTCAAAGGGCTGCTTGACATCTGGCAATTTACCATATGCATTTTGAGTCTCAGTATTAGGGCTAAATTTTAGGGCTGATAGCTTTAAAGTTTCTTTCTGCAGTTTGTAAGATTTAAGTCAGAATCTTATCGAGAGGTTTAAAAATACTTGCCTATCTTTCTAGATATGAAGAATGTGTTAATTTTCTGAGTGACCTCTTGAACACCATTTGTTTGCATTATCCATGTAAATCAGATGATCGAATCTATAGAGTAAAAGGTAAAGGGACCATTTTCAGTTACCATTGGCATCTACATTTATGCAAAGTAGGAAACTACCTACTAGAAAAGAGAATTGGCTGACCTTTCCAAGAATGAAGGGTGTATCCTATCAAGGGAAATATCCTGTATTTGTCCAGTCTAGAGAAGAAAAAGTAATCCTAAAATGTTTAACAGTTTCTGAAGTAGATGTCCTGATAATCCCAGATTACTTATTGAATTTTAAGGTAAATTCTGGAAAGAAATGACATTTATTTGTTCAAGGTCAGAACACGTGACTTGCTATGTTTGTCTGGTCTAGAATGTAAGTATGTTTCCTTAGTTTAGCAGGAACCAATAATTTCAAAACTATTGTCCACCTCATCAGTGGCTGCACACAACCACAGTTTCTGTGCTCTTTTCCTTGGAATTCTTTTAAAAATGTCCTTTAGCCTTCATATGCAGCTTCCTCCCTACTTTTGTTTGTAACTTTTTCTTGAGTCAAAACAAGAGGAGCAAAATTATCCCCTGCAGTATCAATTGCTTGAGTGGAAGCCTTGCTCATAAATGAGAGGATGAGATGTGACCCAATAAAAGAATCTATTTTAATTTTAATTTATTTCCTGGTGGCCTTTTATGCCTCCTTAGGCGATGACCTAACCAATTCTATCTTAACACTGATTTTCTTCTTCCAAGGTCAAAAAGCACTTTGGAATTATTGTAAAAAGAGAAAAAAATGTCCCTTGCCTGTAACGTAAAGTCCATCTCTTCTTAGGAAATTTAAATCTTACTTTCTCAGCTTCACAATAATTCTTTTCTCATGAGGCGTCTATTAGCAAGCTAAATGAGAACAGGATGAAGGAAGAAGATCTTTTAGGCTTCTGAAGTTGATTTTTTGATAGAAAGGCCATCTCTTATAGCCTCCTTCACCCATTTTCTTTCTCAGATGGGAGTCTTTAATAGCACAGTGAGAGGAGCTATCTTCATTTTGTGCTGCTCTTTCACACAGCCAAGTGCAATCAAAGTAGAAGCTGTCCTAGAAGGCCTATGGTTTTTGATGTTGGAAAAGGAAAAACTGTTACTATCACACACACATCCTCACCACCATCCTCCTCTCCTCCTGCTCCCACACCCCTCAAAAAAGAGTCCTGCCTGGTATCTCTAAATCAAAGAACTTTCCATGGCCTGATTTGTGGAAGTTACCTAATCCTGTGTATAATTGGGGTGATTTGAGAGACAGGAAGATGTTCTCATTTTCACTAGGGGAGCCACTCAGGGACAGTATCATTTAGGAGAATATGTTTTTATTGCCCTAAATTGCTTCACCTGAGATTCTGTTGATACGTTTCTCTTAGGTTAGATTTCTAATGAACAAAATGACCAATATGGGACTCATTCTCACAGATTTTCCTAGTGCTTTACCTACTCTTTAGTGGTCAGTGAGTTCTTCCTCGTTCTATCCCAGAGTCTTACTTACAAGAATTCTGGAGAGTTGGGTTAATTATGCCACTGAAATGTAGAAGAGCCAACTTCTCACATTCTGTGTGTGACCAATCATCTACATATCGTACATGATTCTTCTATTATTTTCAATAGCAAAGCCTCATTATAAAATTTCTCATATTGTGGCCAGGTGTGGTGGCTCATGTCTGTAATCCCAGCACTTTGGGAGGCTGAGGTGGGTGAATCACCTGAGGTCAGGAGGTCAAGATCAGCCTGACCAACATGGTGAAACCCCATCTCTACTAAAAACACAAAATTAGCCGGGTATGGTGGCGTATGCCTGTGATCCCAACTACTTGGGGGGCTGAGGCAAGATAATCACTCGAACCTGGGAGGCAGAGGTTGCAGTGAGCCAACATCGCGTCATTGCACTCCAGCCTGGGCAACAAGAGTGAAACTCCGTAACAGCAACAACAAAAAAAGTCTCATTTTGTACCATTACCATTAATTTAGCTCACCTTGCAATGCTAGAGTTTTTTAAAAACTTCTGGAACTAACCCTCTTGGCATAAAGGCTAAGTTGGGTCTATCTCACATTGAAGAAAGTGAAGTTCTACCATATTCTGATCTAAAATTCATCATTACGCCCAGCTAATCACTCCACTAAAGTATCCTTAAATAAACGAAGGTATCTTAGATTGAATTCCCCAGAGAATAGATGCTCAGATTCTGAAATTGTCATACAGAAAGTTTATGGGAGTGTGCTTATAGGGACAATGCCTATAGAGAGTGAGGGAAGCTGGACTGGGCAGAAGGAAAACTTGAACAGTTGCAATATAGGCTTCAGCAGATGCCACAGGGAGATCAGAGTGGGGGTGGCCCTTCAGTGATGTACCAAATTGAAGCAAGGGGGCTGCATCTTTTACTCTGCATCAGGCAGCCATTGGGTGCCAGCTGCACCTAAGGGCATAACCTTGGGCAAGGCAGCTCCACTTTAGCTAAGGACAAATCTCAGGAAGCAATTCAGCTATGAGCCACTGGCAGTCAACACTCAGGGCCCCAGGGGAATGAGGGCCTCCATCCTAAAGGGAGGGACCTATGCAGCACACCACAGCATCCACTACAGGGGGACAAAAATGGACAAGAAATCTAGCTTTTGTGAAAAACATGTTTTCTTTTATTTAAAATGACACATATTTTATTGCTTAGCTAGGATTTAAACTAATAAAATATATGCTTGGCCTCAGCATTACAGTATACCAGAATTGCACATACTGAAGAAAAAAAAATGTTTTTTTCTGTTGAATAAGGTTCTTCGTTAGGATTTCTGGTC
The DNA here is from genome assembly GCF_000001405.40 of Homo sapiens. Classification (NCBI taxonomy): domain Eukaryota; kingdom Metazoa; phylum Chordata; class Mammalia; order Primates; family Hominidae; genus Homo; species Homo sapiens. Next base: position 60,662,606 of record NC_000015.10, on the reverse strand, counting down.
CTGGAAGCATGCATTATAAATCATATGTGTGTGCAATTCCATATAACGTTTTATTTTTCCACACATGGACATTCCAGAGCGTTAACACATTTTTCTCAATTATAAAAATGAATAATACATTTCCAACCATTTGGGCTCACATAAAATGTATTCATATAGGAACAAAAAGAATGCCTGCAAAGAACTAGTTATACATATTCCATGTTACTTTTTAGATTTTGACAGTTTGCTACTGTCTAATAATTGAGATACAGTATCTGAAATATTTTTGCAGGGCCTATTTATATGCATAGCAAGTCTCTCTTTTTAGTGGTTTATGAGACTCCACCCTCATTTTGCCTGTTAGCAACTACTTGCAAATTAAGCCAGAATTAAGTAGGAGATTAGTGGTGGCTATCAAAGATGGGAACCATCATAAGCTAATAATACCATCCCCCAACTGTTGTCATATGAGAAAAAGCTTCTCAGAAATAATTAATGATAAAGCACAAAATGAATTTTAGTTTCATTCATCAAAATCCCAACATTACCTCTATTTTAATGAAATCTGACTTCCATTTTTCTTCTAAGAATGGGAGATCCCAATAGGAGAAAATAAATCCAAGCCTTCTTCATAGAGTGTGGTTGACTGAGAAAAAGAGGTTAAGTGTTTCCACTCTTTGGTTCAATATACATCTTCCTAACACAGACCTCAGCATTCTAAAGTCCCAAGTTTTTCTCCATGCATTCGTGGGATTTTCACAAGTCAAAATACCCCTGTTCCCTCTGGGACCAGAAGCTTGAGATACCAGGTAGTTCTGGACAAGGGCTGCTAGTTTCACAGGTGCTGAAGTTTCAGAAAAATATCTGAACCTCTCGGGTTCTGATGGAGTCAGGGTTTATCTAAATGGAATTAAATCTTCCGTAGCTTTCCAGTGTTTAGTTCCCGTGCCTCTGCCTTGGAAAAGAGGGGGCCCTTTCAGGTTGATAGTGAAGTTAATTGAGATTATTCTTCCCCTTATTCAAAGAGAATTAATAGATGGGAGAAACCCTTTACCTGGTCTCAAAGTTTCCATGGTTCCAACAGCTTCTACCTGGGAAAATCCCCAACCATTCTTTTGGAGATCCCTGTGTCTGAGTGAAAGGAATTCTGAAACTGCCCATAGACATCAATGGCAGCTTGATCAGTCTGCCCTGGGTATTACCATAATAATTACAAGGTCCCAGGCAGATAGCAGCTTTTTAAGTGGCAAAATCACTGTTAGGACAGTGTCCTGTAACTCACTCTTGGGCCAGGAATCCCATGTATGCTATATCAAGTAACTCATCTACATTTGCCATTTTACAGATTGTGCCTGGCCCAGCACATCCGATTGCATGCCTTGTGCAACTGCACCACTTCTTTACAACACTTGCTGATAGTTAGTACAAATTACAGTGATTTTTTTATATAAAGGTAGCTAATGAGCTGAAATGTAAAGTAATTGCTATTTTCAATGGACAGGATGAATCTGCTCTTTAATTTTTTCCTGAAAAAAAAAAAAAATAACTCCTCTATTTTTTTTTTTTGCCAGAATTTCAGTGAGTGATTCACATTACTGTCAATTACACGCCCTTATTATGGATTACAGCCACTAGGCAGCTGTCCAGGAAAACACAAGTCTGAAAATGCTTCTGTTTTAAGAAAATTAAATTCATGGTTGCTCCTCCTGTGGGCATGTGCAGCAGGCAGGAAGCCTCCACTTTCTTGCCAAGGAAAGGGATAAGGACTTGCCTACTTTATCTGAATTAAATAGCCACTCTGACATCTTGAGATCTTGATACCAATGCCCAGATGTAGGGCTTGGTTTTGGTTTCTAAATAGTTTTTTTTTTCTTTCAGTGTGTGTTACAAAACACAGACTGGTGTTATAAAACAGTATTTCTGGTTATGAGTCACAGCAGTGCCTGTGTGTTACCAGAGAGGCCTCATGGAAGCTGAATGGAGAAACTGTTCACCTCCCTTCTTCCCAAAAGTCGGAGTTGACAGTTTGAGGCTCTTAGCTCTGTTTTCAAAGATGTCCTCGTTGCCAGCATATGCAGGTAGATTTCTTTTTAAGGTGCAGGTGAAACTACAACTGAAAATACTATCTGTGCTGTTAGGCTGCTCCACGGTCTAAGAAATCCAGCTTTTATATGGGCAAAATAAAAGCTGCTAAAGTCTGTCAGAGGTATTCTTCCTAGGAATGGTGTAAGATTTAGCAAAATATCTTTAAAGCATTCCATTAAGGTTGCCTAAATCATTTATGCATTTGGGAAAACTGAGAATTACTTGAGATTTTTCCAGTTCTGAGCCTTTAACTACATTTATATCTGATTCATAGAATAAGACATTTCAAATAATATTGCGATGAAGCTGACCTTCACATTATCTGTGTTCCAGATACATTGTGTCTAAGTAATGTCAGCGTCTAAAAGAAATATTTAAAAGACAAAGGATTGTGAATTGGGTGAAATCAGTTTCACCTCTTAGCTTGTTTAGATGCTAATTCAAGCCAAAAACTGAAAGAAAAAAAAATTTTTAGATGATTGATGAAATTTGAATATTGATTGGTTCTTTAGATGATAGTAAATAATTTTTTAATATTGTCAGGCATAATACTGTCGTGGTAGTGGTTTTTAAAAAATCCTTATTAGTTGAGATGAAGACTGAAGTAGTTGTGGATGAAATGACAAGATATCCAAGATTTACTTTAAAATGCTCCAGAAAATAAGTATGTTGGGGAGGACTGGGAATAAATAAAGCCAGAGTGATAAAATATTGTTTTAGCAGGGGGATGGGAACATAGTGGTAGATTATGCTATTCAATTTTTTTATGAACTCAAAAATGTTTGACTGAGTTCTTTTTTTCACCTCCTTGTTGTCTGTGATTTATCAGATGATTATTTTTACATTTGGGGTTTGATCACTTTGGGTAGTTAGTATTTAGTGAGGAGGACATGACAAGGATGAAGCATATCAAGTTCAGGCAGTCAACGATGATCTCTTGAACTATATAAAGTGTATGCATTGCTATGTAAATTATGCATTGATTGTTAGCATGCAAGTAAGAAAAGTTACCTTTTATACTAAGGTTGTCTGACCTTCCTTTCAGGTAGCGAAAAGGTGCAAGCATTACCTGCTCTTGTTTTAAATTTTTTCCCATGTTTTCATAGTCATTAAGGCCTAGATTTGATTGTTGGATGGACTAGAGGGTTAACTTCACCTCCCATGTTAGAGATGAGGACGTTTTCTCAGGGCAGTGTAATGTGTCTTGTTCAAAGTCAGTTCTACTTGCTTACAGAAGTGGAAGCAAGACTGGGACCCTTCAAAATCAGTACCCTTTTCCACTCTATCATGCTTCGCCAATCTTGTCCTTTAAAATACTCATTAACAATCTTCCCTCCGGGGATCAAAGCAGTTTTCTAAATCCAGACCAGTGACTGAGTGTCAGATGTTCATTTCAGGTAGTGTGGCCCCAAATTATCTTTTCTTTTATTGAACATGATTTCCAAGTTGTGTGATGAGTCCCAGAAGTGATCCTTTTTAATTCTGTTCTTGTTAATGCTCTGCAGCAGGTTTGCGGCATGTTCCTCCTCCTCGGGCTTACACAGACTTTCTGTCAGGGATGGGTCAATATACTCCAATGACAGTCTAGGTAGAAAGGAGGAAACACTTGGCCAGCTGATTCCACAAGGACCATCAGCCACTTCTACAGTGCCTTTCCAAAAGGCACTACAGAAACAGTGCCTTTTTTCTACTTTAAGGTGAAATTCCAAACATCACAATTGAAATAGAAACATTTTCCTTCACATGGGAGAACGGACCCTGTTTAGTCTTTGTGGCCAAAGCTCTTTAAGCACAGACTTACCTGTAACATGTTATCTTCTTTGCACTTAATAGCAGCTCACTGAGATAAAGTAGATTGGGTTGGCATTTATTAAATAATTTTTACAATTTAAAAGAGAGGTTTTCAAGAGTTTTACAAATAGCAACCCTCTGATTTCTAAACACGTGGTTGTGCAGATACATGTGAAAACAGAAATACATACAGAAGGGCTTTGCCCTGTTGGTATGGTCTGTGGGGAGATCAACCATGAAGTCTGGTCCTCTCTTCTGCCCATTGCAGAGATTCTGGATTCTCTTGTCCATCAGATTCCTAAGAAATGCAGATTTTATTTATGCATCCAGGAATCCCCTTGATCTCCCTGACCTCCTACTATATGGAAAGCACCAAGGATAAGAGAAGAAAATGGGCCAGGCACAGTGGCTCATGCCTGTAATCCCAGCACTTTCAGAGGCTGAGGTGGGCGGATCACTTGAGGTCAGGAGTTTGAGACCAGCCTGGCCAACATGATGAAACTAGCTGGGCGTGATGGTGCACACCTGTGATCCCACCTACTCAGGAGGCTGAGGCAGGAGAATCACTGGAACCCAGGAGGCAGAGGCTGCAGTGATCCGAGATCACGCCACTGCACTCCAGCCTGGACAACAGAGCAAGACTCCATCTCCAAAAAAAAAAGAAAAAAAGAAAGAAAAATGTAATCTCCTTCCACCCGCCACTCCCCGCTTTTCCTTTTTTTGGAGGAGGCAGTGGTAGAGAGAGAGAAAGGCCACGAATGCACCATCTAAATATTTTGGATGGAGAGGCCAAGAAAAGAGACAACATAGGAATCCCCACCCCTCACTGGGGGTCCTGGAAGTCACCGTGGATGAAGTGTTGGCTAAGAAATATTCCAGAACCTGAAGAGCAGTGAAGGAGGAACCGAGAGAGCATCTCAGGAGGAGATAAAGGGAAGTGCAGTGATAAACGTGGCAATTTATCTGTGTCCAAGGTATAGTTAATCCTTAGGATTTTATAAACTCATTTTATGTTTTCCTTTTTTTCTTGAAGTATGCCTTATAGAAGACTTAGCTTACTTACAACCCAAGAGAATAATTCTGCAGAGGAGTCAACGATTGGACAGGTGAACACAGGGAAGTACTTTGTTTCCATTTCAGGCTCCCAAGGAGGAGATTCTAAAGGGTCTGCACGCTGGCATAGCTTTTTAAGAACTGGCTCTGTTGTCTACACAGGGAAGTTCATTCCTTTTCTGGACCCTCAATTACAGCATAATCTGACTGGGGAGTAACTCCTTTAGTCCTCCAGGGGCAAAGGAATCCACTTACCTTGGCTTTGTTCATAGAAATATGGTTTGTCCCATTGTCCAGAGCTCTGTGGATTCTGCGTCGGCAGTTGTCATGGAGAGGGCCTGCTTCCCCAGGGGGTGGGGCAGGGGGGTATTGGCATAAGCAAAGCTACAGTTAGACCCACCAAGATGCAATATCCAAAATAAGAGGAGAGGGATGGGGAGAGGGAGAGGAGGAGGAGAAGAAAGAGACGGAGAAGGCAGAAATGCGTAGGTAGCTTTGGAGCTCACCCAGGGGCTTCTTCCACAAGCCAGCCTCCAACCTGGCAATCTGAAGACAAGGCCTTTTACTTTGTTCAAGAAACCCTGGAGATTTGTGGTTTCTAATATTCACGGTGCTGTGTGCCAACCCACATAGCCAATTCTGCAAGCAACTAGTGCTGCAGACACATGACCCATATTTCTCACAAATCCCACTCTTCAGTGGTCTTTCTATTCTTCTAATTATACCAAAAAGAGAGTCACTAGGGAGTAATAATCTCTCTTTTGCTGTTACTTTGTAGTTGGGTCCCAAACCACGGGCTTTCCTCTATCACAGCTTAAGTGTGGTATTTTTATCTTAGAGCAAGCCACCACTAATGGGGAGGAAAGAGGCCTTGGCCTCCTAGAGTGGTGGTCAACAGATTTATCTGTTACTTTTCCTTCCTTTTTAACTCAGGGCCTTATTTGATTTGGCTTGCCTGGACAGACGGGGAGATACCTGCCCAGCAGATTCCAACCAGTGTGCATTGTGTGGTCTGGCTCTGTGGCTTAGTTTTCCAAATCAGATACTCAAATGGTGTGTGTTGTGCAATCCTTAACTAAGTTATATTCCAAGTACTTGGTTTCGAGGAATCTTGCAAAATGGAGGAAGTTCACTATTTCACAAGTTTGATTACTATTGTTTTAAAAAATGAAAAAAAAAGAATCTCAGGGTTCAATGACTTAAAGATTCCTTTTTAATCCATACCTGTCTTATAGAGCATACTGCTGTTTACTTTGTCTAGTAAGTTTTTTATATACATGTGTTATCTCCCCTGCTAAATTGTAAACGCCTTGAAGGCAAGATTGGTGTCTGTCTGTTTTTGTATGCCTCCAAACTCGCTGTACCATTACATAATGAAACAAGGCAGACACATATGCATGCTGCACTGGGGACTCAGAAGGCCCTAGTTTTGAGCCTGCTGTTTCCTGGCTGTGTGATCTGGGGAAATTCCAGCTAGGCCTGGTTTCCGTATCTGCGAAGTGAGGAAGCAGGACTGCGTGGTCTCCCAAACCTCTCTCTTCCTAAATTCTGATTCTAAGGGCCAATCAGATGTTGACTTGGGGGAACTAGAGTTATTCCAGTCTTTATCATCAATTTTTCTCTGAACCTATATCTCAAAAATAGATCATCTAAATTTCTCCAGTTTGGTAGAAAATATTGATTTTTACCTCCATAATACATCAAAAAGAATCCAAAGTGAGAAGTTATTGTACATCGCTAATATAATCACTAAGTGTTAAATTCCTTGAAATTATTCTTTAATCAGCTAGCATGGCTTAATTTATTTTTCTTTAAATTAAAAGGCTTACAAATACTGAACAAGGATGAGGGTCTCAGAAAAGGTGAGGTACGTTGCTATGGTCTGCAGTCCCTGTGCCCAGAATATGTGTGGCCTGTTGACAAATACATGTGTCTGTGTCTGAGGTTGAAAGGTACTCCCCTTTGCCCTTCTTCAGCAGGTATGAGTAAAATCCGACGAAAATGAACATCCAAAGAGACAGAGAAGGTAGAAGTAGTAGGAGACTGACTTCTACTGTAGGAAGCTTTAGGAGAAAGGGGTCACACGCTCTGAATGACATTCATTCTAGCATTTGCTTCCTGACTGCCTACTGTATACCAAACATTCCTCAAGGTGCTGGTATTTGCTAATTGTATTGTACAGTAATTGACACTGCCTCTCCTTCCTGCTTGTCCCCCTGGAGCTTTGAGTCCCTGGAAACACTAAACAGGTATTCTTAAAGCAATTGGCCGCTAAGTGCTGTTTATCATGGCCTATGTCTCCTTTACTTGCTCCCAGGAAAGAGCTTGCTAGGCCTGAAGGGCTCAAACACAACTCTGTAACCGCTGGGGCCTTGCCATGGATATCTGGGTAACTGTACACCCTTCTGAGCCTTAAAGGAATGTTTCTTTCATCCTAAGAAAGAGAGAATTTTTTAAATCAGAAAAGTTTCCATGAGGGCGACAGAGTGAGACTCTGTCTCAAAAATAAATAAATAAATAAATAAAAATTTAAAAAGTTGCCATGAATTTGGTACATTCCATTCTCATGACATCTTTCCCTTATATTTTCAGTGCATCCAACAAATATTACTTTACGAGTCCATCTCATATACCAAGCCCAATACTAGACATAAGAGATGCAGTAAGTGGTAAACAAGTGTATTCGTTTCCTATGGCTTTTATAACAAAATACCACAAACTCGGGACTTAAAACAATGCAAAACTATTCTCTTAAAGTTCCAGAGATCAGAAGTACAAACCCAGTTTTATTGAGCTAACACTCAGCCAGTTCCTTCAGGAGGCTCTAGGGGAATATCTGCTTCCCGACTTCCAGTTTTAGAGGCTACCTGGATTCCTTGTCTCATGGCTCCTTCCTCTGTCTCCAAAGTCAGCGACGTAGCATCGTCCAGTCTACTTCTGTCCCTCTGCTTCCATGGTCACATCACCTTCTGTGTTTCACCCTCTTGTCTACTTCTTATAAGGACCCTGTGATTACATTGAGCCCACCCAGATAATCCAGAATAATCTCCCCATCTCCAGATCCTTAATTTAATCACAGCTGCAAAGTCCCTTTTGCCTAAAATAACATATTTGTAGGTTCCGGGAATTAAGATGTGGACATTGGGGAGTGGGGGTGGGGACACATTACTCAGTTTACTGCGTTAAGGAACACAGCATTTCAAATCTCAGAGAGCCTCGGGTCTACTTGCCTAGTTGCATAGCAAGGGAGAAGTGGGATGGGTTTCTGTTTGCTTGCTTGCTTGCCTGCTTTGTTTTGAATGCTTTATTCTAGTCATGCAGTTTCAGTGCAAACAAATGTGTAAAGTGAAATATGGGAAAAATGTTTGTTAAATTCAAATTGTGTCAAGGTCAAAAATAAATCGGCCTCTTCTAAAACTCTACCTTGAAAACAGTTCAGTGTACCATGGAACATTTTAGGGTACAAATCAAAACAGTTGCATTACCCCTGTCTCAGGATGAGAAGATTGGAATCTTCATTTGCAAAGAGAAGAAATAAGACTTCTCTGTCCTTAGCCGGTGAGAAGCTTTGGTCAACAAGTCTTTATTCAGCAGCTCCTTTGACTAAAATGACAGGCATGCTAAATCCCAGCTATCTAAAGAGGCGGCCTTCACGGGAGAAGAAGAGAAGCTGCTTCTTCATGTAAAGTGTTGGCTGCAAAGGTCAGGGTCTCCTGATAGAATCCTTGCTCCTGTTGAGATTTTAATTGACCCTAAAGCTGTTTGTAGTTTTGGACACTCAAAAGATGAAAAACATGATACCCTAGGGTATCTGAAACACAAATCATAACATTAGGCAAATAAGACAGCCAACATGGAGAAGGAAGAATTTGGCCACTATTTGTAGGAAATATGATATCAGAGTAAAAAAAAAATGAGACAAGGTGGCTGAAACAGGGCTTGAGAGGCAGACACAGTCGGACTCTGAGCTGAGAAAGCCTCTGAAAGTAGACAGTGCCATGAAAAGTCCATTACCATGGGCTCAACTTCCATCACAACCACCTACAAGTAATGTGGCTGTGGGCAGGTTATTTAATCTTTTTGAGTCTTATCCGTAAAAGTAAGATAATAATATCTGGCCGAATAAATAACATGTTGGTATAAGTATGTGCTTCCTCCATGCCTGGCCAATCAACATGCAGTCATTCATAGCAGTCACTTTGTGATGAGGGTGAGGACGGGAGCCCTAGGCTTAGCCCTCCCATCACTCCTTGTTGTACGAGTGCACTTTGTCTTCTGTGGTTTCCCTTGATATTCACTTTGGCCAAACAGAAGACACTGGTTTGTACTTCTGATTTGCTTCATGACCTGAACATGTTCAAATACGCACACACACACACACACACACACACACACACGCATGCACCTGTACACATTATGCCAAAGGACGACCTTGTATCTGTGGCTCATATGTGGCAGCCAGTTTTCCCAGCAAACTCAAGCACTCTAATAAGGGTTTGGGCTTTGCCCAATCAGTTGAGATTTGTCTGCAGGCTCATAGGTCATTCCCCCTAGCAAGCTAAAAAAATCACTTTCAAAGTGGTTCATAACCTGTAGAAACGAAAGCCCACAGCGTAACATCTCAGGTAAAAAATCCAGTGTCACTCAGATCACGCTTACGGGCTGAAGTCTGGTGATTATGAAGTGAACTCTGTTGTTGCAAACCTGTGTGAGCATCAAAGCCTGTCATCACTTTTATTGGCAGGTGCCATGGGCTCAGACAGCAAGAGGGCAGGATGGGAAAGTGCCACTGAGCTAGTCAAACAGAGAAACAATGGAGAGGAAGAGAGCAAGCACCAGCATTGAGCATTTTGATTTTTCTAAAAATGGACCTATTTGTATAGCGGGAACTAATTAAAACTTACGGCCATGTGGTTTGTGTTAAATGTTAAGTGTTTCAAAATGGTTAAATGTGTTCTGTGCACTTGATGGAAATGGGATTCTCTACCAACTAATTGAGGGAAGGGGGAAAACATGGAAGGGATTAGTTTTCTAGAAGGAAAATGAAAATGAAAAAATATGATGCCAATTTACTTTTCTTCCGCATAGGGGATTTGAGAAGATTTATCTTAGCTTTTCTGGAAGGACACATATGCAAATCATAGAACCATGGAATTTCAAGATTAGAAATCCTTTGCAGTGGCCAGTCTAAACTCCTGTCTATTCTCGGGATCTACCACCCTGCATCCGGCTTATGCGCAAAACCTGTCACAGAGAATATTCACTTCTTCATTTCTTTTCAAGGCAGCCCATTCTATTTTCGAGCCAATCTGGCTTTTAGAAAGTTCTTCTGTCTACTAAGTAGGCAATCTGTTTTTTTACAGTCTCTACCCATTGGCCCTACTTATGCCTTTCTTATGCTTTTAATTATCTTTAATAATTTCACAGTTGGAAAAATGAGCTAAGTTGGGTTAAGTAACTTGTGCATTATTACATAGCTACTAAATAGCAGGGCGAGGATTTAAATCAAGGTCTGCCAGAACTGCACGTCTCTTGTTCTTTCCATATGTCACCCAACCTTTCACTCTAGAGGAAAAAAAAAAAAAGGCAGTCTGCTACCTAGCACAGAGGACACCTAACAGGAAGTGAAGGAGAGGTTGAGATCAGAGGCGGGAAGGGAGAATTGGTGAGTGGAGTGATGGAACAAGGTAAAAGGACACCCCTCTTTGATCAGGGCTACACTTTCTTAAGCCAGGCCCCTGTGGTTATCTCAGTGTAGCTCACATCCAGCTATTGACAGCTTTCCACCTGGTGACATGCTTAACGGCCCATGAAATTCTAGCCCTCAGGGCTCAAGCCTGATATTTATGGTTCCCCACATAAACCTAAAGTGGATTGTAAATTTATCTCTCTCAGATTTAGGTGGCTAAAGTGGCTGTTCAAAACTCTGCAAGGGAGAGTGGCCTTTATGGACATGTTGTACTAACTTTTAAAAAGACTGGGGCTGAAGGAGGGTGCAGAAAGCTGTGTGGTTTGTGGGAATGCTCCCAGAAGCCCCCTGGAGTGGAAGCCTTTTTGGTATTGATGTTATGGGGGAAGGGCGGTTGGGTAAAGGGATGTAGCTTGATTTTGTTCCATAGAATAGTGGCATGTTTTGTGTAATCAAAAATCTGTTACAATGAAAAAACCATGAAGGTTTGCAAAGGAGCAATCAAGGGAAGCTGTTCAGCTTCGGCAGGAAACTTTTTCTAAGCTCCAGAGTATGCCAAGTGGATATTGACATAGCTAAGTATGTATGCAGCGGGACATATGTAAATAGGAATACTCTATGTTGAAATCTGGACAAACCTTACTGAGACCTTCTCCAGAGGCAAGCAACGTGTGGTATTTATATGAGATTTGATACATCTGGAAACAGCGGCTTTTTCATCTCTTGCTTCTCGGAGATGAACTTGCACCATATGCAGGGTGTCACTTAAATTTCACCGGCAAGTTCTGACATGTACGTTTAAGAGAAAACTTCCATATGTTTCCATGAAAGGATGGGGACATAGTAACAACCACCAAAGTGATAATATTTCCTCTGCCTCACATCCGCTCCCTAATCAAAACTGTTCAGTATTCTACTCCAAAAGTTTCTTCCTCTTTCCACCGCTGACAATATGCATTGTTAACGGAAGGGAGTGGTCAGGGGCTGTGTGGCGTATTGGAAGGGACTCGGACATTAGAGGCAAAAGGACCCGGGTTTGAATCTTAGCTTTTCTATGTATTTATTGTATAACTTTGGGCTTGTTTCTTAATCTCTAAACCTCAATTTCCTAATCCATCAAAAGGGGATTAAAAATACCAACCAAAACATGGTTATGAGGATAAATGGCACGAAGAATTGAAAACTAAATAGATTTATAAAACAAAAATATTGTTTGCAAAGGGTTGGCATAGTTCCTCCTTTATTCTGGAAGTTAATTTGCTTGGAAATTCAACCATGTACTAAATCTTCCTCCCTAGGGACCAACAGAAAATTGCAAACTCCTGAGTGGAAACCTTCACGAGGGCTCCGCAAATTGGTGCTCTCTTCTCCTGGTTTCATCCCGCAGGAAGAGACAGTCTCCCTATATGAATGTTCACACCATGAGAAACCTTTCTCACCCTCTCTCCGTGGAATTTCTCTCCCCAATTTTTGAGATATCCTCGACTCAAGGCCAAAGCAGTGGTTTGAAAGGTGTTTGGAAACCAATGTGAACCATCGTGCTTTCCCCTCCCCCACTCTGGGGGTGGGATTTTCAGGCCAACTTTTCTGAAGCTACTTGTGAGTTAACCTGAAGTTGGAATGCCCTCCTGAGGTCGAGGCATAAAAGCCAGCAGCGTAAATAGAAACTGAAGCTGAAATAACCATAAATGTTCTCGAACAACTTCAATAGAGAAAGCCTTGTTTGATCCTCTCTAAGCTTCCTGAAACCAAGCTGAATATTTGTTTGTTTTGTGGTAGCTCCACTTTTTTTTTTTTCCTCAGGCCTTTTAATGCATGGCTGTTGGTTTCTGTTTAAAAGGAAAATGCTTTTTCTCAGTAACGATGTTCACATTCTGAAGTTGGTGATACCCACTTCTAAAGGCCATTTTATTGTAAAGATAAAGTTCTGCTAAGTCTTAGGATGAAAAGATAAAGGATGTGGTCAGTTACCATGACTCGTGCTTACCTCCCAAAGTGTGTCATTTGGTGCACATACCTCAAAACGTGTGAACAGAAAGTTTCTAGGTTTATTTTTATACATGGAGATTTGATTCCACGGCAGAGGGAGGGTGTCAAGGTAAATGACTGTGCAAAAATGACAGAACTGCATTTTGAGCTTTCCGTTGCCAGAGATACAAAGGCCAAGTTAAGGTGAGTTTGCTATTCGATTGCTTTTTGAGGGGTCTATTGGTAATTACCACTGCTGTTTAATATTGCAATATTCATGGGACCTCAATGTTTACACAGCTCCATGGATGCTCAATCCAAATTAAACACGCCCAAGAACAACACAGGGAGAAAACACCTGGGGGCAAAGTGAGGGGCTGCAGTCACAAGTGATCAGATCTTTTGCAGAAGATAGCAGTAGAGGGGCCCTTCCTTTTGGCCTCCTTTCTGGCAAATGTGTTTCAACACCGTTAAACTACATATGATATTGGACTGATTAGCAACTCCTAACACAGAATGTTCTGACGTTAGAAGAGCTAGGAAGTGGCGTGTCAGGGCTGACATGCATGGCAGAGTTTTCAGATACACATACAGTGTTTTTTTCTACACCCTGCCTCCAAAATGTCAGTGTCCCTAGGTTTCTGTTTGTTGCAGAGCCCCTCAATATGTGTGTGGGAGGCAGCACTTGAAGCCAAAACAGTAATGGCCAGATCTTCTGTCTGCAGCCATGAACACAAGGAGAAAGTGCCAGGTGTCAGGAGCAAGAATCTTATATGCCGGGGATTTTTTTTTTTTTTCCTGGAAGCAACTGGAAACCAACTTAGTGACACTTAAGTCCTTCACCTGCTACATGACTTCAGCCAGTGTATGTGAGTCAGAGTGGTACCAAGAAGGGCCCTCATCTGAACAGCCACAAAAGTGACGGGCTATGGCTTGGAATGGGAATATTATACTGTGTTCAGAGTCACGGCAACTTGAACTTGGCAGCCTTATCGGCTTCTGAGATTATGAGTGCCCCACAGCCAAGAGCACCTGTGAGGAGAGTTGACTGTGGAGTGGGATATAGATTGAGAAACCTCTTTCATAGCTGACAATCCATGTAAACTCCTTTAATATGTGGATGGTTAAGTAGCAGTTTAAGTGTTGGAATTACCTGGCCCTGCTTTACCATCTTCTATATATTCAGTATAAGACACACTGGGAATTACTGAAAGCTTCCCTCTCCCCCCTCAAAAAGAGTGGATGGTGCTTAGAATTAAGAGGATGTTTCCAGGGTGTCTTTCGTTTCCATCATCAAAGCAGATAAAATTAACTCTATTAGAAACTGAGACCCCCTCCGTGAGGTATATTAGTCATAAGTTCTCTTTGCAAAAAGGCTAGTCTTCAGAGGATTGTTAAGATCAGATTTCATGACAGACATGTTTCAACATATTTGTACTTCTCTGAACATGCTACATTTGCTCTCATGTGTTGTGATTAGCTGGTTTCAGTGTTTAATCCATGGCATGTGGCATTTTTCTGTAGTAGTGTTTCTGTGGAAAACTTTATCCTAGGCTTGTGGAAGACCAGTTATAACGCTTTGGATAAAGTATGTCCAGCATTTCTAAAAGCTGCAGTTTCCTAAGAAAATGATCTACGGGCACCTAAGGTTAAAATCTTCAGAATTATTTTTTGTATTTTCTGAAAGTGATTTTTAAATGAAGTTGAGAAATGGTACTAACAATGCATCCAATATTGATATAATTAGAATATGCATCATACTCTACTAAAGCCAACCTTCTTTAATATGTTCATATATAAACATAAAGAGGTATGTGGTTTATTGTATATCCAATTTTTCATTTATCTGCACCTTCTTCAGGATCATATTTGGAAGGCACCTACGTGCTCACTTGCAAACAGAATGAGACACCGTCATGCTTTCTAAAGCGTGTTCTCTCCTGCCCTCCTCCTCCTCCCTCAGTCTGCCTTATATTAAGTTAGCCAATCGAAGTCAGCATTACAGCCTCCCCTTTGGCCTGTGTTCTCCATCCTCCTTATATAAGCCTTGGTGTCCCCACACCTCTTCACAGCCACCTGGTCCGGCAGCCTGTAATAGCTGTCTCACTCTTCCTCCTCCTCACCTGATGCCTGCGGCTGACCCAACTGCCTCTGGGGTGTGATCCCACAGATTCTGAAAACAGCTGCAGCAGGCTGAGGGTGGCTTCCTGGTCACGTTCATCCAGATACAGAGAAGGCTCTATATCAATAATGGGCATCCTCTGATGTGTACTTTTCTCTCAACAGTAAACACCTTATATGATGTTTTTCAGTATCTCCTGAGTATAAGGTGCTGGGCTCTTCTCTCTTTCTGAACAGTTCTGGTTCTTTAGTCCTAGTGCAGAGACAGCCTTTGTGATTAAAAGACAAAAAAATGTACTAGTAATAATAAGATTTTCCAAGGCAGTCACCCAGTCCTCTCTTCTGGTTTGTTTTTCTGTCTTTCCCTCACCTCCTCACTCCTGCCTTGGGACCAGTTGTGCTTTTGCTCAATTCATTCAGCAAACAATTAGCAACAAAGCTGCAGGCTCTGGCAGTGATCAAAACGCTGGCTGAATCTGCCAAGGTCTTCCAAGCACTTAGAAGAAAGGCCAGGATCCGCAAAGCCAGGCAGATTTCGGGTGTCACCTATGCAGGGCTTCATAAGTCTCTGTCTTTTCTGGCTCAGGGAACTACCCCATGGGGTCACTCACAAACGTGTATGCCTTCCCTCTGTCTTCTATCTGAGTGCGGCTTAAGGGTATAAGCACTAAGGAAAAAGCTTAAGCCATCACAGCATATCTGAGCATAAAGGAAAGATAGATAAAGTCCTTATACAAGAAAACTGAGGCCTAGAGTTGGCAAGCTATACCCAGAAAGTTAGCAGGAAGGGCCACAGAATGTACTCGAACAAAAGCAAGAATGACATGGCCCATTTCCCAGTCAATACCAAGTGAACCATTTTGGAATGAGAATAGCTAGTTACATCTCTTGCTAGACTCCTCTTCCAGGTCATAAACACCTCCTACCAACAGGTTACTGAGCCCAAAAATAAATATGGGAAATTTGCGTGTATGCTGCACTTTGTATTTTCTGCCTCCTTCTCAATCCTTAATTAAGCTCCGCAGCCACCCTGTGAAGCCGGTCATTATCACTGGGTGAGGAAACGGAGTCCCACAGGAGCTATGTGACTTGCCCAAGCATACGAGCCAGACAGGCTGGGCAGGGTGAGACTTTCCAGTTTCTGATGCCCACGCCCCATGTGCAATCCAGCCTCATCACCCTGGGTCTTGGTGCAGGGAGTAAATAAACAAATGGTCACATTGCTTTTACTTCTGGAGAGCAATGGGTTCTTATTCAAAATAGGAACAAGGGGCAAAACAAATGGCAAGTAGTAACAAAAGTATTGGGGGACAGTGGTGCCACCATTCGGGGGCTTGGAAGTCTGGTCTTTCTGAAGCAGTGCATTCACTTTTAAGTTTCTCTTTATTGTTCACATACCCGGGTTTTATTCAGCAAAAGTGACACATGTCTCACTAGGCAATGGGAATTCAAAAGTGATACCATGAGGTCCACCTTGTATTAAGGTTCAAAGTCATGTGATCCTATGTGATACAGGCTGTAATAGAGAGATATCTGGAGAAATATAGAAGTTCAGGAGAGGAAATTACCCTCCCTGGGGAATCAGGGAAGGTTCCATAGATAAGGTGACATTTAAATAGAATCTGAAAAGATGAATTAAGAGTTTGCGAGTTGGAAGCAAGGAAAAAGAGCATTTGGGCAGCTATGGTAGAGGTTTGATAAATTATGACTTCAGAGTTTACCCCCATATTCAAATCATGTTCCCTATAACTTACAGTGGAAAACTATGAAACAATAAGCTTGGCCCTCAACTCTGGTGACAAATAAACTCTCCCTGTCCTTTGAGATGTCCCTCAATGTACTTTTCCAATGCCAAATGAAGGTCAAGACTTTGCCAGGGTGTCTGAGAATTCCTAGCTTTCAGAGCATACGGGCGAGGCCCCGAAGTTGTGTTTTCATGCTCACATATGGTGCGGAATTTCTGCTTTTTACTGATTTGTTTCAGTTTATCCAGATATCTTTTACATAGAGAAGTGTGTATATGCGTCTGTGTGTATATGGCACGTATATGTATATGCTGTATATATGTATGATAACATATAACGAAATCAGCCCCTTAATTTTTTAAAAAAAAAAAAAAACCCTATTTCACTGAACATTTTACTGCAGTGGGAAGAAGAGGATGGGTAGTAAATAATGGGCTTCCTTCACATTAACACAAATGACTTCTAATTGATCTGTAAGGAAATTGGTCACCTTGGCTGATGCCTATAATCCCAGCACTTTGGGAGGCTGAGGCGGGTGGATCACTTGAGGCCAGGAGTTCGAGACCAGCCTGGGCAACACGGTGAAACCCCGTCTTTACAAAAAAATACAAAAATTAGCCAGGCGTGATGGCGCATGCCTGTAGTCCCAGCTATTCAGGAGGCAGAAGCAGGAGAATTGCTTGAACCCAGGAGGCAGAGGTTGCAGTGAGCCAGCAGAGTGAGACTCTGCCTCAAAAAAAAAAAAAAAAAAATTTATCTGTCAAGACCTTGTTGTTAGAATCTTCTAGCAGCTGAGCCACTGTAGATTTTTTTTTCATCATAGCCATTTTGCCACATGCCCTTTCATCTCCCTCCTTTGTCCTTTTTGCCACTCTCATCCATCTTCTCTCTCTCCCACCCTGAGATTCCTACTTCCTCCTCTCCTCCTTCCTTCTCTCCTTCCCCCTCCCTCATGCCACGATCCTCCTCGCCCAACAGTCTCTTGATTCCTGCCACTCATATCCTCAAGGTCATAGCTTATCATGGAATTTTTGTAAACCGGGACAGTTCCTTCCCTAAGAGAGATTTTGGAATTACAGTGTTTTTAATTTCTACTTGTTCATCTGTGACTCATTATATATCAGCACATGGCATACTTCCTGGCAATAAAGGGAAAATCAATATTATTTATTCTATAGATGACTCAGTTAACGAAATAGTACTTTGAGGAGGATTGCCTTTTCCTATTGTTTTACTATACTGTAATTCTGGCCTTGAATACTGAAAAAAAGAAGGCTTAGCCACCTTCATAAGACGGGCCCAGTGATTGGCCCCCGCAAGGAGAGATCCTCCAGCCACTGAAATCAGGCTCCCTAAATACTCCAAAGGTCATGTTCATTAGGCCAAGTGGCTACTTGGTCAGGACTTCCTAAAAGTCCAGGAAGGAGGACACACACCAGCCACAGAACACGGTTTGTCTCTTTGGGAAGAGAGAGAAGGAGGCATGGAAATGTGAAGGATACAACCATAACCTTTCATTTCTTTTGAAATGAGCTCAAATAGATTGGTCTAAATGTAAAACAGATGTGAAAATTTGGGAATAAGGACATGAGTTTACCATGTCTCTGCATGTTTACACGTTAATACTTTGCCGTTTTAAAAATATTCCATAATTTTTAAAAAGAGAAATCCCATGTCAAAGATTCCAATTGAAAATGAAGTTGCCCTTCTAATGAAGAGACATTTCAAAATATAATCTTCTTCCAAGAAGAGACGTATCTGGGGCCGTCAGCCCCCCAAAACAGGAGACGACTTTCAATGAATGTTATTAGCATGGGGCAAAAACCTCAAGTTTCACAAGAAGTTCTTGTTGCTTGAGTTCTTTGAGGCCTTTGTCTCTTACCACTGTTAATGTGTTTAAATAATTAGGGGCCTGTGTCAAAGACTCACATACCTGTCCACAGAAGCCTTCCCTGGTTGTTTGAAAGTCTTAAAATCTTGGTAAAATAGTCCTCTCTCCTCTCCCTCATGCTGCCTGTATAAGAAATGTTACAAAGAGCTTTAAGGAATTTTCTCAAATTAGTCCCCTCCTCAAGTCTTTTTCAAGGCAACATGGAAATAGTATTGCAAAATCAATCTTTTTTTTTTAATCCCAGTGGCTTCCTGTGCTATTCTAGTAACTTCCTGGGAAGGTGAGAGAAATGCACAGACATTCCCAAAGTCACTTTGGTTACTAATAAGTCTCAGAGAAGCCCTCATCACGAGGTTCTGTCCAAGCTGCCACACACTGTCCTGAACCTTCCTTCTCAGTTTTTTATTTATTTTTTCCCATTCTAGAACAGCCAGCAAATGATTTCACACCTTTTTGTTTAGCTGCTAAAAGCAACACAATAACTCCCCTCAGGGCTGCCTCTGTGGGTTCCAAAAATAAAATGGGCTCATTTTCATGCTAAGCATTCAAAGGCTCATAGGAATTCTAATGAAAGGCAAAGGAAGGAAAGAAGGAAGGAGAAAAGAGGGGTCAGGCTAGGGGGTGTCGCCAAGGAGGTTCAGCTTCTGCCTGGAGTTATAAGCCACCCCTGCTGGAAGGCATAGGTAGAAAATAACATAGTGCCTAGGCTGCAGATTAAAAGGAGATCTAATACAACTCTTAAACTCTCCAGCCTTATCTTCTTATCTTCTATCCTCAAACCCAGGGTTATTCTTGGAACACAAACTATTGTTCACCAAGAAGAGTGGTAGCCTCCTTCAGCCTTCCAGATTAGAAATCTCTCGAATAGGAAATAGCCAGTGACTTGCTTCCAAGTCAGAATATAAAACCATGGATCTCTGAGATTCTAGGTTAACTTTTGAAATTCAAAGTTCTCTGGGCCTAGGTCATTAGCAATAGCAGACTTATCATATTCCACACATGACAGAGTAGAAAGAACACTATTGATGCAAACCAAAGAATATTAACCAACATAGAATACATAAAAAGATTTCTTTTTAATTTAACTTAATGTGTGCATGTATGTATGTATGTATTTGTTTTGAGACCAAGTTTCGCTCTGTCGCCCAGGCTGATGGAGTGCAGTGGCGCAATCTTGGCTCACTGCAACCTTCGCCTTCCGGATTCAAGCAATTCTCATGCCTCAGCCTCCCGAGTAGCTGGGATTACAGGTGCACTTCACCAGGCCCAACTAATTTTTGCGTTTTTAAAAGAGGTGGGGTTTCGCCATGTTGCTCAGGCTGGTCTCAAACTCCTGGGCTCAAGCAATCCACTGACCTCAACCTCCCAAATGGCTGCCACCGGGCCCAGCCTGTATTTATTTTTTAAAGACAGTGTCTCTCTCTGTTGCCCAGGCTGGAGTGCAATGGCGTGATCATAGCTCACTGAATGCCTAGGCTTAAGCAATCCTCTCACCTCAGCACCTAGAGTAGCAAGGACTACTGGCATGCCACTACCACACTTGGCTAATTTTTAAATTTTTTTTGTAAATTTTTTGTTGCCTAGGCTGGTCTTGAACTTCCGGGCTCAAGTGATTCTCCTACCTCAGCCTCCCAAAGCACTGGGACTACAGGTGTGAACCACTATGCCGAGCAGTGTGAAGAGATTTCACTGAGAGCTTCCCGGAAGTGTGCATGTTACCCATCTACAGTAAGAGGAATCCTTGTAGGAAGGACATAGCTGACTAGCAGTTTACTTGCCTGAAATTTTAACATCCAGAAAAGGCAGCTGCTCATTATATTTCTAAGCAGGGCTTTACTTAGGTATGAGGCCAGACTGTTGGAAATGTCCTACACTGACTGGACCAACTCTGCCTTTCAGTAGCTTCTACTCACCGGTTCCAAATTTGTCCCACGGAATGGCACCAAATCTGTCTTTTCAGATTTGGTCCCAGTAATTGACAACTATCAGGTCTCTACCATCCCCTCCTTTTTAAGTTAGGCATTCCCATTTTCTTCTTTTTTTTTTCTCCTCACTTGGTTTCTACTTACTTCCCTGGGATGTGATCCACTTTACCGTGTCCCTCTTAAAGCACGGCCCCAGCAGTGGTCTCACGTGCACAGAGCACAGTGGAAAGAATGACTCCCTGAGCTAAAGGACATACTATTCACACAGCCCGAGCTCACCTGAGCCACTTCTTTCAGCAGATGTGTTATATTGTGGGGTCACTTTCCTTTTCAAGATCTGTGAAGAAAGGGCATGCTAAGCAAACTCTAAATAGGTTTGCTCAGAGAATCGCAATGCTACTTAAAGGTACCAAATTTTTAAATGGGTTAGAAGGATCCTTTGACATACAAATACTTGACATGCAAAATATAAGTCCTTATTTTTTTTTTATTAAAGCAGATACCCGAAGTGCCTCTACTTGGTAAACTTAATATGAGTTACTGTATGTTGAGTGTTTGAAAATTTTCTAATTGTGTTTCTTTAAAATTATCCCAGGATTTAGTCTTTCTGTCCAAGGAATCATAGAATCTTTAGAAATGGAAAGGAAGCTGGGCGTGGTGGTTCATGCCTGTAATCCCAGCACTTTGGGAGGCTGAGGCGGGCGGATCACCTGAGGTCAGGAGTTCGAGACCAGCCCGGCCAACATGGTGAAACCCCGTCTCTACTAAAAATACAAAAAATTAGCCAGGCATAGTGGCACATGCCTGTAATCCCAGCTACTCGAGAGGCTGAGGCAGGAGAATCACTTGAACCCAGGACGCGGAGGTTGCAGGGAGCTGAGATTGTGCCATTGCACTCCAGTCTGGGCAACAGAGCAAGACTCCATCTTAAAAAAAAAGAAATGGAAAGGACATAGATTTTTCAAATCCAGTCACCAACTTTCAGGACGATATTTTTATCCCATTATACGTATTTATTCAGAATCCATTCTTCACATGCTTCCCAAGGGCCTCCTAGGTACAGGCATTGTTCTAGGTTTACTCAGCAATGAAAAGCATAGTCCCACACCAGGTGTGGTGGCTCTTGCCTGTAATCCCAGCACTTTGGGAGGCTGAGGCAGACGAGTCACTTGAGGCCAGGAGTTCGAGACCATCCTGGGCAATGTGGCGAGACCCCATCTCTACAAAAATACAAAAAATTAGCTGGGCATGGTTGTACACACC
Organism: Homo sapiens; assembly: GCF_000001405.40. NCBI lineage: Eukaryota > Metazoa > Chordata > Mammalia > Primates > Hominidae > Homo > Homo sapiens. The sequence goes on along the minus strand of NC_000015.10, from coordinate 60,641,093 downwards.
TGTAGTCCAGCTACTCAGGAGGTTAAGGTGGGAGGATGGCTTGAGCCCAGGAGGTCAAGGCTACAGTGAGCTGAGATCACGCCACTGAACTACCACCTGGGCAATAGAGCGAGATTCTGTCTCAAAAAAAATTAAAAGAAGAGAAAAGCATAGTCCCCTTTTTTCCTGGAGCTCACATTCTCATGGGGGAAAACAGAAAATAAACAGATAAACAGTATTTAAGATACTTTCACATAGTGACAAGTGCTATGAAGAAAATAAATTAGGGCTGTGATAGAGAGTGACTAGGTCAAGGATGACAAATTTTAGGAGGGAACATTTGACCTAGGAGAAGGTTTCAAGCACAGGAGAATCTAGAAGAAGCATCTTCCAAGCCATGGAAACAGCAAATTAAAAGGCCCTGCGGTAGAAATAAACTTGGAGTGTTCTGGAAACTGAAAAGGGCCAGTACAACCGGAAAAAAAAAATTTTATAGAAGAAAAAAGCAGTAGCAAGTGGAGTCTAAAAGGAAAGCGGTAGGCAGGGGCTTGATCACATGGGCCTTTGAAGGCTGTGGTGAGGAGCTTGGATTTTACTCTAAGTTCAGCCACGGGAGGGTTTTAGGCAGGGTAGGGGCATGATGTGATTTACATTTTTAAAATGCCCTCTCTGCCTGCTATGTGGAGATGGATTGCACTGGGTTTAAAAACAGAAGGAGGAAAACCAGTTAGGAAGGCATCGCAACGGCCTACACGTTGGACTGACATGGCAGCAATGACAATAGAGAGAAGTGGATAAATTCTAAATATATTCCGGAGGTAGAACCAATAGGACTTGCTAAGAGAGATGCAACTGATGTCCAGGGGGCTTAAATGATTTGCCTAAAAGGGGAGAAGGGGAAGGGCGCCAACAAATGCTGAGCACTTAGTAGTGCCATGTACTTTACTCCTCACATGAATCCTAGTGATGCTGCGAGAGGAATATTATTTTACCCACATCTTCTATATGAGGACTCTCAGGCTCAGAGAAGTTAAGTAATTAACTCCAAATCAAACAAAGGGTAAGTGATAAAGCTGGGATGCCAACCCATGCCTGTTTGGCTCCATATCTCACAGTCTCCCTCCACGATACAACAGTGTTTTCCAAAGCAATGATAGGGGAGAAACTCTGAGCACAGACTCCTGGGGTAGGGCTCCTTCTACCCTTTTCTTGCAAATTATTGATGCTTTATGACATTGTAAGCAAATACCATCATCAACTGCACATCTTCCCATGTCATTATATTTAACCAAAACAAGGACGCCTTTCTCTCATTACTCTTCTACCACCTTCCCATGTTCCTCACAACCCGTGAGTCAGGGTCGGCTCAGCTCTATGCACTTTAACTATGAGAGACAGGAGCCCGCCTCCCCTCCTGAGGTGCTGTAGCTGGAAATTGCTTGTGCAACCCGATGACAACTTTTCTATATTTAGCAGAAAAAGTGGTGGCAAGGATCTGTCCAGCTCAATTTTTTTTACAGTTTCAATGTTCGAAATCTCTCAGACAATCTCCTGAAAGGCACATTGGCCTTGACAGTATCTGAGCGGAAGGAAATTTTCCCCATCTCACAGGGCTGTCCACTGGAAGCCGGGACGTGGAGATCCACTGTAGAGCAGAGACTTGACATGCCAAACGCTCCTCCCACACCTTGCTCTACACCCCACGAAACGGGGAGACACTGGTCCCGTTGAAGCTTCGATGGCTTTTAAGTGTTATTCTAAGAAGGGAAAATAAGCATGAAAGATTCAAGGGGGAAATGGACTATCTCTTAATTGTTTATGCCTTTAATTGACATGTATGGCACTTGGTTTTTATTTCTTTTCAATGTGGCATGCAAAAAAAAAAAAAAAAAAAATACAAAAACCTGCTTATGGTTTAAAGAACAAAGATAAACTTGCCTGATTGAAACGGGGAGGAGGGGGGTGGTGAAAAAACTGCAGCAGGTATTTCAAGTGCTTACTATGACAAAATCATTGTCACAGAGACTGCCCATCACTGATACTTAAAGTGACTAATTAGAGAAGGAGGCACGGTTTCGCTGTTCTCAAGCCAGACTAACGCAGATATAGTATATTGCCCGTGACTCTGACCCTCATCCCCGTTGGTCAGCCAGAGAGAATTATCTACTAATGAAAAGCATAAAAATTAAGAAGAGCTAAGAAAAGGGGAAAGTAGAGACCATTAAAGTAAAATGGGAATCTTTAAGACAGTAAAATAGTGCCAACTGTATCACAAAAAGGGAAGGTGCAGGGAAAAAAAATTATTTCCACTGAAAACTTACTTATAGCCCTCTGCTTTTTAACATGCAAGATGTATCAGTCGTTGGTTGTCAAGGGAAAAAAGCCCACTACAAAAGAATTCCTATTAGCTTTAGAAATAGCAGTTTTAAGGAGTAGTTTTTTCATAACTTCATCCAGTCCCCAACCTCATTTTGGGTGAAATCTTATTCGGAGGAAAAGCACTTGGTTTAGCTATGTCCTGTCTCATTTTCACAAAACCTCTTCTAATGAGATGAGTTTTAGTGTTTCTGTGTCTATTAAGGTAAGAGGTGAAGAAATAGAAAATCCACTTTTTGTAACTTTGCACTTCTTGGGACTAATGCTTCCAGTACTGGGTTCTAGATGTTAATTAACAGGCCATTATTAAGAAAAAAAGCTTTTATACCATTTGACAAAAAAAAAAAAAAAAGAAAAGAAAATACAGTTAAATAAGGACAAGAAAAAAATCACCTATAACCCCATCACCTTAAGCTATCCACTGTTAACAAGCCTTAAAAAGAAAACAAAATTATTTGGCACACACCTTGTAGAACCCCACCAGGACTGTCGTAATTCAGGCCTTCTCTCATTTTTTATTTTGTGACAGTTTCTGGCAATTTTCTACAGATAGATGGGTTGATATCTTTACTCGTGCCCTAGAAGAGAGAGGATCTTTTTAACATTAAATGTCTCAATCTCCTCACTGGAAATTTTCTTTACTTAAGATGAACCAAAAGGTACCTAATTCTTCTTTATATTACTGTTTCTACAAATGTCAAGAAAGTCCTTTCTGATTTTCTGTGTCATAGCATGAACCCCACCCTTTATAGACACAAGAGCTAACACTGCATCGTTTTCACCTAAGACCTAAAACTTTAAAGGCAAAGATTCTCTTTCTCCAATAATTTTAGACAGCCTTCTGGTATGTCATCTTGGCCACCTTTTAAGTTGAAAGAAATAAGAATAGTTAAAAGAACTTTAGAAAAAAAAGAAAGAAAAAAAGAAAGAAAAGGACTAGGGATGGAGAAACTACTGATAAATGAATAGGCAAAGAGATCAGTAAAGTGCTGAAAGAAAACCCCAAAACATAATCTCGCATATGTAAAAAGAATCTTGCATATGTGTCAATAGAATACATATATAAGCTGTGGGGAAAAAGTAATAAATTGTGCATGATGATTTTTAGCTTATCAGAGAAAAATAAATTTTTTTCACGCCGTATAACAAATCCTAGATAAATTCAAGAAATATTTTTGAAAAATTAATTAAATAACGAGAATGTATTTCTGCATATTTATCTAGATACAGGCAGATTTTCTCTACTTTACAGTAATAGAAGAAATTACAGAATACAAAGTTCAATACATTGAAATATAGAGAAAAATAAAATTTTTGTATGTCAAAAAAGATCATAAACAATCAGCAAAAAGGACAAAAAGCAAACTGATAAGAAGATGTATTTTTTCAAATATTAAGGCACAAAATAAATAACCTTAATATATAATGTGTTTCATTAGTCTGTAAACAATTTTCAGCCTTACCAGTAAATACAAAGTATCAGAGGCCTAACAAGATAGCATGATTTTTAAATGACATTAATCAATTCAGTCAGTTTCAGAAAGACATTAATATACTGTGAATATAAATTGATACAGCTTTCTTGGCGATAGGTACTAAAGTCTTGAAAATGATGATACTCTTTGATTTGGTAATCCTACTTCCAGTAGATTATTCTAAGGAAATAATTTAAAAAGTAAAGATTAATGCACACAAAAACCATGTTTATTTAATACTATTTATAATGGCTAAAATTCTAAACACTCTGAATGTCCTTTATTAGGAAAATTATTAATAAATTATAATATAGTCATATGATGGCAAATTATACTGCCATTAAAATAATATTTAAAGAATTAATAAACACATGAGAAAATATTTTTGATTGAATAAAAAGTAGTATGTGAAATTCTGTGCACAGAATGATTTTAGTTGTGAAGATTTTTAAAAGCATACGAAAAAATAGAGAAAATACTGGCAAGAACCCTCCCTGGATGGTAGTGGTGGTTGCATTTGGCTAATAAGATAATATGATGCGGTGATATTTTGTAGGCTTCTTTTAACTTCTTTCTAAGTTTCAAATTTTCTACCAGGTATATATGTATTATTTTTAGAACCTTTTAAAAAATAAGAAAAATCAAACTACAAAAACAAAAAAGAGCCAATGGTAGGCATCCTTTTCCTTCAGAAATCTATGTCTTGTACTGGTTAGTAGGGATAATCAGATACTTCTAAGCCAAGAGTGGTACTATTACCTACTTTTATTCAAGTTCACTCCAGAGGGCAGATTGCTAGATGATTTTGGGGGGCGGGGATTCGCTATTAAAAGTAATTGCAAAAACCACAATTACTTTTGCATCAACCTAATACTTTCTCTTCTTGCCCTTTCTCAGGTTTTAGTTTCCTCTTCTCTTTTATTCCTTCCTCCCACATTTGATGCAAGTAAAAGCCAGGGGAATGTAAGCATCACATCCCTACCTCTTTCTAGGAATAGAAAGATGGGATTGTTTTCACCTGTCTTCCAAGCCTGGGTGGACAGACAGTAGATGAAGAACATCGGTTTCTTGTTCAGGAAAGGGAAGAAGTGGTTTCTGTGGGACATGGGTGAGCTTCTTTAGCTCTCATTCTTGTAGAACTAAGGTTTCTAGATACACACAGAACATTCTTCCTCAAGGAGTTCATTTGAGAATCACACAGAGAGACTATTTAACCTGAAGAGAGCTTTCGGCATTTTAAAAATGGCAAGTCTTACAGACTCCATAACCACTACCACTGCTACCACCACAACCACAGAGAGAGCCAGATCTGAAAATACAGGAACTGATCTGAAAATATAGGAACTGAAAATTCAGTCAGTCAAATTTGGAGTTGATTTGGGCAGAGGATAGGAGATGAACAGGCTGAGGATGTTTCTCCAGCCAAGACAAGAGTGCAGCATTTTTTTTAGTTGAAATTAAAAAGAAAATGCAGAGTGTACTTTGTCCCACTCATTTACCCTAACGATCTTCAGCGTGTCTCTGTTTCTAAGGAAGTGGAGGGCCCAAGTCTCTGATTCATTTCCGGAATGCCACATAGCACCCTTGGATGAAAGCTCCTCTATCCAAGACGACTTTGGAAACGCCTTTTAAAGTGTTCTTTCCCTTTACATCTTGGAGTTCCATTTTGATGGCAGAAAGTATATTTTAATCAATAGAGTCAAATGCAGTTAACATCTGAGTACACAGATTTTGAATATGTCTGGCAAGAAACACCTTAATAAAGATGACAACTTGACAACCTCCTACAATTTATTACATAATTAATTGTGGCTATTTTTTAAATATCTAGAACCCAGGAACCAGGAAACTCCAGCTTTTAAAATCAAATTATCTTTGCATTTAGTTCTCCCCCTTTCTCCCTTCTCCACATCAAAAAAATCTAATTTATTCCAAAACACAGAATTCAGCAATACACTACCATCACCCTAAGGTTTAACATTCTTCCTACTAAGAATAAGTTAAAACAGCACATTATCCTCAAATTTGGAGGTTAGGAAGAGAAATATATGGGAAGATATAACAGCTATCCTTAAATTGCAATTTGAGGGCCACCGTCATTTGCATTCTGCTTGCCCTGAGGCGGCACATCGATGTGCAGAGTCATGGTGGCGGCAGCCTGGCCTGGGTGACAGAAACCATTAAAGGGAAGCAGAGGGGCAGGCCGTGCTCCGTGGGTTTCATTAGCTTACTTCTTGTGTAGGAGGCAAAAGGTATCTGCAGGGCTCTGGGCTTGCTAACCAAACCGTTAATCGCTTAGAAACAGCAAGAAGTTCACTAGTGAGATGTTTATCACATACCTGGAACACGAGTTGACTTTCTGTGAGACATCATTCTGGAATGAAAGCCAAAATCTCTCTGCTATTCAGTTGAGGCTGAAAAAACAATCACATCAGAATTAGTAAGGCAAAAGACAAAGAGAGAGAAATGAAAACAAGCCAGTATTCAATGGGGCTAGGGGGAAAATTACCTGGGCTTCAGGAATTACAGGAGAGTTGGGGTTTTGAGAAGGTAAAAAAGTGGGCCAGGTGCGGTGGCTCAAGCTTGTAATCCCAGCACTTTGGAACGCCAAGGCAGGTGGATCACGAGCTCAAGAGATTGAGACCAGCCTGGCCAACATGGTGAAACCCTGTCTCTACTAAAAACACAAAAATTAGCCGGGCGTGGTGGCGGGCGCCTGTAGTCCCAGCTACTCCAGAGGCTGAGGCAGGAGAATCGCTTGAACCCGGGAGGGGGAGGTTGCAGTGAGCCGAGATTGTGTCTCAGTGCTCCAGCCTGGCAACAGAGCGAGACTCTGGCTCAAAAAAAAGAAAAAAAAAAAAAAAGTGGTAGCACTGCTTCTCTCAGAAAGACAAATGTCTGGAATACACAAGTGGCACTGAATGTCTCAGGTCACTGAGAGAGGCTGGACAGAGGACTGTGGGAAAGTGCAAGTACTAGGTGACTTTAAAGGACATCCCAAAAGTCCAGGTTGAAGTGATTTTTAATGAGAATGTGCATGCTGTGTATCTTTTTTACGTATTCTAAAAGTAATAGACAATTACAATTATTTTAAAACTCCATCATTACAGAAAAACATAATATTAAAAAGACCCCACCCAGAGATTATCACTGTGAAAAGCTGGGGGTATTCTTCATATTTCTAAAGAATATACTAACATATATTTTAGTCTGTACATGTATATTTAATTCTTTGCTTCAACAAGCCGTTGAAAAGGATACTCAGTTTGTAACTTCACAGCCATGTGAAGAAGAAAAGAATATTTAGGGATCATTGGTACATAATACCTTGCATCTCTCTGCAGCATATGAAATTGAGTTTCAACCCTATTTAAAGAAGGATTTCCCTGGTAAAAATACCTTTATATACATTTCTCAGGTTGGAGGAAGATAAAAGAAACTACATATGATATTTGGGCTGGGCAGTTTATTTTCATCATGGTTCCTTTTAATTACTCAGCAATTTCAGGCAATCATCCACTTTCACACCATAGTTTTCCCTTGTATACAATGGGAAGAGGGATAGAAAATCTGAACTTGGGGACTTGGTCTCTGAGCACTGCTACCAACTACACCTGCCTTTTGGCAAATACCCAACTCTTCTCAGCTGAGGTCACACATTCTGCCAGCTCTCAGGAACCAGGAGGCTCAATTACCTGTATTTTCAAAGACCTCTGAACTCTCTTAGGAAGGGGGCTATTTAAGTTCAGCGTCACATTATCCAGTTCCTGAAGCATTCATTTTATAGAGATAGGGAAGAAAAGTTCAGAGATTGAGCTGTGCTCCAAAGGAAGTTTGGAAAAACGTTTTCTATATATTATAAGTTAAAGAAATGCTTTGTGGTTTGAGAAAAATCACACTATGCTTCCACACAAATAATATACATCTCAGAAATAAAATGCTTAAATTAAATATTAATTTAAGATCATCAGAATTCGAACTGGCACACGTTCACCTTCTCCTTCCTTTACTGCAAGGTGCTCTGTGGTTATCTGCTACCAACACAAACCTGTGAAAAGTGCAGCATTGCTGCTGTCACTTTATAGGTGCTGCTGTGGCATGACCTGGTCTGCATATTCTCAGATCTCAGAGCCAGCACCAGATTGTGATGAAGTTTCCACAAAAATGAGGGCAATCCATTGTAAAGCTGCCAACTTTATTTAAGAAATAAAGAAGAGAGTGTCCTTCCTACTTTTGGGGTATTGAAATGTTGCTTTCTTTTATGAATTAATGGTAATTGAAGATGGTAGCTGTGGGGTTTTTTTAAACACCCTTTTTTGATCAAATTTAAACTTGGCAACAGTATATTGATCTTCTCACAATTTCCCAATTTCCTTTTCTTTTCTTTTCTTTTTGGATTTTACTGGCCTGCAAAATCCAGTCTCTGGAAAATATCAGTCTATGGCTAATTCTGTCCATATGGTAATAGAGAGAATGCAGATAATCACCATTTTTAGCTCAAAGTAGCAAATCCCTCCCCTCCCAAAACTTGTGCCTCAGCTAATGATAAGTAGGACACCCGATGCGTGTGAGTTGTATTTCTCCCTCCACCCTCTAATAGGAGTCCTAAAATTAAGCCACAGAAGGTCAGAAAAGAATGAAGCAAGGGGAAAAATAATAATAAATAAATAAACCAGCTGGTTAATGGACTCAGTGTCGATGAACAATGAATAAAAGTATGCCCTATCATTATTTGGAATATACTAAAAAATTATTCATTGTGTATTTGAAATTCAAATTTAACTGGGAACCCTGCATTTTCTCGGGCCAACCTACACCTAAGTCTATCTGACCCTTTAGAAAATACATAGGTAGTGAGGCCGGGCGCAGTGGCTCATGCATGTAATCCCAGCACTTTGGGAGGCCGAGGCGGGCAGATCACGAGGTCAGGAGATCGAGACCATCCTGGCTAACACGGTGAAACCCCCGTCTCTACTAAAAATAGAAAAAAATTACCTGGGTGTAGTGGCAGGTTCCTGTAGTCCCAGCTACTTGGGAGGCTGAGGCAGGAGAATGGCGTGAATCCGGGAGGTGGAGCTTGCAGTGAGCCAGGATGCGCCACTGCACTCCAGCCTGGACAACAGAGTGAGACTCCGTCTAAAAAAAAAAAAAATAGGTAGTGAAACATGAATTTAAGTAGCTACTACACATAAATAGTTATTAATAAAATACTCTTTCGGTTCTCTTGGGGCTTTCTAGTTTTCTTGTCTACGTGTGAAATATTTAGATTATTGGGTTCTTATAAAAGTATACCCACCTTCTATTAAACCCGGAGAAGAGTAAAGCGAGTTAACTTGCCCCTGGTTGGCTTACCTTGTAAAGGAGTTGATAGCCAGTGTTTACAAGCAGGCCCTGCCAAATCGCCCCAGCGGCCCACCTGTGAGCTGGCTTTTCAGATGCTGCGGAGTAATTCCCTCTAACCCACACTGAAGCTCCAGGATCTGAAAGTTCGCGGGTGAGAAGTGAGGTAAGCCAGGAGCCTGTGAGGTTGCCCTTAGCCGTACTGGGCATGCGGACAGCACACATATTCTTTGTTTCTTGTTTTCCCCTCCGATGTTAAAACTAATACAAAGTTAAAAGCTCTACATTTTTTTTTTCAGTATTCTACCTGGCAAAGGTAGAGTTCCCCCACCTTACTGCAAAACAAAAGTAATAATAAAACTGTCAAGTAGTGTCAGCAACCTCTCCGGTAATATTTGCAGGGAAATTACTTTCCACCTACAAAGTTGACACCTATTTTCTGTTAGGGAAATGAATTGATATGAGCTGGAGATTGGCAGGGAAGTAGGAGTCTGGGTCAGATACCTGGTGTGCATTTCCTTAAAATGCCTAGGAATGTGGATGGTGTTTTTTCTTTTCCTTGACCACCTCAAGGTTGTTACAGAAGTAATATGAGGGGGAAAACTGTGAACAGTGCTTATGGGAGCAAAAATCAAAATGTGGAATCAGAGGCAGTTTTAGCGGTCAGTCACATAGCCCCAGATGGGCTGCTTAAGATTGGGAAAAGAAAGCTGGGTTAGAAAGTCTCATGCTGCTGGCCGGGTGCAATGGCTCACGCCTGTAATCCCAAACTTTGGGAGGCCGAGGCGGGTGGATCACCTGAGGTCAGGAGATAGAGACCATCCTGGCCAACATGGTAAAACCCCGTCTCTACTAAAAATACAAAAATTAGCTGGGTGTGGTGGTGGGTGCCTGTAATCCCAGCTACTCGGGAGGCTGAGGCAGGAGAATCGCTTGAACCCAGGAGGTGGAGGAGGTTGCAGTGAGCCGAGATTGTGCCACTGTACTCCAGCTTGGTGACAGAGCGAGACTCCGTCTCAAAAAAAAAAAAAAAAAGAAAGTCTCATCCTGGCCCAAATGCCATCTACCAGTGTGACTTTGGGCAGTTTGTGTTGTCCTCTGCCCATCAGTTTCCTCCTTTGCAAATGAAGGGCTTGGACAGGCTAACACCTGGGCTGTCTTAGCCCTATATCTCTAAGGAGGTACAGAGGAGAAAGGAGTTCCTGAGCTGTATATGAGACTCACCCACTTACCTGCTGGGACTTCAAAGGCTATAGATTTGAAATAACAAAGACACGCTCCTTGGTTTCTTGGTCTGACCTTCAGAAACACAAGTGCAGCCATTCTTTTTGCCTTCCACTGCCCACCCCTACCTTGTCAGAAGATGGTTGGTTGGACCATGTGCTTGGTCGTCCCAGGAGCCTGGGGAGCTCCACTGCTAATGGTTCCCTTGGACGCTGTACACACAGGTCATTGTTATCTTCCTTTTTCAAAGCTGTTACTTAGGTTGGATGAAAAATAGCAGAGTTCAGCCATCGTGATTATTTATACGGGCATACAAAGACAAGACACACCACTCTTTCTGTTACTAAATCATACTCTGGAGTCTGAGTTTCTTTGCCATATGCTTTCCGAGGCTTTTCCCACTGGGCTAGTTCTAGACAGAATCTGTATAAAACACTGCCCTTTTGGTCAGCAGTTCACAATGAACTTGGATGGGAAAATATATACTTTCCAAATCAGGGAATGTATATTCTGATTCTGTCCTTTGCATCAGTGTAGAACTCATGGTGGAAAAGATCAAAGATTTCTATGGGGTTCTTTCCATTCTGAGCCCTGAAGCTCATTATCTCATTTTTCTAGGTTTCCTCATGTGATGGCTGTCCATTTTTATAGCCCAATAGCCAAATCATAGGTCTTCCATTTTATCTTTGTCATTCAGAAGTATTCACCAGAGTTCCCTTTTTCTTCTTGGGCTTGTGACAACACCATGGAAGTTAGGCTGGGTTCCACCCTTGCCTGCCAACAGCTTTTGTGTTACTTTCATTCATGGAATACATTCTCAGTGTTGATTTATGTAGACGCTCCTATAGCCCTTGCCCCTCCCTTGACCTCAGTTATTCCTAATCCCCCCATCTTTGTCCTGTGAATGCTGGCTGGCCTTTCCAAGATGGAAAATCACTGGATGACCCGTACATCTGTGCAGCCCACACCTAGTACATTGCTGGCCTTTGCCCAAATTATGCCACCCCATTTGGTATGACCTGACACCATTGTGATCAGTCTGATGACCTGGCAGCATCCCATCTGCCTACCCAGTTCACTCTTGCTCCATTTCAGGGCCTCTTACAGCAACTCCTCACATATCTTCTTGTCACTGTCTCATGCCTTCTCAGTCTCAGCTAACATCAGCCCATTCATTGATACAGCAAGACAATTTGAGAACCACTATGTGCTCTGCCAGAGTGAATAACAAAACGCAGTACTTGCCCTCAAGGAGCTTAGACTCTAATGAGAAAGACAGACAATAAAGAATAAACAGTCATCCTGGCCAACATGGCAAAACCTCGTATCTACTAAAAATGCAAAAATTAGCTGGGCGTGGTGGTGCATGCCTATAATCCCAGCTACTTGGGAGACTGAGGCAGGAGAATCGCTTGAACCCAGGAGGCGGAGGTTGCAGTGAGCCGAGATCACACCACTGCACTCCAGCCTGGCAACAGAGCAAGACTCTGTTTCAAAAAAAAAAAAAAAAAAGAATAAACAGTCAATCCTTATAAACATCGAAAAGCTATGAAGAAAACAATCGGAGTGCTGTGAGACAGAGTGGCAGGTGGAGCCTATCTTAGATAGTGTAGGTCTGCAGAGGTCACATTTAAGCCAAGGCCTCAAGAATGAGAAGCCTGCCAGCCATGAGAGAAGAGGGGTAGAAATACCTGTGGACTTCAGGCTCAGCATGTGAGCAGATCCTAGCTCAGGGAAAAGCTCCTTGTGCTTGAGAACTAAAACGGGCCTCTCTAAACCCACCCCCTTTCCAGACACCTCTTTCACACAGATGCTGACTTCACCTGCTCATTCTGATTAATTCATCTCTTGAGCTGCAATAGGTCATTCTCTGGGTTCTCCTTACTTGACATTTGGGTGCATACCGTCTTTTATTATTCAGCTGTGTGGAAGATCTTTACGGGACTTGAGTTCCTTTCTTCACCTCTCCAAGGGCATCAGTCAGGCTTCTATTTATGTGGAAGATGCTGAAGAAATACTTGAATTCTATTCAGTTCAATAAACATTAATTAAATGCCTGGTCTGTGCTAGGTGGTACCTGCTGGGTATTTAATTCAGTGCTGGTGTTTAAAAATAACCAAGCCTGGCAAGATGGCAAGACCCTGTCTGTATTTAAAAAAATGTAAAAATTAGCTGGGTGCAGTAAACATACCTATGGTCCTAGCTACTTCAGAGGCTGAGGCAGGAGGATCCCTTGAGCCCAGGAGTTTGAGGCAGCAGCGATTTATGACAGTGCCACAGCGCTGCAGCCTGGGTGACAAAGCAAGACCCCATCTCCAAAAGAATAAATACATAAAATAAACAAACCCCAGTCTAACCATGAGAAAAACATCACACAAACCCATTAAGGGATATTCTACAACACTGCTGACCAGTACTCCTCAAAACTGGCAAGATCATCAAAAACAAGGAAAGTTCGAGAAACTGTCACAGACCAGAGGAGGCAAAAGAGACATGACAGCTAAACATAATGTGAGATCGGATGGGATCCTGCAACAGGAAGAGGACACCAGGTAAAAACTAGCGAAATAATCAGTAACATACCAATGTTGATTCCTTAGTTGTAACAAACACACCATAGTAAAGCAATACGTTAACCAGATAATAAAGTATACAGGCATTATCTGTACTATTTTTACAAATTTCTGTAGCTCTAAAACTATCCTAAAATAGTTTATTTAAATTAAAAAATAAATAAATAATTAAGACATGTTCCCTGCTCTCTATAAGCTTATACTCCAGGAGAGGAGACACACATCTAAACAAATATTTGCAACTCAGTATGATAAGGGTAACAATAAAAATGTATGCCAAGTACAAAAGTAGTCCATATGAAGGCATGATTATCTCAAATTTAGAGAAGAAATCACTGAGGAGGGCAATGCCTGGAGCTGGGTTTTGAGGGATTAATAAGAGTTTGAAGAATGTGAAAGACGCTTGGAAAAGGTTAATTTGAGCCTAGGAAAGGGCATTTGACAAAGCCTGGAATTTTTTCAAACTATTTGGTATTGAAAAAAGGGAAGAAAGAAAAGAAAAGAGAGGAGCCCAGCTTTGGAATTTAGTCAACAATTATGGGAGAATTGTAAGTACCTCATTCTTTGTGGCTGGGATTCCACTGCCCATGGCAGCAGATTCACAGGGCCTCTGAGCATTATCCCCCATACTCCTCCCCATCATTCTCCACCCAGCTGTTGGAGCCATCTGTCTGATCACCTTGGACTCCATAGTACACTGGGGCAAAGCACAGCCCCAGTTTCTGGAGGCAGATGGGTAACCAGGAAAAGGCATGAATGAGGGGGCCCCAGGAGACAGTGACTTAGAGACTGAGGCAAGAGTGCCGTGGTCAATCATGGGTCATTGTCTTCGAACTGGACAGGCCAGAATGTCTGCCACACCCACACCTGCAGGTGAAGGAGCCAGAAGGTAAGAGCCACTGAGAGCAAGTTCTTTGCTCTGCTGATCACTGTGTACCCTCCCCCCACCACCCACAACCCAATGTCTGGCTTAAAGTCAGTTCTCCAAGAATATCTGACGAGTGAAGGAAAAGATGAAGCCCATGAGGACTGTTACCCTTCAGCCACAGAGGAATGAATCAAAATGGGAACCCGAGGTGGGATGCCCAAGCCAAAGGTCAGGAGGTGACCAGTGAAGTGGCTGGCCTCCAACAGAAGGGTGATCTCTCAAGTCCTCTCTTGGGGAAATCTGAACAGGAGGAGGCAGGTAGGCAGCAGCTGAAGCACAGAGATTTGAGGTGGAGAAGGTCGTGAATCCCTCTGTAGAAGGTGCTGTTATAAGTAAGCAAAGTCTATGAATGAGCCCAATGGTGGTGAGTGAGTGAGTGAGTCAGTTACTATCAGAACTGAGAGGCAAACATCCAGGGAAAGGCAGTAACCTTAAGGCAGAGAAACTGTTCTGCCCACGAGAGGGACAGCAAGAGAGCAGCAGATTTTCCCGATCCTGTTTCTGTGCGGCCCACCCACTCTGGTGACAGTGACCTCTACAAGCCCAAATGTCCTATCAAATGGGGGTAATAACAGCGACAGCCTCATGGGTTTATGATGGGGTTGACAGGAGACAATCCACGCAAAGCACTGAGCACCATGCTGGGCAGCTAAGTAGTTCATCAATGATATTTTTGAGGTTGTTGTTTTATAATTCTTATTAAATTCCATGAGAACGCGGCTACTCATATTACTCCATGTGCATTCTTGCAAGAATCACCCTTTAGTTTGGTGAGTCTTTGTTCCTTGCAACAACAACAACAACGACAACAACAACAACAAAACCCGAATTTCAAAACGATCCCTGGTCAGAGTTGCAGGAACTATGAAATATGTTTGACACAGCCCAGTGGAGGCCCTAATCCCTAGGGATCATTTTCCCTGTCAGTTCCAAGAGGGGAATTCCCTGTATGCTCAGCTAGCTGTTTGACAGTGACTGGTGCAGCTTGTGGGCTTCCTGGTTTGGGGAGGTTGAGCTCAAACAGACACCAGGCTACCCACCCTGGGTTGAACTGTGGGGAACTAGAGAAGTTAGAGGCAGGGAAATAGTCGTGAGCTAACACAGGCTGAGCATTCCTGGTGTCCCTTTGGGCTCCCTGAGGCAGCAGCGTGCTGAGAAGCCTGTCCCTGCTGAGGAAGGAAGAACGTGGGAGCTCTGAAGACACAACTTGTCGACCCCCATCCCTAGAAAATGTTACAAAGCTCATATTTTCACTTTGTTGTTTAATCAGTGGTTTCATACACCATTAGCATTATTTTGTTTTCTGAATAGGACACATAGGTACATGATACAATATTCAAAAGGTACGAAAGGATGTAAAGTTAGAGGTGTAAGCCTTATGCCTTAGCCACAGTTACCAATTTCTTATGCAGCCTTCCGAAAATCCATTCTATAAATATGTTAGCATGATGAATTCAAACATACATATTCAAATATATCTGTTTGTACACACTGTCTGCATCTTGATTTTTTCAATTCACGCCACATCTTTAGAGATAATTCCATAGCAATTTCGTACACAATTTCCTTGTTCTTTTTAACAACTGTATGATATTCCATTTTAATGATACACCAGACGTTATTTAATCCCCTAATAAATTTTTAATTTGTTTTCAGGCTTTGCAAATACAAACAAAGCTACAGTGAATATCCTCAAACATGAACCATTTTGTACATATGCAAATAGAGGTACAGGATAAATTCCTAGATGCGGAATAGTAGGACAATGGTAAATGCATTTGTAATATTAATGGACGTTGCAAAGTGGTCCTTCATGGAGACTTTGCCAGTTTATGTGGCCACCAATAATGTATGTGAGTGCCTGTTGCCCTACAACCTCACCAAACATAATGAATAAGTTTTTTACTTAACAAAACAAAAAAAAAGATTTGTTTTTGTGGTAAATCTAAACATGGACAAAAGCCTTTTTTCTGTTGTTGTTGTTGTTTTTCTGAAGCCCGGTCTGTGTCTTTCTGTATGTCTGTGTCTCTTAAGTACATGCACACCCACAATCCCTTGCCCTCTCTCCATTGGAGCTTGGTTGAAAAGCTTTAATCTAATTATTTCTTTTCCACATTGTAGCGGGTTTTAGTCTTTGGTGGTTTGAATTTGCAAACGAAGAAAAGTAGTTCTTGGGCAAGTGTTTTCACTAAGCCCTACATTTCCCAATGTAGAGGGTCTTTAAAGCTTTCCAGAAACGATTGCTGCTCTCAATATGCCAGGGCCCATTTCTTGGTTAATTTTTCCAAAGCCTTGATAATACTGAGGGGAATGATACTGGGGTTGCTAATGCTCAGTATTTACAGAGCTTCTTTGTCTGAGATCTCAAAGCACTTGACAGCATTAAATCATTGTTCCCTTGGCCCTCTCAAAAGCATCTTTGAACACAGATGGATGTTACACAGAAATGAAAGCTGTGCTTTCTATCCAAATTGCCTGAAAGGTGACCAGGAAGAAAATACCAACTAACCAACATAGTTTGTAGCCATAGTAGCATGTCCCTTTATTTACCTCAAACAATTTACCTTTTGTAGATACATTTCCAATGAATAATTGTGTGTGTTTGTGTGTGTGTGTATATATAATATATATGTGCAGCAAATATATATATATACAGCAAATATATATATACTATATATATATATACACACACATACAGCAAATATATATATATATATATATATATATGCAGCAAATGGAAGAGGACCTCTTCCATACATGTGGTAATGAGGTTAACTTATATCAGCGGGTCGTGTCCCTGGATTCAAAGGAAGATATGCTAAGGTCTTTAGGCCTCTTGACTCTCTATGGTCTAAGTCTCTGCTAGTCTCTTCTATCAGATAAAATATATAACTATGACCAAACATTGCTTCCAGTGGTCCAGGAAAAGAAAGAAGGAAGACAGGAAGGGAAGAAGAGAGGGATGTAGAGAAAAAAAGAAGGAAGGAAAGGTGGAAAAAATAAAAACCCTAATTCAGATCTGATGTTTCTTTCCAATGTTGAACAATACCTTATAAATAGAAAGCACAGCCTGGCCTCATGCATAATGTTTGATTCCACCAGTGAGTAATTGTCCTATAGAGTATTTCTGCAGTCACCCCACCATAGGCCTCCCCACCCTTTCCCACCCCCTACTCTCCACCTGCTCCATGTCCTCCACATACCATACACAGAATTCCAACCTTCGAGCAAGAATTTTAGTGGGAAAATGTTGGCAACTATCATCTCATATTTCAGATACAGAAAACAAGTCACAGAGAAGCTATAACTTATTTAGTGATAAAGATTCTATGTTAGGCACACATATCTCAAACTGCGTCTCCTGGGTCAAAAATGATCAACCAATAGTTTTGATTTTAAAAAATTATTTAATACCTAAATAACACTGAACATCAAAATAAAAGTAAACTTACTGGGGTCCTGCCACCCCAACTAATCATACTGCTTTCATCCCCCTCTGTATCCTTTGTCCATATTCACATAAAGCGGTAACCAGAGCCCACAGCAACATAATGTTATGGGCAACAGCCTGGCTCTGGAGCCAGGCCACTTGTGCTTATATCCAATTCCACCATTGACTAGCTGGGCCTTAGTTCCCTTGTCTGTTAAATGGGAACATTAGCAGTACCTACCTCATGGTGCTTTCATGGGGGAATCAATGAGATGTCCATGTTAAGTAGTTAGACAAGTGCCTAGGGTATATCAGCCCTGGGTAAATATTAGCTGCTGCTGTTATTATTTTTAATTTTTGCTTTCTGCTTTTAAAAATGTATCATAAGCAAGTGCAATAGAATTGTAGTTGCTGATAGATCCCAAATCCTTGCTAAGCTGACTGCCCCCTCCTGGGCATTACTAAAGAATTTTAAATATTTTAGACTGACCCCTCTCCAGATTCCTGGGGGTCCCTACACTGCAGAGAGGCAAGCAACATCTTTTGGGCCCTCCTCTTTCAGGGACTTTGCAGAGCACACCTGTGGTGGGCTTCACTGCTATCCTGGCTCTTTTACACTGTAAATTTCAAGGTTTCAGGGAAAAAAAGAAGGGAGTGAATAAGTGAGGCAAGACACAGGGAAGACACGGCATTCCTCAGGGTTTCCAGGGTCTCACTGGGTAGCTGCAACCTTGCAATCAAAGATTATGACATGGCCGGGCATAGTGGCTCATGCCTGTAATCCCAGCACTTTGGGAGACTGAGGCGGGTGGATCACCTGAGGTCAGGAGTTCGAGACCAGCCTGGCCAATATGGTGAAACCCCATCTCTACTAAAAATACAAAAATTAGCCAGGTGTGGTGGTGCATGCCTGTACTCCCAGCTACTCAGGTGGCTGAGATGGAAGAATCACCTGAGCCCAGGAGGTGGAGGTGGCCGTGAGCCAAGATTTTGCCACTGCACCCCAGCCTGGGTGACACAGCGAGACTGCACCTCAAAAAATAATTGTTTTAAAATTATGTTTTAAAATTGCTGATCCTTTTCAGAATGATGGTAATAAAAGGCATTGGTATCTTGGTATTGTATTTCTTTCTGTTTGTTTGAGACCGGGTCTGGCTCATCACCCAGGCTGGAGTGCAGTGATGCAGTCTTGTCTCCCTGAAACCTCCGCCTCACTGCAACCTCCACCTCCCAGGCTCAGGTGGTTCTCCTATCTCAGCCTCCTGAGTAGCTGGGACTACAGGCACACATCACCATGCCCAGCTAATTTTTGTATTTTTAGTAAAGACGGGGTTTCACATGTTCCCCAGGCTGGTCTCAAATTCCCGAGCTCAAGCAATCTGCCCACCTCAGCCTCCCAAAGTGCTGGGATTACAGGTGTTAGCCATCACGCCCAGCCTGCATCTTGGTATTTTAGAAGCTGATTTAGTATCTTTTGTATTTTATACATTTTTGTTAACATTTTGTGTTAGTATAATTTCAAACTTATAGAAAAGTTGCAAGTGTAGCATAACTAACTCCCACCCACCCTTTATCCAGATTCACTAATTATTAACCTTGTGCTCTACTTGCTTATCATTCTCATCCCCATGTATAAATACTGTTATATATACTATTATAGAGGGAGTATACACATACTATGGGTACTACATGGAGGGAACATTCCGCTTTCCTTTTTTTTGAGTCACAGTTTCACTCCTGTTGCCCAGGCTGGAGTGCAACGGTGCAACCTTGGCTCACCACGACCTCCGCCTCCCGGATTCAAGCAATTCTCCTGCCTCAGCCTCCTGAGTAGCTGGGATTACAGGTGCCTGCCACCACGCCCGGCTAATTTTTGTATTTTTAGTAGAGATGAGTTTTCACCGTATTGGCCAGGCTGGTCTCGAACTCCTGACCTCAGGTGATCTGCTTGCCTCGCCCTCCCAAAGTGCTGGGATTACAGGTGTGAGTTACTGCGCCCGGCCCCCACCCTTTACTCTTTTTCAGTGTAGATTTCCTAGGAACATAGTCTTTCTCTTCCATGACCACAGTACAATGATCATAATCAGGGAATGTAACATTGATACAATACTGTTCCCCAACCCACAATCTGTTTTTGTATTTTTAAAGCCTCGCTTAAAAAGCAGGTGTGGGACAAAGATGATAAATGTACATCATAGCCTAATTAGGCCACTTGTTCACCTGGTGACCTCCCCACTGGAGTCATTCTTCAAAGCCCAGCTCTAACAAGGCACCCCTGCAAGCCTGTGCAGGCTGCTGTCCCCACCTGGCAGAAATAATTCTCTGCCAGGTAGCTCTCTGTGTGTGCCCCGGTTATAGCCCTTCATGTTATATAGCAACAATTTACTCTCTGGCTCCGCAGTGGACTATGAGCTTCTCTGGGTTTCCAGGGCCTAGTTGGGTAGCTGACAGATAATTGATGCTTAGGAGATGTTTGTTAAAAAATGGATGGGCAAATAGACAAATGGAAGCCTCTGGTGGGCTGAACTTGATAAAGAGGTATTTTCTTAAAAAATATATATATATATATTCGATGAAAGTTCAGAGATACACAATACAGTGGGTGAAATTATAAGTTCTTCTTAGGAACATCTTAGGGCAAGGAAGACATTGTGTATGGGATCTTGGCTCATGCCTCACTGCCACTCCCTCAAACTTTTGTCTCCTCCCTCTACGCCAAAGCATAGTAACTGCTGAAAGAATACAGTTATGCGCAGGAAGCGTGTATAGACTAGACTCCCTGAAGAGCTGGTGCCTGTGAGCATAAGAAACGCAGCCCGGGATTGCAGCACTTGGCAGCCCTGGGCTTTCCATCATTCCTGCCACGTTCACATGCAGTAACTTTCCGTGCCGGCTCTGAGCTGCTAGTGGGAGGCGGAGCTCCGGGCTGTCCCCCTCTCCCCAGCAGCCATCAGCGCCAGGGTGCCCGGCAACTGTGCCTTGGACTAACCCGAAAAGCCACACATCCCAGACCTGGGAGCACTCCAGCCAAACGAGTTTGTGGCAGAACCTGGTAACTTCCAGAGCCTTTGAACTGGAGTGTGGAGCTTACTGCTTTCCCAAACACTTCTCCTGGAAGATACTGTCACCAGCCAGCCCCTTGGTCCCAGCTGCTGCTCCCTCCCAGGTCCATGCTGGTGCAAGTGTCACAAAACAGACAGTAATTGAGTTCAGCCTTTATTGAGCAGCTACTCTGTGGCAGGTACTACCCTAGATTTGGACATTACCATGTTACTTAATTTTTATTTTCATTTAAAAATACGTACCATTTGCTGCATGCCAGACACTGTTCTAACCACTTAACACATAAGAACTCATTTGATCCTCATGACGGCCTATGAAGTAGGTTCTATTATGATTTCAATTTTTTGGATGTGGAAACTGAAGCACAGAGAGATTAAGTCACTTAAGGGATGAGATGTGGTCCCTGTCCTTATTTGAGCTAATACCATGAGGTCTTTTTCCCTTTCACATTTTCTATGTTATTTTCACTTACTTTCCATTTGATGGTTATCTCAAAAATATTATTCAGATCCATCTGTAAATATGCATTAATACTTACTGTGCACCAGATATCCTGGGACTCCAAAGAAGTCTAAAGTAGATTCCTCACTCTAAAGCAACAGAGTTTGGTTAGGGTAACGAAGCATCTATACTTTAGCTACAAAAGGAGATAGTGAGAGATGCTGACCGTGGGACCTTCAGGAGTTGAAGGGACAGGAAGAATCTTAGGGGCAGGAATGACTGGGGAAGACGTCAGAGAAGGTGGATGGAGCTCTTGGAAACCTGAATAAATGAACA
The DNA here is from genome assembly GCF_000001405.40 of Homo sapiens. Taxonomy (NCBI): domain Eukaryota; kingdom Metazoa; phylum Chordata; class Mammalia; order Primates; family Hominidae; genus Homo; species Homo sapiens. The sequence goes on along the minus strand of NC_000015.10, from coordinate 60,619,928 downwards.
GAGAGAATCAGCCTAGTGAACTACGGCTGTCTGTCCATTGAGGCCTGCAAAAGCAGGCAAAGATGCGGTACACCTTCTGCAGAAAGTGCCTCAAACAATGCCTGTGGTTCTGGATCTTAAAAGCATAAAGCCCTGAAATCTTGAGTGGTTTGGTGGACCTCACAGCTCCTGAGCCACAGTGAAGTGGTCAAGATGGATGATCCTTGTGTGATAATACATTATGACTCATTATGATAAAGTGGCAATACAGAAAATGTGGGGACCAACTTGTAGGCAGAACTCCCGCTTGTATGCAGACAGATTTCAATGCTATGAGATGAGGGGAAGGAGGGAAGCAGCTAATGTGTTTAGTGTTACAGGATTACTACTAAATTTCTCAGTTGACTTATATGTTATGATATTCTTATGCAATAAAATTTTAAAAGATTTTAGGAAACAAAGCAAAACAAAATTTCCTCAGCCCTGATGATTATGAACTGACGTAAAAGGCATCATCATGATACATCATCTGTGACTATGGGTTGCCATATTTGTAGCCCCAAGATAGTTTGTCCCCAAATTGTTCAAATGCAGCTGAGGTGGCTGCTGACAGTGCATAAAACTAAATTCAATCCTCAATAATAGGAGGAGTCACAACTTGTCTTTGTCTCCAAAGAAAGATGATCCATTGAAGAATGTGTGTCAATTTTTGTAGTCATTTCGTTACCACGATCATGCTTTAACTCGAAGAAAGCACCACTGAATCCTGGAGTGCACTTTACATTATGAAACATTACAGTAAGCAGTTGATGTCCAACATGATTGCAATTAGAGCTTAGTGAAGCACAAGAAGGGACAATCCATGTAGGATGCATTAGTGTAACTGTGTTTGCCAGGAACAAGTTTTAACCTTTTGTACAGCTGTTGAGGGAAAGGTGCCAGTATTCCCTGTGAGAATACCTGTCAAGTTTGCATTTGAACAGGGAACACCTAGTTTATGTTTGTGAAGACCACTCCCTTTTTATGCTGAGCACCTTTGGGCATGTGTCAGCAAGGAGGTGTTAAGGCAGATGGGAAAAACAAATGCATGAGCTTCAAACCCAGCAGATTAGCAAGATTTGGAGAAATGGCAAGGCAGGAAAAGTTACAAAGAAATCACCTATTCCCATAACATAGAAATGTTGGAAAGTGACATTTGGAGAGTGAGAAGGGGATTATCTTTAAGAGGTAAAACTCAAAAGAAGGATGACTTTCTCCTATCCTGAAATGAGAAAATACATTCATTTTTCTTTTTGTCATCAAAGTATAAAGAACATGTTACCTATGTATCCTGCCTCTTATAAAGCTCCTGGAGAATAAATACTTTTTTTTTAAGTTGTGTTCACATATTTTATAGTGAGTTGAAATTTGGTAGGGGCAACTATAACATAAAGTAGGTATCCTGCCTCCTAATATTTTAATCCAGTCATCCAACATTTGACACATTTTTGGGGCACTGCTGTGTGCCAGGTGCCTGGGGTGCAATACTGAACACAAAGGACGGGCTTCAAGATGTGCGTGTATGGGATCTGTGTCACCACCTGCTACATGTATCTGTAGGGGCTGTGTGGGTAGGCAGGGGTCAGAGCAGAGAGCAATGTAGCAGAGGTTGCCCTTGGCCTTGGCCAAAGTTGATTGAGTCTTGAATGCTGGTACCCAAGCATTACTCCATCACTGTTTCTGAGGATGGTGTTACTGTCAGATTCTTAGAGTCCCCAGTCACCTCTGCCCCACCTCCAGCAACACAGGAGAAGAAAACCAGCCAAGCTAAGTGTTACTGGCCAAGAAAAGAAAGATATGGATAACTATTAAAAGAACATCTGTTTAACACCTTATCTGTGGCCTGTAGTAGTCTATTCCTAACTGATAATTAAAAATTGCCCTCGGTTACAAGCCCCATTCACTTCTCTATGACTTCTTAGTTTTAAGAACCAGAGTTTGGCTTGCCAAGAGTACAGCAGACTTCTTGAGCACCTCTTATCCCTAGCTGCCTCTCTATTTTTCCCCCATACCCACAGCAACACCCTGACATAGCCAGGCCCAGCCTCTGGAACAGTCCTGCCCAAACTTGGGCTTAGCAACTGTTATCAAGAACTGGATGAACTGAGGCCTCCTTCCCACCACAGGGCAAATCTGCCCATCGCCAGGTTTGAAGTTCTTAATGAAGACCAGGCTGAGAAGAAGCTCACAGTTTTAGGTTTCTCTCTCTCTCCCTCTTTCTCTCTCTCTCTCTCTCTCTCTCTCTCTCTCTGTCTGTATGTGTGTATGTGCGTGTGTGTGTGTATTTTTTCTTTACTCTTTCTTCCTTCCTTCCTGATTAATATAGCTCATCATCCACTGTGCTATGAATCTGTAACACGCATTGAAATTGGCCAATGACAGTTCTGCAGGCAGTCCCTCCGGGGGAGTCTATGGATAGGATGTTCTCCAAGAGGAATTCTCACTGTCACGTTCTGCCTTTTGCGCAGTTGCTTCCTCAGACCTTGCTGCCTTCAAAACTCAGTACAGAGTTCACCCTTTGCTCCTGTGTTTCTGTGGTAAAAATAGGGCCCCCAAATTTCAATGGACCAGGTATGATTTCTTTGCCTCAATTAGTGGACAAGCACTTAATGAAGACTGGGGCTGGGTGCTCTCCCTTGTATGAGTGATTGATTGATTCAACAAATATGAGCAATAAAATGGCACCTACTGTATACCAGGCACTGTGATGGGTTCTGTGACTATAACACTGAGCCAGACAGATACACTCCCTGTCCTACTGTACTCACTAGTAAAGAATACATATCATCATATCACCCCTGCCTCTGATAAGTTGTGCTAGGACAGAAAGGAGAGAAAGCTTGGGGCGATTGTGTTGTTGTGGGCTTTTTTGTTTGATTGATTTCAGAAGCAATTCTATATTGTGCAAGTCTTCCCCCAAATGCATTGTCTTTTATATGAATCTTGCCCATCATAGTAAAAGCATGTACATCAAGTCTTCTTCAATGTATTTTCTCTGAGAACTCAACCTGTTACTTATAGAGGTAGACGTGAGGCTGGTCTGAGAACAAGGGGGGTTTTGAGGACCAGGGGGTTTCCTACAGCCTTTCCCCTGACTCAGCAAACCTTGCAGCTAGTCGAGCTGAACCTGGATGTACCTCAACCACAGAACGCAGGTATGATCATTCTTATTTGTGCAACGCACAAGATTACTCAGGGAAAATCAGTTCATTTGTACCTGAGAAACTTTCTTTCCTAAGCTCTTTTCCTGAAATGCAGTTCTGACATGTTTGGGGTCTGTTTCTGTTCCAAGATCAGAATTTCTTAAACCCCATGACCCCTGGAATTCTTCACAACTTCCCCCAAACACCCCTCTGCTGCTCTTCCCGGCTCTTGTTTCTTTCTGAGCCTTCACAAGGACTCAAGGAATATTTTCTAACTTTTGGTTCACAACAGATACCAGTAAAACAACAAACAAATCAAAATTTCTCAATCCTCACCAACCAATGACAGCCCTCGTGCAACTGGGAGGTTGCCTGGCAGGTGTGGGAGATGAGATTTTAACAGACAACAAGGTGAGAGATGAGAGGGCAGACGCATGCGCTGGCATTAGTCTCACACACACTGAAGACGCGTCATAGCACCACCCTGAGCACACACACCCTTATGGGATTTGATCAACACTTTTATCAAATTGCTTAACACTGCCAATTCACATGTTCCCTAATTTACCTTGCTCTCGGTTGATCCCCAAACCACAAATACATATGTGTGCCTAAGTTTGTGCATGCATACATTAAACAGGACATAAAGTGTTTTATGCATGTGAGTGTATATATGTGGACAAAATTTGAGGTATTTTATAATGCTCTTCACATTGAGTTTTATAAGAGTCCAATAGAGGTGCATTTGCTTCTCCTGGAGCAATGGCACTTTTTAGAGGAACTAAATTCAGCACCCCCCAAATGAGACATGCTCATAACAATCATGCTTATAGGTTGCTCACATGTCAAGAGCTGGGGCACATGGGTGAATGGAGAGTGAGAAAGCAGAGTTATTTTCGAAGCAGCCCTCTCAACCTCCATCCACAGAACTCCATGCAGCTAAGGGGTTTCAGGCAGCAGGGCCTCGTCAGTCATTCCTTGCTCATTAACAAAAGGACTTGTCATCTGAAGAACTGGTTGCCATGCGTTGATTGTTAGGAGTTCAGGATAAACAGGTTTCAGCAGCGCACAAAGGTTTTTTGGCAAACAGAAAACATAAACAACTTCCTTATGAGCTAGGCTGGCAGGGAGCAGCTTCCCCGGACCTGGGCTATCGTGAGCTCACATTCTTCCTCCACCCACTGAAGATTGCTCCCTGTTGGTTTTGCTGGGTAAACGCAAATCCCATTATCAGCCTTCTCCTCCCCGGCTGCTGCTGGAGCCCCCGGTACAGAGTTACCTGCTTAGCAAGCTCCTGATAAGTCCTTGGAGGCCCCATCTCGTGAGACTTTGGGGCGAATCTTCCCTCCCCTTCTCATTTTACACTTGTTGCAAGGTGAGGGTTAGAGATACCGGCTGGGGTGTTATTCTTTCCTATTACTGGTTTCCCAGATAAGATAGGCAAACCTTCAGGACTTAGAAGCACTCGATCTCAAGGCTCCGTGGAGAAGAGAAGCCACCCAGTGCCCCTTTATCTATATCCCCTGACCCCAAGTGTGGTCAGCATGGGCTATTACAGGATTCAAAATACAGGAATCAGAGCCATCAGCTCTGCCAAGTGCACTAGCACTAAGATGAGGAAACACGAGAGAGCATTAGGACTTGGGTGGCTGTGGATAGTGGCAGCTGATCCACCACCAGGTTCTAGGAAGCAGAAAGGGGGCTGTGTGTGGGTTGACGCTGTTCTGTTTTCCCTGACAGCTCTTCAACCTGTAGCTCCCTGAGCAGGCTGTTCTGGTCTCAACTTGAGCACATAAACTGGGATGGAGCCACAGCCAAGAACTTTATTAATTTAAGGGAGTTCTTCTCTTTTCTGCTCCCTGCATTGAGAAAAGGTGCGTTATTTGAGAGCTTACTATGCTCCAGGCAGCTATATGTATGTAAGCATGTCAGTGTCTGTCTGCATGTGCGTGTGTATAATCTCATTTAAACCTTATGATTACTATAAATATTAAGTATCCTATTTCTTGAGAAAACTGAGTTTTAGATATTAAGCCATTTGCCCAGCACACATGGCTAGTGGGTGGCAGAGATGGGCTTGAACCTTATTCTGTCAAGCCCTGAAGACCTTGTTCTTTCTCCTGTGCCATGCTGCCCCCTCCCCACAAAGGGTCATAGAACCGACACAGAAGCCATGTCTTTATAAGCCAGATTGTCCGTGAACTGCATTCCAAACCCTTGAATGCTTTTCTTGGGACTTTCTCATCAATGCGCCCTATGAATGCCTCTTTTCCTCAAAAATACACAGAAACACTCCAAAAGAATCAACCTTAATGCTCTTTCCTACACAACTAGAACCTTCCAGAGGTTGCATTTGTACTGATTTGCCTTGCTGCTCCAATTTTTTTATTTCGATTTAGGGTCTACTATCTCCAGGTCTGCTCCCCTCAGCTGATGGCCCATGCTCCAAAATTGTCCTTCCTTCCTCCTCCCCAGCAGTCAATGCCAATGCTTGCATTTCCTCTGTGCGATTAGGAGGAAAGTACTCCATTAAGCCAAACTGTACTTAACTTCCTGAGATATTATCTTTTTCAACCGACAGGCATTGTAGCCTGTCAGCCTAAAAGGATGAATTTCTAATCACACAATTCTCTATTTTTCACTTAAATGTTCAAAAGTCCTGTAAGAATAAAGGATTTTACAAAGGAAAAAAAATGACCATTTTTTTACTAACCTACCAAAAAATTTCCAGTTTTCCTTTTTCATTTTTTATCATATATGTATGTCATTTTCATGTTTTTCCAATTATGGCATAGACTCAATGTTGTATTCTTTTTTTTTTCACATAATTTCCCCATATGAGATATCAGTTGTTTGTCTGAAAGAAAGGCTACTGAGGTTGCAGCAGAAATTTATTGTCCCATAAGGCCTTCCCATGAACTGTCTACCTGAGATTTTGAGGGTGCCCTTTTACCAAATAGTAAGAAGAAAGTCTTTCCCTTTGACACCTTTTTTTTTTTTCAGGTGACTTTGTGGCTGTAATCCTAACACACACACACACACACACACACACACACACACACACACACACAGATATCAAATTGAGATTTTGTGATTATTATTTTCTCTTATATATTAGTAATTTTTAGGATTTTCAAAAGAGTTCACAAAGAGACATTCATTTAATGAATGCCAGACGTGCCTGGCAATCTGGTGGGCATGTTACAGCAAGTTGTTGTATTTGAATCGTAGAACAACCCCGTGGAAAGGTACTATTACCCTCACAGGTGAGGAAATCAAGGCTCCCAAGGATGAAGTTCCCTGCCCAACTGACAAGCGACAGGACAAGATTCAAAGCTGGATCTGACTCCAGAGCTCTTTTTAATTTGTCACCGGGCTTTCTCTCCTTAGAAAAACCTTCACTCTAAAGGGTTAGTCTACATGTCATTTCCAAGGCACACCAGAGAAAATGTAACAAAGAGAAGGAAATAGAGAAGGTTTTATGGTCAAGTGACGCCCCTGTATATTACAGGCACACAGAGATACGAAACAAATGTAAATTTATTCAAATATTATGAGAGAGGCGGTTGTAGTGATACATGTTATACAGGAGACCTATTACTCATAATTGATTTTACTAATATTTTAGCATCTGACCTGTTTCTCTTAATTGAATTGAAATGACTTATGCAACACATTTGTTTTACTGACTTTGGAAAGATATAATCACCTTCACCTACACTTTAAATAGAATTAAAAAAAAAAATTCCTGAACAGTGGCCTTAAAGATAAGTAAAAAAAAAAATACAGTTTCCTTCTCTAGGAAATGCCTAGAAAATTGCAGTTATTTTGTTTTAAGGAGGAAAAAAAAGAAAAGGCATTTTGCACAATGATCAGTGAGGTCACCCTGAACGAAAATAAAATATGTCCATTAAACCCTTCCCAAGAATCACAGATTGAGTCACTCAGGAGAGTACTAGGAGACTGCTCTGCCCTTTTTAACTTAGTCAAAATTAGTAAATCCAAAGCCCTTAAAATATAAACTAATTTCATGTTTGCAGAAAATACTTTACCCCTGGGGACAGAGTAAAACAGAGAGAGAGAAAAAAAAAAAAAAAAAAAAAAAACAGAGAGAGAGAGAGAGAGATTCTTCTAGGTACAGAGGTGTCTCGGATTTCAGCTTCCGTATGACAGCAGGCTTGTTCTACCAAACTGCAGAGAATGCCAGTCTGCTGGGTTTGCTAATGCCTGGTCTAGCAATATACTAAGAATGACAATTCAGGAACATACCAGGGAATTGTTCGCTAAAGGAGGTAAAAATTATGACTCTAACCTCAGGCTTCAACTGGGCATACATCCACTAGTTTCTGCCCGGGGTTAGTTGAGGCTTGGAGGAACATGCCAAAAAGAGGGGAGGTTCATTTTTATTTTTCAAGTTGGCAGGTCTTGTCTTGGGAAGGAAACAGAATTGGTATACCAGCTTTAATGGATTATAAGATGACTGGGCATTGGACAAGGGCACAGGGGAAAAAAGGCAAGCAAAAAGAAAAAAATTATTTTTGAGAACTTGCAAAAAATCAGTCTTGCTGGCCAGTCCTGGCCCTAGGTTGACATCTGTTGTATGTTAGTTTCCAATGTGTCTGTTTCTTAATACATGATCTCAGAACTTCAGTGATAGCATCCAAGGAAAAATTAGAAAATGAGCTTGAGGAAACATTTCTCTGGGTTCCTTCTCCCTGTGCCCAACAGGGAAAGAGCCGATAGAAGCCCTGCCTAGTCTAACTTGAGGCCACCCATTGGCTGGTAGGACTAGGATGAAACATCAGCACCTTTAATGTGGGGTTGAAAAACGGAATGCCAGGAAGTTAAAAGGACTTAGGGGAAAATGTCCTTTGGCCTTCCGCTGCGTGACAGGATTCTGAAGTGGCAGCTAGTGAGCAGAGTAGACTCAGTTAGTCCAGTCAGAGGAAAAAAGCAGCAAAACCAGAGGACCAACATCAGTAATATCTTTGAGTGCAGTGATGAAAGAGTGAGGATGGCTCTGCCAGAAAGGCGGGTCTCTCCATCAGGTTTCCCAAAGCAGCTTGTGTCTATGGCCAGCTGTCAGAGGAAAGGAGCCCTGCCTATTGGCTGGTATTTATTGAGCACCTACTAGGTGCTAAGAGTTCTCTAGACTCCTCGTGCAAAGAAGACTCCACCTTTTTTTTTTTTTTTTTTTTTTTTTTTTTTGCAAAACTCAAGATTGTTTGAGGTAAAGATACATGTTGATTTTGCTTTCTACCAAGACAAAGAAAATGCAGAATAGAATTATTAAAAAGATGCATTTTCATATCACTAGAAAACTCGTAGTACATAAACACAGAAGACTTTGAGGAAGGTTAAAGCTATGGCAAATCGAATCCCTTTTTCATTCTACTCATGTCCTATTCTGGGGCTGATTCAGTGCTGGAAACATGGTAGGATATGAAATGAACAACCAAGGGTTAGAGACAGAAGATATTGAAACAAGGGTCTAGCCACTCCTGCTATGGAGATTCCCTTGGAGATCTTCTGAGGTCTGAGAGATTGAACCCATTCAAGAGGAAAGAATTTTCCATTCCCCACTGTCTATGTAATAATACCCAGCCTGGCAGAGTGAAGATAATTGAGCGGCAATAGAAATTTTATTTACCTCCAAATGCAAATTCCCTTTAACTTGTCCCTACTTAGAATACGTTCTTTCTCCCTTTGTTTGAAATTAGGAAAGACCACTGGCCCATACACTTTAGGTGACATGACTTCTTAGCTTTATCTACTACGAACTTTTTATTATCTTCTGATTTTTCTACCTTGCACAAACCAAAACACTCTCAGTCCTGAGGAGTTATCGACAATGATCTGCATGAAAACAGAATCATTTTCTAAAGTCTCTATATTTTATCTCCACAATGCAATTTATCCACATGGCACTTGAATGAAATTCAAAGTTTGTATTTGGATGGTCGCCCTGGATTGGACACAGTCCTAAAGAGCCTCTCTGATCCTTTTGGTTTTTGGGGTTTTTTTTCCTTCTCTCTCTCTCTCTCTGATCTCAGTGTTATTGCTCAATTGTGCTGTTTCTATCACTGCCTACTTAGTAACAGCAATGGGGAACAAGCCTTAAAAGTGATCACCTATCATATATACCTATATATTTTTCTTCTGCTGGTCTCATAAAAAACTACCAGTCATTTATTTCATCTCACTTATTGTCGATCAGTCCCGCATTTTTCACCTCCTTACCGTGATTTTCTTTGTGCTGTGGTTCCCAGCCACAGCCCGCTTCCTGCTGAATTAAACTGCAACCCAGACAAAACCAAAGAGCACGTCTCTCCCAAAGTTCACTCAGAAGGTCACCCCTGGTGAGATGGACATTGCAGATGTGCTAGAAAGATGAGAGGCTGCTTTGATGAAACCTGCGTCTGTTCTTTGCTCCTGGTCCTCAGAGTGGAAGATCGGATGGATTGCCATTGCCTTGCATTATTTAAGACTTTTGATGAGCACCTCCCATCAAAATTCCCCACAGACCCTGGACTGTGTGTGTGTAGTGTGTGTGTGTGTGTGTGTGTGTGACTTACACGACACTTTAGAATGATTGAGATGTTCAAAAGGACATTGCCACGTGAGCTCTTTGCAGGGCTCACATTCCATTAGGTTGCCCTTCCTTAAGGTCTCTTGGTGGCCCTTCTGTTCTATTTGATGGCAATTTCTGTTCATTCCAGATTGTATTAAATCTCTTTAGCAGCTTCAAACGGCTCTCTCGAGCTGCAATTTTAGCATGTGGGTGCTGATCACATCAGTCCCTGGACTTTTGTTATTTTTTCACGCCTTTGATGGTTTTCCTCCCTGCTTCTGTTTTCATTGGCTCCTACTTTCATCTCCACTGTCTGTTCTGCAATGGTGTTATCTATTCATTCGACAGAGTCCAGCCATTCAGCCTTCTGAAGAAGAGGCCATTCCCTCACTTCTCTGTCCCCACTTTCCCAGTGGGTAGTCCATGATTTGTGCTTTTCATCAGGCAACCGTGGAGACCCCTCTTTGGGCAACCACTTTGGTGATAGGATGAGGATTCGTGTATCATGATTTCATTTTTATCAACCTCTTCTGTGTCTTCCCATTTTGGGTTGAGATGCGGCGGCTTCTGTTATGGCAGGTATTTTTATAAATGGCTTTGTCTGTGATCATTGCAAATGATGAAAGGTAGGCCACCTCATTTCCATCTTATGGACTTTCCACAGATATATATTTATTGTCTCTTCCTAGAGTGTGACAAATGATCAGAACATTGAGCAGGTATGAGATGTTGAGGGTTTTATTTCTGGGTCTGTCATTCCCTATACCTGAGACTTTTAAAAGTCATTTAACCCTAAGGCTGCCACATTTTTGTTTCCTCTAAAATCCCTGCCATTAATGTTCCATGTTATTTTGCCTAATTAAGTATTTCACGTTTTAATTCAAAAGCCCTAGTACCTAATCATGGTTCTTTTCTAAATGAATTCAGTATTTCATACCAAGCAAATGGTGTTAAGAGCAAAGGTCTGTGGAGCAGAGATGCCAAATGATAATCCCTTAAATGTGGAAAGGAGGTCAGTTTTAGACTTAATCATAGGAACCCTTCCTTTCTGCTATTGGTAAGCAAATATGAATCAGCCTGCCTAGACCTCCTGACCATGTGAATGGATGAAATATTAAAATGTACAAGGAAGACTTAATGAAATTAATGAAATACAGGGCCATAAAAATGAAGAGACATAACTGCAAGTATATTCTTAACTTCTAAGGCCAATGTCATGATAGACACGGGGGCCCTTTGTAAACTGTGTGTGTTTCTCGGTCACACAGAAAGGACCAGAGACTGTAAAACCCCCATCAGATGACCAGGCTTGGTATATGCTCAACATCATATGATCCGGTTTACTGTAGATTGTTATAAGGCCTGATTTATTAAAATGTGTTTGGTGATTTATTGGTGACATGTTGTTGAAGAGCCATGTAAATTATCTCTCGTGGCAGGAATGATTAGATAATATAAAAAGTGTATGAACAGAAAGAAAGATAGAAGTGGTGACAAAAAATCTTCTGAAGAAGAAATAAAAAACAGCCTCCTGTTTCCTTTTCAAAGTCCTACCATGGAAAACTTTCCTTACACTTGCCAACCTGTGTTTCTCAAAATATAAACTCTTCAGGAACAGGAAATCAGTTTTCAATACTTAGCATCTTGCAACATGTAGTGAGCACTAGAGTGGGAGTCAGAAACCCCCGTTCAAGTCCCAGCTCTACCATCAGCGGTGTGATCTGCTGAACCAGAGGCCTCTTTGAGCTTCACTTACCCTATCTGTGAGTGGGGATGATTCCTGCCTGCTGGATTTTTGGTCGTTTTTAAGTGTCAAACTTAGCCTTTCAGCTGCATTCTCATTAACAACAACATAATGATAATAACAATAAAATGTAAAAGCAATTTGGAGGTGGCCACGGTGACTTTAATACAAAAAGTATTATTCTGCATCCAGGACAATATGTGGAGTGAAAGAGACAGAACACCCAAAAGCATCTGAGCTCCGCGTCCATGTCTAGGACATTCTCAGCAATCACTTCCCTTTCCTCCGTCTATGCAGGAGCCGAGAAAATTTATCTCAGGACCCTCAGCTCCTGCCATTGTAGAGTCTGTACGATGTGGATCTAGCCTGGCAGGTGGAGAGGCAGCAGTTTCCATGCCTCTTACAAATTAACTAGTTTTCACGGACGTTTTGCAGCTGCCTTGGAAACAGGCTAGCAGTTTTGAAAAAGAATCGTTGCAGCCAAGAAAAAGGTATCGGTATCATGTGTGTGCATGGATAAAGCATACTTTTAGAAACCTGTCACTTCACCTGCACTGAATGGAAACAACGCCAAGTTGTGTCTATGGCTTTCTTCTTTTTTTCCCATTGAACTTGCTTTAACTGCTAATCTTTCTTTCTCCAGAATTCTGGCAGGTTAAACATTATTATATAAATAGCAATTGCAACAAATACCTTCACAGAATGATGTATAAATAAACTTGAGCCCTGAACACTCATCACTCCAGTAAATATTTACAAAAACATTCTAGCTTTAAATAGGGGGAAAGGGTTGTGTTTGAAGAGTTTTTACTTTATTGATATTTGGCTAATATTAGAGTTAAATAAAATGCCTGTGTATAATGCAGGTAGCTTCCTATGGAACACGCTTTATTTTTCCAGTATGCTTCAGAACACAGCTTACTGAAACAAGAACACCTAAGTCCTTGAGTGTAAGGTCTTAAATAGTTAGGGTTATTATTTTAGGTATGTATACCATGTCACATTCAAGGCAGTATCAGAAAATGAGGTACATCATAAAAAATTAATTTTCTGCAGCGTATTTCTATAAGTGCCTAAACTAAATCACTTTATAGGGGGAAGGGGAGCTTTCAAAATATATTATGTAAGTCCCTGTCTTCTTAGAGTTCATGGGTTAATACGTCCTTAGTGATTCAAAGTCATTATAACCATTAATTATTATGGTGTGTACAGTATGCTGTAATACAGGATGCACTCAGAAACTCGGCAGGTGTGGTTGGCTCTTTGCCCCTATGCTAAATGGCTCCATGCTGCCATACTTTTTGAGTTCTTAGGTCTAACTTTTTATCATTTTTTAAATCTCTTCCTTCAATATTTATTGTCTCTCTTTGCGCCTATGAGCACAAGTCTCTGTTGTGCTTCCAAAATATCTCCGGTATACTGGAAGTTCAGACATCAAGGTTGTCAGAATTATGTCTTACATAAGAGAAAAAAGCCTCGGAGTAAATATCAAAGGGATGCTTTTTAAAGCACATATACAAACTTTTGGTTCTTGGAGTTTTAGTGGTATCTCTGCTGATCTTTGTTTCTTTCTTTTCTTTTTTCTTTTCTGTTTTTTCGGCTTCTGTCTTCCATTTATTTCACAAGGCTTTCATGTGAGAGATGTCTGATTGAAAAGTATTATAGCAATTGTTTATACTTCTGAGATAGCAGTTCTAATTTAGTATTTCTTTAGATAACCACTTGCCTTACTGGAAACTGCTTACCTTCTACTAGTGTTAGTTACAATTTTTGGTGCATAGTCAAGAATAGGACTTTTTCCTTTTAACTATCTTTTTCAAACATTTCACGTAGTGCCTCACCCAAAGTCTGCTCCGAGAAAATATATGATGATTAACTGAGATTTAAAAATAATTATCACACACAAGCTACATACAAATGAAACTTTCTACAAAGTATACTGGTCTTTCATGTTCTAGAAAATGCTTCTGTGCTTTTCACATCTTGGTTTAAAAAAAACAACAACAAGAAAGACCAAGTTGAGCATAAATGATAAAAATAATTTGTAAAGGAGCTGAAAATAGAACTCTTCGTAGATACCAATTCCAAGTACATTGCAGCTTTCCTATGGGATTATTTTGTTGCTGGAAGAATTTGTAGCTCCTAATTAGGAGCCCTTTAATTCATTCATTCGTTCCAACAATAGCATTTACTGAATGCTTGCTGGGCCCCACCAGGGATACACAGGCATATCAGACACAATCTCAGGAAACAGACATTTTGGCCAGAATTTGAAGGTTGCTGTGAGTCAGAGCCCAGCTGCCATATGTTAGAAGCATTCCTCCAGTTAAAACTGAAAGCTTTAAAGTGAAGCTTAACTTGTTTTTTCAAGCTAGCCTTGATTCAATTAGAACGATCCCAAATATTTCGTGTTCTGGGAAGAAATCTGGAGAAGTGGTGTCATAATGTTTTCCTGTTCGCTGACAAGTCATTCAGTAGCCCTGTCCAAGATCATTTAAAATAGCCTGGGAATAATCAGAAGTGATGTGCCTCTGCGGAAAACACTTGGAGGATGTCTGTCGGCAAATGATGTTTTAAACCCTAGGTTTGATTTAGAACTGTTGTCAGGTTCCTAATGACGATTTATATGTTTAAAAAACGTCATCTCCAGAAAAGTTAATATAAATGTAAGTTAGGAAACAATGAAAGTTTCATATAATATAATCATTATTTACTCTGTGGTTTTACTTATCTGTTTTGCTTTGTAATCAAATATACAAACTTACCTTCTCTCCCTCCCTGCTATTAGCTTGCTTTGTCAGTGAGTCATCATGTTTTGCCTCTATTAAAGACCAATAATCTTAAATCGTATCATTAATCATATCTGATCATCGTAATTTTGTAAGAAAACCATCTGTATAAATTTTGAGTGAAGTAACCTTATGCATTGTTTACGTAGTTTCTTTTCCACTATAGTTTAACATTTAGATTATGTTGTTAGCCTTAGTTGTATGCGGGAAGATTGACATAATTTTATTAAAATTATTGGTTTTTATTGCCTTGAAATCCTAAGGGATACAATAGGTTTTGGTAAGAAAGCATTTCAGACAGAATCATAATAAGCTTCTTAACTAAATGTCCTTGTTTGTCTAGGAGTGTTTGAAAGAAAAAAAAATCTTGTTTCCAGAGAGTACAAACTCTAACTACATTACGAAGAATTGCTTTTAAACATTCAGGAATTTTTTTTTTTGAAATGGAGTAGACAAATTATCAGTTTTCATGGTGACATGTACATAGTATATCGTGTGTAGAACCTTTGACTCTGAAGAACATAGCTAGGTTGACAGAATAACAAAAGATCCACTTCTAAAGTGAAAAATTATCTTAATTATTTGGGAGCTCTGAGTATATAATGCCAAATACATGGAGAGTTAGCACTATCTGTATGTCCAAATAAACTCCCTGTTCACACTGTTTGTTAGTATATTTTATATTGCTCATACAGTTATAAATGTCTAGTGGTAGGTCATAAACCACTCCAATCCAGTGATTATTGGGTATCAACAGTGTGCCAGATACTAATGGGTTTCATGTTTATTGCCTGACTTTTAAGATCTTAAAAACATCTCTAAAGATAGGTGTTAGTTTTTCAGTTGTACAGGAGAGGAAATTGAAGCTCAAAGAATATAAGTAACTTGTCACCAATCACAAAGCCACTGTTGGAACTAGAATGGAAAACCAGATTTTCCAACTCCAATTCCAGTGCTTTTTCTTCCATACATGCTACTTTCAAAGAAGTATTCACTGATTCAACAAATATTTACTCAACATCTATGTATGCCAGGCACTATGGTAAGCCTTAATGATATAAGGAATACAATGGCGAGTAAGACAGGTATGTTTCCTGACTCTAGTGTGGAGAGTCTAAAGAAGAAGGCAGAAAAGATAATAAATGATTTGAAAAGAGAGTGACGAATCAGGTTTACAAAAAGAGAAGAACAAGATGTCTATAGGGCAGTGACATTTAAACTTAGACCATAGAATGGCAAAAAAAGCAGATAAACAAGGTCAGTCCATTCGCATTACTGGAGGATTTTGTGTTTACAAATTTGCATACTCACTAAAATTTATTTATAACCCCAAAATCAACACTGGGTATGCGGTCATTGGCAGACAAGTATGTGCACACAGCGTCCTAGAACAGGTTCCCCACTGAGGTCCATTGAGGTGATGTTCTGCCCTCTTGTTTCAGCTGTCATATTATAAACAGGTGTCCTTTTTAAAGTCTATTCAATGCCATATTTTTCTAATGTTCGTGCTTTTTTTTTTTTTTTTTTTTTTGAGACAGAGTCTCGCTCTGTCACCCAGGCTGGAGTGCAGTGGTGCGATCTCGGCTCTCTGCAACCTACGCCTCCCAGGGTCAAGCGATTCTCCTGCCTCAGCCTCCTGCGTAGATTACAGGCACGCACCACCATGCCCGGCTAATTTCTTTTGTATTTTCAGTAGAGACGGGGTTTCACCATGTTGGCCGGGCTGGTCTCAAACTCCCGACCTCAGGTGATCCACCCACCTCAGCCTCCCAAAGTGCTGGGATTACAGGCGTGAGCCACCATGCCCCGCCCTGTTTGTGCTTTTTGTTGATAAGTCTCACTGTTTAAAATGATCCCCAAGCACAGTGCTTGCTGAAGTGCTGTCTAGTGTTCAAGCGCGAGAAGATTGTGATATGTCTTAATGGAGAAAATACAATGTGTTACATAAGCTGTCTCTAGCCATGAGTTATACTGCTGTTGGCTGCCAGTGCAATGTTATTGAATCAACAATACATACTAAATAAGATGTCTTTAAACAGAAACACACATAAAACAAAGTTAGGTATTGATCAGTTGACAAAAAAGTTATGAGCACAGACTCACAGAAACTTAACCCTCTATTTCCTCTAGGACGAATAATTTTGTCTTTTAAAATTCAGTGTTCCTGGGAACTTTATAGAACTTAACTACTTTGAAGAACTAAAATCAGCAATGAATGGATAAATATTCAACAACACCATGTGCTGGAGAGGATATGGAGCAACTGGAACTCTCATACATTGCTGATAGGAATGCAAAATGGCACAGCTACTCTGGAAACCATCAAGCATTTCTTATAATTAAATGTATATATCCATCCCATATGATCTAACAGTCCCATTCCTAGGTATTTACCAATATAAATGTAAATTTAGGTTCACACCACAGCCTGTACCATGAATATTTATACCAGCTTTATTTTTGATTGCCATAAAATGGAAACAACCCAACTGTCCTTCAATTGAGGAATGAATAAACAAACTGTGGAATGGAATATTACTCAACAATAAAACAGAGCAAATTATTGTACTCAACAACACGGGATGAATCTCAAATGCTTTATGCTAAGTAGAAGAAACCAGTCAACAGGCTGCATAATATACTATTCCACTGAAATAATATTCTTTAAAGGCAAAGCTGTAGGGACACAAAACATCTCTGGTTGCCAGGATTTGGGGTGGAGGGTTGGCTATAAAGGGGCACAGAGGAATATTGGGGGAGAGGGGAATAGAACTGTTCTGTGTCTTTTAATTTAATTGTGGTTAAACAATTAAATGCCTTAGTCACAACTCAAAGAACTGTATCCTAAAAAGGGTGAGTTTTCCAACATGTAAATTATATTTTAATAAGATTAAAAAGCTGAGATCTGAAAGACGAATCAAAGTGCAATTCTTCTAGTTTGACACGGTGACATCAGAAAATACCATTAAAATAGAGAGCACTCTATATGTTTTACAGTAGTTCTAGTTGATAAAATACTGTTAGTGTAAAATAACCACTATGTAGTAATTTATGTTATACTGCAAACTGAGCAGCGATCTCTCTGAACATATAAAACATGTTTTCTTTTCTCTTGTTTTGTTACGCCTAAATCTAACATGGTGACAGGAAACAGTTTCTTACTAGTTTTTTGACAAGTGCTGAAATCTGCAAATCATAATATGATTCCAATATATGCATTATTCATAAGAGGACAAAACTTTTGTTTGATTTGGATTACCCAGTTTAATGGCAGCTGACCTTGGGATAATATAACAAACAAGACAACAGAGCAAATATGATAATATCACTTATCTTGCTTGAATATGATTATTTAATGATAGGCAACTGTCAGAAACAGACAGTTAACTGTTCGTGTCCTTGGAAGCAGAGAGACTTACCAAATGCCCTCTTTGAGTGTCTTGAACTCTGATATTTCCCTTTTTTATTCTTCCCTGTTTATAATGGCTTTGCTACATTACCTCTGTTATATTTCAAGGAGCAAAGATGTTGTAAATCAAATCACCGTTACATTCTGGTCTATGAAAGTCAGTTTCACCATATAACATGTACCTAACCTTTGAAATAATGGGCGAGTTGGGCTTTCCAAGACTATTACGTACTTAAGGCTTTACAACAAATTCAATAATGCATATCAGTAGTTTCTCAATAATGTATACTGTAGCTAACACAAACAAGTCACTCTTTCTCACTTTTATTATATTTTGAAAATTATTTTACTAATATTTTACTTAAGATGTGTTGTCAAAACATCCCAGGGCTATGTATGTACTGTGTTCTTTTATAAATAACAAGACTATGCATAACTACAGTCACTTAATAAACGTAGATAACAGTTTACTCAAAGTACATTGAAAATAAATGGCTCTGCTTAAGATTATTAAGCTATCAAAGCCATTTGTTGGGTGATTAAAGTAGGTGAACAAACTGCTATATTATATATGTTGCAAAAACTGTGAAAAGAGCAGCAGTGAAACAATTTGGAAAAGTAAAAACAGTAAATATATCTTGTGCTTTTTCTGTAGAATATCATGAACTATGAAATCATTATTTTTTTACCTTTTTAACAGATGTTTTTGGTTTGGAGTCTTTTAGGAACGTCAGCTTTGATTTGTGTATTTTTTAGTTTCCTTGTAATCCTATCTAACATCCATTAACAACATTTAGAGTTGTTTGATTATTCCGAAATACAAAATAAACTTCCCTCAAGAGTTAATTTGGTATGTAGCAAGTGTTTCTTAAATGTACAAATGGCAACATTGTTTTCCAACAGAATAATTACAACCATGTACAGTATGTTTCCTCATTAGTAGTAATTAAATAATTTACTACATTGTGCAATAATTCATAATGACACATGCTAACCTTGCTCAATTATAGAAGCCAGTGATAAAAGAATTTCTTGCACACATGCCTAGATGTTATGAGGGTAGTACTTCTTGATTTCTGGAGAAGTCAGCTTGCTATTTTTGAAATACTAAGTAATGCTGAATTGAAGGAAAAATTAATTCAATTTTTGAGAGTTGCAGCATAATGTTTAGGAGTGCACATGCTAGAATCAGTGTACCTGGATTTTTTTCTTATGGTTCCACCGGTTATTGGCCCTGTCCTCCTGGACAAGTCACTTAATTTCTCTGTGCCCCAGTTTCCTCATCTGTAAAATGAATGTAATAAAAGTACAGAATGTTTTTCCATAAATGAAATGATTTTTAAAAAGAGCATAAAATCAATGCTTGCCACACAGGAAGTTCCAAGGAATAGTTAACCAGTAGGAGAGGTAGTAGCAGCAACAGTAACAGTATTATATAATGATTGGAAACCCATTTTGATTTCACAAAATTATTTTTGAGGACACAAGGCTTTACTAGATACTAAAAATCTAACAGGAATTTTGGAACTTCTGACTGGAATGCCTAATTTAATCTACCTCCATCTTACAAAATGTAGGAAGAGATTTTAAGAGAAGAGTGATTTTTTAAAATGTGGATCTAACATATTGAGAAAATTTTAACCTTTTTATTAAAACAAAAAATACCCAAATCTATTCTTGTTTTAGCGCTCACAACAGACTTCCACAGTGTAGGACTGGACATAAATAATAGATGGACTTCTGAGAGCAGAGAATAGACTTCTGGTCAGACACTGTCAGCCCAGATGAATCCCATCCTATAAGCTGGAGCTTAAATGTGAGCATCAAAACCACTATTGACATGTGGCACAACTGTCTGAAATGTCAATAGTTATAAAATGAGTATTTCATAATGCAGAATAATTGATTACTTTGCTTGACTGAACAGGAACATATTTTCCCTGTGAAAGCAAAATAATGCCAGCATTTGCTCCTGGAACGCTCCTAGCTGCGAGATTTGGATTTCCCAATGAAGCCCACGTTACTCTGCAGTCCTTGATCATGCATGACAAAAATAGGGAAAACCATCTGTAACCGCTTATCTTTTCTCCATTATTTGAAAATATATTTTTAAGATAGTTCTTTAAAAAATAAAATATGGCCTATATATGAAGCATCTATATTAATAGAACTGTCTCAGATAATTTTCAGAACTGAAATGGATGAGATACAAAATCAAATAACATTCCATTTATCTTGTTCATCCTAAAATGCTCTGCTTAGCTTTTCACTCTGATGAAATAACATCCATTTCCAGTTTTATTCTTCCTTGGTGTGCTGTGATGTGGAACTCTTTTGCTCTATGTGTTTTATTAAGTGTAATTTAACTTTATGACTATCAAACCAACGATTAATCCTTACAATAAGACTATGAAATAGGCAAGCTGCAAAGAGATTTATTTTCTGAAGCACAATTCCCTTCTTCTACCTCCAATTATTTTTTCAAAAATCATTCTCTGAAAGTGTATAGTTTGCAGAGCTCTGTCCTGGGCACTGTGAGGGAAGGCAGAAGAAATAGCTACAACCTACATTCTGGGCTTTCTCCCCTTCTTATCTGTGTGTATTTTATCTCTGGTAAATGCTCGTTATTAGTTTCCTTGAGTGAGAAATGCATTTTCTGTCTCGTACTTTTACAACTGTGTTCTTTTATTTTCTTTACTTTTTTAAGACAGAGTCTTGCTCTGTCGCCCAGGCTGGAGTGCAGTGACACGATCTCAGCTCACTGCAGCCTCCGCCTCCCGGATTCAAGTGATTCTCCTGCCTCAGCCTCCCAAGTAGCTGAGATTACAGGCACCTGCCACCACAGCTGGCTAATTTTTGTATTTTTAGTAGAGATGGGGTTTCGCCATGTTGGCCAGGCTGGTCTCAATCTCCTGACCTCAGGTGATCTGCCCACCTTGGCCTCCCAAAGTGCTGGGATTACAGGCGTGAGCCACAGCACCCAGCCTGTACTTTTACAACTGTGTTCTATCGTCCTTCTAAGAGGCTCTTCATTTTTACTTCTATCCACCAAGATGTGATTTGGCCTTCAAGGTCTAGCTCAAATATCCTTCATGAAGTCCTCCTTCTCTTAAAGTTTCAGATGAACCCCGCACATAGTAACCACTCTTATTCTTGACTTACATGGCACTTTATTTCTGGAACACTTCGAGTATGTGCCACACATTCTGCCTTACATTATAAGCATTGCGTTTATTTTCCTACTAGATTGCAAGCTCCTTGGAGGATAGACTGATACCTTGATTTTTGTCCTTTCCTCTCGACATACTAGCACAGTGTAATGCACACAGAAGGTGTTTAGTCATTGCTCATTGGATGAGAACTTTCTCTCCTATAGGAAATAAGACATAAAAAGCCTGCTAGACCACAGGGCCTCTTAGGCCAATGGACAATTTAATTCTTATCCATCTTTGTGTCCTCAATACTTAGCAGGTGCTTAATAAATACAGTTGATCCCTGAACAATGTAGGGTTTAAAAGTGCTGACCCCCTTGTAGTAAAAAATCTGCATATAACTTTTGAATCCCCCATAACTTAACTACTAATAGCCTACTGTTGACTAGAAGCCTTGCCAATAAAATAGGCAATCAATTAACATATATTTTGTATGTTATATGTATTATATATTGTATTCTTACAATAAAGTAACGTAGAAAAAATAAAATGTTATGAAGAAAATCATAAGGAAGAGAAATTATGCTTACTATTCATTAAGTGGAAGTGGATTGTCATAAAGGTCTTCATCCTTATTGTCTTCACAGTGAGTAGGCTGAGGAGGAAAAAAGGGTTAGTCTTACTGTCTCAGGGGTGGCAGAAGCGGAAGAAAATTCTCACATAAGTGAACCTACACATGTCAAATCTGTGTTGTTCAAGGGTCAACTATACTTGTTTTATATACATGACACACACACACGAGTTTCAAAATTGTAGAACGCTCAGCAAAAGTGCATGCGGAGAAACATTTCAACAAATTTTGATTAAGGGTTAACATTTTATGTCAGGCACAGGTGCTGTGTGTGTAACAATGTAAGGGCTGATGGGGTGGTGATGGCAGTTCCACTTGTAAGCTCTACTGAGAGATATCACTTTTTCCTTTCTGTATACTGTTTAATCCTCCTAGTGGCCCTACAAGGCTCTACTCTCCTTATTTGACGTATGGTGAAACAAAGGTTTGCTCAAGCTCATACAGCTAGTGAGTGGGATGTAGGTTGGTTTTGAGCCCAACTTCATCTAATGCCAAAGCCCATTCCACCATACCATGGAGTTCAAGCAAACAAAGAAGGCTTCTTGGAGAAGTAAGCAGATACGGCACAGCATAGAGAAAGGGAAGAAAGTGTTCCCGAAAAGTGGATGGGGAATGATTCTGAAAGCAGTCACAGGATGTTCGAGTGGTAGGGGCCCGTTGCAGTCAGTTCCTACTCCATCAGGCTACAGTTGAGGGGCCTGGTGTCCTGAAAGGTAAAATGGCTTGCCCGATGTGATGTAGAAAGCTAATGACAAGTGTGAAACTATCCTGGACCCAGGATTCCAGATTCTGAGTTCACTTGTATTTCTTGTGTTTGCTTACATATATATATATATATGTATATATATGTATGTATATATATATATATATATATGTGTATATATATATATATATGTGTATATATATATATATATATATATGTTGTGTGTGTGTGTGTGTGTGTGTGTGTGTGTGTGTGTATCTCCTGTACCACTGCCAGGTATAGGAATGGGGTGAGGACACAGCATGGGGACATAAAGGAATGGAGGTCCCTCTTGGCCTTGGTTTGCATTTCTCCCCTTCCTGCCTTGACTGGTGTGTGTGTAGTGAGGCACCTGCCACCCACCTATTCTGTGGAGGTTGCTCAGCTCTGTATGCCTGTGAACTTTACCCTTTTCCTTATTGTGGTGATTACAAAACATAAGCCAGTCCTCTGAATTTCCTAATAGGTGTATGAAATATATGGTTCCAGAAATCCCAGAAGCCCTGCACCATTGTCTCCATTTAGTCAAATCTTTCACCTCCAACATCCCATTACACTAATAGCCACACTAATGATTTGCAGTCATCTATCAACTGTTAGTGAGTGGCACAGTGCTGCGCAAACATCTTTTCAATGGGCAACCAGACATGTTACACCTTTAGGAATGTTTGGACCGACTCACGGAACTCTACAGTTTTCAGAGCACAGGTCAGCTGATTTGTGACCTTCTCAAAATCAGGGCTACTGTCTTATTCTTGTTTGATTATCCATCACAGTGTCAGCATAATACCTACTCAGTAAGTGTGGCTGATTATGAGAAATATGTGTATGTGTGTGTGGGTGGGTGTGAGTGTGTAAAAGTGTAGGTGTCTCTTGCCACCCAAATGTAGTCTATTTCACGATATTTCATGAACTATGCATATGTATACATACATGCATATTTCAATCTACATCTATATTCATTTTAAAATCATGAATAAGGCAGATAAACCACATTAATCCACTTGTCCCGTCCCCCTTTATACTCATAAACAGCAGAGTTCCTTGTCTTACTGTTGGCTTCTGGGTCTCACCAGTGTTACTCCATTTGTAAGTGTTCCTTTATGAGAAACTGGCTCCTTCTGGACTCATATTTAAGCAAGGCTGTGATCTCTTCTAGGTTAGTTTGTGATGTGTCCATAGCTTCCCAAGTATCCTTGCTTTAGAACTCTCTGGGTCTGACCCTATTGTGTTTATAGGAAACTTGGTCCCCTGGCTCTATGTCAACCAGAATGGCTCAACTCCTAAAGGTCACAGTGCAGTGGTGGCTAAGGATTCCATTGAATCAAGCTGCCTAGGACCACATTAACCTTTCACTGATCCCTTTCTTGTTCAGCTATAACAAAATTAATTGAATTAGCAAGCAGACGCACACTGGAGAGAGAGACGCAGGGCCTGGGTGAGACAAAACCAAAATGCTGTGCCTCACATGCATCAGCAAACTTTGAAATCACCTTTGTCCTAGGAGCCACTTGCAGATTCGGGATAAGTTTGCCAGTCCACTGGTTTGTCATTCTCCCCAATAGCATTATATCTGTGATTTGGGGTGGCAAATTATGAGATCAGAACTTGTGTGGTGAAAAACAAAATATACGCTCATAAAGTCAAGTATCATTTATTTAAACTGTAACATAGGAAGACTGGCACCAATTTACTAGTGATACTACCGTCTAGACTCCTGCAAAAATGCACCCATCTTTTCCCCTAGGTGTTTTTGGGAACAACTTGGCATTAGAAGTGTCTCTCTACTTTCTTACTGTGTGGCAGACTCAGTGTGGAACCCAGCACACAGGAACACCACGTGGGGCTGTGACCATCCTGGGAGACTCTGAGATGAGTTACATGTGTTTATAAGTATGTTGTGTGCCTTCTTTTTCTGAGATTAGTCAACAGAAACCTTTGAGCTGCAAATTAATATATAACAAACTCCCATTCCTGGTAAAGAAGTCCCATTCTGTTTAATTATCTTCATGTAAGCAATATTACTTTACTTTTTTTTTTTTTTCAGAACACTTGGTAAAAAGAAAAAGAAAGAATATGTTCCTTAGCACTGTGTTCTCCCTCAGTCGGTACTCATAAGCATTTATTTAATAAAATCCAAACGATTATTCCTACATATTTATTGCATTTTAATATTTTATTGTATTTCTACTTGATTGTATTTTTTTTTTTCCTTGAGACAGATTATTGCTCTGTCGCCCAGGCTGGAGTGCAGTGGTGTGATCTCAGCTCACTGCAACCTCAACTTCCTGGGTTCAAGTAATTCTTATGCCTCAGCCTCGCGAGTAGTAGCTGGGATTACAGGCAAGCACCACCACGCCTGGCTAATTTTTGTATTTTTGTAGAGATGGGGTTTCACCATGTTGCCCAGGTTGGTCTTGAACTCCTGACCTCAAGTGATCCACCCGCCTTGACCTCTCAAAGTGCTGGGATTACAGGCATGAGCCACCATGCCCGGCTTTTACATGATTGTATTTTAATATACAGTGGGTAAAAGTTTGTGCTAAAATGTATCATTTATGGCTCCAATTTGGTATTATTGAAGGGAGATGTCCCTTCAATATGGGAGATGTTCCCTTTTACTCCTGACTGATTTGTTTGGTTGGGGCCTTATAATGTCATAGAAAATGTGCATTTTGAGTGGTTAAAAAAAAAAAACAGCCTATAGTTTTTACTCTCAAAGAGCTTTGTGTTAATATAAAGAACAGTAATATAACCTGGGTTAAAAGCTGAAGACATTTAATAGAGGCATGTATTACAAATAGCATCTAGCTACATTGGAAGGTTAGGACTTCATATCTGAAATTCTGTTGCTCATTAGTTGTAGGAAGTGAATGAAGTACATCTCCAAAGGGCAAGGTCAGTATTACATTATTCTGGAAATGTCTTTGTTGAATAAATGTGTAAATATTTCAGATAAGTACTTGAGATTATATTTCTATTGGGGACATATCTATAGAATGAATGATTCTACTTATAACTGCAGGAGCAGATGTCATGTTACATGTTGTTCCCAATGACTGATTTCATTTGAAATGATCTGGAAATAAATACTGATTACTAGTGATGTCAGATTATTCACCTTGGAGTCAGATGTCTCACAAGGCACGCTAGAGCTAATAGATTTGGTTCTTTTGAAAACATTGTTTTCTAAAGCAGGATACTGTTTTAAAGTAGCATTGTGAATCATCCGAGTTGTATATCTGGGTTCACTTGCATTGAGTAGGGAAGAACATACTTCCGAGGATGCAGTCTCCGATGGTTTTCCATCCTTTAACGATACAAAAGAAAGAAAATTGTACCTGGGACCTGCTTATAGGATAGCTTGGCATTAGTCGTTAGCACAAGGGAAATCAATAACCAAATGTGAATGATGGTGTCAGTGTAACTGAGGGGCGTTGCCTCATTGGGAGATATAGTTGCATCATAGGAACGTGGTGTGATTTAATTTCATAATTGTAAACATTACAGTGGGTATGGCTGATTCATTTGAAACTCTTGTCCACTTTGCTATGGCTGGACAGCTGAGTTAACATGGGTAGGTCTTGGGTTCACATTTTTATAATTTCTTTTCTTTGTAGTTTTTTTTGGGGGAAAAATCTTTAAGAAAAAAAGCTGTATTAGAATGAATTTATCTGAAATCAAACTTTTATAAAGCCATGGCTTGACTGAAGGACAACGAACTTTATTGACCTTCTAAATCAGAGCGCTGTATAAATGTTTGGAAGACTCAATTTTGCCTTGAAAGGGGGCTGGGGAGGGAGTGTATGAATCCTTGTTTTCTACGGTGCTGATTATTTGCTTGTGTTTTAAATTGTGGCCCAACTCAGGGGCAAGAGCAACTCACTTACATGGAGAAAAAAATATGCTAGAATTATCCTTGCTTAATCATCATGAATGCAACAGCTAATAGCCATCTGATATTTTAAGTTGTGCGTGGCAACAGACCAACAGAAAAGCAAGCAGAATGAAATTTCGTGAAGGAACCGCAATAGGTACGCAAACTTGGCTTTTCAGAATTTTTTTCTGTTATGCTCGGTACTATAGACACCCTGACCAAAGTTTTAAACAATGCAGACTCTGGGTATGTAGCATCTGAAATTCATTGTAAAGAGATTGACCTGTAAAATAATAACGTCATGATTTACAGTTCCGTAAGGACAGTAAGAAGAATTAAGCTTCAAAGTTTAGAGGGAATTAAGTCTTAGTCGCATGTTAAAATGTACAAAGTTCACCTTCAGAGGTCTTTATTTTCTGTCAGAATTACCACAGTGTTTCATTTTTAGGGTATGAAAACGATAGCTTTTCCTACTTGTAGATGGGTTCTCTGGAGAGATATGGAAGAGCCTGGGAATTTAGCGGCTCAAATCAGCTGGCAACTGGAGTTCATTTAGGTGATTCACATACAATTTCCGGCTTTCCTTGCAGGTATCAGTGGTCTTGGACGCGGGGAAGGGGGTTGGGGGGGACAGGTGTAGACCAGGACCTTGGTTATTGGTATAACTGCCAATATCCAAGGGTTGCCAAGGGTTGGGTGGGCGGAGTTCCCCCGCCCAGGCCGAGTCTCTCCAGAAAGACTTCGGAGGAGCTTACTCCACTCCCCGGACGGTCCCAGTGGCTTCGTTCTCCACGGCCCAGAAGTGGGCCGTACCTTCCGATTAGAGCTGGGGCACTCTAGGAAATGCGGGTGACCGTAGCTCCCCAGACCAAACCTGTCTTTTCCACCAACGAGCTGGCGCATTTATCGCCCCCGAGTGCTCCGGCAAGCCAGCGGGAGAGTGGCGTCGGGTTGCGAGCCTCTTGCCCCACCGAGTGGGGGCAGAAAGTGGTCAGAGGCGCGTTCCGCGGGGCGCTGCGTGCAGAAAAGCGACCGGCGGCCACAGGTGATCCCGAAGGCGAGGGGAAGGCGGGCGCCCGGGCGAGGGCCCGGGGCGCGGGAGGGCAGGCCCGGCCGGGGTGGGCCAGCAGAGCCGCCGCTGCTACTCACCTGCCCGCGGGGGCGGGGCGGGGCGCGGCGCTGGGGCGCGCCTGCCTCCCGCCTCCCGCCTCCCGCCTCCCGCCCCGGGAGGAAGCGGAGGGGCGCGGTGTAAACAGAGCGGCGGCCGTGATGTCAGCCGGTCACATGGAGCCTCTTATGGCTCGGGATGGCTCTCGGCGGGCGGGCAGCTGCGGCAGCTGCTGCTGTGGCTCGGGCGGCGGCGGCGCGGCGGCGGCAGAGGGGGCTCCGGGGTCGGACCATCCGCTCTCCCTGCGCTCTCCGCACCGCGGCTTAAATGATGTATTTTGTGATCGCAGCGATGAAAGGTGAGCCCGGGCGCCCCGCCGGGGCCGGGTGGGCTGGCGGCTCCGGGGGGCGGGGAGGAGGGCGCGCAGGGGGAGGGGTGGGCGCGCCTGCCCGAACGCACGTACTGCCCGGGGCTCGGCGCGGGGGCCCTGCCAGGGCCTTCTGGGCCACCGCCGCGGCGCCACCTGAGCCCGGCCACGGGATCGGCCTGCCTCCGATTGGGGGGCAAAGGCGCACGGGGTGGATCCCCCTCTGCTGCCCCCTCCGGCTCCTGTCAGTCTCTTGGGTCCGCTTGGCACCGGGCGGGTCTCCCAAAAGAAAGTTTGCCGGGAGTCGCCGCGCTTCGGAAAGGAAGGGGAGGGTCTGCGGAGTTCAGAGGAAGCCGGGGACGCCCGCGGCCGGTCCCCAGGGCCCGCACCCGGGACAGCTCCGGCCTAGGTCGGGGAGGCGCCGCGGCCGGGCAGGGCCGTGCGTGCGCGTTGTCGCGATGTCATCCCCGGGGACTGGTCAGCGCCCCAGGCCTTGCGCCCTGCCCCTGCGTCCCCGAGCGCCTCAGCGGCCGCCGGCCGGGCAAGTGCCGCAGGTCCGCGCTGTGTCCCGCGCTGTGTCCCGCCGCGGCCACTTCCGAAAGCGCGCGGGCCGGAGCGAGACGGGCGCCTCGAGCGTGCCAAGACGCTCTGGGCGGCCCAGGGAGCCGCGGCGCACCCCGCTTGACACTTTGGCTGGTGGATGGAGGTGGGGAGGAACTCGGCAGCCCACGGGATCCGCGGGCAGGGGCGGAGGTTAGACCGTGGTGAGGGCCGACGGGCGCGGGTTAGTCGCGGCCAATCCTGCCGGGCGGCCCGGCCTTCCGCCCTCATCAGGACTCCGTAGCCGGGCCGGGGGCGGGAGGGGAGGGGGATTTGGTTGGAGGGAGGACTGGCTCTAGGTCCTCTCAGGTGAGAAGGAGAGAAACCGTGGCAAGTCAGGGAACTTTCTGATGGGAAAGCTAAAGTTTGGAGGTGTTCAGGAAGTCGCCCGTGCTGCCGGAGAAACCGAGACTCGCTCTTGGGACGGTTGCAAACAGCTCCGGAGAAACTCAGCCCGCAGCACGCCGCCCGCCGCCCGCCGCCCGCTTGTGCGCCCGCAGGTTCCTCGCCGTGGATAATCTGCCCGAGCTGCTTCGCAGGCCCGGCCGCCAGGCTTGGGGATTTAGAGCCCCATCTGTTTGCGGCGGACGCGGCTTCCCTAATGCGCAGCAATTGTGCAGACCCAGACTGTCCTGCGGGTCCTAGCCACCGGTGCGGGTGCCAAGCGCCTGTTAAACGTTTGCTAGTTTGGGGTTGTGTTGCAATCTGGAATGAAGGACACCAGTTCGGTATCTGCGCTGGGTTTACTTTCGGATCACCGAGCTTTGCCTTTCTTCACTAGAGATTGGGTGGCATCTCTTTTATTAATTATTAACAGGCCGAAACGTACTGGACGTTAAGATGAGCTGCTTGAGATGAAATCTTTCTATATAATGTGCCCACAGCAAATTTTCTCTTTTCCCCTGTGGCTTGAGGGGAATGGGATTTAATCATTTTTAGAATATGTAATTCATATAAGTAAAAGAGAGGAAACCTCCCGTGATCCGCGCTCTTAAGCACTTAAAATTATTTGGGAGGAAAAATTATTAAGATTTCTTATCGACTTCTTATGTTAAAAAATCTATTCTCCCCCACCCCCCCAAAAAACTTTTATGCTAGTCCTGCATTTCATTAGCCCTGTAAGTGTGAAACGTCTTAAATGCCCTCTGCAGTTAAAGCATTTTTTGTCTTTAAATTATAAAATTGATTTTGCTATTTGGAAGATGTCAATGCCAGTCTTTATCCACTTTGTCTAATATACTTTGTGTTGATTGGAGGAAAGGCGAGAGGCTGAGACATTTTAAACTGCTTTCTCCCCTAATGAACAGTAACGACCCACCAAAAAAAAGGAAAGTACGTTTTAATATTTTGATTTAAAGTTGATGTTTCCTAGTACATAGGCTTTTGCTTTTGTAATTCTACAAAGTGAAGTTCCATACTGTCCCTTGCTAATAGAATAATAAGAATCACACACGCTACCCCCACACTTGGAGTGACCTCTGTCTGCCATAAAATAATAGTTTCATAGTATTGTGCTTTGAAAAAAGTGCCTCAGAAGTACTGGCAATGCAATTTTTCTATAAACTCAGCTGCCTGAAAGAGAGAGAGAGAGAGAGAGAGAGATAGAGGAAGAGGGAGAGAGAATGCATCTGAACAATTAGAATATTTCACTCCCAATATCATAATATCCTGAATTTTAATGGGATTATCTTGCTTTGGTGCAAACTTAAGCTGAAAGAGAAAATAGTTTGTGGGGAAGTGAGGAATGCTGTAAATGTTTCCATATCAGATTTAGAGGAAAAAACTGGCTTAGAATCTTATTAAATACTTCCCTATTGCTTCTCAGTTTTAATAGTTAAATTGGTTCCATGTGTAAGACAGTTTGTATAACTAGATTTTTCGTGCAAAACAGAAATACTGTTTACAATATAGCTTTTTGGTATGTGGATGCATGTGGACAAGGGAGGAGAGAACAAGCCACCATAAAAGAAAGATTCTCTTTGTTGGCTGATTTACTGATGTTTTTTAAACATCAGTAAATCAGGCCCTTTGAACTCACCAAAGAAGAAAATCCTTCCTCTGCATTAGTTGTCAAATAAGTTTAGGCTTAGTTTCATGCTCAAATGTAATAAATCTTCATTTGAGTAACTCTAGTCTCATCCTTCAATTTTGCTTTTGTTTAATTAACAACAAAATTCCAATACCATTTGGATTGCTTCTTGGGCAAAGGGAGAGAGCCAGCTATAACATTTATAATCGGGGGAGCACTTGTTCTGCTCATCATAAAAGTGCATTGGCCAGATGTCACGCGGCAGCGGAGTACTGAAAGGAAATGTAAGACGTTCATCAGTTTCAGTAGATGATATACCCCTTTGCTTCATATGAGTGCTCAGCCTGTGTTTGTGCAAATGGAGTTATAAGAGCACAGGGAGGCTTAAAGGGAATTTCTGGCCCGTAGATTCTTCGTCCGGCCTGATTCATGTGCAAATGCAAGACTCCTCACCACTTTGAAAATACTGTATGTGTTGGTAGTATGTCCAACTGTAATAAATACGATTCTGTAGTTTTGAAGAACTTGGCCTTTCTTTCTACGAAATGAAATTAGAATTCGATCTCTGATCTCACTGTAAGGACCCATTGCCTGGTATCCCTTCACTGGGATTTTTGTACCATTTTTGTTACTTGTGATGGGAAGGATTGGGAGAAGGTGATGGCTGGATCTTGAAAAGAGAAAACCCAAATGGTTGCCACTACTGAGCAGAATGCTTATCTGGCAAGAAGGGATCAGTTCTTTTAAAGACAAAGAGGATTTCTGAATCCATTTGTCCATGGGAGGAGGGAGAAGCCTGGACCCTCCATGAAGTAGAGAGTATTTTAAAAGCACCATTTTCATGGGCAGCCTCTTGATTTTATATATTTCAATCACGTTACTTGAGATACAAAGCAGCAGCATGCACAAGTAAACCCTTTTGCCCACGATTTGAATTGAGAACCATATAATTTATTTAATGCTGCCCAGTCATGAAATAATGTAATTTCTAAACAGAAATAGTCATTTAGAAATATACAGTATGTCATCTAAACCTTAGCTCTTTAATATGTAGTAGATACACTTGTAAATATATTAATAATTCTCATTAGTCTCCTTTTTCTCCTATCTTTCCCTCCCACTCAAGTGAGACACAATAAAAGTGGATGAGATCAGCAAGGTGATAATTGCAAAGCACCTACAATAGCACCCAACCACTTTCTTATTTGCTCTGGGGTATCTAGGAAAATAATATTTATAAATGGCCACTTACTGGAGAAAAGTTACTGGATGGATGGATGGATGGATGGATGGATGGATGAATAGATTTGCAGAGGTAGATGTAGGGTTCAGTTTTCTTAAAAATCTCTTAAATTATTATAGGGATCAACAAAACCCCTTATGTGGAACAAATTTCCTAAGAATACTCTGTCATGGAAATGTTTTCTGCATTCATTTTTACTATTTACAGCACTTATTAGTAAGAAATCAAGGCTGCCTTTATGTATTTCATATTTAATAATTTTAAAGCCATAATTAGACACTCAGAGTCAGCAGCTACACCACTTTTATGTTTCTCTACTTAAAAAACAGTTTTTTTGGAGCCATCCACCAGTGACAAGTCAGGTGTGAATTGACATTTGATAGTATCTCAAAGACCACATACAGACCCTCTGAGGAATGATTTACAAGTTCTGTCTCCCCCATCTAGCTATTCTACTGAAGATAACTCCCTTCCATCCCAACCTTTTGATTCATGAACTGAGAGAGTCGTAGTCAGAGCTTTTTCTATCCGTCAGTATTTTGTGTGACATGATAGAACATGATTTTTCTGTTAATTGTCAAGAGATAGGAGGTCTAAATAGATGGATAATAGCATATACTATCCAATGGGCAAAATGCAAGGAAGCAGCTGAAATCTTTTGTTTCTGGATTTTCTTTTTGGAATGAAATTTGTTAGCCCTCATCATATTTTCAGGAGATAATACGATAACTTTAAAAATCTTTGCTCCTGTGGGTATAAAAAATAATGTCAAGATTATTCCCTAGGTTTTCCAGTTATTTCATTTTTTAAAATGTTACTGCTTCTGAAGTTTACTAGGCATTTCATAAACAAATAGGGAGATGATGCTAATCTATATTTATTTTGTGCTTTATGGTTTACAAACACTCTTACATCATTTAATCCTCCATAGAGAGTCACTGATAGTCCCATCAGTGACTGATGAAGAAACTGAGGCTCACAGAGGTTGCGTTATAGCCTAGCTTTTCCATCTGATAACGTGAAACAAGAACTACAACCCTAATTTCTATCTTCATGCCTCCCCTGGAGGAAGCTGTGAAAAACGTCCTGGATATAACTTTGTCTCTAGTTAGTGGAAATTATAACTCTGGCATTTATATGGGAAAAAAATAGATCCAATTATGTAATGCTTTGCTGAGCCTAATATCTTTAAATTACTATTTAATAAAATCAGTTTGGTACAAATGGGGTTATTCTTATTTGCTTATCATTAGCTCTCTTCAACCATGATTTTCATTAAGTCTGCTTGTTTTAAGAGGATATGAGTGAAATATAAGCATTATTTTCCCCAAGAATACAGAATACCATGAAGTACAGCTAACCTGTGTAACCAATCGCCATTATGATAGAATTGAGAGATATATCTATATGTTCCACTTATCCTTAGGCAAAGGGAACATTCACAAATGCATCTTCTAATTTTAATATGACTTTGTGTAGTATAAAGCTTACGAATTCTCGTGCTTGTGAGTGCTGTCGTGTTTGTTTTCATGACAGCTTAGGGGCATGATTGTAGATCTATTCTTGAGAAATCGTTTGTCTTTTAGAAAATCACGTGAAGTCTAAAAGTTTTCAAGTAGATCTGAAAAATCTCATTTCTCACTTAGTGGGGAATGGCCTTAATGACTGCTGGATTAAGGTGTGTTTGTCTGAAAGCAAATAAGGATTATTTCAGTCTCAGACGAAACCTTTAAAGTCACTCAGATGAATGTCTCACTGGGATTTGGACCCTGCCCACAATATTTCTGCCAAGTAGTTATCTGGTTATGCTGGAACACCTCCAACGATGGGGAACTCACTATCTTTAAAGGTAGGTTACTCCATCTTGAATTAGAAAAGTCTTTTTATATCAAGCATAACTCTCTCCTTTGTACTTTTAATCCCTTAATTCTGATCCTTTCCTTTGGGGCTGTGCAGAACACATTTAATCCATCTTTCAAATGAAAGACTGTAAGTCATTTGAAGACTAGTACTGTAACACACACATGCACACGCACACACACACACACACCCCTCTAATACGTAATATCTGCTGTCCCTCTCCAGTCCTTTTTGCTGTAAGTGTGGTTCTGCCTTCCCACAATCTTGGTCAGTTTCTTCCTCAAACACACTTCAGTTTGCCTAGAACCACTTGAAATTTTAATGCCAAAGATGGACCCCAAGTGCCAGTTGTGATATAATTGACTTGGCACTTAACCCAGCACATAGTAAAGAGGCAGCCATGACTTAAAGATGAAAAACTTTTGTTTTAAAATTTTAAAGATAACATCAGCTAGCTGTATCTCTAGCACCTCTCACCACCAGTCTTTGTGATATCATTGTTTGTGAAAGTGGACTTTTGAACTGTTTAGGAATACTTTTAGTTCCATTTGAAGTTGATTATTAAGTATCCAGGAAAATCAAAGATACTACAAAAATAATTAAAGGAACATTAGAAGCATTTCAGGTATTTTTCTGCCGCATGTCAGATATGAGATAAGGCTGCCCTCTAGTGGTTACTTGCACATGGACGGCTAAACCCATAATGGTGCCAGTGAATTTCCCATCAGGCTAGTGGGAAGGTCAAAGGTTGTAGTTATTTTCTTAATTGGAATGAGACATTTCTATTCCAGATTCAAAAGTTTAACTCGTTGTTCTTCATGGTTATCAGAAATGTAACTGTGGAAGGGATACTGAATTTTAAAAGTTTGCTTGGCAGGAAGTAAAGGAAAAAAAATTTTTAACTTAAAGCTGATTTATTTGCTGTTTGGCTCAATATTAAATTTAAGTGAAATTTGGTTTGTGAGTCAACAATTGTTATGACATTTTTAGTAATCCTCGTATTTTTTTAAGTTTCAAACTCCATTCTAATTCCCAACCCTTGAATATCTTTTAAAAAGAGGTCGTCATTTGATGAGCTAAATTCAGCGTTTCCCCTTTTTAAATCTAGAGCTTTTCTTTTTCAAAAATGATAAACATTTAGTAAAAAAGTAAACTACAGTAGCTTTTGGGGGGTAATAAAACAATTTTAAACATGGATGAAAAAAACTATTAACCCCTTGGTTTCTGAAGATTTATGGTTAGATCATTTGGTTCACTTAAGTATATACAGTTTGCCTAAAAAATAAGATAGAGGATATGTCAGAAACTCTGCATGAGGTAGCGACAAGCATTCATTTGCATATTTTTTAGGATAAATAGATAATACAAGTGGATTGTGGATTTGGATTTTGGTGTTATAACAAGTGTGAAACAATGGTAAAACAATCTGATTTCTGTGTCGGAATCTGAGGAATGAATATAGATCTTCCTATTTGCTTAAATGTTATTTGTTCCTGGTGCTACACAGAGGTATAAGAATGCACGTTTATATGAATTTTGCATTGCTGAAGAAGTCAAAGCTGATCTGAGCTAGAATAACCAGGGTAATAATAATGACAAATAATCACCAGGCTTGTAAAGGATAATAGTGCTTACGTGTTCCTATTAGAAAGATGAAATTGCAGCGTTTCATGAAAAAGAAGAAAAAAAATAAAAAGCAAGGAAAAACTGCTGTTTAAACCTTTCTATCATAGAAATAAGGCAGTGGTTCAGAAGTGAAGACTTGTGGTTAAGTTTCAGATCAGTTATTGAAGCCAACCGTTTTACAAACTGCGCCACCCAGAAGTGTGATTTTTTTTCACCACATGAGAAGTATTCTCTTTTTCACAGAATGTTATTTTCATTTTTCGGTTGTTGGAAAGGTTTTTTTTCTCCTTCTTTTTATTTGTTCATCTCACTTCAAATCTTCTGTAGAACAGTGGGTGAAAATAAGTAAATAAATTTGTTTCAGCAAATACTTAAGTGCCTATTGTGTGCTAGGTAATTCAGGTACCACCTTTGTGCTTTTATAATAGGAGCTGAGACACCTTCCTCCCAATCAAGTGTCTTAAGCCATGAATCAGCATTTAAAAAATGCACTGAGAAGTTGGCAGCCACACTTAGTCAGAGAAGGCTGCTTTATGGCTGTTGGACTTACACATTTGCATTTGCTATAAGCTACATGCCATTTAAAACAAAGGAGATTTCTGTGACATGCCAAACAATGCAATGAAATGTTAATGTAACTGGATAAAGTCAAACCCTATACTTATGGATGAACATGATTTGCTTCCACATAAGCCATAAGTTAGCTCTAAAATCCTGCCTGAAACAGTGGTTCTGAAACTGTAGAGTAGAACCCATACTCCAGAGAGTCTTAAGAAGGCGGATCCCTGGGTCTCACACAGAGTTTGATTCTGTCAGTCTGGGGTGAGGCCCACGAAGGCATGTATTTACACAGCATCTCAGATGTTTCTGATGCAACTGGTCCTTAGGCCTCACTTTGTGAAGCTCTCTGTTCTAGCCTGTCAGAGCCAGGTGGACCGCAGAGTCCTCCAGTCCTCTAGTGGTTCCCAAATGTCATTGATCTTCACAGTCATCTGGGAAGCATTTAAAAAATAAATGCCTTTCTCCAGCAACACCTGCACAGATCCTGCTTCCAAAAGCCTAGGAGGGGAGGCCAAGGAATCTTCTTTTGTAAAAGATCCTCTTGTGAGGATAAGACAGGTTTGGGAACCACTGCTCGGGGCTAACCCTTTCCTCTTACTCACGAGGAAAGGGAATCTCAGAAAGGTAAATTATATTAAGGTAACCATTCACTTCTCTTTAGTTCACTCCCTTCAGCATGGAAGAGGTGCCAGATGTGAGCAATTTCTGGCATTGTTATTAACACACTTGAAATATTTTTCTGTTAACTTTGGCCTTGCTATCAACCAGCATGCAGAAGCAAGTGGGCAGACTGTTCCCTCAAATCTCTTACCCCAAGTGGCCCAAACAGGAGAGAACCCTGAGGCTGTTTTGGTGCTGGAGGCTGCTGTGAGACTTTTCAAATACTGTACTCCTTTTCGTCATAAAGCCTTGTCCAGAAGCCCCAGCCTCTGCATGTGACATAGACACAATGTATTTTAGCCTTCACTGTGTGCCTGGGCTGGGTCTTGCCAATACTGTGACCACTTAGCAGGAGCAGGCTAAGAGTCTTACTGCAGAAGTCAAGGCCAACTCAGTGGAAACAGTGATGTCTTTTCAAGGTTGCTTTATTCAGCGACAAAGTAAAGGTTTCAGTGCCCTGGAAGCTGATCAGTGCTTCCTGTTTAGCACATGGCCTTTCTCAGGCACTGAGCATCTGGTGTGTATCTGCCAGTGTCCAGGCTCTGGAGGTGACATCCAAACAGGGGAGACCAAATGCTGCCTTCGTGCAGCTTAGATTCTAGTCTGGTGGGATAGATGAAAGTAGACTTCCTCTGGCTGGTGTGGAGAAGGACTACCTGCCTGCTTCCACACTGCGACACCAGCCCCCTTTTTCTTTTGAAAATGCTGGTGTAGTATCTATCTCATTATTGTGGCAGATGTGATGCTGGCGGCCGAGGGGACAGCAGTGATCATGTCAGTCTCTGGTCTCTGTGAGTGTACATTCTGGTGGGAGAGGTAGGTAATACTTAAGTAAACATATCAATGAACTAGATAAATGCAGATAATAACAACAGCTAGGCCAATGTAAAAACAGTATAATGGTTTAGAAATGCTTATGGCCTCATGGGTCAACATCAGGGAACTGAATCAAAAAATTTTCCCAACTGATGGTGAACATTTTGCAATAGACCTCACAGGTCATCTGCTCCCAACCTGGTCTGCGTATTAATCTATCTAAAGAGTTTTTAAAAGATATATAAGCCCAGGCTGTGCTCTTACAGATTTCTGATTTTACTGGTCCCAAGGTGTAGAGCTCAAGTATTGCTACATTTTTAAAGATAACTCAGATAATTCTGGTTGAGAAACCTCTGAAGCCCAACACCCTCACTTTGTACATGAGTCACCCTGTCCGCAGTGTAGCAAAACAATGTTGAGTAGTGGAAACCCCCCTACATAGGGTGGGGGAAGATGAAGATATGGGTTATTGTCCCAGATCTGCGATGCAATAATTGTCAGGTTAAACCTCAGTTGTTCACTTTCCCTGTTTTTAAAGTTAAAGGGTTGGACTTGGTAGTCACCAAGATCTTTTCCATCTCTACCGTTCTATGAAAGTGTTTCTATTAAAACAGAAACATGCTCTAGTTTCTTGTTTGAGACTTGGGAGAGGCAAACAAATGCCTCCTACTTTCCTTATTCCCTGTCTCTACCCTTAATTGCTATAGGTCCTTCTATCAGCTAATCAGTTCCTTTTGGAAGTGAAAATTTAAGACAGAAAGAGGTAATTACTTTATGCTATTTAAATAAATTTAAGAACAAGCAAGTTTTCATTAATATTAATAATAAATATGCCCAGATTTAGTTCTAGTAAATTACAGTCATACCTTATTTATCAAATTGTAGCCTAAAGCTTTTTCCGTTTTTGATGGTTGATTTAAAACCAAGGGGCGGGGGCAGTTGTTTAAAAATGGAAACCATGGAGTAGCCTTAACCATTGCGTACCACAGTAATTTTATTCTTTACCAAATATTCCAAGCCAGGAACCCAAAGAAATTGAGTCTCTCCCAATGTATCGTCTGCAGTTTATTAGCAAGCAGAAACAATGTATCTCTTGTGATGCCATCTTATTTTATAAAAAAGAAAAACAGAACTAAGCTCCAGCATGAAAAAATATCATTTAACTTCCTAATTTGAGACCTGGCATCTTTAAAAACTTGGATTTCATTGAAACATTTATTCAAAAAGACAGCAGTTCATTATAAACCAGCATGGTGTGATGTAAGCACCTTAAGTTTATTTCCTTGTGTGGAATTTCCCAGTGGGGTTTGATAATATTCAGCAGTTTCAGAAGCGATAAAGGAGTTTGAAAAGAAAATCTGATGGGAGCTGGTAAATGAAATTAGAGCCATATCTTTTTCAACAGAGATCTTTAAAGATTTGCATACCGCCTATTTTGTATATATCTAAGAAATTGTACCTCCATTGCATTCACAGCCACGTTTGCCCTAGACACAAGATTATGAAAAATCCTCCTCCTCTTAAGTTGCATCCGTAACATCAAGCAACTTTTGAAAATGATATTGTTTAACAAAACAATTGGTTTGATAGAAATCCATTTCAAAAGCAATGTTTCTACCACAAGCAAAATCTCGTAAAACAGAAGCATTTTGTTTCCACTATTGCAGAGAAACAAAGTTGTTTAAGATGAGTTAAGATGTCTCAGGGTTTTGGCAGTCTTTCTAAGCCCCCTGCTGCTGTTACGTTCAGAATCCCTTTTGAAGTGGCCTGGAAGTTTCTATGCAATTTCAGTGGCTGCTTAGGGGAAATATTGGCTAAACTGCTCATTTCGACTGTTAAGATGGATCGAGTGTTTTCAGAATGTTTTCGTTTGCTAGAAATATGTTTTGCACTGGGGCTTCTCTTGTTGAAGAAGGTTGGTTACCAGCCATCTGAAGATGCCTCAGGGTGTTTACAGAAAATGTGGGTGCTGTAGTTATATTTGAGCACAGCCCTCCCCCAACAAAGATAGTGTGGTAATCAGCAGGAATGTGAAAACATGTATTTAAGGATTGATGCTTGTAAAAGAGGCGCTGTAAAGAAACATGGTTGTTCAGATGTAAGAAATGACTGACAGCTCTCTTTGTAGGCATGCTAGTAACAATAAAGTCTAGAAGTTCAACATCAAAGCGATCACAGCTTACTCCACCAGTGACTTGCACATCAAAGAGGGAGCACAAGACAAAGGAAGTGCACTGAGGTATGTTTCTGCCTCATAGCCAGATCCTCAGGGGGAGCTCCCAGAGCTCCTTTCATGAATGCATAGTGATTTTTGCAGATCAGCGTCTTCATTTCATAAATGACCAGGAATATAAAAGCAGGGCAAATGAACGCCATAATTGCTGGCATCACTTTAAGTTTGGTTCGGAAAGATTCATCACAGGAGCGATTGGTCTCTCTGGTTTCCTTGAGTAGTGAATTCTATACCAGTGTGGGCAACTCTAACTTCACCTAATGTAGTACAGGGAATTATTCACAAAATAAGAGAAAACAAAGTGGATACATTTCAAATTGGTGGATTGGAATTATGCTTGAGAACATAAAACTGGACCTAAGTTAGTGCAGTATGCCTCTTTTTTCTTTCCTGTTGATTGCTTAATTTTTTGAGATTAACCTTGTGGGTGGATGTCTGCTGAATCAGGTGTGCATTACTTAACAGGTGTGTGACATAATGAAATTTAGACCTGTTAAACCAGCTCTTAATTAATCACCAGATCTATGCTTCAGTTCTCTAACTCAAATCATGTGTACTCCAAAATGCCAAAAGTAGAACAGGAAGAAGAGTCTGGGTTTGACTTTCTTCCCTCTCTCTTGATATTACATTGAAAATAAAATTAACCATGCAAGTATTATGAGTGGTTTTAAATAATGTGCTTTTTTTTTTGCTTGCCTTTGAAATTTAAAGTTCTTTTATAGTTCATCTTCAGTAATTTACTCATTTTTAAGTGCTATTGAAAAATAGTAGTGCTCTGTGTAGTCATTAATAAATACAAAGCAGCTTTCTCAAGGCTCTAGGGAGACCTAATAAACACAACTGTGTTACTAATTGATGCTATACTGAGCTGACAAAAGTAGTGCATCGGTAAACAGAAGTTAGAAAGCAAGAAGTTAAAGAACTATAGGGGATTATGTAGACATCAAGGGTTGAAAATTATAATAAGGCCTCTTTAGGGGAGCATTAATTTGCATGGGGCTGAATTAGGACAACCAATTATTTCTGAGGACACTACTAAGAGCTCATCCAAAATACCCCCAAAGTGAAAGGTTTGGGAAAGAGTTGGGACTTAGGTGAGATGGAGGGGGCACTGAGCATGTCATATTTCCTATAACTCATGGTAGTTCAATAGTTTTCTCAATAGCATGTTAGAATAGCTAGTTTTCTTTGTTAGGAGAAAATGCTGATGAAATCAACAGTACTGTAATTTCTTTGTTCTATACACACAGTTTATGTTGAACTACCACAATGGAATTTTTTTTTTTAAGCAGGAAGGGCAGGAGAGTGGAGACAGAAATAAACCTTTTAAATCTTCTTTACGTGAACCCCACAAGGACATAAGCATTTAGCAGATTAGAGAGCGTTTGGATTTATAGATACTATCCTCTACAGTAGTGGTCTTCAATGTGTGATCCAGGGACCCCCTGCGGGGCCCCAAGGCCCTCTCAGAAGCTCCAAGAGATAAAAACCAGTTCCATAACAATACTGAGGCATTGTTTCCCCTTTTTACTACGGTGACCATTTGTATTAATGGTGCAAAGCATTGGTGGGTAAAACTGCTGGCACCTTAGCAGGAAGCAGGACGGTAATGCCAAGCTGTACCAGCAGTCATGGTATTCTTCATTACTGTGCAGTTGCTGTTAAAAAAAAAAAAAAAAAAAAAACCGGGCGCGGTGGCTCACACCTGTAATCCCAGCACTTTGAGAGGCCGAGGCAGGCGGATCGATCACAAGATCAGGAGATCGAGACCATCTTGGCTAACATGGTGAAACCCCATCCCTACTGAAAATACAAAAAATTAGCTGGGCATGGTGGCGGGCGCCTGTAGTCCCAGCTACTCAGGAGGCTGAGGCAGGAGAATGGCTTGAACCTGGGAGGTGGAGCTTGCAGTGAGCCGAGATTGTGCCACTTAACTCCAGCCTGGGCAACAGAGCGAGACTCTGTCTCAAAAAAAAAAAAAAAAGTTTCATTTAAGAATGTGCTTGATGAAGCAGAAAAATTTATTAACTTTATTAAATTTTGACCCTCAAGTCCATACCTTTTTAATGTTCTTTATGACAAAATTGGAAGTTTGCATAAAGCACTTCTGCTTTATACTACTAAGTACCATGTTTGTCTCCAGGGAAAAGTACTTGTGTCATTGTTTGAGTTAAGAGCTGAACTAGCTGTTTTTTGAATGGAATGCCACTTAATAGAATAACAGACTATAATTATTCAGATGTGGATATGTTTCATATATTTTCTCAAAAATGAACTTTGAGTCTGTTATCTCCTGAAAAACAGTTCACAGTATTTACTGCCCATACATTCAGGCAAAAATCTGAATTTTGGAAAACTTGTATCCAACCCCAGGAATCTGACAGCTTCCCAATACTTAAAAACTTTTCTGATGGTATGGGTAGTGATATTAATCAACATAATTCCTTGATATAACCACATCTAATAATGAAATGTGTCAAAATCTGGAAGATATACAAAACCCAGTGAACCAGTAGTTTCCAAGTGACCCATGGATGATATTATAAAAATATATGTAGGTAAATGATCCACTCAAAGTGCAAAATATACCGGTGTATTTTAATTTAACAAAGTACAAAAAGTCAGTGATATGGCTTCAGGTTCCATATTCTAACTAATCTTTAAGAAACTACCACTTGTTGAGTTTTAGTGTAGTACCACAGAAGAATATCCAAAATTATCTGAAAAGGCTATTATAATACCTCTCCTTTTTCTAGCTACATATCTTTGTGAGGCCAGATTTTCTTCACATACATCAACCATAAGAGCATAACACAACAGATTGAATGCAGAAGCAGCTATGAGAATCTACTTGTCTTCTTTTAATAGCCAGATATAAAAAGATTCACAAAAATGTAAAATAATGGTATTCTTCATGCTAACTTTTTGTCTTATAAAATATACTTATTTTTATATGTTAATATGCAATGTGTTTATTACTATTATTTTAAGTTGAATTATAAGTAAATTGTGTAAATGTTCCCAGTTTTAACTTCTAATATGGCAATGACTGATGTATAACCTACAAAAACAAAAGCTGTTTGCAGCTTTTTTTTTTTTTTTTTTGGAAACAGAGTCTCACTCTGTCACCCAGGCTGGAGTACAGTGGCGCGATCTCGGCTTGCTGCAACCTCCACCTCCCAGGTTCAAGTGATTCTCCTGCCTCAGCCTCCCGAGTAGCTGACATTACAGACACGCACCACCACACCCGGCTAATTTTTGTATTTTTAGTAGAGACAGGGTTTTACCATGTTGGCCAGGCTGGTCTCGAACTCCTGACCTCAGGTGATCCGCCTGTCTCAGACTCCCAAAGTACTGGGATTACAGGCGTGAGCCACCACACCAGGCCTCTTTGCAGTTTTTAGAAGCATAAAAGTATACAGAGACCAAAAAGTTTGAGAGCTCTTGCTCTACAATTTACTGTAGGAGACATAGTCTGAAAATTGTATGACAAAGCACAAGGTAACAATAGAAGGGGCTTTAAATTCAGACAGATTTATCAGATGAGCTATAAATTATATTAAAGAAAGCACTTTCAAACATGAATTCAAGAGCAAATTTTGTAATCCTCGTTTTCTTTATAATGTCTTCATCTTTCATAACAGTGGAAGACCAGAATCTTTGGTGATATTCTATTTTCAGAGATTTTTGTTTTTGTTTTTTTTATTAATATAGCAAAGACCTGGGCATAAAATTTGTGGTTTACAGAGGCTTTACAGTTTATCTTTAATCATCTGCAACCTATATTAGCAAAAATAGTACTAGTAAATGATGGCTGTTTTTCTTTTTGTTTTGGGCTGGTGTGGAGGAAAAAGCTTTTATACAATTAGTACCACTTCCAGAGCTATCCCAGCTCCTGAAAGATGTGAAACTTTTGTCATGAATGTAGGCACCTTGGAGAATTTTATCACTGTGTGTAGAGATGGAAAGCCCTTGCAGGCCTGCGACCATGCAAGTGATGGGCACCTTAACACATACACCATTCACTCCCCCTCAGACCTTCTCCAAGGGGGAAGAGTTCTGCCCAGATAGCTGTCAGCACCTGAGTGTGACAAGGAGGCTAAGCCCTCGACTAACAGATACACTTGGCAGAATCAGTTCCATTACACTAATTAAATATGTGAAAGCCCAACCTTCCCTGAAATTTCTTGTGAAAAATAACATGCAGTTAGAAAGCAATGCCCAAATACTTGTCCTTAATTTTATAATCACTTTGTTGGCATCTAACATATAGACATTCACATTGCCCTTTGTGGCTGGGCCATCTGCCTCTTTGTTATTATCAAATAGGGGGCATTCAGGTCTTGCATTCCATTTGGTTTCCTATCAAAAGGCTGTCCATTGAGTGGGAGCAAATGTGTTTTGGCACATTCTGCATTTCCAGGGTCTTGCTTCTGACTGTTATAACTAAGAGAGAAGTTGGTGCCCCCAGAGCCAAATCAGTCTCAGAACACTGGGATACGTTGCTCCCAGCATAGTTTTATTAGCCAGTTAAAGGGATAGGCTGAAGCATACTCACTGTATAAACAGAGGTTGTGCAATGGCCCACAGCCACGCTGCCCATGAGAAAAAGCACCTCCTGTCTTCTATGGATCTACCCAAAATTAGGAGGGCTGAGGAGAATGAGATGGCCCCATTTCAGAACAACTCACAGTGGTGATGTGGGGGAAGGATGGGAGTGAAGAGGAAGGAAAGCAAGGCAAGCCACGCTCTGTTCTTGGAGAGGGTGTTGGGAAGGTGCAGCTGAGGAAACCCTGGCCGTTTAAAGGGTGAGAGAAATAACTACATGCCCATTCGTGGTTAAAAAGAAAACAAAACTTCTAACTTTCCAATTTGGGAAACAGAAGTGTAAGATAATTATTCTCTTTGAAGTAAAATAAAATGGCTCATGTTTAGGCATTGTATTTTATTAAACTTTTAGCATTTTCTGGCTAACTGAACTTTAAACAATAAATTTTATAAGCTAAGTTTTGCATTATTCGGTGATTTTGACCCAGGCATGGAAAACTATTTTAAAAAACCAAAGGGACATTTTTTTTTCTTGATCTGGGAGTATTGCCTGTGAAAATTCATAAAGCTTACATTTATCATTTGTGTCTGTTTCTCTTTGCATGTTGCACTTCAATAAAAAGCTTACCAAAGGGCAGGAGGATTCCAGTAATTTTTTTTTTGTAAATCATATACTCTCAGTACTGAAAATATTCTCTAGACTCGACTTTGGAATTTTCCACTCTGTCATTTACTAAACATTTTGTTTATTCTCAGTTCCTTTGTACCACCACTTCACAGAGGTAAACTGGACCTATGACCTTACAGTAGGGAAACTGAAGGCATTTATACTTCAAGTACACGTACAAAGCTGTAACTCCGTATCATGAAGGCCAAGTATCAGCCTTTACAGGATTGTTTTCTTGCTTTATAGCCATTGGCTTTTGAATGACCTGCTAGTCAAATGGGAAGGAAAAAGTGAATCAGACGATGTGGTGACGTTGCTATAGGAATAGGAAGGTCTTCTAAGACTTAATACTGTCTGTGTACATTCTAGC
This sequence comes from Homo sapiens, assembly GCF_000001405.40. Classification (NCBI taxonomy): domain Eukaryota; kingdom Metazoa; phylum Chordata; class Mammalia; order Primates; family Hominidae; genus Homo; species Homo sapiens. Next base: position 60,575,164 of record NC_000015.10, on the reverse strand, counting down.
TCTTTGCTGAAGGTTCTGGCCCTAGGTTAAGGCTGGCATTAGACAAACGGAGCTATGTTTTCAAACTTTATCATCTCCTCTCTTAGGGCTCTCGGTGGCCTTCTGGTTTAGCTGAAGGCAGAGTTGCCTAATCACCACATAAAAAATCGAGTAGTACAATCTCCAGACCTCCTCTTCTTCTCCTGCCCCTGACTCAGTAGTTTGATCTTCTGTCCCGTTCTCTCCTGGCTCTTCCGGGTGACACAAGATACAGAAATAAGAAAGACTCTCAGAAAGTTGGCATAGGCATAAGAGCAAGCATGGATCTGGAAATTTTTCCAAATATAAGGCTTAAGTCCCAGAAATGCCACGTATTAGCTGATGGATCTTGGGCAAGTCATGTAACCTCACTAAACCTCAGTTTTATCATCTATCAAATAAAGATGATAATAACATCTACCTCATAGGGATTTTTGGGAAGAAGGAAGTAACACATGGAAGGTACTTAATGCAATGTCTCACATGTGACAAGCACTTAGCATATGGCAGGCACTGAAGAAGTGTTGTTATTAACATCCCCATCCTCTCATCCTCTTGTACACGTGGTAAATGGTACACATCACGTATTCAAGTTTGAAGTTAGGGTAATGAGTTCATCCAGCCTTAGCCGGTACACATTGCATTTTAACAGGGGCCTTTGCCAGTGCCCAAGCATATGAGTTATGTGGTCTGGTCAGATGGGGGCTGATGGAAGAAGAACTTGCATGAAATTTCTCATCATATAACATAAGAGGCTTCTAATTCTGCATTTTCCAAGCCCTGCTATTTGTAACCAGTAATATATGTTCTAAGCCTATCATTTATAAAGCGCTTCCTGTGTGCCAAGCACCATGAAATGGATTACCACATTTAATACTTACATTAGCCTTTCATCCTCCTTTTTACAGAGGAGGAAGCGGAGACTCAGAGACGCAGAGCAACCTGTCTAGGATCACAGGGCTAGCACATAGCTCCAATTGGGGGCTGAGTCTGCCAGACTCGCAGGGCTGGGCTAACCCTGCTCTGTTCTGACCCAACAGCCCCAGCACCACCGGAGTCTCAGAAACTCACATTGTTCCAGATTCCGAGATTAGGTCATCATGCAAATTGAGGTTAGGGGCTTTTTCTGAACACTGCAGTAGAATGGAAGTAGACAAAATACACATAGAAATGGATTGAGCATCTGATGTGTGCCAGGCACTATAAAAAGTGCTGGAACCAGAAAGATGAAAAGAAGTGGTCCCTGCCTTCAAGGAGCTCACAGGCCAGGGAGGGCCCAAGGTGGAAATAAAATCATGACATAGTGTAAATGCTAGAGCAGAGGAATGCAGGAGACGATAGGAGCACAGAGGAGGAGCACAAATCAGACTGAGGGGTTAGGAACAGCTTTTTGGAAGAAGTGAAGGCTTAGCTGAGCTTTGAAGCAAAGGAAGGTTATTGCCAACAAATGGTAGTTTGTGAAAATCCTTGAAAGCTAGACAGTGAGCAAGGCAAGTCGGGGACTGCAGGAGACAAGGCATGTAGAGGAGACCGGTGGGGTCTGAACTATGACAGGCTCTCACCCTCATTCTACGGGAGTTGTTCTTTCTACTGAAGGTGCCGGGAGGCCACGGAGGGAGGCTGCCAGATATTTTTAAGGCACATGAAGAAACACGAGAAACAATCAGATATTCTCAGTATCTTCCTTTCCCTTAATTATTTCAAGAGATAAAAAAGCTTTTTGGATGCGGCAAAGGTCTCTTCTGTGTTATGATTTGGGTTTCTGTGCGGCCGCTCTGCCTCTTGTATGGTGTTGAGAGATGTATGAAAGGCATCCGCCACGAGTCTTCAATGGATTTCTGCACTTTGCTTGATATAAATTGATTCAGGGACTTCATTATGATGTCGCTAAGATGAATGGGGCAGTAGTGTTTTGGCTTAACGCTGCCAGAAGGAGGGAAAACAAGTTTCTGTGGTGCCGCGGTTCAATCATGCTGCTTACAGAAGTAGGGCCATGAAAGGACGGAGGATTGTGTCTTTGATACTAGAAACCCTGTAGCCCTGTTGGTGCTACAAGCGAATGCTTAAATTAAAGGTTGGAGCCAGCTTTCAAGTATTGACTATCGAGCAAAAAGCTCAGCCCACACTCATGTACTTACTCAGCCTTGTTAAAATAAAAATACACTCTCGGCTGAGCTCGTGTCACAGCCAGTGTAATTATTACATTAAAGATTGTTGTTTGAATTAGAGTTGCTGTGGTACACGTTTATTTAAAGATATGCTTGGTAATTTAGTACATGTTAGTCAGGACTCATGCCCAAACTGTGAAGAAGTATTCGTTGCCAGCTGCCTCTCAGGTTGTTTTTGTATTCAAGGTAAACACTTGAAACTTGACAAATTGATCCAGAATAGTGGTGATCTGACTTCCTTGCCACAGGACCAGTGGCTTAACTCACTCAGCTCTCATCTCCTACCCAGGATGAAAACAGCATCAACCACATTGGATTATTTTGAGGTTGTTAAATGAGGTAATACATTTCAGGTGGTTGGCCCATCAATAAGCGCTTCTTCCTAAATATAGTTTTGTTATCTATATTATGTATAGATTTGTTTTTAAATGGTAGGAGGGAGTATGACTAAAAAGCCCCTCTTTTTTTTTTCTTGCTACCAATGGTAAAAGCCGGATGATCCAGTTGTCTATAATAGCCATGCATTTATTAAACCCTGTGGGTTATAACCCCTCTGTTTCTTATGGTTCACTATGCCCAGAGCATTCAAGTGTTTAGTAAAGTTGTGAAAGGCTTTGCAAATATGAGGGATGATGCCCATTTTCTGGTAGGTTTCTTATGGGGTTCTTTCCCCCAACATACACATTTCTCAGTGATTGTCCCCTCTTTGCCCTTTGCTGGCCATGTGAAATGCAGGACCACATCTTCTCCAACAGATGAATCCACATTAAAGCCACTCACTGACCTGCTTTCTACATTTAAAGCTACTCAACTTTGCTATGTAATTGTAAGGCTCCCAAATTCAAAGCATGGCTAGTGAGCAATGGATGAGGGTATACCTAGTATTTTTTCCATAGACTTATGGAATCTCATGCATGGAATTTAGATATCAGGCCTCCCTGTCCTCATCTGGGAGTGCTGGGATTCATGAGCTACTCCTATGTGCTCTGCAGTACGTTCTGGTGTGTTTAAGGTAAGGTATTATTCTGTTTACATAAATCACCCTGACATCTTGTACTTTTTCATGGATTATTACTTTTTTAATGAGGTAACAGAAATGCAGTGAGGTCAATTTATGTGTTGGCCTAACATTCTAAAAAGTGAATTTTGATAACTTCCCAGCAGGAAAGAAAATTTTCATCGTAGAAGGTGACATAGCTAAATACAACAGTCCCATAGCTAGCTGGGCATTTTATAGACTATTAGACCTGCAAGAGACCTTAGCAGTCATCTAGTGCAATCTGCTAACTTTATAATCGGGTGGTTGGGAGATTAAACACCATGCCAGGATAAGTTAGTGGCAGGGACTAAAATCAGGGACCCCTCATGCCTCTTCATGATCTTTCCATAGTTCATGCTTCATCTAAGACTGCCACAGAGAGCTCAGATGTAATATTATGATACCAAAAAGTGCTGTAAGTGATGTCTTAGGCCTCTTTAACTCTTTTAAAAACTAGGCTATTCATTTCTATCAAAAGGTTTAATTGGCCTGCACAATTATTTGTGTTTTCACAGAAAAGAGAAAAAACTAATTCTAGTTAAGAGTAACAGCACACAGTAGGACTCATATGCACTGGAGCTTTAATTTAGTCTTTACAGGCACACACACACACACAAAAACACAGGAAACCACTTCAAATATACCATTACGATGAATTCAAACTGTGTCAGGGACATCAGCAAAACAGTGTCCCTTCATGCTGAGTATTGTGAAAATGTATCCTTGTTGTTTGCTGTGGTCTCCTGTGGGAGGCACATCGAAATTACTACACTCCCCGGGAAAAAAAAAATAGCAAGAACAGTAAATAACAGCCTTCAGATAATACAGATGGGTAAACATTTCCAGAATTGATTATAGAAACTACTGTTGACAAGCCACTAGCAGGCAAAATGAGGAGAGAAAAAAAAAGAACTTTTATCTGCCATTCAACACTGGGCATACAAGGCAGGATACAGACAGGGCAAAATAGCCGATTAATATGGTAATGTACTTTATTGCACATGTAGGATCATGAGAGAGGCCTGAGAGTTACCTGGTCCAAGCCACTCCTGTTACCCCAGAGAAAACAGAAACTCGGAAAGGTTAAGTGGCTGCCCAGCATCACACACTTAGCAGCAAAGCCAATTTTGGAACCTTAGTCTCTTGACTCTCAGTCTAGTGCTCCAACTACTGTACTGTGACCCTCTAATTGAATCTATGACGGCACCTGTGTCAGGGGTACAAGATGAGGCTCATGGAAATTTATCCAAATGAATAGCTGTTTTAAAATCATCATTAAAACTGTCCATGGGCCAGGCGCAGTAGCTCACACCTGTAATCGCAGCACTTTGGGAGGCCAAGGTGGGCAGATTTCCTAAGCCCAGGAGTTCAAGACCATCATGGGCAACATGGTGAAACACTGTCTCTACAAAAAACACAAAATAATGATGATAATAATAATAATAAACTGGGTATGGTGGCACGCATTATAGTCCCAGCTACTCAGGAGACTGAGGTAGGAGGATAACCCGAGGCTGGGGAAGTCAAGTCTGCAGTGAGCTGTGATCATACCACTACCCTCCAGCCTGGGTGACAGAGCAAGACCTCGTCTGAAAAACAAACACATACACCCACACAAAACAAAAATAATACTGTCCATGGTTTTAAGCATTCTCCTGAAGACAAAAACTTGTTAATACGGTACCATATAAAATCTCAGTTTATCTTCACATCCAGAAAGGAAGGCATTTTTCATGCACATTTAGTTACTCAACAAATATTTATGAAGTGCCCGGGCTGTGTTTGTGTTACTGATGGCCCGTGATCGGCTATCTTCTCTCTTGTCTCGGAGTCAAATAAGCAGGGGGATTGTTGGATCTGTCCCCTTCACCTCCCTTCTGTCGAAGGATCTCACGCTCACATTGTCTTACTTTTCTCTCGTTTTTCCTATCCTTTTAATCTGATCTTTAAATGTCAGTCTCTGTTCTCATCTTCCTTTTTAACGAGTGTGGGTTTCTCATGTTTATCTTGCTCTCCTTTTGCTGACGTATTTGCATCACTTTAGCTGCAGTTAATATCTGCTAAATCAAACCATATTGGCTTGAATAGCTTCCATTGATTTGTGAATAAAAGAATGCTTCAGCTGCTTGGCCCTGCTCTCTGTACGTTCTTTGTCGCCAGTAGGTTTAACTTACTCAAAACCTTCCTTGTCTGCATCCCTCTTTTACCCTTGTATTGTTCATCCTCCCCTGTTCAAGCCATTCACCCTTTTGAGCTGTCGTTACTGTAAGGGAGTGACTGCTATTTCATTTACTCATTATTTACTGAATGAGGAGACTAATTGTCATTTTTCTTTGCTGTTGCCCTGTTTCCCCCTTTTAACCACCACCCTTCCGCCCCTTTATGGTGAGGACCAAAATCACTGTTGTCATTAGCTAGCCTGTATTGAGCATCTACTACATATTTACTAAGCATCATTCAGAAGACTTGAATTTTGTAAAAATGAATCCTTTGGGTTTTTTCTTTTCTTTTTCTTTTTAAAGAGACAGGGTCTCACAGGCTGGAGTGCAGTGTTGCCATCATAGCTCACTGTAACCTGGAACTCCTAGGCTCAAGTGATCCTTCTGCCTCAGCCTCGCCAGTAGCTGGGGCTACAGGCATGTGACACCACACATGGCTTTTTTTTTTTTTTTTTTTTTAATTTTTTAAAGAGATGGAGTCTCTCCATGTGGCCTAGGCTAGTCTCGAACTCTTAGGTTCAAGCAGTCCTCCCACCTCAGTGGTTTCTTTTGAGAAGGAGTGCAAAATGAACAAGGCACTTTCGTTGATTAATTTAATTCAACCAATTTTCTATATATAATACCTCTTACCACAAAGAAATGATTAGATTCTAAATGCCAGAAGATAGAGGTGTGAAAAGACACTAACCACAAAAAGGCCTTTTGTAAATTGTATTGTCAGCGTATTTTAAACTCCAGGAAATGCCATAATATTGAGTTTTTTTTTTTTTTTTTTTAGCGCAAAACCATCTAAACTGAAATCCATATGAAAAATATCAAAACTATTCAGTCAACTTTTACCTACTTCACTTTGTCATCAACAACTCCCTGTTCCGTCCTTGCAAAGCAACTAATCTTTTTTACTTGTACTAGGAAAACATATAAAACCATCCTGACAGTTTGATAATACAACAACAGTGCTTAGATTCAAGATAAATGTATATTACAAGAAAAGTGAAAGAAGCTCTCAGGTGAGTGAGCTCTGGGTCAAGGCCCTTCGAGCCAAAGGAGAGGAGGTCCTGGACTTTGGTCTGATGTGTTCCAGGATCTGTGCCTGGCCTGCTTCCTGCCTCCCATAGCAGCAGCAAGTCCTGCTTTCCCCAGTGAGATCTCGACTAGACTTCCCCAGTGCCTTGTCAGAGAAAAGGGGCTTCTTCCTTCCTTAGAATCATTCTGACACCACACTGAGCCGGGGTATGCAAACAGGGAGGTTTGGGTCTTGAGAATAGATCATGCAAATTTCTTTCTTGTTTCCCTTAACTACATCAGCAGTAGAGAGCAGAGAAAGCCTTCACTGCCATGCTGCCTCATGGAGGTGCTGAAGTTTCTCCCAGGTAGGAGAGGACTTTGGGCTTCTTTTGGCATCACTACCCTCAGGATGCCTGGCTGTTCCACCTTTCTGTGGGTGGGGCAACCCTTGTCTCTGGCAGAACAGAAAGGTGCACAGGGGCAGAGGTAACAGCAGGAGACATAAGCATTGTCCTATCCATTTTCCAGCAGAGCACCACTGTCCTATCCAGAGCTTATTTTCCTGGAAACCATTCTCTCCATAAAACAGTGGTTCTCAACTGGGGGCACTTTTGACCCCCAGGGAACATTTATCAGTGTCTAGAGAGATTTTTTGATTAATACAATTCGAGAGTGCTATTAGCATCTAGCCACAACAAAGAATTATCTCACACAAAATGTCAGTAGTGCCAAGGCTGAGAAACCCTGCCACAGAGCATGCTTTCTACCTTCTGTTCATCATAGGCCCCTTACATATGACATCTTCATTTTCATTTTCAACCCAAACACATTTTATTTAACACCGTATAACTTCAATTTTAAGTAAAGGAATAAATGGAAAACTTTATTGGCATGAGAAAGAAAAAAAGGGAAAGTAATGCATTACCAAAAGAAGCCGGAGATAATCAGTATGTATGAACTCATGCAATGGTAGAATTATTCTTGCTAATAAAAGAGGGTATCGGCTGGGCCTGGTGGCTCACACCTGTAATCCCTGCACTTTGAGAGGCCAAGGCAGGCGGATCACTTAAGGCCAAGAGTTCCAGACCAGCCTGGCCAACATGGTAAAACCCTGTCTCCACTAAAAATACAAAAATTAGTTGGGTGTGGTGGTGCATGCCTGTAGTCCCAGCTATTCGGGAGGCTGAGGCAGGAGAATCACTTGAACCTGGGAGATGGAGGTTGCATGAGCTGAGATCACACCACTGCACGCCAGCCTGGGTAACAGACCAAGACTCAGTCTCAGAAAAAAAAAAATAATAATAATAATAATAATAATGATAATAAAAGAGGGCATCTCTCTAAAAGAAAAGGTGCAAACCCAAACATTTAGTGCCCCTAGGCAGGTGGTGTGAGTGTGGCAGGTAGAGGAGGCACTTGGACCGCTGGACGGCACATATGCTTTGGAAAGGGAGCACCTCCCTTGGCTCTGTCGCCGTTTGGAATAACTGGTCTGTCATCACCAGGTCTTTTTTTTTTTTTTAAGAGAATCTATAAATCTGAACTTTAATGTGAAATTCCCTGGTTATTAATGGCTAGAAACATATTTTAAAAACTCATAGGCTAGCTCGTTATGGAAGCAGATTAATGGTTTTGGCTAGTTCATCTTTGTTAGTATCTTTATCATTATTGAGATTGTGTGGTTGAACATTGGACAGATGAGCTCTCACACGTAATCTAAACAGACTCCTTTCTGTTCTGAAGGCTTAAGTCACCTAGAAAATAAGTCCAAACTCCTTAACAGAGTATTCAAGGCCCTTTAGGATTAGGTCCCGCCAACCTGGCTACCCACTTTCCATCCTTATATTGAGCCATTTGCTCCACTCTACCCTGCCCTTGAGACACAGTGAGCCTCTCTTTGAACACATCACGCATGTTCATGCTGGGACCTCTCCTTGGCTTTTCTTCACTCCCATCGCAACTTTCACTGCCTAGGGAAGTGCGATATTCATTCTCTGTGGCCCAAATCAAATGACAAATAATCTTCCCGAATTCCCTAAAAGAAATCTGGTTTGGTATATTCTGTTATTATGATCTTTATAAGTTGCTACCATGTATTCATCTAGTCATCTCCCCAACCTCAAGTAATGTGTAAGACTTGGAGGCTAGGAACCCAACTTTATTGGGAAGCCAACTTTATTGCTCTATTTTTCATATAAACCTAGCTTTCAGTAAATTTAAATCACCTTCTGCTTATCCATCCACCAGTATGCACTGTGATTAATTAACAAGGCAGTTTCTGCATTAACACCAAACTTTCCCTCTTCCCTGCCTATGACCAAGTTTTCAAAAAAAATTAAAATAACATTAAAATGTTATTAACGGCAAAAGGGAATTATTTTTTGAAACATCTATGATTTTTTACTAAGAAAAAGGAAAACTTGAGTGATGAGTAATACTTATTAAACATTTGGAATAGCATTAAAATAAGTATTTTTACAGAGTTAAATATTTGCGTCTATACTTAGATGTATAAAATACTATTCTTTGAACTTGAAGTGGATTTTGAACTCTGCTCTCCATAATTATAATAATCATAAGCTTATTTATGTATAGGTGGGCTATATAGACATTAACCAATTAATCTTGATCACATCACCTAATAGGAAGACTTTCCTTGATACCCTATTTTTAGAGTGCACATATGAGTGTATGTTAATTATAGGTCTCTGTTATTAACTTTGCATTATATTACCGAAATGCTTAATTAACAGTTTACCAGCATCAAGAGTGTAGGTGGGCAAGAAACTTGTATCAGAATTCACTTCTGTTCAAGCCAGGAGGTGAGTGACATTCATAAATCCGTCAAATACCTGGCCTTGCATCCAAGGACTATTCATTTTCCTTAAGTGTTTAAGTGGTTCTTTGAGAGGATGTGTTGACTTTATCAATTCAGGCCACATCATAATTAGCTAATTTAAAGAAAAAACAGGGGTGGTATCTATATATGTTTGTACCAAATTGAGTTTTAATATAATCCTGGTTCTCTGAGGGTGATATGGCTAATAATTAAGTTATCCCCATTAGGTTATACTTTCGGAAGCTGCTGTTGCCTGCTGCCTATTCCATTAAAAACTAACTTTATCACTAATTTTAACATGAAACAGATCCATTTGGAGAAAAATCCATTATGAATGAGACAGAGTTGGCTGTTGAATAACATTGGTGTAGGCTCAAGTCTGGAATAAATGTGATATAGATGGGACGATATTGGACAAATGCAATTTATTTCATTATTCAGCAACAAGGTATTCCAAATGTCTCTGCTAATGAATACATGAAAACAGATTACATATAATGTGCACACTGTGAGTCGCATTTGCAGAATTATTTTTGCCACCTCTAGCACTATCTGAAACCAACACTGAATAGCAATGGTACTTGAGCTTCTAGTTGCAAGAAAAAGCAACTTTAAAAATTAAAACCAAAAAATGTAAAAAGAAAAAAGTAAATGTCTTATCTGTGGAATTTACCTTTATGGGAGAATTCTTGGGAATATAGCAGTTTTATCTCAATCCAATTGTGTTGTCCTCTGTTAAACCTCTATTGTCCCTTAAAATCAGCCCACATGAAAAGAAGACAGTGTTCTTCTTCAAAGCTCTGATGGACGACTTTAGAGACTGTTTCAGGAACACTCTGTCTTTTTGCTGAGATATTGGTAGAATACAATAGATAACATTTACCGAGCTCACAAGGGGGTCACTGCTTGTCCACAGCAGTTTGTAAGCTGTTGGTTCTGGCATTAAATTTAAAGTCCCACAAAGTGAAGCAAAAATGTATAATAATGCTATTATTGTACTGGTTGCAGGGTTTTCGTTCGGGTGCCATTGGGGTATTGAGATATTTAAATATCAATACTTTTATGCTGTCATATAATTGTCTTAGAATAATCACTGTTTTGCGCTGATAAAATACTTTTAATCTAGGGTTTTCTCAGATTCCCTATCCCCCAAATATATCTGAGTGATAAACTTGTTGAAAGTTCAACATGTCAAGGATGACTTGCTCTAGCAAGCTGTAGTCTTCCCAGGCCCCCACCTTTCCTGGTTAAAGGATTGTCCTGATGAGACCAAAAGATCAGATTTAATATAGCCCAGCAGACTTAGAACACAGGAAAATAGTCTTTTGTCACCCTCAGTTTACCCCTATCCCTAGTCAGCTCTCTCATAAGTGAAGTTAAAAGCAACTAGATGAGAGTGTGGATCATTCTGACCAAATGGTTCTCACTGGCAGTAAAAAATGGTTCCAAAAGATGATCTTATTTGGTGGGCCAAATGTAAAGAGCATTATGTTAAGATAAAATCAGTAACAATTGCATTATAAGATGCCATTTATTGCATTTTTTTCTCTATGCCAAACACTGGGCTAAACACTGAACAAGCATGATCACTTTTAACTTTCAACAACTCTGGGGATAACCCATAATGGGGATAACCATTCTACAGATGAGGGGAACTGAGAATCAAAAAGGTTAAAATTTTTGCATAAGTTCACACAGAAGTGTGAGCTGGGATTTGAATTTAGGTGTCTCATCCCAGAGCTTCTCAACATGTCTCCACAGCCGTGCTGTATACCAATTGTAAGCATGCATCTTTCTCAGACTTTGGATTCATTATCTGGATATAAAATTCATATCCTAATAAAATGAAGTATGTAGTGAGAAGTGTGCTCAAGTCAAGCAGCCCATGAAAGGCTGTACAATAGAGGGCAAAGTGAAAGCCGCATGCAGGTCTGTGGAATTGTATGGGGATGTTTCATACAACACTGAATGCCATGTCTGCTGGAAAACATTGCTTGAAAATAAATATGTAGGCCATCGCTACCTGTGTGTGTACTTGCTGTAATGGAGCAAACTTCCAATGACCACCAAGAATGAACCACAGTGAACTAGAAGATGTGTCCTCTGATAAACAATGTCTGTGATGTAGCCACACAGGAAAAGCCATGGTTTGAAGCTCTGGGGAGCCCGTTTCCTAAGAGACTCTCTGGGGCACAACAATAAGAGCTGCTGTTTACTGAGAGTCTCCTGTCCCCCAAGCACTGTGCTGTCTCAGTTTGGTTTTAGGTGGGTAAGATCCCCATGCTACAAATGAAGAAACTGAGGCTCAAAGAAATTTCCCTAAGATTGACCACATCCGTGGCAGAATTGGAACAGTAAGTGTTCTTGATGACTAAAATAGTTGGAAATATACATAAGGGGTAAAATCTCATGAAGGTTCCCTAATTAAATTCACAAGGTAGACTTTGCTTTGAAGTGAAGTGAGATACCTTCTAAAGCAAAAGTCTGTTTAATATTTTCCACCATTAGAAAAAATGCGTGCTTAGGCCAAAGTGCAAGAAGAGGAATTCCATGTGGAAAACTGCAGGTGTGTCTAGTTAGGCCAAGAGGTATAAAAGGCTGAGCAGTTGTCTGGCACACCTGGTATTTGCACCATCAGCATCTTGCACTTAGTGGATGCTAAGCAAATATTTGTGATTTTTTTCAATAGCAGGGATGTTTGTCTGAATATTTAAATATTCACCTTAGTTTGATTTTACTTTGGTAGACTGACTCCGTGTTCACTTTGGGAGAATTTCAACTTATACGTGTCCGCCTTAAGTAACAAGATTCAGAAAATATGATTAAGTATAGCATTTATTTGAGCCCAAACTTGAGGATAGCCACCTGGGAGAATAGATTGAAGTTGCCTTGTACACTCGGATTAACAGCAGTTACAAGTGAATTTTTAAAGGAAGAAATAAGAGGCAGTTTCTAAATTGTTTACCAAGAATTTATATTTAAATAACATAAGCTATTGGCCAGGCATGGTGGCTCATGCCTGTAATGTCAGCACTTTGGGAGTCTGAGGCAGGACAATTACTTAAGCCCAGGAGTTTGAGAGCAGCCTGGGCAACATAGCAAGACCCCTATCTCTACAAAAAATTCAAAGCCAGGCACAGTGGCTCATGCATGTAATCCCAGCACTTTGGGAGGCCAAGGCGGGTGGATCACGAGGTCAGGAGATCGAGACCATCCTGGCTAACATGGTGAAACCCCATCTCTACTAAAAAAAAAAAAAAAATACAGAAAGTTAGCTGGGCGTGGTAGCACGGGCCTATAGTCCCAGCTACTTGGGACGCTGAGGCAGGAGAATCGCCTGAACCCGGGAGGCAGAGGTTGCAGTGGGCCGAGATAGAGCCACTGCACTCCAGCCTGGGCGACAGAGCAAGACTCTGTCTCAAAACAAAAGCAACCCCCCCCCAACCCCGCCTCAAAAAAAAAATGTAAAAACTAGCTGGGCATATTGGCACATGCCTGTCATCCCAGTTACTCAGGAAGCTGAGGCAAGAGGATTGTCTGAGCCCAGGAGGTCAAGGCTGCAGTTAGCTATGATCGTGCCATCGCACTCCAGCCTGGGTGACAGAGTCAGACTCTGTCTCAACAAAATTTTTGTAAACTGGCAGGGCGCAGTGGCTCATGCCTATAATCCCAGCACTTTGGGAGGTCAAGGCGGGCAGATCACCTGAGGTCGGGAGTTCGAGACCAGCCTGACCAACATGGTGAAACTAAAAATACAAAATTAGCCGGATGTGGTGGTGGCAGGCGCCTGTAATCCCAGCTACTCAGGAGGCTGAGGCAGGAGAATCGCTTGAACCTGGGAGGCAGAGGTTGCGGTGATCCGAGATCGCGCCACTGTACTCCAGCCTGGGCATCAAGAGCAAAACTCCGTCTCAAAAAAAAAGAAAAAAAATTTTTTTTTTTGTTAAACCCATAAGCTATTGTTCTGTGTATCACAGATTCCAGTAACATGAAGATAATGGAGGCAGCATCTAGTCAGGAACAAAATGGCTTTAAATAGTCCCCCACCACCACCCCTGCATGGGGGGAGTGTCACTGAAGTCCCATATTATGTCTCTCAGGGCGTGATAAATTTTGCATCACTTATATAGCTCATATGGTTCTGAGCTATTTTTCTTTTCTCAATGGATATAGTTTTGGATTGAGATGTACTTTCCTTCTATAGTTCTTGACCCTTTAACAAAATGTATTGGTATTTTGCAATTCAGAATCTATTACATTATGGAAGGGGGTCCAAAAACCTTGAGAGCCATGTTGTTAAAGCTTTAACATAAAGATGTTAAAGCATCTTCCTCATGTGTTCCTGGATCTACAACACGGGATAAAATTCTTAATGTTAGTTTCAGAGTTAAAGAGTTTAACTTTTTTTTATTACTTTCTTGTCATCACAATTATAATTATGCCTCATTATTTATTATTATTTTGCATTCTCCATATTTAAAAAAACACAAGTTGGCCAGGCGCGGTGGCTCACGCCTGTAATCCCAGCACTTTGGGAGGCCGAGGCGGGCGGATCACGAGGTCAGGAGATCGAGACCATCCTGGCTAACACGGTGAAACCCCGTCTCTACTAAAAATACAAAAAATTAGCCGGGCGTGGTAGCGGGCGCCTGTAGTCCCAGCTACTCGGGAGGCTGAGGCAGGAGAATGGCGTGAACCCGGGAGGCGGCGCTTGCAGTGAGCCGAGATCGCGCCACTGCACTCCAGCCTGGGCGACAGAGCGAGACTCCGTCTCAAAAACAAAAAAAAAAACAAAAACAAAACAAAAAAAAAAAAAACACAAGTTAAAACTTCCCATGTATAAAAACACTTACATTTTAAAACATCACTGCCAACGTGTGTGTGCTCATGTGGGAGTACAGATGTGTATATACAGACATGTACATTTTTAAAGACTTGGTTGTCTCTGCAGTGAAGACAATATGTTTTATTTTTTATTCCATATACTTCTCTGTATTTTCTATATTTGCTTCAATAAGCTGGTGTAACTTTTAATTTTTTTAATTAAAAAAAATTTAGCGTAAAATTACACTTAAACATTAGCAGCTGCTGCTGGGAAAAAATGGACAAATTGCCCAGGCAGCCACATTAGAAGAAGAAAGTCATTTGAATACAGTTATATACTTATTTTTATTGAGACACATCTTGCTGTGTCACCCAGGGTTTTGCTCTGTTGCCACAGCTTACTGCAGCCGTGACCCAGGCTCAAGTGATCCCTCCCACCTCAGGCCCCTCTCCCCGACCAGTAGCCGAGACTACAGGCAGGCACAGACTGGCACCACCACACTCGGCTAATTTTTTTTTTTTGAGGCAGGGTCTCACTATATTGTCCAGGCTGGTCTTGAACTCCTGAGCTCAAGTGATCCTCTCACCTTGGCTTCCCAAAGTGCTGGGATTACAGACAAGTCATGGCAGCTGGCTGAGTACAGTTATTCAGCATAAGCATAACAAAAACAGAATGGCAGCCCAGTTCCTTTGTTAATGAAATAGTAAGGGTGTAACTAGGGCAAGCTGGCCCTGTTTATGTCACATGAGTTTGTTTTAGAAAGCATTCTTGAGAACACAAACAAAACAAAAGAAAAAATTTTAGAAATACACTCACATTTTAATATAAAATGGACTGCGTTTTGTGGCTATGTGAGAATTTTCAACATAAATCTCCTTAAGAAGGGAGTCAAATGTTCTGGAGAGATCTAAATTTAATACAATCTCATAGGGAGCAAAATAAGGAGTTGCTGTGATAAACTTTTTGCTTTGCCAGGTATGGGCTACAATGATTGGTTGAAATCATCCAAAAATGAACTAAAATCACAAATTCATTTTCACAGATTTATTGTTAGAACTTATGTTGCTTCCTTAAGAAAACGCAACTATATTAACTCTTGGCTATGGCAGTCAAGAATAAAACAGTCAAGGGGAAAAAAAACAGTGGCTAAATTTATAAAGTTATGTGTATTTGGCTTTGAAATATTTTTGGAACATGAAACTGGCCTCGCTTAGGTAAAGAATCAATTTGCCATGTCTTGTAACATATCTATTTGAAGGCATTGAGAAGAGATCGAGAAACTCTCAAACTGAATGTACTTGTGATAATTATCAAGCCGTAATGCAAATAACAGAAAGGTCATTGTCCTATTCCTTGCACGACATCTTTCTCTTGGTAATTTGAAGAACAGGGTCTTTCAATTACCTTTTTTGCCTTCCTACTACAGCAATACCTCACCTGTGATGAATCTGTCCTCTGGCAACCTTCTCTGTCACAAACCATCTGAGAAGTTAGGAAGTAAGCAAATAGGCCTTTAGGTTGCCAAAACAGAGACCCAAAGTTCAAGCACTACAGTGAATGCACTTGATTTCAGAGGAAATCTCTTTAGACCCAGTACATCCTATTTATAATTGGTTTTTACACAAGCTTAGTTATCTGGTTGGGTTCCAAGACATAGCTAATTCTAAGACAAAATATTAATTACAAGTAGAGGGAGGGCCTCATAAGATCTAGCATATGACTACAGAAGGAAGGAAAACTACAGATGAAGGAGGAAGAAAAAACATAAAAAGGATAAAAACCAGGGCCATTTAGTGTTGGGGCAAAATGTCATATAAATCTTAGAAGGCCTTCAGAGCATTACAGCATATACAATAATTTTATACTTTTTTCATAAGTGTCTAATAAATTTTTTCGAGAAGAGTAAAATACTCTTTATTTCGTATTACACTTTGATGTGTAATATTAAATGTTCTTTATTTGATTTTTATTAGATTTTGTTGTTTATAAGATTTTTATTATTTATAAAGTATATTTGATATTACACTACACACCAAAGTGTAATATCAAATAAAAAATATTTAACTCTTCTCAACTATTACACTTTAGTGTATAATATCACTCTAAATATTGCACACTTTTCTAAAGCCTACACTAAAATGCCTTTCTGTAAGTAAAGGGAACCGTTTTAGATACAGGGAATTCTAATGAGATTGGCACAGTCAAAGCCAAAAATATAAAGTAGACATTGCTACCTGATCTTCAGACCTTGCCTTTAAGAGGCAACAGAACACAAAATACAGGTGACTCTTGCTTGGTTCTGAGACAGTGAAGGAAATTCCCAAGTATTTAAATATATTCACATAACCAGTTATATAAATCTAAACATAAAACCAATCTCCAATAGGTTTTAAGGTGGTATTCACCATCTTTATGAAAAGTTGAACATTACTAATGAAGTCCAACCATATCTTTAGAAGGGGGAAACAGTGATAGCATTTACTGAATCGAAATTACTATTAAAATTCAAAGAAACATCAAACATACGCATTTAACCACAATCCAGTCTTAGTTAACAGGACTGCCCAACAAAAATATTCAGTCAGACATTAATGATCTGAATTCTGGTGTATGAGATCTATTAAATTATGGTACACACAAAAAAGTCATGAGATGTTCCTGTTTTGTAATAAACAAGGCAGTGGCCAACTAATTAATGCCCATTAGTAGCTTTTTTGAGATAGGCTATCATTTTCGTTCCAGGGATGAACTTTTTGGGATTCTCCAAATACTCCATCAGTGTATCCTGTCTTCAGGTGATGCTTTTGTTCTTACTGGCGTCTGTGTAAGTGAATCCAAAGGCCTCCTGACCTGTCCTCCATCCAGAGACCATGGAGATGTGGCCCAGTCTTGTGTTTGCCTCCCTTTCCCCCGGTGTGGCACTGGGCATACTTCTAGACAAAAATCTTGGTTTTCTCAACATCACCCATATTTAATTCTCTCTTTCGTCATTGGCACTACTAAGGTTCCCATTCAGAGGCCAAACATCCTGCTCTCCAAATTTCTAATAAATTTTAAAATAAAATTTCTGATGACTGTTTATCATCAAGAAAGTAAATTCGATTCAAAATTCTCTACAGAGAAAAGAAATAGGTCATAATTTAGAAATATTTCTTTAAAAATATTTATGATAACTGCCCTCTTTGTTTTCATGTGTTTACTTGGATAACACTCCAGTTATTTGGATATTCAGCTATCCCAATTACTTACTAAAGCTCTAATCAGCTGAGATTCATTGCTGTTTGCTCTGGTGATGTTCTAAAATACATGATCACAGAGATGTCTGAAGTTCGGGTTTACTTCATTATATTCTTTGAGAGAACTATCCAGAAAGTAACTTCTATTTCCAGTTTGCAGAATGTTTCTCTTGTAGCCCAAGGGAATGTGTTCCTTATGAATACAAGTAGACTTGACCAACTGGAGGACCAAGTACAGAATTTCCTATGTTTATAATGCCTCCATCCCAGAGTTTATAACAGTTCATTATGGTTATTTAAACTCAAGCAAGGCCGAGCTTGTATCTCATTACATAATAGTACAAAGTAACTCAGCCAAAACTTTGTGTTCACTCCCCTGGCCTTTTTTGTCTTGTAACCACCACCTCTGTGATTTTTGCTGCTTCCAAATAAAGGCCAAACCACATGTGTCATCTTCTACATCCTCTCGTAGTGCCAGAAAGCCTCACTCTCTAGTTCTCCGATAACCATAACAGTTGTGAGCATTCTATATCTTATTTAACTTAAGACAGTGGGTTAATTTTAGGTATGACTATAGAGGGATAATGCAAATTCTTTCACAGCAACTTGAAGTTCAGCCTTCACAGAAGCAGAGAGTACTACAGGTGGCAGAAAATTATTCCTGCCAGCAAATAGTAGTAGAACAAGTTTCTTTAGAACAAAAGGAGAAAAAGACACATCCAGTTTCAGTGGGATTAAATTAGACAGTGGGAGTTGGCTACCTAAACAGTACTTTTTTGGGTACTTATTGCTGTTCAAGCATTTGGGGATGTGCTATGCATAAATACATGCTCTGATAAATCTTTTCTTTGTCCTTTATCATTGGATTGGGGTGGACAAACAAGTGTTCCTGGAGGCAGAATGGCAAGCCACCATATTCACAAAAGGAAGATAAGGAAGTACAAACTGGATACATGAATGGTGAGGGGAAACATCCACTGTAATTTGCAAGGTTTCTTCATTTACGAAGGCTTTTAGGAAGAAGTGAGGTTTGAATCAAAGATGGAGCCTCCCGCAGAACCAGAAAATGATGAAGAGAAAGGGGAAGCCGTGAACTTCCAGGCATAGAGGATCTCTTTCGTGGCCAATAGACTCATGAAACAGGGTTATACCTGTTTTATCACAAAAGATGCCACCTTTGGGTTATGGTCCACAGGCACATTCCCCAGTCAGTGACAATATCTTCACCTGCAGAGTGAACACGAGAACTAAGAAAATAGCCTGGACACTCAGAATAGAAAAAACACTTCCCTAAAATATTTAGACAGGTAATACAAAATTTATTTAGGTAACTGCCTTAGTTCTCTGCTTTTATATCACCTGTTCATAAAAGAGAAAAGGCGGGATAGAAGTGGGGTGGAGGTGAGAATAAATGGCTTAAATTCAGAAGTTGTCATGCCAGATTTTTCTCCTCCCTGTTTCTATTTATGAAACTTTGCACAGCACCCTCAATTTTGAGGGTAGATTTAGAATGTATTTTCACTTGGCGATGGGGAACACAGATCCCCTTGTCCACAGTTGTGGGTTTATAAGAAGAGAAAGCATGAAATAAAGATGGGAGAGACACCCAGGATGAGATCCGTTTTTTCCTAAACACTCACCTGAAATGCCAGACATTCCAAAAGCTTTTGCATTTACAGAGAGTGAGAAATCTCTCTGCTGTCTGTGCTTCATTGGAAAGTAGAGGGACTATTGCTCTTTCAAGTGGGGGAGATTTGTGTAACAGAAAGAAACAGCAGAAAATAGGTCAGCAAAGTCCAGTGACCTGCACAGATGGGTGTTTTGAGATGTGTAAGCCGAGGTTCCACAATCACTACCCAGATTCACTTACAAATATCAGGAGTAAAGGCCGGAAATAGAAACATATTTTCCAGGCAAGAAGGAGTGGGGAAGAGGGAGAAGTGGGTTATCTTTTTTCCTTCAAATCACTACCATTTCCAGCATTTGAAAAAACATTTTCTTAAAGTCATTTTGCTCAACAGATGACAGTATTTCTTGGGAAAGTAGTAAGAAAAAAGGAAAAAAAAATTCAAGCAGTTTTTTTTCCGTTTCAGCCACCACCTTCCTTTTCTTCCCACCTGTGAATATGAACACAAGACCACTTCATTCTTAGGGTACTTTATTGGCCCCATTCTGCTTGCATATCCCAGCATCGTGCAATCACTAATTGTTTCAAACAGTAACCTAGTACCAAACAGAATTTTAACATTGCCACTAATTCTTTTGAACAAGGCTGTGTTGGCAATTATGAAACAGGGTAGACGTTGGCAAGTGCTTTCAGAATAATTATAGGGTTCCTCGAGTAGTACAGTGTAAACAATTGCTGGTTTAAAAGCGTTATTGTGAACAGCAATTTATACTAAAATTTATATTTGCTCCTTGAAACCAATATATGTCGAGAGTGCCCCACTCCCTCTCCTACCTCCCCACCTTGAGCTCTCAAGGGCTTTGGAACCTTTTGATTTTATGACACTTTTAACTTAGCAAGGCAACTACAAGGCATGTCTAGGCCACAGTAAATAAGGGTAAGAGTAATGCATTTAATCAATGGGCATGAATGAAGTAATGAAACTGTTTCAGCTCTGGCCACCTGGTGTGCTCCCAGGATACTGACATACAGAAAGGCCATTTTGGTACAGAGAGAAGCTAAGAACTGCAGTGGCATCATTTTTGCCTGGCAAGTAGGGCACGCTGAAGATTATCACCTCTTCTTTGGCTTATGATGGCATGGATGCAGGGCACAGAGGACCAAGACACAGGAAGCTCTTGGAGATAATGCAGCTCTAAAGTGGCCACAGAGACTTATTACAATATATTTTTTCCTCTCTGTGGAAATTTTAATTTTATCCTATGGTACATTAAAAATGGGTGGGTACATCAGAAAACCAGGGGGTGAGCGTGGGGGAAAGAAAGCCTTGATGATTGGGGGAGAATGGTTTTTGAAGGGCTCTTCTCTCTTCTCTTTGGGTGAATGCTAAATGGCAGTCCTTCTTTTCCAAACAGGTGACCGTATGTGTCATCTTCTTGTCTTTCTGTTGATCCTAGTGGCTTCTCTTACCCAGCCTGAGAACTCCCCTGAGATTTTTCGCATCCTGAATGTTTCTCACCAAAGTAGCTAGAGTTCTAGGATAATGTGTTTTTTGTTTGAACTGCGGTTCCTGGTTTCTGCTCTCTAAAGCCCTTTTAAGTCATATTTTCCATGATTGTTCAGTGCTGGCTTTGGTATTTAAATAAGCCTTTCAATGGGTCATTAGCCCTGTAATTAATTCTAGCTATTTTTAAATGGTGCCTTGGTTATTAAAGAGCCCCCATATTCACAACAGTCTTGTCTTTCTTGGAGAATTACTAAGCATTTGCTGATTTTTTTTTAGTGCCAAAAATATTGCAATTTTATCTCATTGTGAATATATTCCTCATTGATAGGAAGAGTCAATCTTTTTGAATGAGGACAGAAAATATTTAACTGTTACACTTCCATATAATAGCCTTGTGCTTTTATTTTTCTTTCAAATAATCATAACAAATACCCATCCTGTACCCCAGGCCCTGTCATAGCTATATGTGTTTCACTTTACTTACATTTTAAAAAATCAATTATCAGCAAATCACAGTACTTCAATGGGAAATAACTTCACAGAGAAAGAGAAGTGACTGGATTAAAATCACTTACTCAGTGTTAGAGAGGAAAAAACCCAACTTCTTCCTCTACCCGCTTATATTCAGTGTCTGGGGCCCCACAAAATAAACTTACAAAAGACAGGTTAACGGGAGAAAAAGGATTATTTTATATGTATGTGAGGGGGCCTCACAGAAATTAAGTGAATACCCCCAAGAAGGTCATCAGATCTGGAGGCTTATATACCATTTTAACAAAGGGCAATAAACTTATGGAGAAGTGACAAGATAAAGGAAAATGGTTTGAGGCTTCTAGGGGCCATATATTGTGGGAAGGTAAATATATGTGGGAACTAATGGAAGACAAGGGTTACTTCAATAAGGTTTGTTTTAGCAGATTTAAGTCAGTGCCCATCTGTAGTGATAAGGGTTGTCTCCTCTTCCTGGTATGGGGTTGGGGCAGAGGGCACCTTTACAAGGGGAAATGTATGCCCTGCCTATAGGCAGATAGGGGTAGGGTAGAGAGCTTTTTCTGCTGTTTCTCAGTTGCTTTCAGCTCAAAATAATCTTCATGCCAAAGTGTCATAATTTGGGGTGGCATATTCTGATCTTCTCACCAGTTAGTTGCAGAGCTAAAATTAGAACTTAGACCATCTGACTCTTAGCCCATTCTTTTGATTTCTCTATGCTTTATTATATAATATTAAAATAGCTGTTAGTCTCTGTGATACTACTACAAGAGGCTTACCAATTCTAATATTAGAACCAACCAACAAGCCTGGCTCCACACCCTTGGCACATGTCACAATCAATCACAGCACAGTGCATCTCAACCAGCCCCCAAGCATTCACTTGAAATCCATGTGACTCGGAATATGAGCTGAAACTCACTTGCCATCTTGACCTTATAGTAATCCCAGGATAAAGCAGTAATTCCTGGTTCAGAAAAGCAGATGGAGATTAACTTTGATTATTGAGTATTATCTGGGATCAGATAAAAATATCAATAGCTCATATAACAATAGTAATAGCAGTTACAATTGTATGCCAGGCATTGAGCTAGTTGCTTACATATATTCTTGCATTTGAGCCTCATAACAGCCCTGTGAAGTAGGTACTGTTATCTCTGTGGTAGAGATTAGGAAATAGAGGTTTGGAGAGGTTAAATAACTTGCCCATGATCACAGTGCTAATAAGTGGAAGATTTAGCATTGGGGTCCAAGGCTGTCTATCTGTAAAGCCACTCCTTGACATCTGACAACATATATGGAGAGGTCCATGTGCTGACCACTTGTAGCCCAGCCCTAGATGTCACAAGAGTAGTTATTAACTTTCTCACCTCCAGCCTTTTCTTTTAATCCTGTGAATTCCTTTGACATCTGTGGGTGGCAGGCTCTAGTAAATGTAGTTCAGAAGAAGATGCCTGCCCCAATTGATTTTTTTAGACACTTTAATTTGTGTTGGTTCTTGCTGTAGTTTCCACACTAGAAGGAAAGACCTGAGGCTGTCATTGGGTATTTTAATAACCCTTTCATTCCACTCCAGGGTAGTAGATATTACATGCTAGAAGCAGGTGGTAGGATTTCCTAATTTATTTATTCCTTTGGAGCACCTGCTATGTGTCAGGCACTGAGGCAGGCACTGGGAAGACAGGATGGAGAAGAATGACAGGTTCCTGCTCTATACATCTTATTCTTAATGTGTGGAGACAGCTAATAAATACGTGGCATTCCAGGGACTGATAAAGGCTTTGTAGAATGAATGCAGGTATTCATAGCAGGTGACTTGCGGGGAGAGGGCGAGGGATGCCTTGGGTTTTTCATTTCCTGTGGACCCTAGGACAAATATTAAGAAAAACTTTTCAAAAAGCAAGATAAGCTTCTGTATCTCTGAAATGACTGCAGTGCACTTGTGGCTCAGACGGAGACTGAGGAAAATGTAAAAAGACATGGTGTAATTTCAGTGTAATTTTCCTGTTTGACACCACTATCATTTTCCCAGTCTTCTGGGCCCTTCTCTCCCTGATAACTCTCTGCACCTGCAGCTGCATCGTGTTCTACCTATGATGCAAGGCTCACTGCCTCTCCCTAACACCACCACTGTGAACCACGAAGGATCCTGTGTTTTGTGTCCTCAAAGTCAGGTCCCCTGTGGCTACCGAAGTTCAACCACCTACACTGATAAAAGAGCCTCGGCTCACTCTTCCCAAGTGAATTGTTTCTGTTCACACTGGTTCTGTTTTTCTCTGTGAAATGAGGAGGTTGGGATAAACCCCAGTTGAAAAGGTGGCAGGAGAATGAACAGATGGTGGCAGTATCACCTTGGTCTTGCCCAAGCTTGGTAACCTTAGGACAGTCACTTTACCTCTCAGTCTCAGGTGCCTTGACTGAAAAGAAAGGGGTTTGATTTGTTAATCACAGAGGTCTTTATGGACCTGGCATTGAATGATTTAAAAGGTTCCATGTAGCTCTTTAGAGTACACTAAACAAAACAAAAACTATGATTTACTAGAGGCTGTGCATCTCTTTCCAGAGGAGTTTCAGACCAGGAAAGAGGACAGTAGTACAGTATCATTGTGGGGCGGTAGGAAAAATTATTCAAGGTCTTTTAACTTTCATTCCTGAGGACAGTTAGTGAGGGAAATGAACTCTTATGAGGTTGTTAATGAGATCAGAGCAAAGATGGCTCTTTGTACTCCCAAACTATGTTTAATTTCTTAAACTTTAGAAATGGCAGGTTTTAACTAAGTCAGCCAGATGAGGATGTGGGAACCGAGCAGGGACCAGGATGAGCCAAAGCATCAGAATCACTTACTTGTGAAACTGACCGGCTTCTGCTTGTTATCTGTCATTTTACTCCATATTGAGGTCAGAGTGGTAAAGCTATTTTGCAGTATACATTTCCTTTTGCTTAAAAGACATGAGATTATCAAAACAACAGGGAAGGGACGTTACTCACTCTCACCAGTAATTTTCAAATGCTGAAAATAAATGTGCCTAGATATAGTCTCCATAAATATATTAATGTGTTGCATATTCCCTATATAGCTATAGTTATTTCTTAATTGATTTCACTCTGCAATACTGTGAAATCGCCTTATGGAAATCTGAAACATAAAAAGATACCACTTTTTATGACTTTGTAGCTATCCTGTTTTCTTCTAAAGGTATTGGTTAAGTGCATTGAAGCATGGGTGGTCCACACAGTGGCTCTTCCAGACAAACTAAATTAGCAGAAGGAGCAGCAAAACCAGCAGTTATGCAAAATGTTTCTTTTTGTTTTCTTTAATTGTGGTAATGAGTTCATTCAATTTTGAAAGCTTATCTTTGTATGCCTGTCTTCCATGAAATTTTGAGGTGTGAATTCAGCCATTCATTGCTTGAGCTTTTATTATTTCAGAATTAGGGTAGCATTACTTCTTTTCCCTCATCATCCCCTTGGAGAGTCACCATCTAGATGATAATATATACTTCTATTTATGTCTTTCTCCTAGTGTCCTTAAGCCTTAAGGAAAAGAAACAACATCAAAAAACATTAATTTTTTTCCATTGAAAGCTGATCCATGTGTGTGCTGACAATAACTTTAATCCCTTTAATGTCCAAGTGAGGAGGATTGAAAACTGGTAACACTTTCATTGATATTTTTTAAATATGCTCTTATAGCAAAAAAAGTTTGATATCTTTTTGGTGACCACTTAAAGGAGAAACTATTGACGCATAAATTATAAATTCTATGGCTTTAAATATTATTTTTTGAGATGAATGTGTTTGGGGTAGAATATGAACAACTTAAAACTTTAAAATTTCCATCTAAATTTCAAGTCTTAAATGTGCCTCTTGGTTTTTTGTTTGTTTGTTTGTTTGTTTTTGAGACGGAGTCTCACTCTGCTGCCCAGGCTGGAGTGCAATGGCACGATCTTGGTTCACTGCAACCTCCATCCCCCAGGTTCAAGAAATTCTCTGCCTCAGCCTCCCGAGTAGCTGGGATTATAGGCGTGTGCCATCACACCTGGCTAATTTTTGTATTTTTAGTAGAGATGGGATTTCACCATCTTGGCCAGGCTGGTCTTGAACTCCTGACCTCATGATCCACCTACCACGGTCTTTCAAAGTGCTGGGATTACAGGCGTGAGCCACCGCGCCCGGCCCCTCTTCTACACTTTTTTCAAGGTCGGAAGCAGCTCACATATAGACAATTACATCTTCAGCCACTTAGTTTTTTAATATCACTTTCGTTTCATAAAATGAGCTATGTTGTCCTTACAATTCAGTTGATGGCCAGAAGAAAATCAGACCCTTTATAAAAAGTAGGACTTTAAAAAGCACTGGTGTCCTATTGTAGGCTGTTTCACAATACACATAGTAAAATATGAATTTTATTGTTTGTTTTGTTGATTGGGAAGGAGATGGGAGGGGGTGGAGAGTGACGTTATAGTTTGAATTTATAATTTGAAAGCAGAGAAAATGGATGAAATAAAAAGATTACCATATGAGTATCACCAGATCCTCCCTCCCACACACACATACCTATCCCCAGGCAATCTTTCTGTGAGAATTTACCTTGGTGTTTAAAAATCACGGCAATATAAAAGTGATATTAAAAATAGTATACTACCACTGTAAGAAGTATGACAAACATGTGAGATCCTGAGAAACTGCAGAATATTTTCTCATTCAAAGTTTAGTACCTTGGTCTTATAGTGTTTGACACTAAAAAACATAGCAAATACTCTTTTATATTTAGCCTATTCCGTGATGCCTTGTTTCTTAAATTAATTCATGGGCAATGAATGGGGGAGGAAAAATAACAACAACAAATATGCCCTGGTGATATAGTAAATGCCACTTTCCAACACTTGCTCGCTACCTAAGAAAATCACTTTATTTTCTTCTCTCATGCCCAGCTTGATTGCAGAGAGCAAGAGAGTAGATGGAAACTGTGGGGTTATTTTTTAACGTTATATCATTAACTCCATCCAACACAACATGCTTAATTCCTTGTTTCTCGTAACTTTGGGATGAAGTATGGTGTTTTGTTGCCTGTTTACAAAATAGGCGACAGACACAGAACATAAGAGCTGCTACATATCATAGAACATATCGAGAATGCCAGAGATTTTTCCTGTTTTCTTCCACAAGACCATGTTAAACTGTGTGTATCAAGTTTAATAAGAGCAATGTAAAGCTACTTGATTACATTTTTATCCACAACATGATTTTAAACTAATGCTATTGGCCAGGCGCGGTGGCTCATGCCTGTAATCCCAGCACTTTGGGAGGCCAAGGCGGGCGGATCATGAGGTCAGGAGATCGAGACCACGGTGAAACCCTGTCTCTACTAAAAATACAAAAAATTAGCCAGGCATGGTGGTGGGCGCCTGTAGTCCCAGCTACTCGGGAGGCTGAGGCAGGAGAATGGTGTGAACCTGGGAGGTGGAGGTTGCAGTGAGCCGAGATCGCGCCACTGCACTCCAGCCTGGGGAACAGAGCGAGACTCTGTCTCAAATAAATAAATAAATAAATACACTAATGCTATTTACCGTGAAGTGTAGTAGTTATACTTCGTGCCTCCCAGCACTTGAGGGTTTCATCATTGCCTTACAGTATTTCTCAGAAAATAACACATTCTCCCCTGGAAATTGTTGGCTGACTTTAGCAAATTCAGGCCACCTATTCATTTAAGACTGTTGTGTGTGTTTGATTATCTAGAATGAATTGCCTTAAGAGTCTCTTTTGGAAAAGTACTAGCACAGTGCCCGAAATGCCAGGGAGTGGAAAGTCATGGTCTCGGCGGGGAAATGACTGCAGTGTTCATGGAGACAGTGTTTTCGCTTGGCTGACATTAATGACAACCCAATGCTATGTGCTCACTGAGTGTTTTCATTTCAGAAGAGCATCAAAACCACTGAGTCCTTTCAAGTCGTCTTCTTTTACTGTGAAACCAGAAACCATGCCGACGACTACTTTCAGTAATAACCTGTGTCCCAACTGCAGGCTGAAGTAAACTTCTTCTCATATAATTTTCTAATTTCTGTGTAGGGGTAGTTGTAGCAAACAACTTAGTTTCTTTCAGAGCGTGACTTCAGAAAGCGTATTTTCATGCAGCAGTGATGGGTAATGAAATCAGAATTTCCACAAAGTCTGCCCTAATTGAACAGCATTATCAGGAAAAATAAAACATGAGACTCAGAGTTTTCTCCCAAAGTCATTTATGTTATTAGGTAATGAAGCTGATTTTATTTTAGCAAACGTACTAGGAGGTATACTTCCACGTGAACATTGCCCCTTCAAAGCAGTCAACTGGAAAGGCTGAATGTCCGTGCCCATAACGCTGTCACTGCCAAAAGCTAATATATAACTCTTCTTCTGAAATGGCTTTCACCTCCTTCAGCAATGTTTTCATATTCTCCATAGTGGCCATAGTTCTCCTAGAAAAGTGAGCTTGATATTTGAAAACAACCAATAGTTAATATGCTGAAAAAGGTAAGTGAAGAAACCAAACCAGGCCATTTTCCTTAAAAAAAAAAAAAAAAGGCCAGTCATGGTGGCTTACACCTGTAATCCCAGCACTTTGGGATGCCAAAGTGGGTGGATCACCTGAGGTCAGGAGATCAAGACCAGCCTGGCCAACATGGAGAAACCCGTCTCTACTAAAAATACAAAAATTACCCAGACGTGGTGGTGGGCGCCTGTAATCCCAGCTACTCGGGAGGCTGAGGCAGGAGAATCCTTTGAACCCTGGGGGAGGTGGAGGTTGCAGTGAGCCGAGATCACGCCGCTGCACTCCAGCCTGGGTGACAGAGCGAGACCCTATCTTTAAAAAAAAAAAAAAAAGGAGGAGAGGGACTATAAAGTACAGCTGTGTCTTATCTCATTGGCACTGAGAGCAGCTGCATAAGAAGTAGCTCCAAGTAGTTTGGGGCAATGACAACATAAGAACTTTGACGCTCAATCCTCATTTTGGTGTCAAGGTTCCTGGAGCCAGTGAATTTGTTGGAAGAAAATATTGGCCACTAGCTTTCTTCTAGAACATTAATAGAGTGGATGACAATGAAGACAACAAAGAGCATTCGAAGGCTATCATCCACCACAACATAGGAGCATCTCCACGCCCACAGTACGTGTCAGTTATCCACATTACCCCACTGTTGATCGTACACATCTTTGGTTGTGTCAGAACTGCTACTCCCCTAACAAAATGCTACGCAAGCAGTGAGTGTGGGAAGCTGAAGGGAGGGACAACACGAGGGAAAATCCTGCTCAAAAGAACACAGAATGGTGACTTTCATTGTCATAATCTGATAGTAATCACGGACAATTCTGACTTCAGCCACCAGTTCAGAAATCACTAAGAGGCAGGAGAGTTTGATCATGAGGCCGCTTGGTGCTTTTACTGCAGTCACACAGAATTCCCTGTTTCCAGGCTCAGCAAACCTCTGTTACGCAAACTCGGGTTGAGGACAAGGGTGTGCTGGGGAATTGGATGTAAATTTTAGTTGTGACATTGAAGCTTTCCCCACAGGAAGTCCTTTGGAACTATCATTTTATTCCATTTTATGTTTAAAAATATAAAAATGGGCTTTATTAAAATCCCATTTTTTTAAGGTTTATGAGCTGTTAGTGAAGACTATACAGAACTGCTACCTATTTTCCTGTCTCTATCTGTTTCTCCTGGGAACTGTTTTGGCTTACCGCAGATGGAGGAAAAGAGCCACACTGGAGTGAAATGAATGACAACATTCCCGGAGAAGTCTCTCACGATCTCAAAATCCTTGGCCCACTGGTCATTTATAGCCACTGCTAAAGTATTTGTGACCAGTTTCCTTTAGTTTAACAATTACTCTCTCAATAGACAAGCATCCATCCAAATAACAATTTGTCCTAAATCAAATCCCTGGAATATTAAAATACATCATTAGTTTAGGAAATCTGTTAGTTGGCCCTCAAAGTTTTTCATTTTTTCTTACATAATCCCTTCTTGCTCCCCATTTTTCAGTTAGAGTTGAATAAGGTAGGGCCTAGCAATGTCAACCATGATGGAGATGCCACATAGTATTTGTCAGGTTAGAAGAAGGGTGAGAAAGCATGTAGCAGGTGGAACGGATGGTTCCACAGCCCCTTGACTCCCTGACGTAGAAGAGACTGAAGGCAACCTGATCACCACGTTCAAAAGTTGGCTTTCTCCATTTTAAGTTCTTCCTTAAAGCCTCTTTAAGCAAAGTCCCTGAAATGATACAGTAGAAAAATCACACAGACTTATTTAAAATGAATTCTATCACTATTCCTGAGATCTCGCCTGCCCCACTGAGGACATTTTGTTTTCGCAAAGTGCTTTGAAATGTGATAAAGGATCTTAAAGAATATTTGTAAAATTATGCCCAAAGAAGACATTCTTTGAGGTTAACTTGCAGTGTCTAAAAGTCAAGAATGAGGAAGGAAAGGAAAATAACAGATTCACTTTAAAATGGACCACGCTAATTGGGCAGTGAAACATCCTTGTGTCACACCATTTACCGTAGCAGACCAGAAGAGGGAAAAGGCTTGATTTTTCTCTCATAGATACCACAGTTCACTCTCAAAAACATTCCTAAAATGGATTGATATTTCTCTGATAGAGCACCTGTTTTGCTACTGACAGTGTTAAGTTCCATACTAATCAGCTCATCTAGCCTAACTGACAACTCAAAAAGCTGATTCCAAGAACAAGAAACTGGCTTCAATAGAAATATTATGGTTTATTTTGAAGCGTGGGGACAGGTAAGGACTAAACAAATTTATCTTTGTGACATAGTTTAAAGGGTATTTTAAATGAATAATAATTCCTCATAAGTGCTAGCCATTCGTCTCATTGTTGGTGGGTGTGTTTGAGGTGCGGCTGGTTTTTAAAACAAATATACCAAAGGTTATGAACCCCCCAAATATTCTGTTCCATTCAGAATTTATTTGTAAGTCTACGCACTTATTCAAATGATTTTTTTCTAAACTTTAATTTTCTTTTTTTAACTCAATTTCTTGGAATTGCTTTCAGTAACTGCTTCAGGCCTCTTTGAATAGCAGTGAAGGCAAAATCAGGGCAAGTCGTGGTGAACAGTTTGGCTTTTCTGGAACACTGAGCTGACGCCAGCCACCCCACTGGGCTTGGTTCCCCAACATCTCACAGCGAAGGCACTTGTCTGATGCATATTAAGCTTTTATGTTACCACCGGGGGCTGCCTCAGAAGTTACTCCTCTGTGTCCTGATGGTCCTTGACTTGGCCTTGGACTGTCCTTGACCTCCAATACCTTAGACAGTTGCAGGTGGGAACAGTGTAGCTTGAGGTTCTAAAATGCTTTGCTGATGGAAAAGGTTTTGTTCTGAAAAGTGAATTACAATAGGAAATGGATTTGCATTACTGACACTATCTGCTGTGGGCTTTGCCTCTATTGATTTAAAGCAAAAGGGCACAATTAGTGGCCTTCAAAGAGAGGGGAAAAAAAAATAACCTAACTCTGTCCTAGCACGTTCAATTAACTTGTTTACTTTGAAGGGAAAAAAAACTTTTATTTTTACATCAACAGCGTATTAGCATGGTGTTGCCTTGTCTCATCTGTAATGGCAAGACATGGTTTTGAAAAAAAATTCTCTTCGTTTCATAGTAGTAATGTTATTTTCTAACATTAAGCACAACAACAACAACAAAAAAAAGCAGGGAGAGCACGAGGGGTTCGGTGTATAAAAACGGTGTTCTAGCTGCCAGAACTTTTATTCTGGATCTCGAAGAGAACAGTTCATTGTATTTCCTTTCCTAAACCAATGAAAATGAAAAATTAGTTACTAGGTAGAATTCTCTTCCACTTTCTATCCCTTTTCCCTGACGAGATGAAACCTGCTGGGTTTTGCCATAAAAAGAGGTCCCTGTTGGGGAAATGAGAGTTCAGCTCACTCTTCACATCACAGTGTAATACAGCAGGACTGGCTCTGGAAGATTATGTAGTGCAGCACTATGCCTAAGAACAGAAGAGGAGGCTGAGCTCTGGAGAAAGAGGGTCACAAAGCGTTACAGGCATTTGGTGAATTTTGCTCACTGCACAGGCAGTTGTGAGAGCCTCCGAACCCTGTAGTTCAGTCTTTTCCCCACTTTACCAGTGTGTGAGGCCTCTCTCCCACTTCCTCCACTTACCACCTCTCCAAGATGCCAGCCTCACTGTGGGCTTTCCCTAGAAAGAAACACTGGTTTCTTTCTATCGTGCCCTGGTTAGTGTTGTTTCTCACATTAGGCCTCTGTGTTAGAAATAAAGCTGCTAAACTCCATGTCGTTACACAACAAAAGGAATACAGTGACCTATCCTTCATTCTTCTGATAGTTCCCTCAACTCCAGCTGCAGCCCCTGCCAAATACTATCATCCTTAAAAGATAGACAGTGATCCCAGCACTGTGGGAGGCCAAGGCAGCTAGATCACTTGAGTCCGGGAGTTCAAGACCAGCCTGGGCAACATGGTGAAACCCCATCTCTACTGAAAAAAATATAAAAAAAAGCCAGGTGTGGTGGTGTGTGCCTGTAGTCCCAGCTACTCAGGAGGCTGAGGTGGTAGGATTGCTTCAGGCCAGGAAGTGGAGGTTGCAGTGAGCTGTGATCGCACCACTGCACTCCAGCCTGGGTGACAGAGTGAGACCCTGTCTAAAGAAAAAAAAAAGACAGTGATGATGATTATAGCTAACATTTATGGAGCCCTTACTATGTGGTGGGCACTGATGCTACAGGCACTTTACTTGTGTACCCTGTAATAATGAGATAGGGCTCGTTTTAAAGGTGAGGAAACTGAGGCACAGAGAGATTAAGAAAGTGTCCAAGTTCTCATAGCTAACAAATGTCAGGGTAGAGATTCAACCCCAGACTCTAGATTTTGCAAATCAAATCTCTACACTTTGTCTTCAAGGTCATAATCAACTCTCTCCTTTTTCCTTAAAAAAAAAAAAAAAAAAAAAAAAAAAAAAAAAAAAAAAAAAGTTTTCACTTTCATCCTTAATTCCTATGCAGTGAAGCTAACGTAACAAGACGAGGTGCGCTGGTGGGTTCTGTGTATCCTTTCCGTGTCCTTGGTGCCCAGTCACGCAGGTTCTCAGCAAGTGGTGGCAGGACATGCAGCTGGATGGACTCGTGTGTAGGCCCACATGTTGGGGGTGGGGGGTGAGGTGTATGTGTAAGCATGTGGGGGGTGTGTGTAGGGTGCGTGTGCAGTGTATGTGTGTGTGGCATGTGTGGTGTGCATCTGTGGTGCGTGTGGTGTATATGTGTTGTGTGTGTGTGGACTGTATGTATGTGGGGTGGGTGCGTGTGTGTGCCGTATCCTTGGTGCCCAGTCATGCAGGTTCTCAGCAAGTGGAGGCAGGACTTGCAGCTGAATAGACTTGTGTGTGAGGTGTGCCCGTGTGTCGTTTGAGGTGTGCCTGTGTGCCGTGTGTGGGAGGTGTGCCCGTGTGCCGTGTGTGGGAGGTGTGCCCGTGTGCCATGTGTGTGAGGTGTGCCCGTGTGTCGTGTGTGAGGTGTGCATGTGTGCCGTGTGTGAGGTGTGCATGCGTGCCGTGTGTGTGAGGTGTGCATGCGTGCCGTGTGTGTGAGGTGTGCATGTGTGCCATCTGTGTGAGGTGTGCATGTGTGCCATGTGTGAGATGTGCCTGTGTGCCGTGTGAGGTGCGCCTGTGTGCCGTGTGTGTGAGGTGTGCCTGTGTGCTGTGCTGTGAGGTGTGCATCTGTGGTGTGTGTGAGCATGGTATATGTGTGTAGTGTACGTATGTGTGGTACATGTGAGCATACGGTGTGCATGTGTGGTATGTGTGTGTATGTGTGGTGTGTGTGTGCCTGTGTTACCATTTAAGATGGTAGCAGCTATTGGCATTAAAAAGGACCTGCTATTCTGAGCTCTGGCTTTGACAGTAAGCTGTGCCCACAGCAGCTGTTAGCAATCAGAGTGTGTTTCCATCCGATGTGAAATGTGCTGCCACCACTTGTGAAATGGATTTCAAAACCTTGCCGTACTGAAGTACCAAAGTGTGTGAATGGTATACTTTTACTGCAAATTAGAAAGATTCACTTATTGCAGTGATAATGTCACACTCACTCACTCAAGCTATCTTAAGTGACAGAGACACACATTGCCAAACAGTGGATAGCTGATAGCAGTGTTTTCAGGACAGTCATAGAATGTCATCTGAAATGTTTGTCTCTGTAGGCAAAAGAAGCACCTTGGACTAGAGGAGCAGAAACTGAAAATGGAATAGGAAGGACAGTGGTGCGGGCCTCGTTTTGATATCTTTACATGGCTGTTGTGTTCTTACTTTGCCTCTAGTGCATGACTTACATAAAAATAAGTGGCTTCAAGATAAATACACAGGCTATACATTTCGTTTTCTTGGGGAAAAAAATGACATTTATGAGGTGTTATAGTGTGTGCATTGATGCTCAGATGTCAGACCTTCTTAAAATAAATCTGACAATCTCTTAGCTTAGTCCAGAGCATTTCTTCTCCTTATGTCTCGCAACTACTTAAATCCCCAAAGCTCTGCTGCCTCTTTCTGTATTTCCCTTTCCTACTAAGAAATAGCCACCAGCTCCTGCCACTTCCCCTTGGGAATAGGCACAGAAATAACTGTGCTTCAGCTATCCACAAATATTGCTATCCATTCTCAGGTTGAGCTTATATGTTGTAATTAAGAATGGAAATGTTTCTTTAATCAGCAAGTTTAAAGACCATGCATTTAGGGAAAGTCAGAAACAAGTCCTCACGTTGTTTGGTCATTAGTATGCCTGGCTGAACTGGTTGTCTTAGAAAAGCATTACAAAAGAGAATTTTTTGAAATACCATTGAGCCACAGTTCAGAAATACATCTGTGATGTATTTGAAAGGCTTAGAACTTGCCATATTTTTTGTTTAGATGTTAATGACCATGTCCTGGAAACTGGAGGTGAAGGAACTAGTTGAATTTCTAGGAGTTCTAATTCTTCAAGATCTTACAATCTTAAAGTGGTTAATATGAAAACATTTACACTTCCGCTTCTGGCAAGCCTAAATAATTTGCCTGTGATTTTTAATAAAAACCGGATCCTTCCCTCATCTCTCATCCAAAGCTTCATCCTCTTATTAATTCTAAGGACACTTTTTTGAAATGGAAAACAGCACAGAGGTGGAGCAGAAATACAGGCTGTGGGCTAATTCTCTTAACAGTCCTCACCCACTAAAATGATCTGTGGACCAAGGAAGTTTTGGTGTCATGACACCATGTTCCTGTGACTATAAATATGTTGTCTTTTTAGTGTTCTGGGCTTGCTATAGAGGGATGTAAATGCATTTTCAAGGTTTAATGTTCTAAGTTATTTCCAATCTTTTACCATGAATCCAGTTTATTTAGTTGGGGAATATTTCTTGAGTGACATCTATTCAATGAGCAGTAGCAGATCTTCAGAATGCCATCGGAGCTCATGGAAAGAAATGATGGGTTCCTTTGCCTGGTAAGCTTTTATGACTTAATCTGGATTCTTGTTATTTTGACCCATTTCTGCACATCTTACTTCATGCAGCTGGGTTTTGTGACCGCACAGTTTTGGGGGGGGGGGGTCATGGAAATTGTGCAGGTGGAATTAGTAATCAATGGTTGTTAAGAATTTGTGGGGTTATGTGAAATTTGGTGTGAAGTTAAGACAGCTGCAAAGTGGAGTGGTTTTCTCGTAGGCTTAGGTGTGAGAATGTTGGGGGTAATTGGTTAAAGTAAGATTGTTTCATAAAATGCAGTAAGTGTAATTCTGATGTTTTCGGTTGAGCAGAAACTAGATCACCAGATTTGGTATGGTTTTAAAGATGTTCTTTTCTGTTGTGAAAAACAGACCTTGAGCAATGAAAGCAAAGAGTTGACCCCAGTGCTCTCAGCTGTAAGGAGGATTTCACCTAAATGTAGCGTAATTGTTCCTGTTAAGGAGAAAAAAAGGAATTGGTATCTAGAGTGAGGTTGATCGCAAGAAAATACGTATGCAGTTCTGTGAGTCAGATGACTTTTTTTGTCTAGTATTATCCAGAATTATGTAAGGGACACCATTGTTGGAAACAACGTTATTAGGAATTTCCCTTGAGCATAGTCTAATCACTTAGCAAAATAAATGGGTTCTCTTTCCTGCTGATATGAAATGACATTTAACCCACCCCGAGAGATTCTAGAGAAAGAGGACTTTTGTTAAATGTTACTGATCCCAGGGTCCTAGAAAATCTTCAAGGACTTTATATTTTAAAATGTAGTTAATTCTAGAATCTTAGAGGGACCTTACGCCAACTGAGAACCATTGGTTAAATAGCCAATTACCTTTATCTTAGCCCTTGATATCACATAACCCCATAAATCCTTAACAACAAATACGTTCTGTTGTTTACAAAGGCAAAAGAGAGGAAAAACAAAAAGAAAAAAAAAAGGATTGTATTGCTGATCCTGGTGGTATCATTTATTGGGTGAGAACTTACTTATTTAGTATCTGACCCACTGGATGAGTAGGATGAAGTATTAGGAAGCTTATTCTCTTGCTGTTCAGGTCTTTCACTCAAGGTTTAAACTGGTTACCAGGTAGATACCAAAAAAGGTATAGAGTCAACTGCCTTAAACAGTTTGTGCACTACTATGTGATAGGAGAATTCTAGAGAGAACTGGATCTAAAAAAGCCACCCACTGTTCTTCTAGATGAAAAATCTGTTTCCTCTCTGATTTGACAGAATTTCCCTGTCTAGGGATAAAAGTGCTCATTTGGATTTGGCTTTTAGCAGAGATACATATGCATCAGGGAATGTGAGTCAGTTTCTCTAGAAAGCTTAATCTAGTAGGGATGGAAATATATTACAAAGGATTAATATTCAGTTCCCATTGTCAGAACCACCTGCATATTCACAGAAAGCCACATGAGAAGATGTGCCTGGCTTCCTTATTCTTCAGAGATTTCCTGCACACACAGCTCAGCTTTCTCTTAATTCAGATGGGACATTCTGGCGCAGTATTTTAACTCTTACACAACTAAGTCTTTAAAAGACTGAAG
The DNA here is from genome assembly GCF_000001405.40 of Homo sapiens. Classification (NCBI taxonomy): domain Eukaryota; kingdom Metazoa; phylum Chordata; class Mammalia; order Primates; family Hominidae; genus Homo; species Homo sapiens. Next base: position 60,539,110 of record NC_000015.10, on the reverse strand, counting down.
AAAAATCGTCAAAGTTCCAAAACTTCAATTTTGTCTTATTTTAAATTTAGTTCACAAATGTTTGATCTCTTGATGGTTTGAGGAGTGTGTGTGTGTGTGTGTGTGTGTGTGCATTTGGCAGGTATACTCAACACTTTTTATTGAAAAATGTTTTTTTTAAAGCCATTAAGTTTTCCGGAGAAATTACAATCCAGTTGAAGTTTTTGAGAAGTGGCTTGTTTAGTAAGATGCAGAACATTTTTTTTAATGGCTATAATTTGATAGACTCATTTGAGTCAGATGTCAACTTAATAATAAGGCTTGGGATGTCTGTCAGAGGGTGACATATATGTTTATTATGTTAACAAGTGGGAATCGTGCCATTTCCATGATGCCCCGACAAGACCGTACAAGCCCTAGATAAAGCTAGGTCAAGGACTTTGCATAGAGAGGCGACCTCTCCATCTAAGTGCTCTTTTTCTTCTAAGTTGTGAATAAGATAGTAACATCTGGACCCATCAGTCCCTTGGGAAAGCATCTTGGAAACCAATGATTAAAAAACATTTAAGTAAGTCTAGCTAGCAGATGAGAATTATGGTACTGTGTAATTTTTATTCTCTTTGTGGCATAGCTGGATATGGGTAATAGGACACAGCATCGCAATCTTTGCCATGAATGATGTGGCAAGCTTCCTGAAGCTTCCCATTTATATAGGTTTTTCATCTTCAAAGAGCTTTGTGAGCACTCATTTACCACCACCTGCCTGGGAGGTAAGAATTATTCCCATTTTTATGGATGGAGGAAGTGGAGGTGTAAGTGAATTGCTTGAGGCCACCCAGGGAGTTCAGTCTCAGAGGGAGACCTGGAAGGGCCAACTCCACCTCTTAGCTGAATTGACTCCCAGTGCTTTCTTTTTGGTGTCATGTCCTCTTGAGAGCCCCAGATCAGTGATGGCATAAATCTAAACACATCAAATAATCTTGAATAGGAAAGAGACACCAAGTCTCTCTTTCTTGTGGCTATGTCTACATCAAAACCCTGGGAAATCTGGACATAGAGAAGAAGCCATTTAACCCTCCTGAGGCTCATTTTCCGTATCTGTAAAATGGGGATGATAATACCTATCTGCCTCCTTTAGGGATGTTGAAAGCACCAAAATCAAAGCAAGCTAACAAGGATAAAAACTTTGAAAACTATATAGAATTCTGCAAAAACTCAGGCATTACTATTTTTGCCAAAAATGACTGCGAGACTGCTTACTGAAGGAGTAGGGCTTTCTATTTGGAGATCTAATTGTTTTGGTGAGGTTCAGCAAGGATGAAATACTGTCATGAAAGAATCCAAAATCAAGAGAAGAAAATAATGTACTAGGGAAACATATTAGTGTTATATTTAAAATGAACTTAGCAGACCAAGTGGCCAAACAAGTTCATCGTTAGTTTGCATAGGATGCAGCTATAACTCGGCTCTACTCATCCCTGATGGCCATTGAACATGCCTGTGCTATGGAACATACCCATACTCTATTCCAAGCCACAGGTCCAGGTCGATGGTCTGTTCCCCTTCCACATGGAGATGTAATGAGAGCTCTCTGCAAACCCTTATGGTGTCCTGGGGCCTCCCATGGCAGAGTGGAGAGAAAGCATGTTGCTCCCTGAACTGTCCACTCCTAGCACTGTAGAGAAGGGGCACTACCCCTGGAAGGAGGGTTTGAAAAAAGGGAGCTTGTCTGGGTAGACAGATTGAAGAAAGGTTTCCTCTCTCCAGGCTGTTGCAGTCACTCTGCAGCAAGGCTCACAGCCAGGTGCATTTCAACCTCTACTTTTGACCCCTCAGCTAGGCCGCACTGGGCAGAGCACAACCTGCATGACCATCTTTAGAAGCCCTGAAACAAGGGGGCCACAAAATTCTAGAAGCCTGGTGCTCCTGAAGTCCCTCCAGGGAATAAGGTGAAGACTCTGCAGCTCTCCCCCGGCTAACCTTGACACGCAAGCCAGGCCGCCATTCAGGCAGCTGCAGAAGCCTTTAATACCCTGGCAGTTTTAAACAGGGGATAAAATAAAGTGACTAATCCATAAAGGACTCAAGCCATTTTACTGAAAATAAAATCAAATGCCTTAGGGTTTTTCTTTTTAATCTTTATTGGTTTTTCTGCTTAGAAAAGTAATACATGCTGGTTGTAAAAAATTCAAACATTAGAGAAATATCTAACATAGCAAGTGAAAAGTCCTCCATATTCTCTGCACTCCAGAAAAAAACACCATCAACAGATCTGTGTAAAAGATAGATAGGCTTTTTAAAGCACTAGTTTTTGACCGTTTTTGCAAGACACACAAAATTGGTTGACATTCATAAGTATGACAGACATGTTCTCATAGGTGTACCCAAGGTTCGGCCATTGGCCGTTTCCTGGCAAGCCAGCAGTAACCCCACCCCATTCAGTCCAATTCAAGAAAATATTTGGTTGTGCAATTGAGCTAGAGTGAACGATATTATTGGGGTAACCTTGGGTCTATATTAGTTTAGTTTTTATGTGAACCAATAAAAAACTTTAATTTTGTAAAACTTTTATTAGTAACCAATTCCCTGTGACACTCCTGCAACTTATTGCAACATACCACTGTGTTGTGGCAAACAGTTAAGCAGCAATGTTGTGAAGGATTGCTGTGGTAGCTGGTAGGAACTGCCTGTCATGTTATTTGGAGGATAAGCAGCTTTTCTCTATCCCCACCTCGGAAAGAGCTTAAAGTCTGGAGGAAAGAATTTCATTTCACTATAAGGCAGGATTTCTTATCAACAACAACAATAATAATAACTACTATTTACTGAGTGCCAGCTATTTCTAAGAACTATGTGATGGGCATATATAGAGAATACATATATAAAATGCTCATACAGATATCATATATATGGTATGTCATTTATGTATCACATCCTTGAATCTTCAAGTATGAAACTGAGGCTCAGAGAGGTTAAGTAATCTGCCCGGCCTTAAGAACTGTCAAACGTTGACATTGGTCATTTTAGGGTTAAAATTCTAACCAGAATTTTGTGAAACTGAGATCAGTGGCCTAGAAGGTTGATGGTTATTTTTAGTTATAAACTACGGGGATAACTCCCAGCAAGAGATGTTGACATCAATTCCTGAGTAGTGTGTTAAGTTTAAACAAACTACTTAGGGGATGTCTTTTGAGCCCTGGTTAGTGATTGCTTAATAAGAGTGCAATGATGATGATGACAATGATGACAGTAACAATTAAGTAAGTGATGCCTACCGCATAGGGTATTGGAGGAGTGAGTGAGATATAATGCGTGACACATTATTAGCACAAATACATGTAGATATTATTATTATAAATTAGATTATTATTGAGAGATCACTACTCACCCACAGAATGAAGTACTGGGTGCCTGTCATACAATTTTTATTTTTTTAATTCTTTGGGAAAATGGGCATTGTTCTCTGGACCATGTTATCTCCTAAGATAGGTCCTGAGGAATAAATGTCATCTTAAGAATGCTAGTGCCCAAGTTCTTGTTCCTTTTATAATTAAAAATTCAAAGCAAACTTCTTCTAGAAGTGCAGTGCTAAATGACAGCCTAGCCCCAAGGACCACTTGGTTAATTAGCACCCTTGCATTCCAGGATTTCCTGATGCCCGCTGCCACTTGTTGTCAGCTCCTTGAAACTGCATTTGCCTCTGCAGGTGTGGAGAGCCTGCTTGAATTACACAGGGTGCATGAGAGAGCAAATTATTTAGGCAATAGGGCTGAAAATGTGGGCAAATTAGAATTTTTCATAGCAAGATTGTTCATTGTGAAGCCAATTCATGATTATATGTGCGCATCTTGCTCCAGATATTCCACTACACAATAAACCTCTTTGCTGGGATGAATATGTATGTGGGCTAATTTAATCAATATACTTGTGAACGTTGACAGTAGTGCTGTCTGACAGAACTCATCCTTTGAAATGCTGGCTGAGTTAATGTGTGCAGTATATATATGGGCCAAGATTCATAATTTGTGTTAAAAGAAGATTGTTTTGAGAAGACACCACACTACCTGGTGGGAAACTGAAAAGCCTACACGATGAAAGGCAAAGGGCAGAGGGATTTTTGTCTTCCTCCTTCTTGTTGGACTGAAAACTCAAATTGACAAAACTAAACTGCCTCCTTTTGAAAAATTTGCAAGGCATTGACTGCATTTTTTTCTCATGGATTCATTTGAATTCTGGAAATTGACTAAAATGGGGGATGGAGAGGGCTTTTGTGCATTGTTGGGTTAAATGAAGGGCTGAGCAAGTGCCCTGCTCCAATCTGCAAATGCTCGCTTTCTGGGAATATCAACACGTGTGATCAGATCACATTCAGAGGGTTTGCTTTTGGAGTAGGAGGATTTTAGTCATTTCCTAAAGTGCATTTGCAACTGAAATTGTCATCTGAGATAAGAGAACCAAGCAGGAGGAAGCCTAGGAGAATAGTTTAACCAATCAGAATACCTCAACTTGCTATCCAGAAACCCTTCTACCACCTTACCGAGAGATTCCCGGTGAAGCCTGTTTCAATTAAATCTGATTCTTTAGCCCACTGGAACTAAGCACAGACACATGGGGACAAAGATCTAAGTGAATGGCCCCCCTGTTTGGAAATACAAGTCAATCTACAGTGAGTCCATTTATCCTAAGCGTCTTGGCCTCCACAGATCTCGTGACTGTCTCCGCTCAAATATCCTCCAGATCTGAAAACCCCTGCAAGCTGAAGCCTGACTCAGGCCATCAGTCCTGTGTCACAGTGGCACCAAACTCTGGGGTCTGTACTACAACTGCTCCCCACCCGCACCCCTACCCTCACCCCTGCCAGGACATGAGCCATTCCAAGGGTGGAAGTGCTGGGGCCAGTATAGTACTCCCAAGGCCACCCCCATCATGAGCAGACCTCCGTGCCAGGCAGGCATCTTGGTCACAGCCTTAAACATCGTTGCTTCACTTCTAATTAGTAATCCACTGTGAGTCCAGGCCGACTGTACAGGAATACTGCATATCATTTTCAGTTTGTCCAGATGCAGTTCTACTCATTGTTCTCAATATGCCCTGCCCAGGGCCTTCATATTCTTGTAAAGGACTAAATAGACATGCTTGATCTCCCTCATTGTTAAGATGGAATGAAGATAACTCTTGAAAGGCCCAAGTTTAGCGTCAGGTAGTTTTGATGCTGACTTAAATGCTAGGACCTAAAGAGGTTTTTGTTCATCCCTAATTTCTGTCATTACACCTTGAGGTGAGACATGGACAGAAGCAGCTCCAAGTAGGTCTTCTTCATTTCATGTATAAATTCTGTTTAACAGGTGGTTCAAGGACTTCATGGTGCCTAATTATTACATTCCTAGGAATCAGGGTAAGGAGGCTGGTTCTCATTCTAGCCTACTCAATTCATGTAGGGAAAAGCAGGCAATAACTCTCAGCTGATAGCACCTTTCAGGATTTCTCTACTTCCACTTGGCTTTTCCACGTCTCTGAAAAATGTTAGGCGTAACTCGCTTTCTCTAGAGTTGCAGATCTGTGGCACAAACCTTTGCCTTGACTATATTAAACATAATGGAAGGACTGTGCAGTATGAGACATTATTAGATACCATATTTCATAAAGAATTTTTCTTGAAGAAGTCAAGCCAAGTGTTAACATGAGGCAGACTTGCAAATGACAACTTTTGTTGAATGCAACCTTAAACATATTAACTTGCTTAAGTTGCTTAACTCAAACTATACCTATTAGTGTCCAAAGTCACCATTATTGGGGTATTAGAAAGCCTCCAGAGTATAGAAAATACACTGGATGTGAGATCTGGAACAATCTCTAAATTTGGACAGCAAAGAAACTCAGTATGCAAGCACTAAAAAAATGATGGATAGCTTTTAGAATAGCTTGCACTCCCTAAAAGTCACCACAGTACTTGTATTAGGCCCTGAGAAAGGGAGTTAGCAGTACACATGGTTTATAATGAGGTTAAATCCAATAGTTTCATGTGTGCTCTAAGTATCGAATGCAACATCACCTTAAATCCAAAGTAAGTGGTTGTGAAATCATCCCAGGATATGGGATTACATTAGAAGAAAGAGTGGGCTGTGTGTCTCTGTGTGGTACTTACACTATGTGACATATTCTTTGGACAAAGAAATTACTCTGTGTAAGGTCTGGGGCTAGGTAAGGGCTGTACAGAAATGAAATAGACTTGGGCACTTGCAGTTGTGTTTGTGTGTGTAACTCAGTAGGTAATCTAACATGATACCCAGTAGTGAAAACCATGGAAAATGAATTTAGCGTAATGACACATTCCAGGTAAACTGGTGACTGTTCCCATCCTGTCTATACAGCTCAGCATTGGTCTTTATTTCACATATAAATTCTATTTAATAGTTGATCTAAGGATTTTCTTTTGCCTAATTATTCCTTATTTTTTATCCTTAATTATGCTCTTTTTAACTCTGAGGTATAATGTGTTTGCTTAGAAATGTGCTTTGCCTTATTTGAGAACTTTGGTGTGATACATGTTATTTGCGGGTCTTCCAGCATGAGGCATCTTTAAGTAATCAGTTGGGTAGAAACACATGCCCTCTGTACCAGGAACTAAATTTCCAGTGTAAAGAACTCAGAAGCAACACATCCTATTTGTCAGGATTCATCATTATTAAATTCAAACAAGATATTAACTCTATGGTTGAAAGGTTCTGATTGTACACAAATGGACTAATTTTTAACACATGGCAACTGCGTTAATTTTTTAAAAGATAAGGAATTCTTATCATATGTAACTGATTAATATTTTGAATTGAATCATTTTCCTAACTAGACCTGACTTTTTAGAGTGTATTTTTCTCTAGCAGTCAAGCTGTAATGCTCAGCCAAGACAGATTTATGATCTTTTAAAAATAATGATAGAAAATGAGATTGGAGGAAACATTTCAGTATCTGCTTTGCTCTGAGGCCTAAACTGCGAACTCTCCAGTTCTTGAAGGCTTTGAAATGCTGATTCCAGTCTTCTTGTGGGTTCTTAAACACCTTCTCAAATGACCCATTTTAATAACCCGAAAGCTATTATATAACGAGCAGCCATAATTTAGTCCAGGGCTCTAGGGGGACCCTCACAGTTCAGCAATGAATAGTTAATGCAGTATAATGTTTAGCAGGTTATTAGTTTTCACTATACAAATGCTGATCAGGGAACGCTTTTATAAGGTGTTTAAAAGAAAATGTAATTAACTGGTTGCGTGCTTCTGTTGCAGCTCAAATTGAAATTATTCCATGCAAGATCTGTGGAGACAAATCATCAGGAATCCATTATGGTGTCATTACATGTGAAGGCTGCAAGGTAAGCCTTTTTAATTGTTGTTGTTTCTATTAATGTTTGTTAGAATATATCTTTGTGATTTGTATGTCTCCACTTATGTCTTAAAATTCAACTCCTTAGAATTTTGAATGATAAGAAATTACAGGATAGAAGAAATATTTTGGTGTTAAATTACAATTAAAGAAGTTATATATATTTTTACTCCTTCCTTCAAAATAATAGGAGATTACAAAAAGGTATTTGAGCATTGCTTGTTTATCACTTTCAACCCCAGAGTTGAACTCATGAGCAATCTCTGTGGCAATCTTTTTTAAAAAAGAGCTAACTCCAGACTTCTACAATGTCCCTGTCATAAGCTTATAAAAAGACATCTCCAGTAAGTTTAATTGGAATGTCACTGAGTTGAGTCTTATTGTTAGCACACATAATGTTAACACATCTGGCAAAATTGTGGGAAAGCTATCAGGAAGACCTGAGTTCCAGTCCTATTGCCTCCACTTGTCCATATTGTTTTGAATGTGTCTTAATCTCTTTGTCACTCAGTTGCTTCATTTTTAAAGTGGGTATAACACCTGATCTTTCTACTGGTTAGGACTATTCCAAGAATAGAAGGAGAACCTGTACATAAAAAAGTCCTTACAAACAGAAAAGTGCTATTTAACTCTAAATATTATCAGTATTATTTCTGCTATGACTATTTTATTATTTCTGACCTTGGTCATGGGGCAATGTGTACAGCACATGCATAATGTGCAGATGAGAAACAGAGATGTTTATCCCAATAATTCAAGACCCCCCAAGCCCAGATTACCTCTGTTATTCAAATCTCAATTTATTAAGATTTAAATCCTCATGCTTATATTGGAAGGGCCTCGAGACAGCTTACAGGATAAAACAGTGCAAAATAAACAGGAGAGAAGCTATTTAAACATGCAGGAGGCCTTTGAGACAGCCGATTGCTACAACCAGGCCTGAATCAGCCCTAAGGCTTTTTGAGGCTGAGGCAAAAAATAAAATCCACGAATTTGGTTAGCTTTCCTTTCATGAAATTAGAAAATACAATGTTGTAAAATACAAAATCACCTATAGACACAAATGACTACTGAGAGACTTCAAGGAAATTAACCTTATAATTTCCTTAATTCTTCATTTTACTGTTAGTCATGGTAACATTTGCTAATTTGTACATGTACAGATGCTTCATGTTGATCCCATCTTAGCAAAGCTTCAGATTTCCGCATACTACAGAACCATCTATGCCCTTTACTTCCAAAATCTGCCCTCCCTCAAAATTAGTTGACTAATTAAATAAATTAAGCAAAATGAGAGGCCCGGTGTAGTGGTGTGTACCTGTAGTCCCAGCTACTCAGGGAAGACAGCTGCAGGTTTATCACTTGAGTCCAGGAGTTCAAGGTTACAGTGAGCTATGATCACACCACTGGACTCCAGCCTGGGCAATGGAGTGAGACCCTCTCTCCAAAAAAGTAAATAAAAATAATGAAAAAACAAAATGAAATAATCTGTCTGGTCTGTGCCATCCCAGGTTATAAGGTGAGAGTGATCTGCCTGTGACCACTGTCATCGCATTGATTTTTGGAGCTGATTTGGCTGACGTGGCCAGGTAGCCATTGCTTTTCACCCTCACCCTGTCTTGTGTTCTGCCTCCCAAATCTGTGTCCCTGGTAGACATGTCATGGCCTTTCTCAATAGAGGGTTTATAGACTGCAGTGCTTGCCTGCTGGGAGTTCCAGTGCTTTTTGTGCATTGCGTATCACCTGGGTGTCTTCTTAAATGGACAGGGTTCTAGGCAGCATCCCGGATACCAGTTCACCATTTGTCCCTTCATTCTGCCCAAAAAACTGATGGCTTCCTCTGAATCTGTCAGTAAGGCAAGTGATTATCTAGGAATTGACAGAAGTGATTATCTAGGAATGGAGTCTGGGGAAAGGACAAGGTGGGGGTAGGGGCTACTTCATATGAAATACCCCAACAATTTGGAAGATTAATTAACAACATGCTATTGAGTAAAACCTAAGTTGACTGAGTACCATGGCACAAACAATGTGAATTTTCTTTTTACTCTTAATATTTATCATGACAAAAATAAAAGCGATAAGAAAACAAAAGGTATCTATTATTCCAAAGTTGCCATTTTTCTAGATTCCCTTCCAGATCTTGTCTGCATACCTCCTCAGTGCCAAAGTGGTTTTCAGTTATCTGTGGCTCTGTTCCTCTGCTCTGTTGACTTTATCCAATGAAAACCACAAAATAAATAAAACATAATTTTATTAACAGATTGGGCCTATGCCTAGCCAGGGACTTGAACAATGTTTCATGTTTATATTTGATACATATACTCTTTGTTCTCCATTATAATTTCTCTCTGCTATAACTAACACTTTTATTCCTAGTTATAAAAATAGAAGTCAAAAGACTTCTATTTTTGCCATTTTATGTTAATTATTTATCATGTTCTAACCAGGTAAAGGTGGTTCTATCATGATCAATTGTAAATAACTTTGCTGAGATAGTGTAATTAAACATAAGAAAAATTTCACATTAGACATATCAAATAGATATCTAATGAGAGAAGAAAGGTGATCAGTCATCTTCTGAGCTAATCATTTTGTGAACGTATTTTAAATTGCATTTTTAAATTAACAAGCTGACACCATAAGAAACTAGAGGACCTGTTTAATTGCTGAAATAATTATTTTGGCACATAGTTGCTAAGCATTGCACATGAACAGCAAAAATGGTAGAAGCTTTAGTAGCTCTTTCTGTCATTTCTGGCTCTTCCTAGTTCATCCTCTCCCCAACCCCTTTGCTGTCTGTAGAGAGACAGCAGGTGCCATGCTTCTGCTCTGACTCTGGAACCAGACTGCCCGAGTTGAAATCCCAGCTCTGCTATTTACCAGCTTGAGCACCTATACCACTGCTCTGTGCCTCAGTTCCCCCATCTGTAAAATGAGGACTGTAATTGTAATAACTTCATAGGGTTGTCACATGCATTTAAGGAAAGTACCTGGAAGAATGCCAGATGCATCACAAGCACTTACTAAGTGTTAGCTGTTGTTATCATTGTCATTACTAGGCAGACTTCTTGGTGGCTTGGTAATGCTGCTCTGTATAGTCAGATATTATTTCTGGGACATCTATGGATATAGTCTTGATTGTTGTGACCATTTGCAATGTGTTATGTAGAATCTGCCAATAAAAAAGAATACTATGAGCACTCCCTTGGGACCAAGCACTATGTAAGCACTGTAAGGGATCCAAAGACATAGAAGACCACATCTTTCCCTCAAGCAGTTTATGGTCTAGTTGTAGAGATGAGGCCTGTGTAGGGAAAGCTAAATAGCAATGCAAGAACTAATATAGAGTAAGGCCACAATCTATGATATACATAAGAAGCACATATAGGCTGGGCACAGTGGCTCACACCTGTAGCCCCAGCAGTTTGGGAGGCTGAGCTGAGAGGAAGATGTGAGCACAAGAGTTCAAGACCAGCCTGAGCAACACAGCAAGACTCTGTCTCTACAAAAAAATTAAAAATAAAAAAAACTGGCTAGGCATGGTGGTGTTTGCCTGAAGTCCCAACTACTCGGAAGGCTGAAGCAGGAGGATTGCTTGAGCCCAGGAGTTCAAGGCTCCTGGTGAGCTATGATGGTGCCACTGCATTCCAGCCTGGCAACAGAGCAAGACCCCTGTCTCAAAAAAAAAGAAAAAAGAAGCACATATCCACTAGACAGCATACCTAGGTGGTCTAAAGGAGAGTTGGCCTAGCAAGGTTTCATTGAGGAGGAACCAACCGTGGGCTGGAGCTGAGGAAGGATTTTCCCAGTCAAGGTGGCTGGGAGGGCATTCTGTGCTGAGGAAGAAGGAGAACAAGGAATGGCAGAGGCAAAAGCCCAGAAAAAGGGCAGTCTTGGTTGTATTTAGGGGACAGCACATAACTCAGTTTGATTGAAGCAAAGGGTCACTTTCTGTGGCTAGTGGAAGATGAGGGTAGACAGGCACACCATCCTCAAATTTTTAAGGACTCCATTATGCCAAGGTTTTTATTATAAACGTATTTTACTTGTTCTCTTGAAAGAATCAGGGAACAATGTATTGGCACTGCTTCAGCCTGAATATTGCATTTCGGAAGAACATATGTTAGAATCCAGGCCTGCAAGGTTTTTAGTTCTGTTCATACAGACATTTCTGAGCTCTTGGAAAAGAATTTAGTTTCAGCCTTGGGTGAGCATGATGAGGGGGCATAACGTGAGCTGGGGCAGGCCTGCCAGGAAGGAGGGGCAGGTCGTGCCCCATGCCAGCACAAGAAAAGGCCATGGTAACACTAGAGGCTGTAGATGTTAAAGTTCAATCTTCAAAGTGAATAAAAATATGAAGTGTTAGGAGGAAAATAATCATTGGTTAAGGTTTGCTTTTGAGAAATCATCTTGTTTGCCATTCAACTTCTGTTCCTAATTTCATCATGAGATACAGTGGCTGCTCAGATGATGAGGGTGAACATTTGATCTCAAGACACACATACATTTTTTAATCCATATCCTTTTAGATATTTTGGCTACACAATTTTAACTGCAAGTTTTTTAATGATAATGCACGATCCAGTATTGGGGTTAGTGAATTGGTTTCTGATTACATTTAAAACCTTTTCCTCTTGATAACACTAAGAACAAACTGGCATTCATTTGTCCAATATACACTTACCAATCAATACATTTAAGATGATGTCTTATTCAAAGCTTCCTCTTCTACCCACTAAAGATAATTTGAGACAATGTCTCTGCGTTAACAAATATATTTTCTTAAACAATAAAAAAGGCTTTTCAAAAATATCTAGAGTATATAAGTGACACCTTCCCCCACTGAAGTAGTTAAAGCCATTTCTGGAGCTTTTTATGTTTAGGTTAAAAAGCAGCTTTATATGAATGTTCCTTTTAGGCTCAAATTATCTTTTAGAGGATTCTAATATTATTATCTCAGTTGTGAAATGTTGCTAGTCGTGAACTAATTCTGTCCACTTTTCACCATTGATACATTCATGCTCATTTTTATTTTAATACGTGGCCCCAGTATTAGAGCTGGGCATTTAAAATGAAAATTCCACCTGGGGGAGGACAAGCTGTTATTGCATCCTTACGATGCCTGAGTTTCGGTTCTGTTATACACAGGCAGTAAGCGAAAATTTTTGTTTAGCTAAATCTTCCAGTCCTGTGATGAAATGCGCAAGTGGTAGGGCTGTGTTAAAACCCAATTTGCATCAAGATGATTCAGATTTTTTTTTATTTGTTTGTTTAGATCTTAATCATGTCCCAGTAACTGCTGCCCTTCCTCAGCTCACAGAAAACGCCTGGCTCGAAGCCATGTTGTAGATAGGGCCCTGACACAGCACCTGGCTTGGGGCAGGTCCCTCGTGCGTGCTTGGGAATAACCATTGCTGAATGTCTTCACTTGTATTGGATCTGAGTATGGCAAAGCACAGTCAAAAGCAGATATCGACACTTACCAAATATGACACGTGGGCAGCTTTAATCAGAGACCACTTGCGCATACAATTCTACAGGGAGGCCAGTCACTACTGAACAAAAACGTAGCTCAGGAAATCTGAATTTCTGTGATTTATTGCTGCCAGATGTATGAGTATAGGGCTGGACCAGCTAACTTTCGTGAATGAGGCCGCCTGCTCTTTCTAAAGAACAACTTTTTTTCCTCATATGCTTCTTTGAGGACTCTTATTTCTGACCCCCACCCAACTTTAATTTTATAATTTCATCTGCTTGATTTTAATCCATGCATGCCCTTTATGTTTACCCCTCAATAAAATGAAGTTATCCTCTTTTTCCCCCTCTAGCCAGATAATTAACTTTTGGCCCACACTGATCCAGAGATATTTCTTCCTTCTCACCCCCATGCTTCTGAACATTCTCAACAGAAAGTTGCCAAGATAAATAAAATTGCAACACAGTACATGCTTCTACATAGAAGATTCTCTGCTTTTCTCATCTCTACTTTTCTTAGTCTCAGACGTAAAATGAAAGGTAGACATACACCCACTTCAGCAGTCCCCCAAATTCCAAATTTTTAGTTGTACTGGAAAATACAATAATTTGGGCAGGCATACGAGCATTCACAATAAATCACAGAGTTATGAATAAATCTTGGTTGTCAAAAGCAAGTGTGTAGCCGTTCCAAAGCGTCTGCCATTAGAATTCAGCAAGGCAGCTGTCAGCTGTTTTCTTGTAATTAAACAGCCAATGAGCAGCTAATTAAGACATATGTGTATACAGAAGTGGAAGTGGGTATGTTAATGAACTGTAGGAATCAATTCATTAAGTGAAAATTGTCAAAAGACCAAACATCAGATCAGCATTTCAGCCTCTGTTTCACTGAGAAGGAGCCCCACACAGGAGGGGACAACTCAGAATCAGACCCCCGTTCACCTTCCCAGCCACACCCACAGTGCAGCGTCCAGCCAGCCCATGAACTTAGACAAAACTATTAAAACTCCAGTAGGAAGTGCCAGGCATATTTCCAGGCTTTTAAAATTTATCTGACAAATGAGTGCTTTCCTACCTGTATGGAAACCTGGTATTTGATACCCTATAAAATGCCATCTCCCTCATCTGAACCATTGTAGGGAACTCGGACTACAGAAATTGAAAAGTGTTTTTTTGCGTGTTTGTTTTGTTGTTTGTTCATCTTTTGTTGTTGTTGTTGTTATTCAGTCGGCCCTACATGTTTGTCTTGGTGCTTTTTAGGTGGTGTATTAAGAAGTCTATGGCCTTTGGAATAAGATACACCTAGGATTCAGGAATTCAAATCCTGGGCCCTCCCCTTACCTGCTCTGTGACTTTGGGCACACGGCTTAACCTCTCTTAAGTTTAACTTTCTCATTTGTAAAGCAGATATACATATCCCTACTTTGCCAATTGTAGGTTGTTGCGGATTGCAAATAATGATGGCAAAGTGTCCAACATGGTGCCTAGTAGGGAGCAGGTGCTCAGCATATCGTCACCACTGTTTTTATCACTGCCACCATTTTTTCCTCTGGTTGTTCAACAAGTATTTATTGACTTCTCTAAGTATTGGGTTAGCTACTGGAAACAAAGAAACAAGGCAGTCAGGCCCTGGAAAAGGTAGACATTAATAATACAACAAGGTAAGGGCTAGGAGGGGGATAAATACAGGACTCTTAAAGGTACACATGGGAGGGGCCCCTCAACCAGCTTTGAGAGGGCCCAGGTCAGAGAGGTTCCCAGAGCAACCGAATGTCTTCTCAGTGAATCCTGAAGGGAAGGAGAGAGTTTCTTTGGGGAACTGTGGAGATAGAAGTTTACGCTTGGTCATTCTATGACTTTGAGAAGAGCTGCCCGGACATGTGGTCATTGCCTGGTCATCAGCAGGGAGCCATTAAGGGCTCATCAGCAGAGAAGTGACTTGATCAGTTTGATGTTTTAGAAAGATATCTTTAGTAACTGTGTGAAATGGATTGGAGGGAATGAGAATGGAAGCAGGGGTCCCAATTGGAAGGTTGTATAATAACCAACTCAAGAAGTGAAAGACATGGAAACTTAAGAAAACTGCAGTAAAGATGGAGACAAGTAGATGGATCTGAGAAATAGGAAGGTGCCAAGAAGCAGCCTAACTTGGTGATGCTTGAATATGGGTGGGGAGGAGGCAGAGATTAAGTGAAGCCCATCTTTCTGCCTTGAGTAACTGAGGGAAAGATGATGCCTGTCACTGAGCAAGAAAACACTGGAGAGGACAGCTGGGAAACAGGCTGTGGGTCATTCTCTTCTAGGTCGGGTGCAGTGGCTCATGCCTGTAATCCCGGCATTGTGGGAGGCCTAGGCAGAAGGATCACTTAAAGCCAAGAGTTCAAGACCAGTCTGGGCAACAAAGCGAGACCCTGTCTCCTCTACAAAAAATTTAAAAATTAGCCAGGCATGATGGCATACACCTGTGGTCCCAGCTGCTGAGAAGGCTGAAGTGGGAGGATCACTTGAGTCCAGGAAGTTGAGGCTGCAGTGAGCCGTGGTCACTCCATTGCACTCCAGCCTGAGTGACAGAGACCGTATCTCTAAATATATATATTCTGTTCCAGAAAGTCAATGGGGGCTCTAGAAGGCCAAACCACAACTTTGGGTGAATGCCTATCCAAAGTCAGGGGGAAGCATTGAAACAACGTGATGGAGAGCTGGTGACACAGCAAGGATGAGGCTCAGGCCAGCCACATGCTGGTAAGCTGTGAACAACTGGCTCTCTGGAAAGCAAAAAGTGTCTATCTGTATGTAGATAACTTTGGTATCTATCTCATTGATATAATTTCACATAATTTTCAAACAATAATAAAATATACAATATTCTTTATTTTAAATTTCATATAGACAAATGATTCTCACTGAATGCTCTCATGATTTTTGCTGAACTCCTACATCTATCTGCATGGTTACAACTGAGGAAAGACTAGTTCCAACATGAATGTTGGTTGATATTTTGTTTACATTAATGACTAAGAAGGGAGTGAAACAACGAAGACATTTTGGAACTTCATTCATTCGCCAACAATGACATGAACCACTTCCTTGCTGACTCAGTTAATAGTTTTCAAATACCAGAAGAACATTTCTTCCACTTTTTATGTTATTCACAATGGGAGCACTGGATATGATGTACTGTTAAGTTTAATCTGCATTATTATAATTTTCATCAGTTTTTTTTTTTGTGTTTTTTTTTTGAGGCAGAGTCTCGCCCTGTTGCCCAGGCTGGAGTGCAGTGGTGTGATCTCGGCTCACTGCAACCTCCGCCTCCTGGGTAGCTAGGATTACAGGCACCTGTCACCAAGCTTGGCTAATTTTTGTGTTTTTAGTAGAGACAGGGTTTCACCATGTTGGTCAGGCTGGTCTCGAACTCCTGACCTCGTGATCTGCCCACCTCGGCCTCCCAAAGCGCTGGGATTACAGGTGTGAGCCACCACACCTGGTCTTTTTTTTTTTTTTTTTTTAAGACACAGGGTCTCACTCTGTTGTCCAGGCTGGAATGCAGTGGTACAATCATAGCTCACTGCACCCTCAAACTCCTGGCTCCAACAATCTTCCCACCTCACCTTCCCAAGTAGCTGGGACTACAAGCACATGCCACTACACCTGGCTAATTGTTTTATTTCCTGTAGAGACAGGGTCTATGTTGCCCAGGCTGGTCTCGAACACCTGGCCTCAAGTGATCCTCCTGCCTCAGCCTCTCAAAGTATTGGGATTACAGGCATGAGCCACTGCATTGGGCCATCACCTTCCTGCCTCAGCCTCTCAAAGTATTGGGATTACAGGCATGAGCCACTGCATTGGGCCATCACTTTTTAAATCTAGACAATAAAGCAAAATAATAAATCAAACCCTGATCTGTAACATTTGCCAATTTCTGTGGTGTAAATAATCCCACCAATGGCCATTTTCAAGCCACCCGACCCGCTCTTTCACAGAATACAGAGTAGGGAAGGGATGCACAGCATGGTATAGTATTTCCACCTTCAGATATAAGGATAATTGATGTAGACAACCTGAAGAACATTGATAACAGTAAAATAATCATTAAAAAGTAGTTAATTTTTTATGTCAGGAATGCATCAGTTAATGTGTAATAACAGATTTAATAACTAGCCTTAATAACAAAATTCCTGACATTTTAGCACTCAGCTCTTGCAACCTGGTATGAGCCTTCTCCTAAACACCATGGCCTCTGTCCCAGTTTGCCAAGCGCCCATCTAATGGGATCAGTGAAAAATTCATAGTATACAGTCATTTTTTTTAAAGAAAAAGTATTAGGGAATAGAATTTCCAGAGAAGGTAAGACACGTATCAGAAATAAAAGCACAAGGCGTTTTGAAAAGCTAGGTGAAATAAGGGAGGAACACTGGAGAGATGTCTTTGAGACAGTAGGAATTGAAACAAAAGGTGGATATGTAGGGACTCTGTGTCAGGAAATCGAGAATGTGTGACATTGTTTTGTTTGTCCCACAATGAAGAAGATACATATAAGTAAGAGGGCACTGGACTTAAAATCAGGACAAGAGATTGAGTCCCAGCCATGGGACCTTGGACAAGTCATTTAACATTCTAAACTTCATTTTTGTTTTTGGCAAATCAGAAAACTCGAATCAATCTCTGGTTCTTAACAAAAGGAAGTCAAAGTCTTCGGGGAGCTTTTAAAAAATATTTACTATAAAAATGACAATTGTGGCCAGGTACGGTGGCTCACGCCTGTAAATCCGAGCACTTTGGGAGGCCGAGGCAGGCGAATCACGGGGTCAAGAGATCTAGACCATGCTAGCCAACATGGTGAAACCCTGTCTCTACTAAAAATACAAAAATTAGCTCGGTGTGGTGGTGCACGCCTGTAGTCCCAGCTACTCGGGAGGCTGAGGCAGGAGAATCACTTGAACCCAGGAGGCAGAGGTTGCAGTGACCCGAGGTAATGCCACTGCACTCCAGCCTGGTGACGGACCAAGACTCCGTCTCAAAAAAAAAAAAATGACAATTTTTTTCTTTTTTGACTTATAAAAATGGGAATTTCTCATTGTTCAAACTACTATGTATGCCTGGACGACATCGCCAAAAGTTTCTGGTTTGATATATAGTTCTGGTTTGATATATCTAAGGTGTATCTTTTAAAAGCTCTGTGGGTGTTTCTGATGCATCACCTATATGTCAACTGCTGTACCTGATAATCTCTCAAAGTCTTTCAGCACCAAAGGCCTGTTTGTTTTATTCTAATTTTCTATTTGCAATAGCTGCATGGTAATCTGCTGCCACTAGGTGGTGGTAGTGCGCCACAGTCACACTAAACGTATACTACCTGAAATGTATCATGGTGGCTCTCTGGCTCAAGCTCACCATGTTTGTAAATGAACATCTCCATGTATTTTAACATCCATAAAAAGTGAACTTTTATGACAGCCAAGTAATTTGTTAGCTTATCTTTTAGAAATAACAAAATTGCCAAATTATGTACTTGATACCTTTCCCAGCTCACAACTTCAGCACTTTTTTTTTACGCCTCCTCAGTTCCACCCAAAACTCCATGCCCTAGTTTTGTGCTTCCCCTGCTCTCTGTATGACCTCCAATCCCTGGAATTCATCTCTCAGCTCACTCACTTCCTAATCCTTTTGCAGGATTTCTCCCCAATCAGACAAAATCTATCTCTGTACTTAGAAACACACTACTTCTACCTTGAGGTAGGAAGGTACCTACCACACTTTCTACTTTTCTTCTTCCTCTTTCTAATCCTTCTTCCTCTTATGTGTTATTTAACTCTTAGTATCTTATCTGTTTAATTTTCCAAACCCTTAATCCTCTGAGAACCCCGCCCCCCAAGGAATACTGAAAAGAAGAGGTTTTTAAAAAGAAAAAGAAGCAACCCAAACCCTCATTCTTCCTGAAATGCAAAGTTCAGTATTCGTCTGAGTCATGGAGGTTTACTCACCCTGTTTCTCCCTTCTCAGCTCTCACCTTATAACCCCACTTCACCTCTCGCATCTGATATTTGATAGTTCTCCTTGTGGGTATGACTCTGTTGACTTAATCCAAAAGAAAGATCGCCTTTCTGGTTCTTAGCTATGCCACTCCCAGAACTTTTCAGCAGGCATTTGTTCAGCTGACTTAGTTGAGGTATAAATGATGCTGTAGAGAATAAGGTGTGTCTGCTTGCGTGCCTGCTTTCCCCAAATCCTCAAAACTGAGACTTCCAAATAAGGGTAATCCTCTTCCAAGCAGATAGTGTGGAAGCTGGACATTGGTTCGAGCCACAGTGCCACTGCTCAAAGAACATACGGAATGCTTCATGAGTTTGCCTTGCAACTTATGGCATAATTACACAGACATCTTTAATGATAGTTATTCTGTGCCCTTGCAGTAAGTTTCATTGTTTGTTTGTTTGTTTGTTTGTTTGTTTAAATGAGCTAGAGTGATTTAGAAATAAGGTGAAGCAAATGGGGCAGAATACTTCTGGTCAGAAATGAGGAAAAATGATGGACTCATGAGACTGATTTTCTTATGTGACTCCTAATCCAGATCAGGAGGCAACTCCAGAGAGAGATTTTTGTAAAATGTCTGGGCGGTAGGAAGCTGGGTCAGCTAAAGGTGCTAAAGTGAGGGAAAACACTAATTTCAGAGTAGATTGCTCTTGCTACTTTATTCTGCATAACTTGTTTTTTACACTGCCTAATTTAATGGTTGCCCCATATGAGAACAACTAAGGAGGAATTCTTTTGACACACAAGAGAAGCAGAAAAACAAAACAAGATGACAGTGTAAGTTCTGGAGTTAAACTATGTGAAGTCATATCCTGGCTTTACCCCATGCTACAGCGAGGACTCTGAGCAAGTCACTACACCTCTCTAAGCCTCTGTTTTTTCAGCCTTAAAACCAGGGGAATGATAGGATTTGCCCAATATTGCCCTTGTCACAAGTGAATGACACAATCCACATAAAGCATAGAGTGCCTAGTATGAAGTCAGTGCTGTTTTAATGGTATTTGGGATTTGTTTTAATCAGGTACCATAAGACACACAGATCTGGAAATGACTGTCATGAAGGAAGAAGTTTGTTACACAGTAGTCCCCCCTTAGCCTCATGGGGATGCCTGAAACTGCGAACCTTTTAGATACTGTTTTCTCCCATACATCCAGACCTGTGATAAAGTTGAACTTATAAATTAGGCACAATGAGAGATTAACAACAATAATAATAATACAGAACAATTATTAAAATATACTGTAATAAAAGTTATGTGAATGTGGTCTCTCTTTGCTTCCCTTCTCTCTCTCAAAATATCTTAATATTCTTTTACTGCAGTTGACGCAAGTAACTGAAACGAGGAAAGCAAAACGACGATTAAGGAGGGAGTGCTGGACTCACAAATCCCTAGAGACAGGGCCCATGCCACACCATACAGGGGACACATGGGGAAGCGCCAGGGTCAGTGAAGGGGAGAGGGATGTGGGGAAACACTGCCAAGAGCCTCCATGGTGTTTTCCACAGGAAGGAAGGTGCAGCAGGATGAGCAGGATTAGGATAAGTAGCTAGTCTGAATCATTACAGACGGCGCTAGGAGGTAGGGGCTGTCCCTAATTGTCTTGTACCTAGCCCTAGGGTGACCAGGGCAGGGGAATCATGGCGAGAAGCGTAAGGGCCTGATGAAGAAGGTGTGCTGGGTGTGGGCTCTAGCCCACTTGGTTTTGTGTGAGAGGTGGCTGACAGCAGGTTGTTTGCTGTATGTAGGAGTTATCCAGCCCTGCAAGGGCAGTCCCTCCAGTGTCTGCAAAGCCCGAAGATGTCTGCATCCAAAATACAGAATAAAAAGATATGGTTACTACAAGTACTCAGTAAGACTGATAATCTGTCATCATCATCCTCATGCCCTTAAAGCAGAGCTAACTGATGATTAATATATGCTTCTATGTTAACAGTCTTGGACTTTATTAATGGTGGGTGGAAGTTAACTTAATGTATGTATGCAAACTAAAAAGTGGCATCCTTTTCATTAATGACCCAACCATTATTCAAGAGCTATGTCTAGTTAGGGACTTCAGACTTTTGAAAGAAATGAAGAAATAATGCCAGATACATGGGCTCGCACTTGGAATCCCAGCTACTTGGGGGACCGAGGTGGGAGGACCGCTTGAGCCCAGGAGTTCGAGACCAGCCTGGGCAACATAGCGAAACCCTGCCTCAGTTTTAAAAAAGAAAAAAAGAAGTAGTGAAGAAATTGGAAAGGATTCTGAGAAGAAATATGCAAGGTGGAAAAGAGCCTAGAAAGAAAGGTGACAGATGCTGGGATTTGGTCGTCAGAAGAGATATCTAGGAAATAGCATGGCAGCCCTCAAGTACTAGCTCCACTTAAAGAAAAAAAGAAGAGATCATTCAGACATTCCTCATATTCGGTGATCACACAAGAAACTGTAGCAGGCTTAATGTGAAGCAAACAAAACTCAACTTCAGCTAAAGCAAAAACAAATACATTCCTGATTTTAAGCATCCACAGTGATGCCTTTACACAAGGGTATGAACGGTGGGAGAGTCTCAAGAAAGAGATAAACACCTTTCAGCTTGGACAGAGATTATGTGTCTCAGGGGAAAATGAATACCTAGACAGCTGACCTCTTGGTATCTCTTTCTAAGGATTATCTGCCTCTGTGACCATTTATATTTTCTTGAATTCTCTCTAGTAAGCCCCCAAAGAAAGCCTTACTTCTTCTTACTTCCTTTTCACAGGGGAAACAGACACACACAAACAATAAAATAAAATAAAATAAAAAACATAGCTTTAGATATTTTTCAGAAGAGAGAGATTGCTTTACAGAAGAGGCGGGACTTGATCAAGGGTAGAGTTAAAGTACAACAGAGAGACAGTCTGAGACATGAGGCCCCCAGCCTTGCCCATGTCAAGGTTAGCAAGCACCTTGGCTGAAAGCAAGAGGAGTGAGAAGTCAGGGTCCTGCCCTGTCCCATCCCAGGTTGGATTTTCCAAAGAACTGGAAACTGAGGTCATATACATCAACTTGGTTGACAAAGGCCCCCAGCCATTACAAAGGAAGGCAGGTGCACTTCTTCTCAAGCTGCCCACCATAACTTCCCATCTGCCTATTGTAGGGGGGAAAAAAAAAAAAAGCACAGATGAACAAAAAGAAAAATAAAATCTGATTGGCCCCACCAACTACTGCCAACAATTTGGGGCATAATTTTCCAAATCTTCTTTTATAGTAAATATATGGGTGTCCTTTTTTTCCACAAAACTTGGATTATACTATGTTTAGCTCTTTAGTTCCTTTTTTAAACATTCAATGGTATATTTTTATCACCTTTTATATCAATAATTATATTTCTGAAATACCATTTGTAGTGGTTGAATCCCATTGTATGAGTATACAATATGACTCTTTTAATTCAGTAATGTTGGACAGTTAGGATCTTTCTACATTCTCTATATTATAGATAGTACTGTGAAGAACACCCTTGTAGGAAAATCTTTGTAGCATTCTAAATATTTCTTTAACGTGTATTCCTTAAAAGCCTAGCTCAGTGGGTAGGCTTTTTAAAAATTTTTGATACAACTGCCAAATTGACCTCCAGAAAAATCGTTCAGTGGGAGAGCACCCTTATCAGTTTGCCTACCACTCTGTTAATTCTTTAGGATTTTACCTCTCCCCACTAGTGTCGCCCTCATTGGGGTCATCTATCTTCACAACTAAAGCTTTGAAGGTAATAATTCTCTTTTGTACCCTTCATGGCTTTGCTTCATGGAAATGACTCTACTTACCTTATTTTTTTTCTGCATACATCCCTAGCTTGCAAAGCCACTGAAAGATAAATGAGCAATAAAAAGATAAAAAGGTGGATCATGCCTGTAATCCCAACACTTTGGGACTCCAAGGTGGGAGAATCACTTAAGGCCAGGAGTTCAAGACAGGCCTGGACAACACAGCGAGACCCCCATCTCGACCAAAAAAAATATATAAATATATATATATAAATATATATATATAAATATATATATAAATATATATATATAAATATATATATAAATATATATATAAATATATATATAAATATATATATAAATATATATATATAAATATATATAAATATATTTAATATAATATATATAATATAATATATAAATATATATAAATATATATAAATAAATATATATAAATATATATAAATATATATAAATATATAAATATATATAAATATATAAATATATATAAATATATATAAATATATATAAATATATATAAATATATAAATATATATAAATATAAATATATAAATATATATAAATATATATATAAATATATATATAAATACAATATATATAAATATATATATGTATGTATGTATGTATAATTAGCCAGGCATGGTGGTGTGCACCTACAGTCCCAGCTACTCAGGAGGCTGAGGCAGGAGGATGGCTTGAGCCGAGGAGTCTGGCCTGGGTGACAGAGCAAGACCCTGCCCCCTCCCCCGAAAAAAAGCCCCCATGTGTTTGGAAATTAAGAAATATGCCTCTAAATCACATCTGGATTGAAGAAGAAATCTATTGAAAGTTAGAACATGTTTTTCACTGAATGAGAATGAAAATACTACGTAGTAAAGCTTTTGGGTTGCTGTTAAAACATCACTAAAAGGAAAACTTGACACTCTAAGAATAAACAGTGAAAATCAGCTAAGAATACAGCTCAGGAAGTTAGCAAAAACAAACAAAAATAAAGTTATTGAGGTCAGTAGCTCCTTATACATCTTTGTATCCCCTCTCATTTCCCAAACAG
The DNA here is from genome assembly GCF_000001405.40 of Homo sapiens. Lineage (NCBI taxonomy): Eukaryota > Metazoa > Chordata > Mammalia > Primates > Hominidae > Homo > Homo sapiens. The sequence goes on along the minus strand of NC_000015.10, from coordinate 60,515,449 downwards.
CACTTGACACGAGAGGAACTTGATGAGCATTGGACTGGATTTGTTCCATCTTTAAAGGCCATGGTTCTGAACATGTGGTATTTCTAAACTGCCAGGGATGAGGGAATATTCCCAATCTGATCTGCCAAAATAATCCCTCCAAGTGTTATCTAATGCTTGCGATAGCAGATTCAGACTTGGGGAGTGAGAAACGCCTAAAGGGCCGTGTGTTGAAGTGGGCTAGTGAAGATTACCATGGTTCACCAGGTTCACAGTGCCCTAGGTTGTGGTGTGGCTGCATTTTCCTTAACTTGGATATTCCAGGGAAGTGTTTTGTATTTATTTTACAAACAATCTCTTAGAGATAAAGGCTAAAGGTAAGTCCTTTTGTATCATTCCATCAGGCACATTGCTTTTGATCATCAGAAGCCAAGAACAAGGACCTGGTCCTGTGCCTTTTTACATGGGCAACTGTCTGTTGAAGTTAAAGAAAGTTTTGCAGGTATAAGGGATGGAGGATTAGGCTCTGGGGATCAATTTTACTCAAGGAAAAAGAAGTGACTTTAATTTCATTAATGGTCTCCTGGATGATTCTGCTACAAGTTTAATTCTCCATTAAATATTAATGCCACTCAGTGCTTAGCATCCTGCCTTTAGTATCATACCACTCATTCTGACACTAACCTGTTTTATATTTTATAACCATATCACAGGGCTTTTTCAGGAGAAGTCAGCAAAGCAATGCCACCTACTCCTGTCCTCGTCAGAAGAACTGTTTGATTGATCGAACCAGTAGAAACCGCTGCCAACACTGTCGATTACAGAAATGCCTTGCCGTAGGGATGTCTCGAGATGGTGAGCTCTCACAGCTTGAGTTGTACAGTTGCACGGGGTTGTGAAAGTGCCTTCTGAAACCTGGACTCAGATCTGCCAATATCTGCCCCGCCTGCCCCCTCCTCATTATTCCACCTTACGCCCCGCCCCCCATGCTCCTCTGGCAGCTACATGGAACTCACAGCAGCTGCTTCCTCCTCCTCCTCATCCTCAGAGTCAGCTGGCTGGCTGATGGGTGGGGGTGGTGTGGAGGAGAAGTGTCTTGTGCTCAGAACACCTTCAGATTTTTGATATTTCAGCCATTATAGGTGGGTCGATTGACTGACGGTAAGTGTCATCTGAAGGCCTTAATAAAGATGTCTCCTCTAGGCATTTTCCCCTGCAGGAAATGTGAACCACAACTGTTACTTGCTTTACACTAGTAAGTCTATTGGAGGTTGGGATGAAGCCGCTTTTATGCTAACTGGATATTTTGAATCACATGCCAAAGCCAAATATTTGTACATACAGAATGTGTGAAAATAGTGCAAAGCATGGCTCAATGACAAGTGTTCTTTTCATTAAATGAAGCTACTTTAAGGAATAGAGACCGTCTACCATTCAAGTACAAAACATTTCAAGATCTTCCTGGAAAACTATCTTAAGTGCACTGAATAATCAACACCAGATTTCAAGACAGTTATGCTTATACGTGGAAACTGGGCAGAAAGCACAGCGGGTCCATTTTAAGGATTTTTCCAAATATACCAGCTGGCTCTCTTAAGAGATCCCTTTGAAGGAAAATGTCTCCTCCAGTGGAATTTCAGCCTGTGGAAAAATACTTCAGAATGCGGAGCAGGCTTTCCAACAGTCTGCCTTCCCCATAATCTGATGTTCTTAGCGCCTGTAGATCTACATAGGCACGAGTTCACTTTTGTTCCTGCGTATTCTAAGAGGCACTCTGTGCACCACTACAAAAGTGAAGCTTTTGACATTGGAAGATACAAATCACAGAACTTCCACCATATTCTCAGAAATTCCTGTGACATGCAACTCTGCAGATTTCATCTTCCGATGGTACTAAACTGACAAAGTTAGGTATATCTCATCAATTTGTAAGTTTAAATCACAAGTTGTGTGTGCATTTTCTCAAGAGCTGGTCCCTTTATTTCACTTACAGGATATAATTACTGTCGTTAATATTAATACAAAAGTTAAATCATAATTGCGGAGTCACAGCAGAAAGTTTCACCTGTGGGTATTAGGCCCCTTGAGTGTCCTAGAAAATTTTTTTCAAAAAAATTAAGCACCTTCAGTATGCCTTCTGAAAATTTTGCATATAAGAAATAGCACAAGTTGTTGTAGGCATAGAAAGAATTCTGGAGGTTAAGAAATTATGGTTCTGAAATTCAGATCCCACATCAGCCTGGTTGCTGCCTGAGCAGCCCCACCCAAGTTTCTTATCTGAGTTGTGGAAACTGGAAAGTGACCAGTATTCCAGCTCACCTGTTTCCTCTGTGAACAAGGACAGCGCGTCCTCTTTGGCAAGAAAAGAATTCACCACCTGGCCACTGTGAGGGCCTTGGTTCCCAACTTCGTGTCCATCTATCCTGCCTCCTGCCCTAGACTCTTATAACTACGATCATAGTCAAATGGGTGAATGCATCCACCCCATCAGCTATAAATTTAACCACAATCAATTAGGAGAACTAAGTCCCTCCAGCAAAGACTGAGTCTAGCTGAAAAATAAGTGAGTTCATGGAAGAATTCAGACCAGGAAATCATAGGGTTTTTTGTTTGTGTGTTTTTGTTTTCAGTTATCTTGGTGTTTCACAAGAATTCATTTGATATTCTGAATGAATTGGAAAGTTATTCATTATAGTGACTGCTCCACTTTAAATATGGGGACACATCCCAAAGAGAAGCATTACAAACAGAAATCTGCCCAACAAGGATCATACATTATAAGGATCTTATATTATAATACCATATTTGTCCTTTCCAAATCCTGATGCTGTGATTACTTGAGGCTAAATGGGAACAGCAGAAAGTGTTTAAAGATGGGTCCTACTGGGAGTGGTAGCTCACACTTGTAATCCCAGCACTTTGGGAGGATGAGGCTGGAGGATTGCTTGAGCCCTGGAGTTCCAGACCTCAAGCCAGGGCAACATAGCGAAACTCCATCTCTACATAAAGTGAAAAAATTAGCTGGGTGTGGTGGTGTACACACGTGGTCCCAGCTACGTAGGAGGCCAAGGCGGGAGGATCGCTCAAACCTTAGGAGGTTGAGGCTGCAGTGAGCCATGTTCACATCACTGCACTTCAGCCTGGGTGACAGAGAGCAAGACTCTGTCTCAAAATAACTAACTAAATAAATAAAAATAAAGATGGGTCTCAGGGTTCCACAGGGGCTGCCATGACCCATGACCCATGACTGGAGGAGGGGGCTTCTTAGGTCAGGTACTCTGATGTAATTCAAAGAATTACAGAGGCCTCATCCAGTTCATTCAGACCTCACAATGAAGCTGCAGAAGTGGCCATTTGATCAGGGAGAACTGTCGGAGCGTACAAGACGGTGAACTGAATGAACGCTGAGGTTTGACTGCTTATTCCTTGATGAACCCTGTGAGTCTTTGCTTCCCTGTGCCTTGGTCTGAACGTGGGAGAGAAAGAGGTAGCCTAAGCCAGCTGCACGGGGGGAGAGTGAACAAGCCCATTAAGTTATCAGTGGGGCGCAGTGGAAACGGGGGATGTGACAGCAGGGAAACAGAAGTGGCATCTCTCTGGGCCCCTCCTACCTGCACCAGGCCTCTTTCTGAAACATGAGTTTCTCTGGGATGTGTGTTTGCTGTTGGGGAGCTGGAGCGAGTCTGTGTGGGTTGGAACTGTTTTCACCTCTGAATATGTCCTTATTTTGTGGTCATGCAGTTTTGGATTGAGATTGTGTGAGACTTCAAAGGAAACCCCAAAGCTCGCAGGAGAGAATATTGAAGAAAAGCGCATTGTATGTAGTATGGTTTGGCTTTTTTCTTCCAGCTGTAAAATTTGGCCGAATGTCAAAAAAGCAGAGAGACAGCTTGTATGCAGAAGTACAGAAACACCGGATGCAGCAGCAGCAGCGCGACCACCAGCAGCAGCCTGGAGAGGCTGAGCCGCTGACGCCCACCTACAACATCTCGGCCAACGGGCTGACGGAACTTCACGACGACCTCAGTAACTACATTGACGGGCACACCCCTGAGGGGAGTAAGGCAGACTCCGCCGTCAGCAGCTTCTACCTGGACATACAGCCTTCCCCAGACCAGTCAGGTCTTGATATCAATGGAATCAAACCAGAACCAATATGTGACTACACACCAGCATCAGGCTTCTTTCCCTACTGTTCGTTCACCAACGGCGAGACTTCCCCAACTGTGTCCATGGCAGAATTAGGTAATGGCATGCATGCTTCTCCTGGGATGCTCTATTCATGCCCTTTGAAGTAAAAGGGGTATGTCTGACTTTCCTCTAATGAGTTCTGCTAAATGATGCAATTCACCTTTACCATTTGGGCCACTTAATTTTCTGCCCTGCCCCCTTGCTTTTGACCCTCTGCTGTTTCCCATGGTTTATCCAATACATGCATTGACCTCTCAGCATTAGAAATGGGGCAAAACCAACGGAAGCAGTCTTTGAATTCTGCAGAAAACTGTAAGTTCAGGAAATGGCTACATTAACTTCATTAGTGGTTTACTTTAGTTATATTCCAAGGATTGCTTTATACCTAAGGTGACAAAAAAAAAAATGGCAGTCCACAAACTGAACTTGGCCCACAGACATATTTTTTTGCCCAGGGCAGAGTTTTAAAATTTTTGAATCAGTTGCTAATATTTAAATTTGGATAATTATACCCAAAAGTTCAGCTTTTTTAGCTTCTTGTGGGAGGGGAAAAAATGATCTATTTACACTGAGCCAACATTTGTGAATGTCAACAGCCAACTGGCAACAGCCAGGGGATTACACCTTTCAATGGGCCCACCTGACTCCCGCCATTTATATCATATGCACAGCCCCTGTAGGCATCTCATTTTTGCAACTCTGATATATAGTATAAATGTTCAACAGAAATCAGCTTCTTTACTTACCAAAATGTTCTGATGATGGATATTGGTGACAAAATTGATGTAATTCATATAAGGCTCACCATGCAAAAGACAAAAAACTGTCCTTTTCTTATTGCTGGAACATTACTGCTTCTTGGGAGATGTGACCTAGAAATGTTGATAACACAGACAATGGGCAACTTTCCATTTCGAGGAAGTTGTGTTAACATCCGCTGCTATATTTAATCGATTTTTAAGTACAGCACTATTATTAGAAAAACTTTGATAAGAACCTTTGTAGTTTTTAAATTTGATCTGCTCCTCCTGGTGGTTCCTCACACAAGGTTATAATCCTTTGGGATATGTCAATTAGTTGCTGTGGAGATGACTAAGTTAATACAAGGAGAGAATGAAGACTTCAGACGGAAAAGAAACAGCAGGTTCAGACTTGAGCACAGAAATCCTCAGTTCACAGAAATAATGGCTGTGTTCTTTAGACGGTTTCTCTACCTCTGCACCCCATAAAACATCTTTTAAGTGAAAATTTATATTTCCAGTAAAATCTTTCTCCAAATAGAACAAATTGAATGTTCTTTACGGTTTTTACACAAGCATCTCTTTATGGGTCTAAATTTAAATCCTCAAGAGCAGGGACATTTTAAGCCTGGTCTTTAACCACTGAACAGCATTAAAAGGTGTATTGCAGCTCTTTTGATTAACAGAGAAACCTCTGAACTAGAAGCCAAGCTGAGCAGAGGTAGGTTTGATTTTTTTTTTTTTTTCTTGAACTAGAACAAAAACCTTCCATTTTTGTCATGAAATCTTGGTTGGCTGAGCCTTAAGCAGAACTGTAATGAAAGTACAATTTTCAGATATGAATAAGGATTTGATTGAAAGCTGACATGATACCATGAAAAATGACCTGACTCACTTTAGGTTTGCCTCCACCTTACCATAAATACTAGTGACTCTGTCCTGTTTGCTTGTCAAATATTCAATCCTGAAATAAATCCATAGGCCTTAGGCAAAGCGTGCCCTTGAACATGGCACTTTGGCTAAAAAATGCACTCATACCGAAGTGGGGCCAGAAATGGCTGAGCCGATTCCCTGAGGCTCCCGGACAAGTCAGCTTCCTCTTCCATGGTCTCACTTTCCAGTGCAGTCTGGGAGCCCTGCCCCCTCATGCTTGCTCTATGTGCTTTTAAATTAGGGATTTTTCACAGGTGTTGTGGTATTTACCAAGATAAATTAAATGAGATCATCACTAGGAGAATTCCCAAACCCAAAACTAAACTAGCATTTATCTGGAAAGTATATAATTGGGCTCTAATTCTCTTATCCCATTTATACATGCAAAGTGTTTCAGGGAGCTAAGAGTATCATGAAAGTGGCCCAAGTCTTGTTGCTGCTTCTCCAAAGCTACTTAAATTTCCCTGGTATTTCTTTTGGGGCTTAAAGCCTGCTATCTCTTTAACTAAGACTCTTGACTTCATTTTAGGCTAAACTTTGTCATCAGATTTTAAACAAGTGAAACCAATTGTATAATAGGAAAATAAATTATAAACCAACACATCCTAAGTCCAATTCTCTCTTTCAAGTGTAGTATGCACAACCTATTACTTTTAGTGAAAAATATGACTTCATCCTTGGCTAGGAAATTTTGCCCTTGGTGTACAATTAGTACCTGAATTAGACATTCCAGATAAACGACCTAGGTTTTAAGTGCAAATTAGGTTTGTTACTATAATTGATATCTAAAGCTTTGCGCAGGAGAAACAGCTGATATACTGGGCAAAGCATGAGACAAGAAATCCGCTTATATGGGTTGTGGTCCTGGCATTAATATAAGTTATACAACCCAGTATACACCACGTAACATCTGCGAGCTGTAGTTTCTCTACTCCTAGAATATAAAGGTCTGTGTCTGAATCATAGCTCTGCTACTTGCCAGCTGTGACACCTTGAAGAAGTCACTTCACTGTGGTTCAGTTTCCTCCTCTGTAAAATGGAGATAATACTAGTACCTTTCTCTTGGGGTTGTTATAAGGATTAAGTGAGAAAACATACATATTCAGGATAGACACAAATTATGTGGGACTGGCATATAGTGAATGCTATATGTGTTAACTGCTATCATAATTATTAATGTCATTATTATTTGTTAAACAAGGACAGTTTGGACCAGATGCTATCTAAAGTTCCTTCCCACTATGAAAATCTGTGACTAACTCAGAAGCGAGGACTTCCCATCTGAAGTATCGAGGCGCTGGCTGTATTGCTGAAGCAGTCATGGTTGGGGCACATGACTTGCCCCAGTCACAAAGTGAGGTAGACTATAGATTATCTGCTGAGCTCAGACAGAAGCCAGGTCTCCTAACTCCTAGCCCAAGGTATTTCACTATTCCAGACTTTATCTGAGAGACCACGCTTAAATTCTCGAATTTTATTCAGCCTGACCATACTCGCCTTTGCTGAAATGGAGATTTAAAAATAGCAAAGTGTCTAAAATCTTACACTTGCCAAATCGACTATGAATTGGAATGAAAGGCTGTTGGTGAGCAGATGGTGTGAATGCAACCACTGCCCTCTACTGGTATGTCAGGTACACTGCATGATTTGTTGTCTCACTTTTTATTGGCTGTTTTAAATAGGTAGGGATAAGTGGCCACAGTTTCTTAAGACAAAGTGAAACCACAAGATGCTAAGTATCTTATTAACTAGAAATGAAACATAACCTGGAAGGAAATGATATGAGCCTCTTCTCATCCTTCACTCCACAGCATCCCCCCCTACTTCCCTGCGAAGACTCTTCATCTTCATCATTTTTTTATCGGCAAAAATTGGTTTACATTCTAGAAACGACCTTATATAGTGAGAGTTCTTTCCAAAAGAGGTAGTTCACTACCTTATTTATGTATTTTCTTGTTTCTTACTCCCCATTATTTTTGTCTTTACTCACCTATTCTCCAGCGTCATTGATTCTAAGACATGTAATTTACTGGCTTCTCTCTCTCACTCTCAGTTTCTCATTCTTTCCTTTACATTTGTTCTTTTATTTGTGTTTTATTTTTTATGTTATTTATTCATGCTGTTTTAGTGTCTATGTGTTGCCAAGTAGGGCCATTCAGGTTTATTATGTTTCAGTGTCTCTAAGGAGATTCTGGTTTCCAGCTCCATTTAGGTGAACCTGCTCTGTTTTCACACAAACAAGTCTGCTTCTGTTTGACAAAAGCAGTAACAAATTTCCAAACAAAAAGATATTCTCCCTAGTGTTGCCAAGTTTGCATTCAGCACCGTTCTTTTAAAATGACTTGCCTATTCTATACTCAAAACCCTAGGGAGAGGGATCATTTTTTGATATGGTTTTATATTCATGGGATTTTGTCAATTCTTTTAAAAAATACTTCTTTAATCATCCTTCCCTTCCAGAACAATTATTACCAAGCTGCTCCAAATTGTTAGTTCCTGGCATCTAGATTCTAGCAGCCTTCTATGTGGTCCTCCTGCCTGAGCTTCTCTGTGCTCCAATACACCAAGCACAAAACTGCTTGTTCCATTTCCCCAGATATAATTTTCTTTTTTTTTTTTTAAGAGGGAGTCTCGCTCTATTGCCCAGGCTGGAGTGCAGTGGTGTGATCTCGGCTCACTGCAACCTCCAGCTTTCAGGTTCAAGCGATTCTCCTGCTTCAGCCTCCCAAGTAGCTGGGATTACAAGCACCCGCCACCACGCCCAGCTAATTTTTGTATTTTCAGTAGAGACAGGGTTTCATGATGTTGGCCAGGCTGGTCTCGAACTCTTGACCTCAGGTGATCCACCTGCCTCAGCCTCTCAAGTAGCTGGGATCACAGACAGCCAACACCACGCCAATTTTTTTTTGTATTTTTAATAGAGACAGGGTTTCACCATGTTGGCCAGGCTGGTCTTGAACTCCTGACCTCAAGTGGTCTGCCCAGCTCAGCCTCCCAAAGTGCTGGGATTACAGGCGTGAGCCACCACACCCAGCCAATCTCTTCCTTTTCTGACAGCTTCAATTACTTTTTTCTTTCTCTTCTTCTGTAATTCAACTTTATACCTTATTATCTAGACTTGAATTGTCCTTCCAGTGTGTTCATACGTGTTCACCAGATTACAAGCTCCTAGAGAAAACTTCTTTGGCCTCTAGGTCTTTCATATCTTCAAACTCCTTATGCTCAAGTATAATAATAACTAATATTCTGTAGCACATTCTAAGTAATCCTCCCCATTCTAAGGGCTCAACTCTTTTAATTCTCATGGCAGCCCTGTGAAATAGGTACCATTTCCCTCATTTTACAAATGAGGAAACCAAGCACAAAGAGGTTAAATAACATACCCGAGATCACACAGCTAGTAAGCAGCAGAGCTGAGATACAGACTCAAATGGTCTAGCTCCAGAGTATGTGGCTTCACAACTACACTATGCATAGCCACATGGTAGGCCCTCAGTAATGCTTGTTCTGCAATTTGCAGGAAAAACAAAAGAAATACCTAGTTGTCACCATAAAAGAATATCATTTTCTAGTTTTTCAAGAATAAGAATAATCCTTCCCAGGTCAATGTTATGTGGCAGATGTGTCTTCATAAAAATGCCAAGAAGAAGCACCACGTCAATCATTTCCTATGTCTATCTAGGTCAATATTTTTTCATTCCTAGACATTGGTATAAAGGCACAGAACAAGGGCAAAGTCAGGAGGGTCTTTGAAGTCAGCAGGTCTTATCTTCAAATGCTGGCTTTGCAAAGTCCCTGTCCTCCTTCACGTTCCCAAATACAAAACAGTTCCAAATTACTTGTTTAAATGTGTAAAGACAGTCAAAACTCGCACAGCACATTGTTTTCTACTTGTTATTTCTTAAAGCAAATATTAAATCACCAATTATTCAAAGAACTTCGCTTTTCGTGTTTGTGATCTCCCGTTTTCTCCTTAGAACACCTTGCACAGAATATATCTAAATCGCATCTGGAAACCTGCCAATACTTGAGAGAAGAGCTCCAGCAGATAACGTGGCAGACCTTTTTACAGGAAGAAATTGAGAACTATCAAAACAAGGTATGATCTGAGGAATTTTTCCTCCTAGGATTGAGGCAATATTGGGAAGGGTGTTGGTATAGGAAAGTTGGTCAAGAGTTCACACAGACTAAAGAATGAATGTCATCAGGTTTCTGTTTAAATATCTTTTTTCTGAAGCTACTAATGTACTTGAGGCTTTGCCATTTAACTCAGATGCAAAATTTCAGCAATAGCAAATAATTTCTATTGTGCTTTCTAGGTATACACATACCTCCTTCCATTTGTCAACAGGAGAATAGATTAAGCAGCTTCCAAAAGTCTAAATGAATTGAGAATTGTCTCAATATCACAATCAAGATTTTAAGGTCTGGAAGTTTATGTAAAATAATCTCAGCCTAATGTTTCTGGAAGTTGACAAGGAAGCCTCATGTTTCTGGAAGTTGTATTAGGGAGTATATACAAAAAAAATTTAGAAGCTGTGATCATAACTCCAGTCTGAACCTAGCAATATGAGGCTGACAAATAGTACCCTACTTGCCTTTTTCTGTAAAACACCCAGATCAACAAGATTATCTAAGTGAATCCATTTTACATTTGAGGAAAACTAACATCCACTGGCATGTCTGGAGAGTGAAACATCAAGACCAGACCTTGACTCCTGGCTCCTAATTCAGTGTTTCTTCCACCCCATCATATCGGTGGGAACAGTCTGAAACTAAGATTGGGGAAACAAGTTAGCAACGAAAAAGATCCAGACCATTCTGTAACTGAAATGGAGAGTGCGAATATAAAAGGAATTTAACAGGACATGTTGGGGAATAGCAACACATTGCTTTGTTTGCCTTTGAGGTAGCAGGTAATGCCAGCAGCCAAAGCTACAAAGGAGAAGCAAGAAAACAGTAAGAAGCAACAAAGTATATGAAATAGGATTTTAGAGTCAGAGATGCTTGGATTTGAATCCTGGCTCCCATATCCACCAGTTTTTTGTTTTGTTTTGTTTTGAGACAGTCTCACTCTGTCGCCAAGCTGACACTTGCACTGGCGCAATCTCGGCTCACTGCAACCTCCGCCTCCCGGGTTCAAGTAATTCTTCTGCCTCAGCTTCCCAAGTAGCTGGGAGTACCGGTGTGTACCACCACGCCTGGCTAATTTTTGTATTTTTGGTAGGAACAGGGTTTCACCATGTTAGCCAGGCTGGTCTTGAACTCCAGACCTCAAGTGATCCCCCTGCCTCGGCCTCCCAAAGTGCTGGGTTTACAGGCGTGAACCACCGTGCCCAGCCAGAAAAAATATTCTTATGAAAGTGAATTAAAACAAGGATGTCATAAAGCGCCTAGCTCATAGTAGGTGCACAATAAATTCAGTTGATTCTCCTTTTCTCCCTTCCCCCAAAGTAAAGTGGTGTTAAATTTCCCAAGGCAAAATAATTACTTAAAAGAAGATCCAGACCGGGCACGGTGGCTCATCCCTGTAATCCCAGCACTTTGGGAGGCCCAGGCAGACAACACTTGAGGTCCGGAGTTCAAGACCAGCCTGGCCAACATGGTGAAACTCTGTCTCTATTAAACATACAGAAATTAGCTGGGTGTGGTGGCAGGTGCCTCTAATCCCAGCTACTCAGGAGGCTGAGGCAGGACAATCACTTGAACCCAGGAGGCAGAGGTTGCAGTGAGCTGAGATTGTTCCACTGCACTCCAGCCTGGGTGACAGAGCGAGACTCCATCTCAAAAATAAAATAAAATAAAATAAGATCCCACTTTGCCACTCTTCGTGGCCCAGGGCTAAAGCAGTGGCATGCTTTGCTTTCATAACTCTGCAGCTTCTGCTACAAAAGCTAACATCTTCCTGGAGGATGTTAATGTGTTTCCCTCTTTAACAGCAGCGGGAGGTGATGTGGCAATTGTGTGCCATCAAAATTACAGAAGCTATACAGTATGTGGTGGAGTTTGCCAAACGCATTGATGGATTTATGGAACTGTGTCAAAATGATCAAATTGTGCTTCTAAAAGCAGGTATGTGCTTTGCAAGTGAATTTTGAGATCTCTTCCTAACCTGCTTTCACCCGCTTATTAAAGAAATGCTTGGTAAGGAAGGTGTCGGGAACAGTTTTTCTCCAATGATAATAGCTCAGGTTTTTCTTAGCAGAAATGGAGTTCTTTTCAAAGGTTTTAAGATATATTCAGGAAACATTCCCCCCACTTTTCTTCTCTTCTGGGTGAAAAGATTAATTTGAAGGTCACCTACATTCCCAAATTTTCCCATCACGTGTGTTTTGTTTCTACACTCCAAGTCCTCCGAGTTTATGATGTTAGGAAGAAGAAAGTAGAACTCAGAAAGATATACTTGTTTTTGATTCTTGGTTTTAGTACATATGAATAAATGCTTTCCTAGCAACTCTGAGACTCTGCATTGCGAGGTAGAAGAGTGCTAAGGAAGTAATTTATAAATCAACCCTCACTTCAGTTAAACAGGGCTTAGCTTCAGCACAACAGTCTTTTAATTACATAGAAAACTCTGCCCTTTTGGATAGACAGCTGATGTGACTGAGAACCCGCTAGCTAAACTGCACACGACACCCACCATGCTGTTGCAGAAGGAGTCTCTACATGAGCAGCTTAGAAACAAACTCACTAACATCAGATGACCCAAATGACCCAAACCATTTCTGCCTCTGCTTAGGTTCTCTAGAGGTGGTGTTTATCAGAATGTGCCGTGCCTTTGACTCTCAGAACAACACCGTGTACTTTGATGGGAAGTATGCCAGCCCCGACGTCTTCAAATCCTTAGGTAAGGGGATATCAAGGTGCCTTTTCTTCAAATCAGGGCTATAGGAAAAGATGCGGGTTGAGTGAAAGCTCTGCTTGGACAAAATGAAAACTTTATTTAGAAACAAAAATTAAGGGGTTTTATACCTATTTTACTTTCTAGTTAGTCACTGTAGAAAAGTCATATAGCTCAAAAGTTTTTTGTCTACATTACTTGTAAAGATGTAGAGTTTCATTTTATCTAGTTGGTAATCAAAGGGATTTATATGACGTGTCCTTCCAGTTCCCTTCCAGATTTTAAGAAACCAGATTTGCTGGTGATATATTATTCGGATGACCTTTAGGATGTGAGCTGATACATAAAATTAAGCAAAGGGCAAAAGCTTTGCCCTTCCATCCCCCTCAAACAGTAACCATTAATGAGACTGAAATGCAGATATCAAAGAAATAAAAGTTACAGTTAAGTGAAACCATGATATATAATTTATAATAAATAATTTGGGGCCAGGTGCGGTGACTCATGCCTGTAATAGCAGCACTTTGGGAGGCCAAGGCAGGCGGATCACCTGAGGTCAGGAGTTTGAGACCAGTCTGGCCAACATGGCAAAGCCCATCTCTACTAAAAATACAAAAATTAGCTGGGCATGGTGGCACACGCCTGTAGTCCCAGCTACTCAGGAGGCTGAGGCAGGAGAATCACTTGAAACCGGGAGGTGGAGGTTTAACTGAGCTGAGATCATGCCACTGCACCCCAGCCTGGGTGACAGATTGAGACTCTGTCTCAGAATAATTAATAATAAATTTTGGATTTCTATAATTTAAATAAAATGAACATAGTTATTAAGAAGAATGGATAAGTATCTAAAATGAGTGATTTTTTTAAAAGTTATATGACAGATGATATATATAATGAACTGTCATGTAGCACATTGTCATTTAAATATATACATTTATATGTAAAATATGCAAATCTGAAGGAATAGACACCAAACTTAACCAGTCTTTTGGAAAACGGATTATTATTCTAGGGGACTTTCACATTCTGTGTTTTCAGGTTGGTAAATAGTTATAATAGTTTTACCACCAGAATATGTCATTTGTTAACATTTTTAAGGATGTTTCAGATGAAATAGAGTTGAAAACAAAAATGAGTTAATTTAACATATCAGTTAGAATATGGCTATTAGACTCTATAGGTTAAAAGTGTAGGCTCTGAAATCAGTCAGCCTAGCTTTGCTTCTTCTTAGGCTGTACTTTCTACCTGTGTGACCTTAGGTGCATTACTTTCCTCTCCAAGTCTCAGTTTCCTTACCTCTAAAATTGGGATAATAATAATCCCTCCTTCATAGAGCTGTTTTAAAATAAGAAGAAACCCAAAGAAATACCTTAGAGCAATACTTGCCACAGTAGTCACACAACAAAAGTTCAATCTCATTATTTTCAATGAGGATGACAGTGGCAATGGTGATGTGATGGAAGTGGTGGTGATGACTAAACAGATTTTTCTTTTAAGATTTTAAACTATTATACTGTAGAAATGTTACTACTATTCCTTCTGATCTTCAACCACTAGATCTCTCTTCACCTTCCCCATGTTTTTCTCCTAAGACCTTCTATTGGACTTAGGAGAACCTTAGGAAAACCTAAGACCTAGGTTTTTCTCCTAAGACAATAATCAAAATTCTAAACTGTCTTTGTTTTCATTTTGGCAGGTTGTGAAGACTTTATTAGCTTTGTGTTTGAATTTGGAAAGAGTTTATGTTCTATGCACCTGACTGAAGATGAAATTGCATTATTTTCTGCATTTGTACTGATGTCAGCAGGTAAGACAACCAAATAAAAATAAAAATGGTTTTCGAATTGTCTAAGATAAAGAATTTTTACAAGGCCCATACGTTTAATAGCTATAAAATATTTGGGAGCTACTAAGAGAGGTCTCCACCCTTATTAAATTGGATTTTAAGTCTTCAAATAACACCCTCTCTTTTCCACCCATCCAACACAAACATATATTCTTTTGAGAAAACCTCATGCCTTTCAGACAAAATGTAAAGAAATGAGAATTGAACAAAATCCAGTCCAGAATTAACCTCCTGATACCAAGAGAAATGCTGTGGTGGAATAGGGTTGCCTGTCTTAACACCAGTCTCCAGGATAACAAGATTTTTAAGACATCCTATTTTTTTGTTAAAATCCATTTAGATGTCATCCACTAGATTATCTGAATTTAATCTGTGTTTTCAACCAGTAGTGCATGTTTGGGGATAATCACTTTTGCTAAGTTACTACCTTCTATTTGGAAGACTTAGACATAAAGACTTTATCCTAAATTAACAACCCTTAAGTCAGTTGGAATTCTATTGACAATTTTAGTTGACAAAGATTACAAGAAAACTTTCCTATTTTTCAAAAAAGCTAGCAGGATCGATAATGAATATTTCATTCCAAAGTATAATTATTAGAACGTCTCGAGGGGCCATGATGGTTTCATTTGCACTCATATGAGTATGGCCTCATATTTAATTGTTTATCCTTTGGAAGGGGAGGATCCTTCCTTTAAGTATTGGTAAAAATGGAAAGGTTTAACACCCTGTTTTATAACTTCCTTGGATCACTTTTCACTCCATTAGGAGAAATTTTGAAAGAGGAGTGAAACTGGCCTCTGAGTCTCTAAATATTCATTGTGATATAATTATCCGTATCAAAAGAATCCGGAGAAGAAGGATCCTGACACCATGTCAGAGGAATGCTAAAGAATATCATTTTTTTATGCTTAGATCGCTCATGGCTGCAAGAAAAGGTAAAAATTGAAAAACTGCAACAGAAAATTCAGCTAGCTCTTCAACACGTCCTACAGAAGAATCACCGAGAAGATGGAATACTAACAAAGGTGAGTGCCAAAGGCTTCTAGTTGGCATGGCCTGAACTATCCCCTGGCACAAATCATGCTGCCAATATGGTCATGTAAGTCATATGACCAATTCCCAAAAGTATCAGAAGGCAACAGGCTACTAAAAAGAAATAAATTTCCATTTCAAAAAAATTCTGTTGAGCCACAGCTCATTATTCAGTCTAAATTATACTTACTATCGTTGATTACAAAGTGTCCTGCAGCAATAAGGCAATGTAGGAAAAAAAGTTACATTCTAGAAATTCTCTTCCATCAAAGTTAGGCATAAAGCAGAGTTAATATTCTGCACTGACATAAACTGTAAAAATAATCTTTGAATTTATTAATTTTTTAGAGACAGGGTCTCACTCCGTCTCCCAGGCTGGAGTGAAGTGGCACAATCATAGCTCTATGCAACCCTGAACTTCTGGGCTCAAAAGATCCTCCTGTCTCAGCCTCCTGAGTAGCTAAGACTACAGGTATATGTGCTACCACACTTGGCTAATTTATTAATTATTTTTTGTAGAGATGGGTATCTTGCTATGTTGCCCAGGCTGGTCTCGAACTCCTGGCCTCAAGCAATCCTCCCTCCTCCACCTCCCATAGAGCTGAGATTATAGGAGTGAGCCACTGTGCCCAGCCTATAATCTTTGAATTTAGGAAGAAGTTATAAAGGACTAAAAGACTTAATCAGGATGACCATATATACTAATATTAGTTCTACTTCCATTAAATTCACTAGTCATCAACAGTAAATGACTTTTGCATTTTTGTCAATTTCCCATCACTACTCTGTATTCAAAGCATAAGGTTTCATTTTTACCAATCATTATCTTTCACAATAAATATGATTATAATGTCAATTTTTTAAATGTGCTAATATCCTTCAGTGCCATTGCTAGTAGTATGTATTTGGTCTTAGAACAATCAGCCCTGTTCTTTCTTATTTTATGTATTTTATTGTGTGAGATGATGTGAGAAGTTTTTGGTTTTGTTTTCTTGTTTATTTGTTTGCTTGTTTTTTTTTTTTTTCTCCTTTATAGCTATGTTAGACCAGAAAGGGGTAACTGGGGGTTAATTGCTGTTTTGCTTTTTGATTTTGCACCTGTTAAATGAGCAAACGGGCAGGAATGGGAAGTGGAAGGGAGGAGCCCTGTCAGGAGCTTCACTCTCCATCTCTTTGCCCAAATGCAAGAGTACCATTAGGATCTCTGATTATAAACAGCACTTAACATGTGGACAAGATCTGGTGAAAACATTTCCTAGAGAAGGTTATTCTGGGTTAAAATAATAAGCAGTTTGCCTTTGTGAGGTGCTTTGGAATCTAAAAGTAATTTTGCAAATTGTGTCATTACCCTCAGCTGGTAAATGGTCAATGCTAGGGCCTCCATCCAGGCCTTCTGACTCTATTATTTTGCTCAGACCCAGCATTGCTTTATTACAGGCAAAACTCCTTATCGAAAAGAAACGTGTAGTTATCGGAGTTGACTAGTGCCAGTTCTGGATAAAATGTGTAGAGGATGCCATCACTTCCAGTTGCAGTGCCTTCACTACCCACCCACCACTGCCCCTCACCCGCTTCTCCATCACTAGACATCTTTTTGCACAGTGGTAGAAGGCAGGATTCCAGGAAGTAGAGCAGAAGGCATCTTGGAGTAGAAGAAGTCAAGAGCCTTGGGTTCTGTATGAGTCTGCTGCTGACAAGCTGTGCCAACTTTTGCTTATGAACATCTTTTCTAGTTATTGAATTATTCATCTTGAAAATCATATTTAATGTATACTTGGCATTCTATGACATGACTATATCATCATTTATTTATTTATTTTTTTTAAGAGACAGAGTCTTGCTCTGTCACCCAAGCTGGAGTGCAGTGGCACGATCACGGCTCACTGAAACTTCCACCTCCCGGGTTCTAGCAATTCTCCTGCCTCAGCCTCCCGAGTAGCTGGGATTACAGGCGCACGCTGCCATGCCTAGCTAATTTTTTTTTTTTAGGTAGAGACAGGGTTTCACCGTGTTTCCCAGGCTGGTCTTGAACTCCTGAGCTCAGGCAATCCAACCGCCTCGGCCTCCCAAAGTGCTAGAATTACAGGCATGAGCCACCGCGCCCAGCCATCATTTATTTTTACCAATCCTCTGCTACTGGATGTTTAAGTTGCTTTAAGTGTGTTTCACCATTATAAACAATGTCATAAAGATCATTCAGGTTCCCTGATCTTTGATGCTTATGCCTGTTCTTGCCTGACGGTGTGTCCTTTCTTTCACTTACAGTTAATATGCAAGGTGTCTACCTTAAGAGCCTTATGTGGACGACATACAGAAAAGCTAATGGCATTTAAAGCAATATACCCAGACATTGTGCGACTTCATTTTCCTCCATTATACAAGGAGTTGTTCACTTCAGAATTTGAGCCAGCAATGCAAATTGATGGGTAAATGTTATCACCTAAGCACTTCTAGAATGTCTGAAGTACAAACATGAAAAACAAACAAAAAAATTAACCGAGACACTTTATATGGCCCTGCACAGACCTGGAGCGCCACACACTGCACATCTTTTGGTGATCGGGGTCAGGCAAAGGAGGGGAAACAATGAAAACAAATAAAAGTTGAACTTGTTTTTCTCATGCATATGATTTCCATTATGCCTACAGATATGGACCCTTTTTCTGTCTTGACTTCTTGATCATTGACCTCTGTTTACAACAGGAGGAGGGTACTAAAGTCGGAGGATTTCCTTTTCTTGTAGCTCACTGCCCACAGACTTTCTACAGAGTCACCAATCTGTCAGTAACAACAGAGAGTCCAGCAATAATCGGTGACTGGTGTGCATAGCGGAGGTTGCGGCATTACTTTGCACAACTAGCTCTTTGTTTCATGAAGGAAGTTTTTATTTTTTCACCGATTATTGCCAGTCCGCAGGATGGCATGAAAAGGGTCCATAGCAGTAGCAACAATAGCATTATAATATATTACAGGGTAAATGGGCATGAAGACTATATATAGCTAAAAGAGATATTGTTTATATATTGTTTTAAGTAATATAAAATGTAGTTACTGGTGTAGCTTTTCCTGTTGAATTGATAAGGCACTTTCATTTTGCACCTTTTTCTTTAAATTAAATGCTAGCGTGTTCACTGTCGTGTCGCATGTGCACCAGAAACACAAGTTTAACTGAGAAGGCTTGGAAGGTACGTTGGGAGGTATTTATGCTGCTGTTTACAAAATTATTTTTAAGAGACTGGCTGGTCATATCTAGAAATCACCACGTTGGATTTTTTTTTTAACATGTGAATTTGGAATTAGAAACGGAACTCTCCCTAAATTATACTTTGCTTTTTGGTAAGTTTAATGATAGATGTGTTTATGCTTCATACAAAGTTGAATGATTGATTGGCGTGGTGGACATATACCATCATGCTCATTTTTTTTTTTTAAAGCTTTTTAAAATGCCACCTCATGGAGGCGAGGGGGAGGAGAAGCTCATTTTACACAATTCAGTAGTTAAATATGGACTCGGTCTCAACTTGGAATTCTTATGCTTTGAGAACAAATCAACAACCAGAATATTTATTGGAATCTAGCTTTTATTATAAGAAGGACCCAAAGATTATATCCTGAGCAAATGCACACTCCCCATGTGAGGACATGAAGTATTTACTTTGTGAATGTTTATGTTCTTGGTATAATCTAGGAACCCTATGAGTTTATCTCAGAGTGAACTAATTCTAGATTTGTTGTCAATAGATGCTATAATTCAAGAATGTTGCTCTCCATATTTGAAAAACGATGGATAGGAGGGTGAGGGAAGCATACAATGTTGAACCAGTTTCTCTTATTTAAATATTAAATACTTTAAGCCTTTAAAGTGAAGTTGATGCTAGCTGCAAACATTTACTCTTGTATTTATCTTCACTAGGAAACTGTGGACTGTAATTTATTTTATTAAATATTTAGAAGATTATTTGGCTTGTGTGTTCAGGTGAGAAATACTGAGTTGTTTTTGTTTAATTTCATGGTTTTTTTTTTTTTAATGATCCCTAGTGGGGGAAGGGGAAAGGAATAGTCTGATAAACAGATGTGCATATTTTAAAAACAAGTGACCTTTTGGGAATGTAGGCATTTAGACGATGATTTTAGTCGCACTAGGGGTGGGATTCAAACTACTGGTCAAAGACCATTTTGTACAGAAAAGGGAACATCTCCGATGGGTGTTAAGGTAGGAGTTTCCATGCAGCCCTTTATGTCTGAGAAATAGTCTCCTCTGCCATTGGGGTCCCTGCGGAATCTTCTACAGGAATTGCAGCTCTTCACGTCATGCTAGGTTACCAGCATGGGCTTCCCAGAGCACTTCACTCTGTTTCTAACTCCACTGACTTTTCTGACTTGTTTCTTGAGGGACTTGGAAAAGGGGAAGGTATTATTCACACAGATGTGTGTATGAAGCCTAAATAACATCCAACTTTTTTTCCAAAAACATAGTAAGAGTTTAACCATAAATAGAAGAGTAATATTCCTTTAAATTTCTTACAGGCATGTAAAATTTTATGTGTTTATAGAGAGATGCTAACTGTCAGCATATAGTATTTATATTGGGGCAAGAAGGGTTAAATCAAATCTTTAATTTAAGTAAGCATAGTTCCTTTAAAGATCAGTAGTATTTATACTCTGAAAAGAGTACCAAGCTTAGTTCAGTTATTTATTCATCCATTTTTTTTCTATTGTTTCTCCTCTGGGGGGAAATGGTGTTTTGTTTTTGTTTGAGTTTTGTGTTTTAGTTTTTTGGTTTTGGTTTTGTTTTGTTTTTTTGTCATTCAGATTCACTAAATTTGGGGATGGTTTTATTAAAGTATATTAACTTCTTTTTAACCAAAGCTTTCTGAATATGACCAGCCTCAGGTGCTAGCGCATTAAAGAGCAACTAAACCTAATTCCAGTGTCGATTTGTGAAATAATAAAAGCTAATTGAATTTCTCTAAGGGTGAGAGAGAACATAATGATGAACTTAAAAAGAAATTCCTTTTCCCAGAAGGGATTCTGCATGTACCTACAAACAATCATGCTCTAACCACAGTAATAGTCATGCCATGGTGACATTGCTTTTACGGTAAACCAAGATAGGTAATATGATGCTTCTTCCCAGGTGTTTCTGAAAGAAAAGCAGCGGTGGAGCTTAAGAGCCAAGTCCACTGATTGACATAATAGGATGGAATTGTAGACAGAGACATGCTCCATGAAACAAGGAAACAACTGACTACTATTTGGATCTAAGTTGGGATCTGATGTTAAACAATAAATTCAGTTTAAAAAAAATATGGAGCTCAGAAAAGGATGTGAAAAACTTTGCATTTTCCTTTCTTCATTATTACAAAAACACCTATGTGATGACATAAAATACTTGGGTGATATCAGAACAATTATCCTTAATAGTTTTTATAATTAAAGTTTCCTAAACTTCAGTCTCCAATAGTCTTTTAAGGATTGGAACCACATCACTGTCAGCCCCGCTGCTACAATGCCTTTGTACAATTTTTTTACATAAGGCAAATAAGGCTTTTGTACAAAGCCTGAATACCTTCTGTTCCAATGGTGTCCAAATGGTTATTATATTGTGAAAAACCTGGCCTTGGTCACAATGCAAACAAAAGTACAGATGAAAGTGCTTTTTGGACAGTTTGCAAATTGTGTTAAAGCTACGGATTTTTTTTAAAGTGTTCAGCATCTTAACGTGTATTAAAGCTATGGATTTTTTTTTAAAGTCTTCAGCATCCTAATTCACCCTTTCTAACTTAAGAAAAACATGACTTAAGACACTGCTTCTAAGTTTGGTTGTTCTTTATAGTGTGGATACCCAGTTATCTGTGAGCGTATGGGGGTGGGCTGAGGGTCAGGTGAGGAAGGAGTGTGTGTGTGTGTGTGTGTGTGTGTGTGTGTGTGTGTGATTTGCATGTGTATGATGTGTGTGCGTCGGACCGCTTCTAGGCTACTAAGTGTCAATGGAAAAGAAAATGTATTCAAAATACTTAAATCAAAACTAGAAGATGGGGAAAAAAAGATTTATTCTATACAAAGCCTTGTCTGGACCACTTTAGAGAGACTTCTATTTTTTTAACCCTTCTATAAATATTTGATGGCACTTGAAATATTCCTGCAATAAAATGTGATTTGTGTAAAGAAAAAAAGATTTTGTAATGTGAAACAAAGAAAGAAAGTAATGTAATTTTCTAAAAAAAAAAATACAAACAAACAAACTTTGTATTATTTTCTTGATGGAATTTGTCTATCTGTCTTTGGAAAACTTTTTATTTCATTGAATGTGCCATAGTAGAAATGTGTGTTTTTAGTTTTAGACTAAGGAATAGCTAGTTGTTGTGTTCCGACATTCCAAAATGCAAAACAACCTAGTAGTATCTTTCATGAAAAGGTTTAAGTAGTATGTAAGCTTCTCTCATTGTTGCTTTTTTGCACATGTTCTTCATTCCTCTCTAGTGCAATATGTACATAGAGCACTTGCGGGTGTACCTTGATCCCTCAGGGAAAAATACATATTTGTACAGTTTTTTGGGGTTTTTTTGTTTTTTGGTTTTTTTTGTTTTGCCTTTTGTTTTTGGCTAAGGAATGTCGATCGAATCACTTGTTATTGTTGAGGGGCAGCCAGATAATAATCCTAAAGCCACTGTTTCCAACATTGATTGTTTAAATCATATGTCCTTCCAATGCTATTATTTTAAGATAATAATAAAAAGTTATTTTCTGACAGTTCTTTGTGCTGACTGGTGAAAAACAAGGGTAAATAAGCACCTTATAATTGACTTACTGTGAATGACAATCCATCTTGGTATCAACGATAGAAGCCCTATCATTTTGGAGTTGGGGTTAAGAGTCAGAAACAATGTGCTCAGGGATCTCCTAAAACTCTTAAAACAGGGTGGCCAGTACTACTGGGACAAATTGTGTTTTTTATTATTAATAATAATGATAATAATACTATCCCTCCAAGGCACAAGTGAACTATATAGAACTGCGTGTGTGTAAACTCTTTACTCTCGTCTCATTTTGTTGAGTTTAGAACTTGATGTGCTCGTCAGTCTTGTGTTTCAAAACACTGAATAACTTCCAAAGCAAAGTTATGCCAGTGTGTTCAAAAGATAAATTAATAATGTACCAGCAAAGAGCATCATTCAAAGTATAGTCCTTGCATATTCCAGTTACCATTTCTCTAATAATTAAAATATTCATGATAAATATATATATAGCATCATATGTTAAAAACTATTTCAAATTCTACATATTAAGGATGAAAATTTTAAAATCCAGTAATAAGAGGAGAGACCTGCCTATCAGTACAGTGATATAGGTAAAAGATGAAATATGTTTTTAAAATACCAGCAATTAACTATTGTTTTCATGGGTTCTCCTCTAGAAGCAAACCAAAAATTCCTTCATGGAAAACAATTCTTACTTCTACATGTGTAGTTTATATCTGATGCATTACAAGAGCTAATGTTTAAAGACAAAACAAAACCTGCCTGTATGACAGCAGCAACTCGAGCCAACATTTAGTGTTACATGTTATATTTTTGAAATACCGTTTTGTTATCATATTCCACATATTACTTTCCATAAAGTCAGAGAAGTTCAATGTAATTGTTGGCTCTGATTCTTCCACCTTGGGATACACATTCACAAGAAGATTTATATATTTTCTTACTATGATAGAGGAACATAATCTGGGAAAACTTCCCATGTCTGTAAGATGAAAAGGATACCTTTACCATGTTGTTTTTGATAATAAAGAATATGGAAAATGGTAGAAATCTCTCCTCTCTATGTGTATTTGTATATGTGTGTATACACACACACGTTGACATTTTTACATAACATGTGATTGCCACTTCTTATAAAGTTATGATATAGAACCCCATGAAAACAACTTTATATTATAGATCAAATAATGTGCCCAGAAACGCAATTGCAACAGTAAATCTTGATCTATTGGTAAGAGTCTATGATACAGGTCTTCATTCTATCCCTAAACATAATGTTAGTAAAGAGGTTCCATCAGATTGTATTATAGAGACCTTCCTATTGCTATTTATTTTTAAGAGATGAGAAGACTGACTAGCAATGTCTCCACAGTGCAATTGGTTTCACTTCTGGGTCTGTCTGTCTGTTTGTGTAGGTGAGATCAGTGTTGTCAGGCTCTCAGAATAATTTTTAAAAGAATCCAGAAGCCTGACTTCACACCAAGTAGCCATCCTAGATGGGCGGGGGGGATCTCCATGTTCAACCAAACCCTCAGAACTTAGAGCAATAAATACATTCAGTCATTTATTTATAAATGAATGACAGAATATTCAATCCAAATAGAAACAACCTTTTGTCAGTGATGCAACATAACATGGAGTCTTATATTGAGAAAGTGAATATGAATATTTTAAATAGATGCCTAGGAAATCTGTGTTTGCTGTTTACATTTAATGTACTTTGCCACATTAGCAGTACCACACTTCTTTTACTTTCATCCTTCTAAGAACTAATGAAAGATAGCTTGCTATTAGCTTTGACATGTTGCACATGCCATTATGTTGTTCTCTAAGAACAACTAAATTCTCTCCAGTGTTCATGTGTGATTCCTTTTTCATCATTATTACTTTAATGTGGATGAATACTATTTCTAGGAACTTGATTATCACTGAACAGATTGCATATGTAAATGCAGATAATTCTTGAGCAATATAGTGAAAATGATTTCACAAAAAAAATCCATATGTACTGTATACATCTTCCTGAATCCAAAATTCTCCTGTTATCCACACAGTTTGAAATCTCATATTAAACAGTGGTAAATTTTTAAACATTAGGACATTAGCTGGCTGCTTCTATAAATGTACCTGTATTGTCTGCCTGCTCCTTTTGTGGAGATGTGTTTTTGTATTGGATGTTTGGGCCAATGGGAGGCTTCAAGCTACAACATATTTTCCCACTTTAAATAATATTTAACATATGACAAACCCCAGACAAGGCTTTTAATATGTATAAAGAACTGCAGTGTTAGGTGGTTTATTTGCAAACTGTTTTCAGTGTTGTCCATTTTTATGGCACCTTTAACAATATTCTTGTTTCCAAAGTACAAAAAAAATAGGTTAAATAATCTAGCCATAACTGAATGTCAAGCAATAAAACAAATGACTTTTGTGCATAGACTTAAAAAATACAAATTTTAGACATCTGCATGTAAATGCAATCTCTTGTTTACTGCTTTCTTCAACTTGAGCAATCGATTCCTTATTTACTATTAACTTAAGAACTTGTAACGGCCTGTAAACATTTTCTCTCTTACTCTTCTTTCAAATTTACCTGTCCCTGCTTTTGAGTCATAATATTTAATGTTGTTCTGCACATCTCTATACAGTTAACTTTTTGGCTTTCATTCTGTATAGATAAGAAAATGTTATATTATAAACAGCCTACTCAGTGCAAATATTTATCTGTTTATCAAATCCACAATATGCTGTATAATACCGGTTTTACTATATAATCTATTTTAGACATAGCTGTTTAGAACTAGAGTGTGCTATTTTTGTGTTTTTCTGATGTGTGGTGCTAGACAAGTTACTTTTGTGAACAACAAAAATTATCCCTTTTATTCCTAGACAATACCACCTTTGGGTCTTGTTAATTTCACTGAGTATAACTATATATTTGTATATATATACATATATATATATATCTACCTATGCCCAACTGGCAGCTGTATCAGAGTGCTGGATTTGGGACATGCTTTTCTCTTTAAATACATAATATCATTATATAAATTATTCTAGAGTGTATTTAATTAGGATAAAATTACTTCCTTAGTATGGATATTTGACATCTATAGGGTGAATTTGTTTATAAATATGGCTATATGGAAACTTATTAGCATTTACTTTATGTTTGCTACTTGGCTTTACAGCATATCTCCTAAGCTGAAAAATAATTTGCCAGGCCTTCAAGATCCTAAAGAAACTTGTTTAATGGAGTAATATACTTTTTTTTCTTATTAAGGAATTGTATTACTGGCACCTAACACAGTTGTATTCTTAGCTCCTATTATAGATAATGGGCATTTACATAAAATATCCTAGATGGCTTGATGGCAGAATAAACCTTTCCCCTCCTACCTGAGTCATGAGAAGGATGGAGACGTCCTCTGCCATAACATGGGCCATAAAGCAAATTCGACATGGGATGTTCTGTTTCAGTATGACCTCAACCAGTTCCATGAACTGAGTGAAGGACCTTCATTTTCAAAGTTATTTAATAAGTAGCTTAATTAAGCCTTTCTACCCATTCTCCCAAGATCTACTGGCATTATTGAAAAGCAAAGTTTATCAAATATCTAACTAAGGATGTAGTTAACCTTATTAAATATTGATTAGAATTGTTCTGTAATATTACTGAATTTGTAAGATCTTTAGCAAAGATTTTTGAGCAATTTATAAATGTAGAGCAAATGTTTCTGTTTACTGCACTTTTTGTAACTGAAGGTGATAAATTCTCAAGCCATGATTATTGGCTTCCATGCACTGCAATATTTATCCACAATTCTAGACAT
Source organism: Homo sapiens (assembly GCF_000001405.40). NCBI lineage: Eukaryota > Metazoa > Chordata > Mammalia > Primates > Hominidae > Homo > Homo sapiens. The sequence goes on along the minus strand of NC_000015.10, from coordinate 60,489,290 downwards.
TTTCCATTTTTGTGGAAGAGTTGCTGTTACCTTAATTATAAATGCAATTGTGTGGTTAATGAGAGCTAATGCTAGTAGTTAACCTTTTAAAGTGGATTGGCTACAGTTGAGGGAGAAATCTCTTTTAATATAAATCACATCATTCCTTAACTGCCTCTCTTGGAAAGAGATTGAAACCTTTTTTTTAAAGCACGATTTAGCATCCTAAGCTTCCTGAGGGTAGAGATTGTATCTTTTTGCGTCTGCACAATGGCTAGCACATGTCAGCATTTGACAATTGTTAAATGATAACAAGTGTGCCCCAATTAAAACGTTTTTCCTGGGTTGTTTTGTTAAATTTACAAAGTAAGCCAAGCCTTACGGTTAACATTCTCCTCTACAACCAAGTATTAAAGCCACATTTAAAAAGACCACATGAAATGCTGATTCTAATTGTGTGTAGGTCTTGAGGATTAAGCACACAAATTTCACAAACTTCTGTTTGAGTAAACAAACTCAGCCTTCTGTAAATATACATGCAAGTTTGGAAACAGTAATACTGTACCTATAAATATATGCTGTCTGTTTTGTGTACAGTATGTAAAAACTCCTTTTCTGCCACACTAAAAATGCAAGCCATTTATGGGAATCCTAAAACTAGTATTGAACTAAAACTTTGCTAATGATCTTTATTAGAGGATCGTCCAACTTTTCACTTACCTTGGGTTTTCTTTTCAATTCACTCTTACACTAGTCTGCTTATTTCCAGCTGTTTATTTTATTGAGTCCTGAATTTAAAAAAAAAATATTTTGATTCATTTTGTAAATACAAGCTGTACAAAAAAGAGAGATTTAATGTTGTCTTTTAAATACTCCAATTTTCATTCTAATATGAATGTTGTTATATTGTACTTAGAAACTGTACCTTTAATATTACATTACCTTTATTAAAAGTGCATTGAACACATCAATTTTAGATGTGCTTTATGTACTGTTATCCTATAATAAAACTTCAGCTTCTAATGGAACACTTGCCTTGTTTTTCTTCTTTTTTCTTGGTTATTGAATTGGACTGTACATAGTTTCCTAGCTTACATCCTGTCTCTAGTGAAGGGTCTAGGAGAGAGTAGGTAAGTGTGGTCCAGACTAGCAGCACGGCATCTCCTGCGACTTTGTTGGAACTGGATAATCCCAGCACTACCCAGACCTACTAAATCAATCTGCCTTTTTATAGGATCCCAGGTGATCCGTATGCACATTAAAGTGTGAGAAGCACCGGTGTATACCACAGCACCTTTTTTTTTTTTTTTTGAGACGGAGTTTCGCTCTTGTTGCCCAGGCTGGAGCGCAATGGCGGGAGATCTCGGCTCACCGCAACCTCCCCCTCCCAGGTTCAAGCAATTCTCCTGCCTCAGCCTCCTGAGTAGCTGGGATTACAGACATGCACCACCACGCCCGGCTAATTTTGTATTTTTAGTAGAGACGGGGTTTCTCCATGTTGAGGCTGGTCTTGAACTCCTGACCTCAGGTGATCCGCCAGCCTCGGCCTCCCAAAGTGCTGGGATTACAGGTGTGAGCCACCGTGCCTGGCTTTTTTTTTTTTTTTTTTGGAGATGGAGTCTCGCCCTGTCGCCAGGCTGGAGTGCAGTGGTGCGATCTTGGTTCACTGCAACCCCTGCCTCCCAGGTCCAAGAGATTCTCCTGCCTCAGCCTCCCAAGTAGCTGGGAATACAGACACACACCACCACACCCGGCTAAGTTTTGTACTTTTAGTAGAGACGGGGTTTCACCATGTTGGTCAGACTGGTCTCAAACGCCTGACTTCATGATCCGCCCACCTCGTCTTTCCAAAAGTGCTGGGACTACAGGCATGAGCCACTGCGCCTGGCCAGTGTAGCACTTTTTAAAAAATTATTGGCCAGGCACTTTTTAAAAAATTATTGGCTGGGTGCAGTGGCTCACACCTGTAATCCCAGCACTTTGGGAGGCCAAGATGGGCAAATCACGAGGTCGGGAGTTCGAGACCAGCCTGACCAACATGGTGAAACCCTGTCTCTACTAACAATACAAAATTTAGCCAGGCTGGTGGCACGTGCCTGTAGTCCCAGCTACTCAGGAGGCTGAGACAGGAGAATCGCTTGGACCTGGGAGGCAGAGGTTGCAGTGAGCCAAGATCGCACCACTGCACTCCAGCCTGGCGACAGAGCAAGACTCTGCCTCAAAAAAAAAAAAAAAATTATTTGCTGCCATTTTGCAGGGAAAATAATGTTTAAAAGGATCAAGCAACCCTTTTGATCAGAGAAGGCAAAGAAAAAGGTATTAACTTGTGAGATAACACCCACTGATTGACAGTCACTCTTGGAAATGCAGAACTGAGAATTCTGAAGTTGCTTCCTGTCTCATAGGAAAAGGGTGCCATGACTGATTAGTCCTATCTTCCCTGAGTGCAGAAGGAGAGAAATCCTGAATGCATAGATTGTCATTTTTGCTTTAGAAGTCATTAAAATTGAATTGTAGAAATGTTGCCAAAGACTTTTAATAGAGTCTCTGACTACCTGCAGTGTCATGGCCCCACTCCCACCCTTTCTTTTGAGTAAATTACTTAGGGGTGAACCATAAATTTAGCATCAGCTTAGTATTACACCATTTTAATGGTGCAAAAACCTCATCATCAATTATTTTCAATGTAATATCAAGGACATTCAAATTATAAAATACTCTGAAGTCAGAATAAAGGCAACTGAGCTAGCATTTTCCTCCACATACCATAATGCCTAAGCATCCCCTGCACTCAGTAGCATTCAATAAATATCCGAATTATTCCCCAAAGTTGCTGCAAGTAGTAAACAATCCCTAATCCTGCTTTTATTTTCAACTACCTCAGAAAAAAAGAATGAAATATTATGCATGTGAAATCTTTGTAGACCATCAAGTTCTACATAATTATAAACACTACACTTTCCGGTGTCTGCAGAAATTGAGAGTTAATGAAAACAGAGTTTAAAATATGTAATCTGTCACCTCTAGATCTCTGCCCAAACTCATGCCTAAACTCCTTTTGCCAAAAATAATGATTTTCAGCCACCTCTTTATCCTGGATTAGCTTGCTCAGTTTCAAAAAGGGTAAAAGGGAATATAGAAGAGACTTCTTAAAATTCTGTTCCTGATGATCTCACAGGAAAAGCAGAAAGGATAACAAATGTCAGGTTATTAATAAAGTCTAGGAAAGAAAGCAAAAGTAATAACCATAGACTGGTCAGTAAGACATGACCTCAAGAATGTCTTAGTTGCTACTGTTACTACTAAACTTTTCTTCATGAGGCAAGAGGAAGCAAGGGTCAAGTCTAGCCCCTTAAAAGCGGACTTCATATCTAACGTGCATTTGTACCAAATGGGCAGGTGCAGAGGCCTCAGCTTCTCCTAACAGGTCTGTGAAAACACCGAGCCACATGCATGGTGGTAGGAAAGATAGCTGCTGCTGTGCTGAGATGCAGTTAAGCACCTTGGCTTCCCCTTTTGAATAAGAAATTGAAGATAGGGCCCAGTGGTGTTCAAAACCATGGTCCAAAAGAGATTATTAATGTAATGTAAGTCATCAGAGACAGGAAGAAAAAAAGATACTTCCATGCTAAAGGGATTTCGGGAACTTGAGGATGAGAAGGGAATATCTGGTCAAGAGAACCCCCCTAGATTCCAGCAGATTCACACTGATGGCTCCCCTACTGCTTCTACTCCTTGCCCCCAGCTTTTGAAGCAAGCATGGACTCCCAGTGGTGGCAGAAGCGTCACTCTAGGAGATTAACAGGAGCTCTCTCCTTTCACTTTGCCACCGGTGGTGAGCTAAAGAAAACTCTTGGTTTTTTTCTAATGTCACTTATCTCTCATGTTGGAAAGAGAGAAACCAGTCTTCCTGTATTTAATTTGATTCTAGATTTTTTTCTCCTTGGGAGGGGAACTGTCTACTCCAGTATAATACAGTCATCTCAGTAATCCATTTGTTATTTAACCACTTGATAGACTTCTCAAACAATATTTTTAATTCCAGGATAACTTCCCTTTTGTGGGGAAGAAGCTATATCATCTATCAATTGTTCTTTGCTTGAAGGACAAAAATTAACTTTAATATTAGCCTCACCCAAAATCTATTATAATGACTTCCTAACAAGCCCCATACCCACCCCTTCTACCATTCTCTCTCTACTCCTCTGATAAAACACACACTGCATTCTAAAGACAAATACAATTTTTAAATTATTCTGCTTGGAATTATCTCTGTTATCAACTTCTCTCTGTAGAACACTTACGCGCTATAAAAGACCATCTTTCAAGTGAACAATGATTTCTGGGGTTTTTTTCAGCCCAGGGGCCACATAATACAGAACATATCTAAATATATTTTAGAAAATATTATCTTCTGAGTAGAAAAAAATCGAAAACTTTAGCCATTCTTGTTCTTACATAGCATATCCTAGGCCAGAGTATTTTGCTGGTTTTTGGCATTGATGATTCCCTCTCCACTTGAAACACCATTTATTGCTGAAAGGCCTGATTTGAACAAACTGCAATTAGCGACAATATTTTCCCCAAAAGTTTCTGAGTCAATTACTAGATTGAAACCTTTTTGCTAGAGGACTATTTCTGGATTCTCATTTTGAAAATACCTTATGGAGGATTGTAAATTCATGAGGCAATTCCCTGAGTGAAGCAGTTACCAAGCTGTAAACTATTCCAAGGCCAAGTTCACCCCGAATCAAGCAAAGGCAGCTCATTAGCTGAGGGGTAGGAAAATGACTTATTACTGATTTAAAAAAAGAAAGATGATCTTGCACATTTCTCTGTCTTGATTTGGTCCCCAAGAAGAAATGAACACCTAGTAATTGCTTAGTTAATGTTTGCAGTTTTTAGAGTTCTTTTTTAAATTCTGGTCCAATTAAACATTTTGTAAACTCAAAGAAGTACACACTGTTATAAACTCTTTCAAAATTAAATTGGCTTCTCATTCAACTTCTGGGTTTGTTTGTTCCCCAGTTTACCAGAAATGGAAAACCGCATCTTTCTTCTGCTTAAAAATCCACAGAATAAAATGGTGCAATTGCTGTGGGAAACAATCTGACAGTTTTCTAAAAAGTTAAACATAGGCTGGGCATGATGGCTTACACCTGTAATCGAGCACTTTGGGAGGCCAAGGGGAGGATCACCTGAGGCCAGGAGTTTGAAACCAGTGTCAGCAACATAGAAAAAAAAGTTAAACATAAATTTACCATACAACAATTCCACTCCTAGTTATCTACTCAAGGAAATAAAAATGCAAAGTTCACACAAAGACTTGTACATATAAAATGTTCACATAAATGTTGTACACATAAATGATGCCCTCAGCAACATTATTCAGAAAAGCCAAAAAGTAGATACCATCTAAATGTTCATCAAATGTTGAAGGGATAAACAAAAAGGGCATATCCATAAATGAGTTACTATTGAGCAACAGAAAGGAAAAAATACTAATACATGCTACAACATGGATGATCCTTAAAACATTATGGTAAGAATCCAGACACAAAAGACAACATATTGTATGATTTCATTAAATGAAATGTCCAGAAAAGGCAAACCTATAGAGACAGAAAGTAGATTAATGGTTGCCTGGGGCTGGAAAGAGGGACTGATTACAAATGGGCACACAGGATTTGGGGGTTAATGGAAATGTTCCAAAACTTTATCATGTTGAGGGTTGTGAAACTTCACACATTTACTAAAAGTCACCTAATGGTACAATTAGAATGAATGAATTTTATGGTATGTAGCTTATAACTCAAGCTATTTAAAACACAGATACACAAACATATACACACACAGATTCCCCATAATGCAGAGAATAAAGTCCAAAATCTCTAGCATGGCAATGAAGACCATCTCTAGTCCGCTTCACCATTTCCAGTCCAACAACCTTCATTTCCCCAACACAGCGATGCAACAGCTTTTCCTCTTCCCCAGAATATGTGGAGCTGTTCACACTTCTGTGATTTTTTTTCCCACAGTTAAAACCCACAACCCCTTTTCTACCCAGTGAACTCCTACACATCCTTCAAGACCCAAAATAAATTAAACTCCTCTGAAGTAATCTCTAAATTATCTCCATCAGAATGAATTTCTTACTCATTTGTGGTCCCATGGAATCTTCTATATATATATGTATACCATTTCCTTTTTTTTTTTTTTTTGAGACTGATTTCACTCTTGTTGCCCAGGCTGGAGTGCAATGGCGCAATCTCGGCTCAGTGCAACCAATGCCTCCCGGGTTCAAGCGATTCTCCTGCCTCAGCCTCCCAAGTAGCTGGGATTACAGGCATGCACCACCACGTCAGACTAATTTTGTATTTTTAGTAGACACGGGGTTTCTCCATGTTGGTCAGGCTGGTCTCGAACTCCCAACCTCAGGTGATCCACCCACCTCAGCCTCCCAAAGTGCTGGGATTACAGGCGTGAGGCACCGCGGCCGGCCCACCATTTCTTCTTTGCATTATAGGTCTTTGTACAGTGCCATCTCCACTGTGTTTTGTTCATCTTTGATTTTTCTTTCAGAAAAATTATATACTAATAGCTAGTATTTGTTGAACATTTACTCTTTGCAATGCACTTTATATATATATTACTTCTAGTCCTCACAACAATTCTGTAGGTGAGGTATCACTGCCTCCATTATCCAGATGAAGAAACTGAGACTCAAGAGGACACACGACATGCCTAGGATCACAGTGCCAGTAGACAGAAAAACTGAGATGCCAACCTGAGACAGATAACTACTGGAATCCAGAAGTCCATGTTCTTGCCACTAAGCTTCTTGTGGTTCACAAAACAGAAAAGAAAGGATGCATATATTTATTGTATTTTATGTTACTCCGCTGGGGCTGCTATGACAATTCCATAGCCTGGGAGGCTTAAACAAGAGACATTTATTTTCTTACAGTTCTGGAGGCTTGGAAGTCCAGATCCAGCTGCCAGCCAATTTGGTTCCTGGTGAGAACTCTGTTTCTAGCTTGCAGATGGCTACCTTTTTGCTGTGTCTTCACTTGGGGGAGAGAATGAGCTGTGGTTTCTCTTCTTCTGACAAGGGCATGAACTCCATCATTGGGGCTGCACCCTTGTGTCTTAATCTAAACCTACTTACCTCCTAAAGATACCACCTCCAAATACCATTAGGATTCCTTGTAGTAAACAAAAATTATAGGAGGCCATTAGGCTCCTATAATATGACATATGAATTACATATTCATATAAGATATGAATTTTGGGAAGATGCACAATGCACACGTTGGCAAGAATTATGAGACCTGAGTTTTAGTATCAGTTTTATCATTGATCATGTGATGTTGGAAAAGTCACTTGACAATCTTGAAACGAGCCCATTTCCTTGTAAGGAAAACAAGAGGGTTGGACTAGATAATCTCCAAATCGTGTTCTGATTCTAAAAATTCTGATTCTGTGTGCTATCTTGCAACCATTGAAACTCAGATATACCAGTTCAGAGCATACTGTTTGGTGATGATCTGAAATCTCAACACAGAGCTGTATGGTAATGCTACCATATCACACTACCATGGGCAGGTACCTCCCAGCAGCATGAGCTCTTAAACAATTAGAGCAGTTCCTTCAGGCCAGGTCAGGTGTCCCCAACTCTTCCTGACTGCATGCTTTGTGAGACAGTACCCAACACATGAACTTTTACGCTGCCTTTGTCCTACACAAGCCATCCACATCACTTACCTAATAAGAAATACTATCTGCAGCCAGGCATGGTGGCTCACGCCTGTAATCCCAGCATTTTGGGAGGCCGAGGTGGGCGGATCACGAGATCAGGAGTTCAAGACCAGCCTAACCAACATGGTGAAACCCTGTCTCTACTAAAAATACAAAAATTAGCCGGGCGTGGTGGTATGCACCTGTTATCCCAGCTACTCAGGAGGCTGAGGCAGGAGAATCGCTTGAACCCGAGAGGCAGAGGTTGCAGTGAGCCAAGATCGCCCCACTATACTCCAGCCTGGGCGACAGAGGGAGACTCCATCTCAAAAAAAAAAAAAAAAAGAAAAGAAAAGAAAAAAGAAAAAGAAAAAAAGAAATGCTATCTGCACAGTGCCAGGCATTGTAGTGGTTGATTTTTTTAAGCATTCACAAACACTGTCTCCTAACTGGCCTCCTCCCTTCAATGAATTCCGTAGGTTGCCAGGTGAACTTTCCTGAAGCACAGCCAGCCAGTTCTGATTGTGTCATTATGTAAGCTTTTTTGTTTGTTTGTTTCCTAGCATTTTATTTCTTATGCAATAAAGTCAAACTTCCTTAGTCTGGCTTATAAAATCTTACGTGTTCTAGCTTCAACCAGTTTTTCCAACCCCTTTTCCTCTACTACTCTTCAGAGACCTTGCATTCCAGGCAAAATAAACTACCTATGGTTTCCTGTAGCATATTTTTTACATTAACATAATTTCTAACAATATTCTAAATCAGTCTAAAATGTCAGCCAGGGGTAGTGGCTCACACCTGTAATCCCAGCACTTAGGGAGGCCAAGGTGGGCAGATCACTTGAGGTCAAGAGTTAAAGATCACCCTGGCAAACCCCATCTCTACTAAAAAAAAAATACAAAAATTAGCCAAGTGTGGTGGCATGCACTTGTAGTCCCAGCTACTAGGGAGACTGACGCAGGAGAATCGCTTGAACCCAGGTGGCAGAAGTTGCAGTGAGCTGAGATCACACCACTGCACTCCAGTCTGGGAGACTCTGTCTTAAAATAAAATGTAGAACATGCTTCCCTAATAGCACACACTAGATTCTGTTTATGCAATAAGTTTATGCAGTTCCTTGTATTAAAAAAAATTATAGGAGGCCATTGTTTAGAACTTCTGCACTAGACCCCAAGAGACCAGACTAAAATAAAAATGGTATCACTCAGGCTCACCACACCGAAACTGAGTTATGTGGCCCTCCAAGAAATCAGGAGACAGAGGTAACAGGCCAGTTTCAATTTTCAATCAGCAAGATAATGAATTTCCTCTGTTTTAGTCCCTACAGCAAAGAGTAACTTGAAGTAACCTGATGTTAACCAATCAGTTATCTTTCTATTGTACTGTCTGTCTCCACCTTACCAGGAAAGTAACTTTGAAATGATCAATCTGCTTTTTGTTCTTTGTTTCTACTTTCTACAGACCTTTTTTCTGTCCGTAATGCCAACCTCCTCTGTTCCACTCATTGGGACACTCATTCCATTTTATGGAATGAAGTGTTGCCTGATTCCAGAATCGCAATAAGGCCAACTGAGATCTTTAGATGTGTCAAATTTTTGTCTTTTGACACTTGTGCTGGTCTGTCTAGAACGCCCTTTCTCTTCATTCCACATACCCACATTCTTCAAATGAGCTCACACGGCAGGTGCTCAGTGCAGCAACTGACATGTAAGTACTCAATACTATTCAAAACTGCGTTTTGTCCCTCACACTAGCTATTCCTCTCCCTCTAACCTCAATCTATACACCTTTCTTATGTAGTTTATTACTTTCTATTGTATTTAATGTAAATGTCTTAGATTGCCAGAGATCCAAAGCACTGGAAAAATCAGTATTCAGTCTTAGTCCATGTGTACCCAGCACCAAGCACAAAGTACTCTGTTTACGGTCAATAAATCTTTCCGTAATGGATGAGAACAAAACTAGTGTTTGAACTCACAGCTAAAACTGGATGGGGAGTGGAGCGGAGGTGAAGGAGCACTTAATGAGGCCCTACTATGTGCCAGGTACTGTGCAGAGCACAGCTTCTTCCTTTGTTTCATTTAATCCTTTCCAAAAAACCGTATGATGCAGCAGTAACAATTTCATCTCCATTTTACATATGAGGAGTTTGGGTTACGGAAGTCAGGAAACTTGCCTGAGGTCACAACCAAGTATGTTTGGGTCTTTCCAGTACCGCACTTGTCGCTTGTCCGCCTTCCAATTTATCACTCCCCTCCTCTCCCCGACGAAGGTCGAGGACTTTCTAGGAAAACACGCAGTCTCCAACCACTTCCGCCTGGCGAGCCCAGTCTCGCACTTCGCTGCCAGAACCACAGCGAGCGCTTGTGGCGGGAGGAAAGGAGGGGAGCAGCCGTCAAGACGCAAGGCCCCGCCCACTATGTCGCTGAGACGTCATCACGCAGGGCCGAGTCGGCGCGGCCACATCCTTTAAATATGGTCTTTTTTGGGCGCGCGCGACAATGTGAGGAGTGGGGTGGAGCGTGTGTGGTGTGTGGCTGCGGCCTGGGCAAGAGCCGCCGCGGACCATGAGGTGGGCGGAAAGGCTGTGTTGCAGCCCAGACGCGGACGGGAGGGCGCTGCCGGGCCAGCGGGCGTGCTCATGCAGGGGCGGGAGGAGGGAACATGGCGGCCGGGCCAGGACCCTTTGCTCCTGGCTCTGCGCGGCTCCTACCCCTGCTTTGCTTGCCCTTTTACCTGCTTTTCTGGAACCTTGTTTCCCCTCTCTTTGCGTCCCCTTTCCCTCAGCCGTTTCTTTTGCCTTCCTCGACTATTCCCCCCCAGCTCCACACTGGGTCGAAGTGTGAGAGGTAGATTAAGTGGGAGCCGGTCGGGCCCGTTCGGTGTCGAGAGACCGACTCCTAAATTTGATTAGGTTCTCGCAGGTCACTTTATCAGTCTGCCTGGGGTCACAGGAGAAGTACTGAACATGAGAGATCAAGCCTGATTTGTAGTCCTGATGATGTCTGTAAGTGATCTTGTGAAATGTCACTTAAGTTGACCTCAAGTCTTCTCAAATGTGAGGTTCTTTGTGAAAGGCCTAAGATTCCTGATATCGAGGTAGCTTTTGTCATAAAGTGCCTGCCAGAATCTGCCCCATAACAAAGCATGGTCGGGAAAACAAAAGATTTATTTTGGCAGTAAGGGAATGGAAAACTGAGTTGACTTCCCGTTCCATGCCATCAAGTGGCCTAGTATGTAAGCAATGAGAACACCGTTCTGTTTCAGCTCTTATTTCCATAGTGAGTGTCCTGAGAGTAACACTCCCGGCGTAGATTAAATGGAAAAGGGCTCGTCCTGTATCGTCATTGCTGCTCTGCTACAAAGAACCTTGGGTCTGCTGTATTCTGTTTTAGGTGCCACAGTCTGTTGAGGGTAGATGTTTAGGGAGAGATTCTTCCTCACCTAATAGCACCTGGCCTAGCCAATCACTTGCTTTTGATCTTGGCCTTTTGTTTTTACTCAGCTGAGTAAGTTCTGGAGGGATCCTGCCTCTTGGAGCCTTCGCAGCCAGGCAGCTGTGAACTGTGAGCTAGAGTGAAGCAGAAATCTAGGAAGATGAGCTCCAAGATGGTCATAAGTGAACCAGGACTGAATTGGTGAGTTGTAGCCACTTTGTAATCCACTGAAGAGGAGTGTAGTGGGGCTGATGGTTGACATAAGAAAATAGATTTCTGGCATAGAGAGATTTGGAGGAAACAGAAAATACAAGTTTAGGGTCTCAGAATTTACCCTATCCTCATCTTCACATACGGAATGCTAGAGTTATGGCTGACTGTACTTCCACTCCTATAGTGGAACAACACAGTTCAGCACTCAAATTATTTTTAGGTATAATTCCCTCAGGTATTTATTGTTGGTCTCCTGTGAAGGAGAGATACTGGAATTTTCTTGAGTCCAAGAACCTTGGCCCATTTCCATACAAGTAATAAAAAAGACCCTCTTTAAGAATAGACATGCTTTTTGTTATATTGAAATCTATATCAAATGATATAAATGCATAGACTGTATTTTAAAAGTGTATGAGAACTTTGCAAATAGAGAACCTGGTTAAATAATATAGTGGTTTTGTAGCCATCTAGCTAATACATGTGCTGCTTTAGTTCATTTTAACACACATTTACTAAGCCAGCCAAGGAGGATCAAATGTTATAAATGGTTACAAAGAGTATTAAAATAGTACCTGACTCAGACTATTAAGTCAGTATGTTCATTGAGTATTTGTTTATTGCTAACAACACTCCCATCCCCAGGGAGCTCACAATCCCTGAGACCCTTTACTTTGTTTTTATATGATGTGCAGAAACTTAAGAATTTATTGAGATGTCACAGATACAATACCACGACAAGGTAATAAGAAACTATACTGATGCATAGCAAATAAGACTTTCTAATTTTACCATTAATACCTTAATATAGTTTTTTGGATAAATGCCTTTAAGAACAGTTTAAAAAGGAGAAGAGTATGGAGCAAATATGCTAGAATTTCCTATCTGGGCACTAGGACACCCAGAAGTTACCATTTGATTAGGTAAGAGGTATGCACATTTGCATTCCTTGCCAGTGCTATAAAGTATGCATTCAGATGTAGCACAGATGCTCTTGTATACCACCGGCATTGTGGAACTAGTTGTGGTTTAGAACCTTTGCACAATATTGTAGCCCTTGGAATTATCCTTTTCCACGGAATTTTACTGACCTTTGTCCTCCCTAGTAACGTTAATGGATTCAGTGTTTTCAAGTTTTTAATTCCTTCATTCAAACAGCATTTTTGGATGCCTAACTATATGGAAAGCATTGAATATAATATGTTAGTCTCTAAATTAATTATGGTGTTATGAAAAATCATATCACCTTTGAGGTGGTTTTAGCAAACCAGTTATCCCATTTGCCAAAGTAAACAAAATAGCTAGGCTATTTAGTCTTTGTAGTGTCTTTTGGCTCAGCACAGTAGTGCATGAAACAAAAATAAGTTGAGAAGTGTTTTCAGCAACCAAGTATCTTAATGTTATGTCCTAGAGCCAGAAGTGAGGCCAGCCTTTGACAGACCCTTGATTATACTTCAGTCTTTTCTATCTTTAACTTTCCAGTCTCTGTGACATTTATTTAATTGTGTACTACAGAAAATGTAGAGCTGATTATTGGAGCTGGAGAATTCCATAATGGGCCTGGGTTTAAAGCTATCCAAGAAGTAACACTTCTAAGCCCACAGATCTGGTATATGAAATTAAACATAGTAAGAAGAGATTGTCTGGGGATGGGGGGGTAAGAAGGTATGAAATTGTAAGTTACAATTGTGCCATTATGTGTCATAGTCTAGCATGAGATTTTGAATTGTCAAATGTAAGTAAATTACTTTGTTTCACAGGGATATTTCCCCCAAAAATGGCCTTAAGACATTTTTCTCTCGAGAAAATTATAAAGATCATTCCATGGCTCCAAGTTTAAAAGAACTACGTGTTTTATCCAACAGGTAATATGTTTATTTGGTTATTTATTTCCATATTTGATGGTCGTTTTTCTGATAGTTGAAGTTTTATGTGTATCTCTAGTATTAAACATTCAAATTATAGAAATGTTTAAAGTAAAACAACTTTTAACACTGGTATTTATCTTTTCAGACCTTCATTCCTTTCTCCACACATGAACTGCAAAACAATTTTATAGTATTTTATAATACTATGCTAAACTATCCCAATATTTTTATAATACTGTACCAATATAGTATAATACTATGGAAACATTTATACCAATAAATGTTTTAGTATGGTACCAATATTATACTAATAATTGTTTAGTATAGTACTAAGCAGTATACTGTTTATAACGTGTACACGCACACATACATATACAGGTATATAATACAAAATGGGATCATACTAAAAATATACTATAAAACTGTTTTGCAATTATCTGTCATTTAAAGTGATATTTTGAATATCTTTTCATGCCCCAGCATTTAGTTCAATCTTAATGGTTGCATATTACCTCACTATATAGCCTATAGATGTACTTTTAATTCATTTAACTAGTCTTGTGTTGCAAAACGTTGTGTTCCCTTTTCTTCTTTTTTTTTGGTAATTAAAAACAATATATTGGTGAATTTTTATAGTTATTTCTGTAAGATATACTCACAGAAATTGAATTGTTTGGTCAGACAATATGTACAGTTTATATTTTAATAGATATTGCCAAATTGCTAAAGGTTTTTTTCCTCTCTGATATTTAATGACTATTAAGTGATAATTTTTACTTCTTACTGCCAACTTGCCTGTAGTAGCTCTTCTTTGCTTTTTGATCGACTATTTCTACTCTGTTGTTGATGAATCCGGAAACCAAGTAATTGAGTTTACTAGAAAAATGTATAAATACACCAAATGAGGAATTAGGAAACTCCCCCAGGGAAGCTCAACATTTACTTTCTTCGTTTCTCCTTTTACAGTGGAGGAAACGTATCTCCCCATCTTTTCCTGCTTTCTCAGTTATCTTTTCTGTCCGTTGTCCCCTCTTACTCCTCTATCTTTGTTCTTTCCCATTTTCAGTCATCTTGATTACTTTTTCGTTTTTGTTTTGTTTTTGAAGAGACATGGTCTTGCTGTGTTGCCCCGGTTGATCTTGAACTCCTGGCTTCAAGTGATTCTCCAACTTGGCCTCCCAAAGTGCTGGGGTTACAGCCAGGAGCCACTCTGCCTGGCCAACTTAATCAGTATTTGAACATGCTCAAGTTTTCCTGTTTTAAATAATCCCTGGACTCCACATATTCTCCTAATTACTTTCTTACCTTTTCTCTCATTTATACTTAGACTTCTTTAAAGACTTACATATGCTCACTGGGAAGAAATAAGGAACAAAAAAGCTGTAAGACATACAGAAAACAGTAGTAGTAAGTCCTTCCCTATCAATAACTTAAATGTAAATTAATTAAACTCCCCAATCAAAGGATGGATTGGCAGAATGGATTTAAAAACAGGACTAACAACTTTCCATTTACTGCACATCCTACTACACTTGCTGGGATTACAGGCATGAGCCACCATGCACGGCCTATAGCTGTATTGTATTCTATAGTTGGGTGTATATAATTTTTAAATTGACCTCTGTTGATATTTAGCTTGTTTCCGTTCCTTTACTGTTAGAAACAGTGAGCAGCCTTTTTACATGTGTTTGTATAAGTAGGATAAACTGTCAGTGGAGGGTACGTATATATATTTATTTTGATAGATATTGCCAGATTGCCATTAAAAAGCATTAAAGAAAAAAGTGCTTTTTTGATTCCATCAAATGAATGTGTAAGTTTACGTAAAAACAAGCAGAAGTTGTATTAAAGAGACAATTTTAGTCCAGGCTCAGTGGCTCACACCTGTAATCCCAGCATTTTGCAAGGGTAAGGCAGGAAGATGACTTGAGGCCTGAGTCTGAGACCAGCTTGGGCAACAAATTGAGACCCCGTCTCTCCAAAAATAATTTGCTGTGTGTAGTGGCACATACCTATAGTCTTACTTAGGAGGCTGAGGCACGAGGATCACTTGAGCCCAGGAGTTTGAGACTGCAGTGAGTTGTGATTGTGCCACTGTATTCCTGCCTGGGCATCAGAGTGAGATCCTGTCTACAAAAAAAAGAGACAATTTTTTAAAAATAAACGTTTTAAAGAGGCAGTTTCAGAAGCAACTTTCCTCTTGCCAAAGTGCATAATTATAATGTCTGTGCTAATGTCAGATATACAAAGTTAAAGCAATAGACTCCCTATGTATGTACATTTATGGATATTTTTAAAAACTATTTGTTATTCAACTTGTAAAGTTTTTTGAGGATAACTAATTTCTTAAAACTTACTACCAATTAAAGAATTGCCATTGTTTATTTGGATCAAAAAATGCCTATAAATTCTGTTGTCCTGGGATTTAGAGAACATATGTCTATCTTTAAAAAAAGAATCATCTCAGGTCAGGCGTAGGTGGCTCACACCTGTAATACCAGCCCTTTAGGAGGCCAGAGCAGCTGGATCACTTGAGCCCAGGAGTTCAAGACAAGCCTGAGCAACATGGTGAGACCCTGTCTCTACAAAAATACAAAAAATAGCCAGGTGTGGTGGTTGTGTGCCTGCAGTCTCAGCTACTGGGGAGGCTGAGGTGTGAGGATCACCTGAGTCCAGGGAGGTTGAGGCTGCAGTGAGCGAGGATGACGCCACTGCACTCCAGCCTGGGCAACAGAGTGAGACCCTCTCTGTCTCTGTCTCTGTGTGTGTGTCTCTCTCTCTCACTCACTCACTCACACACACACACAAATAATCTTGGCTGGGCACAGCAGCTCATGCCTATAATAACAATACTTTGGGAGGCTAGGGGCAAGAGGATCACTTGAGGCCAGGAGTTCAAGACCAGCCCGGGCAACATATCAAGACCTTGTCTCTACACATAATTTAAAAATTAGCTGGTGTGGTGGCATGCACATGTGGTCCCAGCTGCTTGGGAAACTGAGGTAGGAGGATCACTTGACCCTGGGACGTCAAGGCTACAGTGAGCCATGATCACACCACTGCACTTCTGGACAACAGAGCAAGACCCCATCTCAAAATTTGAGACCTTATCTCAAATTAAAAAAAAACAAAAAAACAACTTATTTGAACTTTTCTCTCAGCCTTTCTCTTTTCACACTAAAAATTTCAGGTATTAATCTTCATCTTGCCACTGCTTCTCATTTTATTTTTAATTTTAGAGTTGGTGTCTTGCCATGTTGCCCAGGCTAGACTCAAATTCCTGGGCTCAGGTGATCCTCCTACCTCAGCCACCTGAATAGACGGGATTATAGGTGCACGCCAGTGTGCCAAGTTTATTTTTACGGTTCTTTTCAAGTCCACTTCTGTTCAGCATATCCCAGGTGTGGGTTATAGCCTGGCTTTGTACAAGGAAAAAGGCATTTTGCTGGAAGTTGGGCATACCTAACTCCTAAAATATTTTTTTCTTAGAATATCCTTGTTTTCTTTAGATTTCTATAGAGCACAAAATAATCTATTAGTATAATTTACTTTGTACTATAGAAAAAATACACAAGTTATTGATATGATGTTTCTAGTCTTTTTTCCTAACTTTGTTTTATTAAGAATTATTACAATCATTGTTACAGTAATTACTGTAATAATTCTTAATTGCTGTAATAATTATTACAGTTATTTCAGGCTTTATTGTTTACAACTGTTTTCTTGTTGAAAAACAAGGCCTTTTATTCTGTTAATTTCAAGATAAAAAAAATTTTCCTTTTACTCTCTGTGCTCCATAAGTGTTTGTAAAATGAAAGAACAACTCGAATAGTGTTTTTACAAATGAATAATATAAAAAGTTAATATTGTGTTACTTTTCTTTGAAGCATGAAAAAAAATTATAGAATATTTGGAAAGTCCCCCAAGAAAATAAAAGAGGATATTAAAATGACCCATGAGCCGTTCATGTAGAAATAGCCACTGTAAACGATTACCTTTTTTTTTTAATTAAAGTTTCTGTTTGCAGATACTCGTAACTGAGTTTTAAGCAAACAAGCGGGGAAATAGCTTTAAATGGAAATATATATATATAAAGCTCTAACACGTTTAACTTAGGAAAATAAATCAAACTCAGAAGATACTAGTAGACTTGAAATGGAGACTAGAAGCACCATTTCCAAATGCTACTTTTAAATAAGCTACCAAACCAGTACTTAAAGTATAGGAAACTTAAAGTTTTGGATTCTACCCTGTTTGTTTTTTGTTTTTTGTTTTTCCATAGAAACTTTGAGAAAGGAGAATGGGTAGTTGACAAAATGCAGGGGCAAAACTTCAAACCATCAACCAAAATAAAATATAATGCTGTATACGTGAATAGAGAAACCCTGTCAGATGCTTTTGGTTTACACCCTGATGAAGTTCTTGACAGCACTGCACAAGGAAATGATCTTGATGTGCTACCATTTCATTCTTTGCTGAATGTAGCCAATTTAAACTGCTAGAATTTCTTGACATTCCTAGTCTGGCGTATCTGAGTCAGCATCTTGTTGCTGCAGCAGCTTAATTAAATTTGCCAGTTTGTGGCACAAGGACGGACATGTTCTCATATTCAGAGTGACAGCTGTGAAGCAGTACTGTTAAGAGTGAAGACACAATACTGTTAGGTTTGAAGAGCTCTCAAGACGTTTTCTAGTGAGAAGTCAATTTGCTGTAATACATTTCTCCCAAGATCAGCAGTTAATGTTCATTTTGTTTACCTAAAATATGCTTATTTTTATACAATTATTTGAGAAACTTTAGTAGCTGTGTCTTTTTTTTACCTGTGTTATTTTCAGAGCCAACCTAAGCATCCTAATTTTAATTTCCAAAATTCTTCTCTCATCCCCTTATCAGCTCTTTGAGTAGTTTTTTATCCATTGTTTAGCTCTGAGAGAGTGGTCTTAAATATTTTTGCTTTATTTGGGGACCTACATATTTCTAAAATAGTGTTGTCATCTTTTGGAATTTTTGCCGTATTTATTCTAGTATTATAAAGTTAATTTAAAACTAATCAGTAGTAGTTTTGGATGGAATGTAACTCACCCTTTGTCCAGATGCAGATCTAAATTAGTAGTTCTCAGCCGTATCAGACTGATACCCTCCCACTTTTTATGACGGGTATTTATAAGAAATAAGATACCTCCTTTACTAGCTTAAAATGAAATTAATAGATATAATTTTTAAAAACAATAAATATATCCTATACCTATAAGTGTGAAATAATTTATTTTTTAATATTTAAACTCATAGACTACTGCATTATGAGATATAATGAGGTAGTGAGATGCATCAGTTAAAATGAATACAGTTCATTTATTTAAGTTCATTTAAAGTATTTAAGAGAAAATAAAGCATACCATAAAATAATCATAGGAAAAATAAAATGTACTGTTAGGATAAATAATAACAGACTAGACTTATTTGTATCTGGTAAGAGATAATAATGGACTAGACTTATTTGTACCTGGTAAGAGAAAGCCTGAAGGGGACTGTTAAAATATGCAGGATAGTACTGCATATTGCAGGCATTTAGTATTCCCCCTTCTGAATGCCTTTAATTCCCCCCTTTTGTGACAATCCAAATACACCTACAGGCTTCCAGAATGCCCTGGGGACATTAAAACTGTCATGATTGAGAACCACTGCTATGGATATTTTCTCTTTCTTCTCTTTCTTTCCCTTAATCCCTGATCATTATGTTCTTAGGATTCTCTTCAGTCATGTATTTGGTGTGTTCACTTTGGAAACCTAAGTTCTCCATAGTCCCATTGTGTTGATGTACATATCTACTTTTCTTTCTTCTTCATTGACTTGTCTAATGCACTTGATTATAATGTCCTGGAGTTGGAGATGGTACTATGCTTAGTGTTGTATTTCCAGTACCTGGCATAGGCTGGCACATGGTAGTTAATAAATATTAACAAATGGAGGAATGAAGAATGAGTCAGCAGATGTCCATCTTTCTCTTTAGTTTCCCTTCCTCTGTGGATTGTTGTGTAATTTGGAGCCAGGTTATAGGAACAGTTAACTGTGGTGGAAGTTATAGTGTACAGGCCAAGAAGTATAGTTTTTGATGCACTTCTAAAGTCTCTTATTTAAAATGTAGATTACAATAACTGAATAGCAAAAATAGAGATGGATTATGAATAAGATAAGGAAGTTGTGTTCATATACTTTAATTTGGATAAGGTGACTTCTTAAAAGCAGGGGTAGCATTTGTGAATCTAAGTAACAGAGAAACTCTCTAAAATAAAAGAAATTTATTTGGGAGTAAAGCATTGCAATGGGAGTATGTATGCCATGGTAAACTATGTGCGTATTCAGGGAGGTAAAGGAGGACAAAGATTTTTAAAGTAAAAAATTAGGATTATCTGATTGTTTTGAAATAGTTATACTTGATCTTTGAAAGATGAATAACAAAGGTGACACCAATCCAAGGACCGGCAGTTCCTGAACAAATACCCTTGCAGAAATATTTTGTTATGAGGAATTCAAACATGAGAACTCTGTCTTCATGGCCTTCACTAGCTCTTATTATCAGGGGTTTTGTGTTTTTTGTTTTTTGTTTTTTTTTAAGTTCCAGGGTGCATGTGCAGGATGCGCTGGTTTGTTACGTAGGTAAACGTGTGCCATGGTTGTTTGTTGTACTTACCAACCCATCACCTAGGTATTAAGCCCAGCATGCATTAGCTATTTTTCCTAATGTTCTCCTACCCCAACCCCACCCCGCAACACGCCCATGTGTATTCCCTTCCCTGTGTCCATGTGTTCTCATTTTTCAGCTCCCACTTATAAGTGAGAACATGTGGTGTTTGGTTTTCTGTTCATGCGTTAGTTTGCTGAGGATAATGGCCTCCAGCTCCATTCGTGCCCCTGCAAAGGACATGATCTCATTCCTTTTTATGGCTGCATAGTATTCCATGATATTAAGGGATTTTTAAACATTGGTGACTCCATTGTGATTCTAACAACCTTCACACATTCCATAAACACATATGGTAACAGGTTCTGAAGCTACTCACTACTTTCTCTTCTGGTACATTTCATTAACGATACGCCAGGATTTTTCTTTGGCATCCATGAAAAGCATAAAGTCATTTCCATGAACTCAGCCATGTACCAGAGTGATAGAGGATTGTACAACTTTTCCAAAACCAATACTGCTTTCAAAAAATATGGTGCATAATGTTAGAATTTTCTTAATTTTTGAGATAAGCAGAGGAAATCAGAACATTTAGAATCTCAGTGAATTTTGTTAATCTCAAATTTGTGATTCCTTTACATTCTGTTCTTAGTAGCTTTTATTCACCATATTAACTGATAAATCTTAGTGATGAATTTAAGTATTAAAAACTCAAATTTAATAAAATGTAAACATAAAGTACCTGCATGTGTAATTGGCAAGAACGATTTTCCCCTCTTTATTAATGGGAAAAAAACTTCTAAATTGAATAAGTATACCTCTTCCTCTCCATCAGGTAATTGAAGGTAAGTTTGCATTGTGATCATATGCCACAGAATACTTAATCTACTTTAAATGGCTAAACATCAAAATGCAGGTGGCAGAGTTAGATAATAATCCAGAGTTTACTCTGTTAATCACGCTATATTCTCCCTGGTGATTGAGAATCATGAAGTTCCATGATAGTAATCTTCATGTGAAAAGCACATATTTGTAAATTATATTTTGTTTTCCAGACGTATAGGAGAAAATTTGAATGCCTCAGCAAGTTCTGTAGAAAATGAGCCGGCAGTTAGTTCAGCAACTCAAGCAAAGGAAAAAGTTAAAACCACAATTGGAATGGTTCTTCTTCCAAAACCAAGAGTTCCTTATCCTCGTTTCTCTCGTTTCTCACAGAGAGAGCAGAGGAGTTATGTGGACTTGTTGGTTAAATACGCAAAGATTCCTGCAAATTCCAAAGCTGTTGGAATAAATAAAAATGACTACTTGCAGTACTTGGTATGTATTGTGTTCTTCAGTTTCAGGAAAAAATAATAAAAATTAGGAAATATTTTTATCTTAAATTTACATTTATGTTTTTAGGTCCCGTCATTTTTTTTAAAATGGAAAACGTAAGGAGATTGAGAGAGCAATGGTGCTTTAATTCTTTTGTTGGTTCCATTGTAGTTCAAGCATTTTGCTCTACTTCTGAGCATGACTCACTCCAGTTCATCTTAAGTACTAGCAGTAGAATTTTACATAGATTATACCAATTTTAAATTATTGCTTAATTATTTCAATTAAGACATTTCCAAATTCTCAATTATATAAATGATGCTATGCTGAACATCTTTGTAGCAAAATCTTTGTTCATATCAATGATAGTTTCCATAAGATAAATTCTTAAAACTGCCAGATCAAAACCTATGCATGTTTTCAAAGCTTTGATCTGCAGTTACACATGCATAAATTGTTCTGCAAAAAGTTTAAACCAGTTTGTTTGTACCTCTGTTGTATGACAGGTTTTGAAAAAACTATCTTCTCTAATCCTACAGGGGTAAGGTAAAAGAAAATCGAAATCAAATTTAAAAAAAGAAAAAACTATCTTCACTAATATTGGACATTACCTTTTTTGCCTTTAATTTAAAATGGGAAAAATGATCTCTTGCTTTACATTAATTTAATTTATGATTACTAATGACAGTAAGCATTTTCCATATGTGTATAAGCCATTTTTATTTTTTCTTTGGTAACTTGCCTATTTATATTATTTGCTCGTTTTTCTATTCGGATGTATGTCTTTTTAAAAAAAATTGAGGCCAGGCCCAGTGGCTCATGCCTGTAATCCCAACACTTTGGGAGGCTGAGGCAGGTAGATCACCTGAGATCAGGAGTTCAAGACCAGCTTGGCCAACATGGCGAAACCCCATCTCTACTAAAAATACAAAAAATTAGCCAGGTGAGGTGGCAGGCACCTATATAGCCAGCCCCAGCTACTCAGGAGGCGGAGGTTGCAGTGAGCCGAAATCGTGCCACTGCACTCCAGCCTGGGCAACAAAGCGAGATTCTGTCTCAAAAAAATAAATTAAAAAAAAAAATTTTTTTTGACAGCATTTTATAAAATCAACTTCTCAGTTCCTGAGCATGTATTGTATAGTCTTAGTCATTTGCTTTTCTATTTTGTGGAGTTTTTAATAACAGTTTATCATTACTGCATAATAATTTTTACTGACTTCTTTGATTTCTGCTTTGGATTTGATACTTTAATTATTCTTTAAGTCCAAATTATTATAGCAATGATTAAGAATGTGATTCTTTTTAATGAAACTTTTTATCCCAAGACATGTCTACTTTTTTAAAAATCAGGATATGAAAAAACATGTGAACGAAGAAGTTACTGAGTTCCTAAAGTTTTTGCAGAATTCTGCAAAGAAATGTGCGCAGGATTATAATATGCTTTCTGATGATGCCCGTCTCTTCACAGAGGTAAAAAAACAACTCACATTTGTGTAAATTGCGAAGTGATAGGCAATAGCAGCATTCTGAAATATGTGATGATTCCACCAAAAGCATTCGGAACTGTCAGTGTTACCAATTTAAAAACCACAGGTCTTTTCTTCATCATGCATTAAAATAGTAGAAAAACTAACATCTCAAAATTGTGTACTATAGTATATTTTTATGTATATTTATATTCTTTAACAATCCAGCTACTGTATTGTATCATTACATTTTATTCACATAATAGTTTGAACTGACCCACTGACTTCCCTTGTGAGAGAATAGCATTTAAAGCGTTATCCTGGTCCCTAAAAGTCTGAATGGCCTTTTAAAACTCGGTCAAGTGAACTTGTGCTCATTATGTTTGTGGTAACCAGCCACAAAATGATAAATTTCAACTCTGAGTTCATTTTTGGATACTTCACTCATTCATGCAAATTTATTAGTAAGACCTGTATATCATCCCAGCTTGTACCCTACCATCATTCATTGAGCCTACCAGAAAATTAAAGTATACTACTTAAACAGGCCAGGCGTGGTGGCTCACACCTCTAATCCCAGCACTTTGGGAGTCCGAGGTGGGTGGATCACCTGAGGTCAGGAGTTCGAGACCAGCCTGGTCAGCATAGTGAAACCCCATCTCTACTAAAAATAGCAAAATTAGCCAGTCGTGGTGGTGGGCGCTTGTAATCCCAGCTACTCAGGAGACTGAGGCAGGAGAATCGCTTGAACCCGGGAGGTGGAGGTTTGCAGTGAGCTAAGATTGTGCCATTGCAGTCCAGCCTAGGTGACAGAGCGATACCCTGTCTCAAAAAAAAAAAAAAAAAAGAATAAAGTATACTACTTAAATAATAACTATATATATATACACACACACATATTTGTAGTAGAGTTTATAAATATCAGTCTAAATTTGTTTAAGCCTTTAAAGCTGGTCACTGTGAACAATAGTGTTAATATATTTAACACTACTGAACTCTACACTTAAAAAGGGATAAGGTGGTAAATTTTACCGTAGCTTAAAAAAACAAAACTAGCCAGTCTAAGTTGAAGGACAGCAGGAGTGTTACACTTTCACTGTTTTTTTAAAAAGTCCGGACACGGTGACTCACACCTATTGTTTCAGCCCTTTGGGAGGCCGAGGCAGAAGGATTGAGCCCAGTAATTTGAAACTAACCTGGGCAACATAATAAAATCCCATCTATACAAAAAGAATTATCTGGCATGGTGGCATGTGCCTGTAGTCCTAGTCACAGCTACTTGGGAGGCTTAGGTGGGAAGATCACTTAAGCCCAGGAGGTGGAGGCTGCAGTGAGCCTTGATTGTGCTGCTACACTCCAGCTTGGATGACAGAACGTGACCCTGTCTCAGAAAAAGGAAGGAAAAAAAAAACACTGTAAGGAAGAATTTTGCTGTTAATACGAACCAGAAGAATGGTTCTTCTAAATAAACGAATTTGATTTTTATTTTCTGTGAACCTAAATATATCCAAAGGGAATGTCATAATTTTCTATGTGGAAAAGGAGCTGGCAGCTGTTCTTGTTTTGATAGTGCCTTTTAAAAGACCAGAATGATGTTTTTAATACATAAGTCATAGTCCAGGCTGGAGTGCAGTGGCACAATCCTAGCTCACTGCAGCCTTGAATTCCTGGGTTCAAGTGATCCTCCCCAGCTCAGCCTCCTGAATAACAAGGACATGGGCATATGCCACTGCAGCTAACTTTTTTTAGATACAGGGCCTCCTGTGTTCACCAGGCTGGTCTCAAACTCCTGACCTCAAAAATCCTTCTGCGTCAGCCTCTCAGAGTGCTGGGATTACAGCCCATCTTTCTTAGGAAGAGTCTTTACAAAGTTCTACAGTGGCCTGCATGATCTCTCCCCTCCCTCCCATCCCCCATCCTCACTTTCTACAAATTGCCCTATCAGTTATTCTTCCCCCACCTGCGGACTGGCCTTTACATTTCTTCAATACTGCAAGCATAGTCCTGCCTTAAGTCCTTTGGCATTTGGGGTTTCTATTTTTCTCAATCTATTCCCCGGATTTCTGCGTGTAGTAGTGTCTTGATTCTTTTAGGTCTCTGTCTGTTCAGATGTCACCTATCAATGAGGGTGTCCCTGATTACCCTATGGAATGTAGTATGACCCTCACTTTTCCCTTTACCACATTTTATTTTTGCTTATTGTCCTTCCCCTCACTGTTTTTGTAAAACAGTGCCTTTTTGTAAGTGCTGTTTTATTCACTCGTGGTCTTCCAATGACTAGAACAGTGTATGGCACGCTTAAGTGCTCAGGTGCTCAATGTAGATATTTCTTAGGTGAATATAAAACTGTACTTTATTAACAAAGTACATTACTTGGTAGCTAATGATAAATGATAAACATCATCATGTTTTTTTCCATATTGATGTGGCAGCACATTTTCTCCAAGTTGTATTTTACATCCCCATCCCAAAGATTCACTGATATTTTTCTGAGATCTTTTAGTTTTAAAATTTTATGTTGTACAATGTCACGTACATATGGAAAAGTATATAGAACGAAAGAAAAAATAGATGCAGCTTAACAGATAATTATATAGTAAACATCTACGTAACTCTTGTCCAGGTCAAGAAATAAAATAATGCCAGTAATTCAGAAGCCCCCTGTGTAGTCCTCTTGTATAATAAATAACATTCTCCTTACTTGAGTGAATAATCAGTGTCCCAGCTTTGGTGGTGATAAGTTCTGTGCTTTTTGTGTGTGTATGGAGGGTGGTAGTTCTACTTCTCTTTTGCCTGATTTTGTTGGGATTTTTTTTTCTTTTTTTAAGAGACGGAGCTTCGCTCTTGTCGCCCAGGCTAGAGTGCAATGGCACGATCTCAGCCCACTGCAACCTCTGCCTCCAGGGTTCAAGCTGTTCTGCTTCCGCCTTCCAAGTAGCTGGGATTACAGGCTCCTGCCACCACGCCCAGCTAATTTTTGTGTTTTTAGTAGAAATGGGGTTTCACCGTATTGGCCAGGCTGGTCTCGAACTCCTGACCTCAGGCGATTTACCTGCCTCGGCCTCCCAAAGTGCTGGTTTATAGGCGTGAGCCACCGTGCTTGGCCCTTTTTGCCTGATTTTGAATTTTATGGGAACAGAATCCTTTTGGGCCTTCCTTCTTTCATTCAGTATTGTGCTTTTTGATTCTTAGGTTGTATGAGTTGTAGTTCATTCATTTTCATTTCTGTCCATTTTTCCATTATATTAATAAATTACAATTTATCCTGTTGATCGGAACTTGGGTTGTTTCCATTTGGGAGCTTATTCTAAGCAGTACTCTTAAGAAAATTCTCATACATTTCTTTTGGTACACATACGCACACGTTTCTGTTCGATATACAGATGCTTCTTGACTCACGATAGAGTTACATCTCAGTAAACCTGTAATGAATTAAAGATGCATACACCTCATCTACCAAATATCATAGTGTATTTTATCCTACTCTACATATGCTCACAATACTTATATTTACTTACAATTAGGCATAATCATCTAACACAAAGCCTATTTTATAATAAATTATTGAGTGTCTTGTAATTTATTGAATGCTGTACGTTGTGACAAAATTGCAATGGTTTGGCACCATCATAAATTTGGAAAATCATTTAGTGGAACCTTCATAAGTTGGGAACTGTTTGTATACCTATAAGTGGAATTATTCGGTCATAGAGTATGCGTATCTTCAACTTGAGTAGATTTGCAAATGGTTTTCCAAAGTGGCTATACCAGGTTATATCAATTTACATTCTAACCAGCAGTGTTTAAGAGTTCTGTTGCTCCACATCTCAGACATATATATATATGTATATAGAGGGAGAGAGAGAGGGAGAGCGAGAGCCAGAGAGAGCGCATGTTTTCATATGTTCCTGCTCACTTTTTCTTGCAGAATGACTGTTCATTTTTTCTAATTGATATGTAAGATTTCTTTGTATATTCCAAATACAAAAACTTTATGGGCTATGTATGTTGCAGTTTTTCTCCTTTTTCTGTTTTGAATTTTATCTTTTTCTATTGACAAGTTAAAATTGTATATATTTATTTTGTACTGTATGTTTTTTAAATATGTATACATTGTGGAAAGGCCAAACCGGACTAATTAACATATGCATTACCTCACAAACCTGTTTTTTTGTTGTGAGAACACTTAAAATCTACTCTCTTAGCAGTTTTCAAGAACACAATACATTGTAATTAACTATCATCACCATGTTTTATAATTGATCTCTTGAATTTTTCCTCCTGACTGAAATTTTATGTCAACTAACATTTTCCCCACCACCCCAGCTGTTAATGCTCACTGCCTAGATGTATTCATTCACTGTGGTTTGCACAGTTGTAATATTCTGATTGCATCATTTATTCATTGGAATACTTTTTAAAAGATATGCTTTCCCTTACTTACTATTTGGTTTCCCAGTTCATGTAGCTTACCATGTAGCAGAATAAATACTAGATTCTTTCCTTTTAAATACCACTTTTAAAAAAATTAGTTCCTTCTTATTCTCCAATGTTGGTGTCTTTTCTTTTTTTAAAATGTTATTATTAAATCATGGAGTTAAATATATATGTGTTTCTGTCCACTACGATTATTATCCTTTGTAAGCCTCAAATAGTATTAACTCACTGAGAGGCTCTTCCTACTGGCTTTTCAGTCAGTCTGGTAGTCTTTGAGGCTCATTTTGTACACTTCCTGCCCTGGCCCTGGAATCAGCCATTTTCAAGAGCCCTTGTTTCTTTTAGTGTGAAATGATATTTCAAGACTACAATCTGGGCACTATGGATGCTCCTGGGTTGATCATTGTTTTGAGAATAATTCAGTGGATAGAACTAGGAAATAGATTTAAAGGAAAAATACCTCATATGTCTCATTTGCTTTATCCCACATTACACTCACAACAGCCTCAAAATAACAATATTAATACTAGTGATCAATACGATTACTGAAAACAGTTGAAATTATTTTTCTTATGCTCTTCTCATTCTCCCCCACATTTTTTAAAAGATTGCACTGTGTTTTTATTGTTAGAGCATCATATAGTAGCCATTAAATACTAAAGCCTCCCTTTTAAATCCACATTTAATTTTTAAAACAATTTTATTAAGGTATAATTTACATATAAAAATTACTCATTTTAAGTGCATTTCTTTTGTGAAATGTCTATTGAAGTATTTTGCTGATTTTTTAATTTGCTTTTATTTTTATTAAGCCGTAAAGTTTCTTTATATAGTCTGAATACAACTCCATTATATACAAACTGGTTTTCTTCCAGTTTGTGATGTATTTTTAAATTTTTTAAATAGTGTTTCAAAGAACAGAATTTTAATGGTCTAATTTATCAAAAATTTTTGTGGTTAGTGATTTCATGTGTTCTAGCATAGAAATATTTGCCTATCCCAAGTGATTCTCAGACTGGAGTCAGTTTTAATCCTTCCTGACTCGCCCCCCCACCCCACCCATCCCTAGGACTTTGACGGTGAGACATTTTTGGTTGTTACAACTGGTGGAATGCTACTAGTATCTACTGCGTAGAGGCCAAGGATGCTGCTAAACATACTAAATGCATGTGAGTGATGTCCCCCGCAACAAGGAGTTATCCAACTGGAAGTGTCAGGGGTGCTTGCATTGAGAAACCCTAATCTAAAGGGCTTACAGTTTTAACTTATACATGAAAATAAGTCTATGTTGATTTCAAGTTAATTTTTGTGTAAGATACAAGGTAAGGATCAAAGTTCATTTTTTCCCGTATGAATATCTATGAATATCTAGTTGTTCTAGCATAGTCATTTTCAACTGAGAGTGACTTTGCCTCCTAATGGACATTTGGCAATGTCTAGAGCTTGGTAGGGGTGCTGATGGCGTCTAGTGGGTAGAGCCAGAGGTGCTACTAAATATCCTACAGTGTACTGGACAGCCTAACACTACAAAGAATTATGTGGTCCAAAACGTCAGTAATGCCAACGTTGAGAAACTCTGCTTTAGCACAGAGTTTGGTTGAGAAGGGTATTTTTTCCCTTACTGAGTTACCTCGTCACCATCATGTGGATCAATTTTTTTTTGGAGACGGAGTCTCCCTCTCTCGCACAGGCTGCAGTACAGTGGCGTGATCTCTGCTCACTGCATCCTCTCCCTCGCGGGTTCCAGCAACTCTCCTGCCTCGGCCTACCGAGTAGCTGAGATTACAGGCACCTGCTACCACACCCAGCTAATTTTTTTGTATTTTTAGTGGAGATGGATTTCACCATGTTGGCCAGGCTGGCCTCGAACTCCTGACCTCAGGTGATCCACCTGCCTCCTTGGCCTCTCAAAGTGTTGGGATTACAGGTGTGAGCCACCGCACCCAGCCTGGATCAATTTTTTGACTCTGTTTTGTTCCATTAATCTGTATGTCTGTCTTGATGCCAAAACCATATGGTCTTGATAACTGTAGTTTTGTAGTCCTGAGATCATGGGTTCTTTACATTCTTATGTAAATTTTGGAATCAGCTTGTCCATTTCTACAAAAATCTAGGTGGGATTAAAACTGTTCAGCTAGATTGCTTTCCTTTCTTTTAAAAATAAAATCTGATAATCTCTTTTAATTAGAAAGTTTAGTGATTTACATCCATTATGATGACGGTATATATTGATTTGTTTTTGCTTCTTTTACTTTTTCTGTGTTTTTTTTTAAACTCCTTTTGAGGGGATTGACATTTTTCCTAGTGTCCCCCTCTCTGTTGGTTTGGAATTTACATGTCGACTTTCTGTTCTCTTAGTGGTTACTCTTGAATTTTTATAGTCAATACTTCCGTTATTCAATATCAACTAGCCTCCCAAACAATATAGAAATCATAGAGCATTTTGACTCTCATTACATCCCTCTTGACTTGTATGCTATTTTTGTTGTAATGCTGTTTCTTTTTTAAACTTACCCACATTATTGTTTTATATGGACTATATTTGTTTTAATTTATCTACAGGTTTGCTAGATTTTGGCCCACCGTTTCTTCTCAAACCTACATTCTGAGATTCTTTCATTCTTCCTGAAAACCTATGTATTCTAGATGTGCCTTTGATGAGGGTCTCTTAATGGTGAACAGTCTCCATTTTTGTTTATTTGGAAATCTTTTATCTCTCTTGTTCTCATTTTAGTAAGATCATTGTATTTCATACGCAATTCAAAGTTGGCAGTTACCTTTTTTCCACGACATTTAAAGATAATCCTACTTCTTCATGTTATTGTTGAAAAATGTGTTGTCTAATTGTCATTTCTTTTAGGGCTTCTGTCTTTTCTTACTGTACTTTAATTTTGGTGTTTTAGAGTTTCATAAAAATATGCTTTTTAATAAAATCCTGCTGGCTGATTGTGTTTATTGTGTCTATGGATTTATAGCCTCCATTAGTTCTGGAGAATTCTCAACCATTTTCAGTGATTGCTTCTCCTTCATTTTGGTAAAGTATACATAACAAAATTTACCGTTTTCACCATTTAAGTGTACAGTTCAATAACGTTAAATACATTTACATTGTTATGCAGGTATCACCACCATCCATCTCCAGAACTTTTCGTCTTCCCAAACTGAAACTGAGTACCCATTAAACAGTAGCTCCCTGTTTCCTCTTCCCCTCAGTTCCTGGCAACCACATTCTGTTTCTGTCTGTATAAGTTTCATTATTCTAGGTTCCCCATATAAGAGGAAACATACAGTATCTGTCTTTTTGTGACTGGCTTATTTCACTTAGCATAATGTCCTCAAGATTTGTCCAAGTAGTAGCATGTGTCAGAATTTCTTTCCTTTTTAAGGCTGATTAATATCCCGTTGTGTGTGTGTGTGTTTGTGTGTGCGCGTGTGTATTACATTTAGTTTATCTGTTCATCCATTGATAAACACTGGAGTTGCTTCCACCTTTTGGCTGTTATGAATAATGCTGTTATGAACATAAATGTACATATATCTGTTCAAATCCCTGCTTAAATGTAGAAGTCTTACGTTTCGCTTCCCACCTGATCTTAGAACTGGTTGAAGAATTAGCCCTTAAGCCACCTCACCTTTCATAGGTTTTCTTACTGCTCACTGCTCTAGTTTCTCCTCTATGTGTTGATTTATGGTTTTTGCATATTTTCCTCACTTTTCACCAAGCCCAGAAATATTTTTCCTTTCCAGCCCAAAATAAAATTTAGGGGGCATTTTTTATAATGATAGATCTGTATTGTATAAATGCATTTGCTTTTGGTGTATTTAATTCTCAAGATATTTTGAGTATTAAATACTAATAGCACTCAGTGGGTGAGTGATGGGGAACAGCCTGAATCTTTTAACTTCCTGTGTTCAGTTAGTTATTTTTCAAAGAAAGATAAATTATTAATATAAAACATTTTTTTGCTACATAAGCTAAATAATGATCGTTTAGTTGATCGAATACCTACCAGTTGTAAAATACTTCGATAATTGTATAATGTATCAGAGTATAGGTGTAAAACTGTCTTAGATTTTCCTTTGACTCTCTTGCTGTAGTTACTGAATTAAGTAAATTCAGTTAAAAACACTAACATCCACCACAGTTTTACCAGGAATGATGTGCCAATGAATATGTAACAAGAATGGTCTCTATTTCACATAGTTCTTATTTATCACCTTCCTTTGCATATTCAAATTCTTGTAATAACTACCATAGGAAGGGAATGTTGCAAGTGAAAGTTAACTAATAGTACAAATAAGGAGCAAAGATATTTTGCAGATACGAGTTTGCAGTTGACTCAGATTTTTTAAAACTTTTCCATATTAGTCCACATCTGTGTTAGTTACAAATGATACCATGAATTAAATAGATCTTCCATGAAAAGCATAGATGAAGAGAGAAAATGTGAAAGATAGCAGGCAGTAGAGATTAGAAAAGGGCGGAAGGGGTTCTGAAACTATAGATGAAAAGATATACTGGAGTAAAGTTACTGATTTGTAACGTGACACATTTTACAAATATGTGAAGGGAGAGGGGATGTAGATATATAGGATAAAGATAATACATAAAGAAGATGTCAAGAGCTTTTGTGACCTAAAATATTTTCTAAGACATTTCAGATAAGGTTCGTTGACAGAAGAAGAAAAAATATGTATCTTAGAAGATAATGTGTGTGTGTGTTTTAATCAAACAACTCTTCCCCACCCCCAACAGCTGTGCATCTCTGAATTGTTTCTATATTATCAGAAGTGGCACATATTATTCTCACAGAAAGCTGTGAATTTTATTAACTTACAGATTATGTTTCCTGATAAGTCATTAATATTTTGAAAACAGTTTGGAGGAAAGAAAATACTAAGTACTCCATCATTTGGATTAGTTATAACATTTCTCATTGATTTTTTTTAGATTATAGATTAGAGTGACCTGTAAGATAACTACTTCATTAATTCATTGTGCTTGGGAATGTTCTTAGAGTATACTACTTAATTTCTAATTATTCATATAACTGCTTTGATTGCAGAAAAGTGTGTTGAAATTTTCATGTGCCTTTAACAGTTTCTTAAATGACATGGAAAATATGTGTCTTCTCTAATTTTAAATTTTAATGAGACTGCTAATTTTAGTATTAAACATCAATATTGTAAGTAACTGGGTTAAAAATATGAAAATAAAGAATATACAATGTGTGTATTAGTAGCTTGATTAATGAAATCGGGCTAATTTTTGCAATGAATAATTACATAGTCACATGTAACTAAAAATTTTCTTTTTGCATTATTAGAGAAATACAAATGAATTTTTCTTAATTTCTGTTTCTCAGAAAATTTTAAGAGCTTGCATTGAACAAGTGAAAAAGTATTCAGAATTCTATACTCTCCACGAGGTCACCAGCTTAATGGGATTCTTCCCATTCAGAGTAGAGATGGGATTAAAGTTAGAAAAAACTCTTCTCGCATTGGTAAGGTTTATTATCAGACGATATAAGCTTTTTTTTGTCTGAAATAGTGTGTGTGTGTGTGTGTGTGTGTGTATATATATATATATATATTTATTTATTTATTTATTTTTTTTTTTGGAGACAGAGTCTCTCTCTCGTCGCCTGGCGTGTAATGGCATGATCTCGGCTCACTGCAGCCTTCACCTCCCAGGTTCAGGTGATTCTCCTGCCTTAGCCTCCCAAGTAGCTGGAATTACAGGCGCCTGCCACCAAGCCTGGCTGATTTTTGTATATTTAGTAGAAGTGGGGATTTCACCATGTTGGCCAGGCTGGTCTCGAACTCCTGACCTCAGGTGATCCACCTGCCTTAGCCTCCCAAAGTGCTGGGATTACAGGAGTGAGCCACTGCACCTGGCTCATGTATATTTTATATAGACATTAAATTTTAAGCAATAATTAGATAACTTTTAAAATATGTAATACCAATCTGTTTCCCTTTCTTTTTATTCTGTGGATAGAAATACTTGATGTTTTTAAAAATGTCACTACTTTGTTCCTTGATTTTCTTTTCTTACCACCCATCTGAATGCCCCTGAATACAAGCAGAAAGCCCCTTTTTTTAATGGGATTTTATTGACAAACATATTGGAAATAAGTGTGTGGAGAGGATATTTTGGAGTTTCTACCATCCCCGTTATGATTTGTATCTCCTGAAAGGAGAGGATAGACTTTAAAGTGGCAGGAAAAATTCTATGAAACTGGCCTGGTATGATGGCTCACACCTATAATCCCAGCACTTTGGGAGGCCGAGGCAGGCGGATCACTTGAGGTCAGGAGTTTGAGACCAGCCTGGCCAATATGACGAAACCCCGTTCCTACTAAAAATACAAAAATTAGCTGGGCATGCTGGCACACACCTGTTATCCCAGCTATTCGTGAGGCTGAAGTGAGAGAATTGCTCGAACCCAGGAGGCAGAGGTTGCAGTGATCTGAGATCATACAACCGCACTTCAGCCTGGGCAACAGAGTGAGACTTAGTCTCAAAAAAAAAAAACCCACAGGTAGTGGTTGTTAAGCAAAAACATGAATATCTTGGCATAAAGTTTCTAAATCTGATGTTTACATTTAGTAGAATTATAAAGTTCAAGTTAAGAGTTTCATATGATGAAAGATACTTTTCTTAGAAAAAATACATTGCGATTTTTGCAATAAAATGATTTTTTTTTCATATTTAGGGCAGTGTAAAATATGTGAAAACAGTATTTCCCTCAATGCCTATAAAGTTGCAGCTGTCAAAGGACGATATAGCTACCATTGAAACGTCAGAACAAACAGCTGAAGCTATGCATTATGTAAGTACCAAGGCAACATTGGATCTTCCTAAATAATCTTTTATATCTCACAAAATATATCTAACCCGATTGTCCCAAAGTCCCCTTTCTGACTTTTTTTGTTCTTTATTGAAGAAATTTTCAATAAGTATAACCAAGTAACAAATTACTTGTTGTTTTTCAGGATATTAGTAAAGATCCAAATGCAGAGAAGCTTGTTTCCAGATATCACCCTCAGATAGCTCTAACTAGTCAGTCATTATTTACCTTATTAAATAATCATGGACCAACGTACAAGGAACAGTGGGAAATTCCAGTGTGTATTCAAGTAATACCTGTTGCAGGTTTGTAATTTGCTATGTCAAATAATGCTCTCAAAAAAGAGAAGTTGGACTGCATGTTCTCACTCATAAATAGGAGTTGAACAATGAGAACACATGGACCCAGAGAGTGAAACAACACACACCGGGGCCTGTCAGGGGGTGGGGGGCAAGGTGAGAGAGAGCATTAGGACAAATACCTAATTCGTGCAGGGCTTAAAACCTAGATGACAGGTTGATACGTGCAGCAAACCACCATGGCACATGTATAGCTATGTAACAAACCTGCCCATTCTCCACATGTATCCCCGAACTTAAAGTAAAATTTAAAAAAAAGAAAAAAGAGGTTGGAACCATTTCATTTCAGCTGTCTAAATATAGGTGGTCAGTTGTCAGATATCAAAGTACTGATTTAAGGAGGATGTAAGTTTGACACATTCAGTGAAACTTTTTTATGTGTAAAGCTACTTTAGGCTCAGCACTACTAAATGAATTAATTAGGTCTATAGCACCTGTAGTCATGTTTAAGGGTGAGAGTTAGAGACAAAATGATGGCATAGGGTGGCCAAGAAATACATGAAATGGTCAGGTTGTTCTGTCTTTCACTGAAATGAAAGGAACGTAGTACTTTAGTAGACAACCTCAAATGGGTGAGTTTTTATGACTTATTTACTTGTTCGTTACTGGAATTTGGAATAACAGTAAGTCTATACATATAAGCAATAGGGTAGTCTTTCTTTTGACAATAAAATTAATATTTGCATATTCCTGTATATAAGAAATTATGTCCATACTGTTTTGATATTTAATTTTTTAAACATCTTTCAGAGTTAATATATGTCACAGCATAAATACAATAAATGAAAGACTATGTCTATTGAAACAAAACTACAAATTAGAGTTAAATGTAATATATTCTATGTGGTAAATATTTCATCACTTTTTGCAAGTTCCTATAAGAAACTGAGTAATAATGACAGTAAGAATATAATAGTAAAAACCAGAAAATCCTTTTTAAACATTGCTAGAAAGACATTTTTCTCCTGCCAGTTGGATTTTCTTGCCCTTAGATTTCTAAAGGACTTTAATATCTGCTAGTCTAAGGGTAGCAAATATATGGGACATGTGCTGCCATTCTCCTGTGTCTCTTTGTTTGGTGATCCTCATGTCATACATCCTGTTTTTAAAAAATATATCACAATTAGATACTAATCACCTCTTTTCTTTGGTTTCTGTTTTAAGGTTCAAAACCAGTTAAAGTAATATATATTAATTCACCACTTCCCCAAAAGAAAATGACTATGAGAGAGAGAAATCAAATCTTTCATGAAGTTCCATTAAAATTTATGATGTCCAAAAACACATCTGTTCCAGTCTCTGCAGTCTTTATGGACAAACCTGAAGAGTTTATATCTGAAATGGACGTATGTAATGCTTTTTTTTTCCCCTAAGGGGAATGTACTTGTTTATCCTTTTGAAGCATAAAGTTTTATTGCAAATCCCTAAACCTAGTAGTTAAAAATACAGGCTTTAGATTCAAACTGAAATTGAATTTCGAGTCTAGCTGGACTTTAGGCAACTAACTTAACCTCCCTCAGCCTAAGTTTTCTCCTTTCATACATGAAAGGAAGTAGTACCTACTTGACAAGGTTATTATGAGGGTTAAGTTTGATATTTTATGTTAAAGGCTGAGCACGTTTTTAGTTATGTATGTAGTGAAAACTCCTTGATGGTGGTGGTTAATATGAGGTTTTGTTTAATTGGTCTCATTCATATTCAAGAGTTTTATTTTTTTGAGATGGAACCTCACCCTGCCACCCAGGCTGGAGTGCAGTGGTGCGATCTCTGCTCACTGCAACCTCCGCCTCCCGGGTTCAAGTGATGCTCCTGCCTCAGACTCCCGAGTAGCTGAGATTACAGGTGTGCACCACCATACCCAGCTAATTTTTTGTAGTTTTAGTAGAGATGAGATTTCGCCATGTTGGCCTGGCTGGTCTCAAACTTCTGACTTCAGGTGATCCACCCATCTCAGCCACCCAAAGTGCTGGGATTACAGGCGTCAGCCACTGCACCTGACCCATATCTAAGAGTTTTTAAGTGTGAAAAGGAACAGGTGAGCTTAATTTGATTGTTACAGAAAGTATTTTGCCAGATTGTTAATCTTCAGTATACTTAGTAGCTATGTGACCTCGGGCAGATTACATAATATCTCTGTGTCTAGTTTGCTTATCTGTAAAATGGGCATCATGATATTACCTAACTCATAGGATTGTTTAGGTTTAAATGAATTTGTACATATAAAGCATTTAGAGTAACACTTGGCACTCTGTAAATATTAGCTTTTATTATTCTGTATTTTAAAATATTTTTTCCATTATTTTTAAATACATTGTTTATAGAGAACTTGATTCATTCATTCCATAAGTTTTTATTAAGCAGATACTATTCTATGCAGGGAGGAAGCAGCAGTGAATAAAAACAAAACCTGTTTTCCCTCAGACCTTAAATAAGTGGCAGAGGGCCCAGATAACAGTAAAAAAGCAGGTAGTGGTAAATGCTATGGAGAAAAATAGAGTACGTTAAGGGGAAATAGAGAGATGGGTGGGGAAGGGGTCATTTTATATTCACGATTAAGAAGGTTTTTCTGAGGATAGGAAATGTGGACAGAGACTTGAGTAAAATGAGGGAGCAAACAAAATTTTAAAATATAAAAATGTTTTTCTTGTACTTAAGAGCTCATACAATTTTAAGGATATTGGCCTTTTGGTTTTTATATTTGTTTATGTTTTTCTCTTTGCCATTTGCCTTTTAATATTTTTATGATACATATGTCATAAAGCATTTTTAACTTATGTTTTCTTCTTACACATTTTACTTTTAAAAATCTGCCTAAAACTTATATTGAGGTGAATGTCAGGCAGTAACAAGAAGAAACATGAGGTAGGTTAAAAGGGATGAAAATTGACAGTGGCTTCTTTCAGTAATGGTAGACCAGGTAATTTGGACCCTCCTTTTATTGATGACATCTAAAAAAGCTGGACAAATATTAAAATGTCTTTCTTAGAAGTATCAAAAAGCTAACAAGATAGTGAGGAATTGTAGGGCTGAGATACTGAAGAAAACAGGATTCCCAGAAGGTAAGCCTATTATACTTAGGGTCATTTTTTCCTTGGATTATATGTGCCAGTTCTGAAGAGGCAACTAAGAAAATGAACTGTGCTTTTGGCAGCATCATAGGACTAGGGGGATAAAAGGAAAACTTCAGTTTTCCACCAAGGGCCTGGACCCCAAAGGGGCTGCACCTCAGGAGTCAGGGTGAACCAGAAGTAAATGAGCTTTCTCTGAAATGACAGCCTGAGTTTTCAGGCCCTGAACTTGGAGTAAAATGCTTTTTCTGGATTGTGCAGGTAAAAGTAAGTAAAAATGAGAGGATGATAATGCTTTTTTTGCCTCAAATTATTATACTTCTTAATGTCTATTAGTCTAATTTATGTTGCTAAGTGTTCTGGAATTATTTTGATTTCTGTGGTCCAACAATTTGGAATGTTTTTAAATTTTGAAGTGCTTGAGTTTATTGTTTGTTTACATTTTTCTTAATGATATCTAATTTTATTTCCTTCTGAACATAGAATAAGACTTTATCAGATTCTGCTTTGGTCTATATTGAGATTTTCTTTGTATATTAATTTATAGTTCATTTTTTGAAATGCCCTTTGGATTCTTGGGAAGGGAAAAAGTGTATCTTTGTAGTCTGTTTATATATGTATTTTCAATCTTTCATATATATTCTCATCGTTTATTATTATTCATACTTTCTGGATTCCTTTTTATTTTTTACTTAGAGACAGTATCTCATTGACTTAGTATAATTGTGTCTCTGTCAAATTTTTCTTTTATTTTTCAGTTTGTACAATAAAAATTTATGACCACTATCTGTTTATCATGGATTTTCTTTTTTCAAACTAGCATTTCTCCCTTTTCTATATAACGCTTCTTGCTTTGAATTCTGCTTTGTCTAACACTTTCATTGCTATTCTTCCTCTTTTTATCTCTTGATGGCATCTGTAGTTGTTTTGTTTTTAACCTTTTTGTGTAGGAATGCCTCACATAAGCAGCATATAGTTTAATTATACTTTTTTACTAAATTTGGTAGTCTTTTAGTAGGAATTACCATTCACTAGCTACCATTTACTGAGAGGCTACTTACTATGTGACAGCCACTATGCCAAGAGATTTTCTATATATAATTTCTCACTTAATCTTTAGAACAAATCCAAGAAGATGCCCCTGCTGTACCTGTTTTAGAGATGAGGCCGTTGAGGTTCAGAGAGGTTGAGTAACTTACACGAGTTGATCTTTCTTACTCACTGCTGGTGACTGTTAGAACCTTTCTCTTAAATCCTCAACTGTAAGGCTAGTGGATGTACATAACCAGTTATGAAATTTCTATGGTATTTAAAGTGCTCTGTCAGATTGAAGAGAGGTCTTCTGGTGCTTGTCTCCTTGTAGAGGGGACAGTGTAGTCCTGAATAAGTTAAAAGCCGTGTGTAGTTTTTCCATTACCAAAACAGTACATGAAAAACAATATTTATGACTTCATGTCTCAGAATACAATAAACCACCTTCTGTCAATTTCTGCCCCATCTTTTATTGCTAAGAGTTGTTTTCCCTGAGTAGTTGTGGAAAGAAAGTCACTGGTTGATATTAAGGGTGCACCAGAAGCTGGCGACACTTCTCTGGACGCATTAAAAAGCAGCGTCCTCACAGTGGCAGAGGGACTTTCCTCCTGGTCAGCTAAGACCAAGTGTCTCTGCAGGAGCCTATAGAGTAGACATAAATGAAAATCTGCCTCCCGTTTGGCCCTACATTTCTTCTTTGTGGTCTTGTCTATTTTTTGATTCGTTGAAATTCCTCTTGAGATGTGGTAGTTTGTAAATATTCCATTTCTTGTGCTATTATAACTTGGCAAATTTGCCTGTTATCATGAACATATCAGTGGGAAGATGAGGTTAATAATAGCTGGTAGTAGTTTGTTGTCATCTTAAACAAGAACCTTTTACAACCATTAGACTTTTCTTTCTACTTTAAAAGAGCAGGAAGTATGTATGACAGGGATAGGGACATTAAGAGATAGGTAGGGTGGCTTGAAATTTTTACTAATACTTTACCAATTTATTTACATAAGATGTCCTGTGAAGTCAACGAGTGCCGAAAAATTGAGAGTCTTGAAAACTTGTATTTGGATTTTGATGATGATGTCACAGAACTTGAAACTTTTGGAGTAACCACCACCAAAGTATCAAAATCACCAAGTCCAGCAAGTACTTCCACAGTACCTAACATGACAGATGCTCCTACAGCCCCCAAAGCAGGAACTACAACTGTGGCACCAAGTGCACCAGACATTTCTGCTAATTCTAGAAGTTTATCTCAGATTCTGATGGAACAATTGCAAAAGGAGAAACAGCTGGTCACTGGTATGGATGGTGGCCCTGAGGAATGCAAAAATAAAGATGATCAGGGATTTGAATCATGTGAAAAGGTATCAAATTCTGACAAGCCTTTGATACAAGATAGTGACTTGAAAACATCTGATGCCTTACAGTTAGAAAATTCTCAGGAAATTGAAACTTCTAATAAAAATGATATGACTATAGATATATTACATGCTGATGGTGAAAGACCTAATGTTCTAGAAAACCTAGACAACTCAAAGGAAAAGACTGTTGGATCAGAAGCAGCAAAAACTGAAGATACAGTTCTCTGCAGCAGTGATACAGATGAGGAGTGTTTAATCATTGATACAGAATGTAAAAATAATAGTGATGGAAAGACAGCTGTTGTGGGTTCTAACTTAAGTTCCAGACCAGCTAGTCCAAATTCTTCCTCAGGACAGGCTTCTGTAGGAAACCAGACTAATACTGCTTGTAGTCCTGAAGAGTCATGTGTTTTAAAAAAACCTATCAAACGAGTATATAAAAAATTTGATCCAGTTGGAGAGATTTTAAAAATGCAGGATGAGCTCTTAAAGCCAATTTCCAGAAAAGTACCAGAATTGCCCTTAATGAATTTAGAAAATTCTAAACAGCCTTCTGTTTCTGAGCAATTGTCTGGTCCTTCAGACTCCTCTAGTTGGCCGAAATCTGGATGGCCTTCTGCATTTCAGAAGCCAAAAGGACGTAAGTAAATATTTACAAAGAGCTTACAGTGTTTTACTTGTTCTTTTTCCTTAGGTTTTTCTCCCTCGTTCCTTTACTTTGTCATAACCTGTTTTGTAATTGTCATATAGTCACTGATATTTCATTTTTTCGATCTATTGATCAGTATTTCAGCTTCCAAAATAATCCTCTCTAGATATGTATACAAAGGCGTATGGGTCTTGCAGCTTGTGTTTATCTAACATGTACAGTGACTGCTAAGCTATAGGTAATGTGATTTGTCAAATTGGTGAAGGGTAAGTGCATCCAGAATAATCATAAACATTGATTGATTTAAAATTTATTTATACTTGGTGTTGGACTGCAGTTTTATACTTTTTGGTTTTGTGAAATAAATCTGCTCCTCAGCTCTGCCTAGATTAGGAATAACATTACTTTTTAAACTTTTTATTTTTCTCACATGGTATGCTGTCTCACGAATTTATACTTTGCCTAGAGTTAGTGAAAGTTAAAAGGAGAAGAACCTTAAAGCTAGGATTTCAGCTCTTACTGCAGTTCCAGTAAAAGTAAACAGAAATGGTAATAGTGTGAGGGTCCCTTAGGCAGAGAAGTAGAAAATTAAAGATGATAGAAGTTTTAAAATAGTTAATTGAATTGTTGTATCCTTGCTTATGATGGGTAAGAGCTAATGTATTTTAAAAATGAGAAATACTATTTTTAAAGGATTGCCATATGAACTTCAGGACTATGTTGAAGATACATCGGAATACCTAGCTCCTCAGGAAGGAAATTTTGTTTATAAGTTATTTAGCCTGCAAGACCTGTTGTTACTCGTACGCTGCAGTGTCCAGAGGATAGAGACAAGACCACGTTCTAAAAAACGGAAGAAAATCAGAAGAGTAAGTTGTTATTTGCGGAGTTAGAATATGATCACATAAATAATCAATAGATACTTAACATGCCATTACTGTGAAGTTTAAATTGTTGAGCACTCATAGTAGTATCTTCAGGTTGAGTTTTGTTTTTTGTTTTTTGTTTTTACTAAAATGCTGAGATCGATTTTAATAAGGGAAAGTGTTTGTATATAGTAGCCATAAATGCCGGTAACATTCATGCTTGGAATATACAGATTGAGCAGCCCTAATCCAAAATTCAAAATGCTCCAAAGTTTGAAAACTTTTAAGCTCCGGCATGGTATCACAAGTGGAAAATTCCACACATGACCTCGTATGATGGGTCACAGGCCAAACTCCAGTCAAAACTTTGTTTCATGTGTAAAAGTATATAAAATATTGTATAAAATTACTCTCAGGCTCTATGTATATGGTGGATATGAAACATAAAAGGGTTTTGTGTTTAGACTTGAGTCCTGTCCCCAAGATATCTCATTATGTATATGT
This sequence comes from Homo sapiens, assembly GCF_000001405.40. Classification (NCBI taxonomy): domain Eukaryota; kingdom Metazoa; phylum Chordata; class Mammalia; order Primates; family Hominidae; genus Homo; species Homo sapiens. The sequence continues at coordinate 60,447,468 of NC_000015.10, read as the reverse complement.
AAATATTCGAAAATCCAGAAAAAAATCCAAAATCTGAAACACTTCTGGTCCCAAGCATTTCAGATAAGGGATACTCCACCTTTATAAACTTTTTAAAAAATGGCATCATCATAGATTACATCTAGATTGGCATATATATACCTGTTTTCTCTGGGAATTTGGATTTCCATTATTACATGTGAACTCGAGTTCTTTTCACTTTGGGGCTCTTGTTGACTTACTTTAGAAGTCCAAGTAGAACTTTTGAAAGATGGCCTTTCACACATATGTAAGGTCTTTTCAGGACTGTTAGAAGACCAAATCTCTTCCTTTCTTTTTTCCCCTGTTGTTTCTTTTGGGTTTGATATAAATATTTTCCTCAGGAAAAAAAATGTATTGCTGCAATTTGAGTAATTACTTCTTTTAAAAATTTTTCATATTTGAAATTCTCTTTCAGATTAGTTTGCATTTTTTTGTGTGTATGACTACTGAGTTCTGGTAAATAAAGGGAATCTTCTATATTATAATTGAGTATGTAATATTAAAGTGTGTTTCCTTTAATTTTTCTTGAGGACTTTTTCTGTTGTATGTATTTGTCACAGTACACATTTAAAAAAACAAGTTTTGGTGTCTCTGTCTCTTGTTATCTAACCCACTGCCCAATAAGAATCATCACTGACCACTTTGAATGTCTGTGTTTTGAGGTAGGGATCAGGTGAATCCAGACTAGTGATGTTCTACTATTGATCATTGTGGAGGACTTCCTGACTACTGTATCATATTAAAGAATAACTGGGCCAGGTGTGATGCCTCACACCTGTAATCCCAGCACTTTGGGAGGCCGAGGTGGGCAGATCACGAGGTCAGGAGATTGAGACCATCCTGGCTAACATAGTGAAACCCCCTCTCTACTAAGAATACAAAAAATTAGCCGGGTATGGTGGCAGGCGCCTGTAGTCCCAGCTACGTGGGAGGCTGAGGCTGGAGAATGGCGTGAACCTGGGAGGCGGAGCTTGCAGTGAGCCGAGATCGCACCACTGCACTCCAGCCTGGGCAACAGAGTGAGACTCTATCTCAAAAAAAATTTTTAAAAAGTGCCAACTTTTCCACATTGCTAATAACAGCGGCATGAGGGTTTGACTACTATGATAAACTAAGGCCAACCCATCCAGATCCAGGATGTACACTTTGTCCACCCAAATCCAGTGGACTTGGTGGAACTTGTGCTTGATAATGTTTTTATCTTTTGTTAAATAGAACGAAGATTATAAAGTCCTAAATTCTTAAACTTCTAATTCACATAATTTAGTTTTTATCATTGATTCAAACTTGAAATTTTAGAAACCAAATGGCTTTAATTGAAAACTGTTTGGTTTTAGTGCTCTTTACAAGAGAAACTCAAGGAATGACAAAATTCTGTAGGTTTGATAGTCTCCTCCTAGATAAATGCTATAACATCCTGTGAATTAAAAGATTTGACTTTATTTGCTAATTTTTCCTGCCTCATCTGTGTTAACTAATAAACTTAATAACCATAAGCTTGAACATCATGAATACATATAGTATCAGTCCTATAGATTGTATTTTCAAGGTTTTATTTCTTTGATTCTTGCTATCTCTCTGATTTATTTTGAGGCTAACCTCATTTCTTTAACTTCCTACTCTGTGAACCCATACCACTTTGTATTTCTTTTTCAGCTTACAGCACTTAGAAATTGTTGATGGCCGGTATCTCTTAAGTAAGAATAGCCTAGGGAAATTTTGGATACCAGTTTAATTCTTGAACAAGACAGCTTGGTAAGGACATTGTAATTCACTTGACTAAGGTGAAATTTGTAAATTTCAAGACATAACCTTATAGAAGAAAATTCATTCTTCATCAAAATATGTCAAAATAGTCACACCCTAAAGACTGTCTAAATAGAAGGCTTATATTTCTGATTGTGTCAAACTCAGAATAAAATTTTAAAATTTTCAGTGAATGCTTACATTGCCCCCGTTATTATATGTAGTAGTTTATGGTTTAAATCTCTTAGTAAAATGTATGCCCCTTGGAATTATGTCCTATTCATCTCTGTTTGTCCAAAATATTTTATCCTCTGGAAATTCAGTAAATCGGCACCGAGTAAATGAGGAAAATGGTGAGGGGGTGATATTGTTGACTAAGGGAACTTTAGGGAGGTTGAGGCACCAATTTGAAAATGTTGTAAGTGGTACTATTTAAACTAATTCAGCAAAATTACATCCCCCATTAGTATTTCCTACCTAAAAACCAACTTGCTTAGATAGAGCTTTGAAATACTTAGAAGTGTCTTCAACCTCTGCTGTCCAAGAACCTCATCTCTTCTTTATTTTTCCTCAGTTCTTCAATTATTTTAGTTGTCATTTTAGTTTCCAGTATCATTTATGTTTCCTTACCAAAACTCTGCTTAATAAGAGTTGCACTTTAAAGGAGAACCTAAAACATCAGCCAGTCTCAAGTGATGGGATAAAATAAAGAGGCTAGGCCAGGCACGGTGGCTCACGCCTGTAATCCCAACTCTTTTGGAGGCCAAGGCAGGTAGATCAGCTGAGCTCAGGAGTTCGAGACCAGCCTGGCCCACGTGGTGAAACCCCATCTCTACTAAAAAAATACAAAACTTAGCTAGGCGTGGTGGTGCACATATAAACCTGGCTGCTCGGGAGGCTGAGGCAGGAGAATCGCTTGAACCCAGGAGGTGGAAGTTGCAGTGAGCTGAGATTGCGTCATTGTACTCCAGCCTAGACAACAAGAGTGAAATTCCATCTCAAAAAAAAATAATAATAAAGAGGCTAATTTGGACCACAAGATATAAAACAGAATTTACTGAGTTCAATACATGATTATGAAATCCATACCCAGGAACTTTGGATGATTTCATAATATCTATTACTGTCTGTCTCAATGAACCAAGTATCCTAAGTGCTTTATGTGAAAAATTGGAACAGAACCAAGAAAAGCTTTTACTTGGGGAGCCATTTATCAAGGGAAAAAAATAGTAAACTTTATAGTATGAAAATTTTGATTATCCTTAAATTTTTACTTCAATTTTGGGATACTAAGGAAAGATGAAATGTTCAGGCCTTTTTTTTCCCCTGGCTTCCTGGAGATGGCAGTAGAATACATACAGAAATTAAACTGGTTTTAGGACTTGGTTTTATAGATAGAGTAGTTTTATCAAAGAAAATCTCCCAAAGTATTTGCTTTTTAGAAATAATACATATTTAAAATTTTTTTTAAATATATGGAATTAACTCTTACCCATTTCTAATCCAGAAATGTGATCCTTTTTCTCAGTCAACTTTTTTCAGTTCTGCTGTAAACTAGCTATGTGTCCTTGAGCAAATTTCATTCATTCTTTTTTTAAAAGAGACAAGAGTCTTGCTGTGTTGCCCAGGCAGGAGTGCAGTAGCACGATCATAGCTTACTGCTTCCTTGAACTTCTGGGCTCAAGTGATCCTCCCACCTCAGCCTCCTGAGTAACTAGAACTGTAAGCATGTGCCCCATGCCCAGCTAATTTTTTTTTTTTTTAATTTTTTGTAGAGGCAGGGTCTTGCTGTTTCATCCAGGCTAATCCTGAACTCCTGGCCTTAAGTAATCTTCCCACCTCAGCCTCCCAAAATGCTGGGATTATAGGCATGAGCCACTGCACCCAGCCTGAGCAAATTTCTTTATCTCGACCTCCTATTTGCTCTGAAGTTATGAGAGACTAAATCATATGCAGATAACCATTTGCAAAATTACATAGTAAAATGCTTTATTGGTAAAATCCTAATCACATTTAATTTTGTTTTTAATTGAGAAGACACACTGGAGGCCTTACCTACTGAAAGTATGGTCCCTGGAACAATAGCTTGTTATTAATGTAAAATCTTGGGCTCCACCCCAGATTCTACATTTTAACAAGATCACCAGATTTCTCACATGCACGTAGTTCAAGGGCAAATCACATGAAACAGCACTTACTGTTGATAAGAAAAATATTAGTGGATTTGAATTGTTCTTACCACCACCATTGTACCAAGCCCACTCTTTGCCACTTTGTAAAAATCAAGAATTAAGAAATACTGATGAAATATTTTCAAATCTGTAAATGGTGACACAGTATAATGTCAGAAGTACTAATTAGCCTTATAAGTTCAAGTTAAGTACCTTAAATCATGTGTTTCTCTTTCTGCAACTGGAAATAGACTCCTGTTAAGAGTAGAGTTTTCTTTGAAGATAATGAGATAGCATAAGCACAGTGAACAACATGTATTTCTTTGCTTACGCTCCCTTAGGCCAGTAATAGGTACAGTCATTTTACTTATGTAGTGTCCTGACCAGTGAATTTGGATGGATAATTTGTCAGATACTTCGTGTCTGAAATAAAGCCGTTAAATTGAAGATAATGACAAACAGGTGTTAATGTAGGCATTAGTGCTCTTTCATTTGTAGAATGAAACGAGCTGCTCAGAGTATTTGAGCCTAAGACAATGTGACTCATGCTTTAAAGGAGAAAAAAATTCTACCTTTTTTATCCTCTTGAAAATGACTAGTATATAAAAAAGTCAGTGCTTCCCAGCATCTGGCTTTGAGCCTTTGGGCAACTATGTATGATAGGCTTTGTTGCAAGGAGTCTGCTGTCAGTCACATTCCCTGACCAAAATCAAACCTTGCCTATGTGGGGAGGTATGTTGATTTTGGTCACAAATGGGAATGGTGAGGAGAGATCTCTTTCATCCATCCACCTTTTGGCACCAAACATTCTTCTATTCATCAGGCCTGAATGTATCCATCTTACAGTGTGAATCCTGCTGTAATTGAAAGGATGAAATAAGATTACCTGAAAGCATTTTGAAAGTGGCAAAGCTGTATAGGCAAATGTATTTGCTATTAATAGTAAATTAATAGAGCTTTGAAAAAGTATAATTTTGCATTGCAGCAATTTCCAGTTTATGTACTACCAAAAGTAGAGTATCAAGCTTGTTATGGAGTTGAAGCTCTGACTGAAAGTGAACTTTGTCGCTTATGGACTGAAAGTTTATTGCATTCCAACAGCTCATTTTATGTTGGTAAGTTATACAAAAGTCTTTATTCTCCTTTTTAATTTTCTTGTAATTACATACTTGTAAATTCAATTGTGAATACTTCTATTCTGCCCTTTTTTACTTTCGTTTTTATTTATGTATTTATTAGTTTTAGGGTCTCATTCTGTTGCCCAGGCTGGAGTATAGTCATGTGATCATAGCTCACTGTAACCTCAAACTCCTGGCCTCAAGTGATCCTCCCACTGCAGCCTTCCAAGTAGCTGGGGCTGCAGGCATGTGCTACCATGCCCAGCTAATTTTTTGTTTTTTCTTGAGATGGGGTCTCATTATATTGCCAGACTGGTCTTGAACTTCTAGCCTCAAGCAATCCTCCTACCTTAGCCTCCAAAAGCTCTGGTATTACAGGGATGACCTACCATGCTGACCTATTTTAGAAACACTTATTTAATAGTATAATCAAAAATACACATTTGTTTTCTAGCTTCTTAGAGTACTGTTTAATTGGTTAACTATTTATTGACCTATATATTTATTTTGAAATTTTCTTATAATGACACTACTTTTAAAACCTCAAATATTTTGATGAAATGACTTTTTCCTTTGTTTTTGTTGTTCTGCTGGGGTATGGGGATTAGGCTGAAGTTCAATTTGCATTGGCTCATTTCATGTACAGTTAACATCCTCACATAATAGATTACTTGCTAGTCATTATTGGTAGTATTTCCTCCCACTGGAATGTCCAATATCGAACATCTCAATGCATCCCATAAATCTCAATCCTTTCTAATCATCTCAGACTGCTCCTCTGTGTAGTCTTTTGCTTTCTTTGATCTCTTAGTGCAGTCTTTTACTTCTCTGACTTGTTACTTTGTACTTTATTCTCTCTTAACACCTATCCCTTCTTCCTGTTAGACAATAAACAGCTTAAGGTCAGAGTCTGATAAAATTCTGTGTTGAGTCTAATAAAATTTTGTGTTATACTGCATAGCTTGATTGCTTGTATGTAATAAATCCTATGAGGGTGTGTTTCTTAATCAAAGAAAGGTTATTCACTTAAAATGTTTTTTCCTGTTTTGGTTAATCAGTATTTTGTTTTCATGTTTTATGAGAGTATTAAGTAGATAATTGATTCTTTCTGCTTAACTCAAAAAAGGAAGTAGCTAAATGCACTAATTGGTGATGTACTGCCTGCCTCCTCCTCCTTCATACACATACTCGAAGTTTTTGTAGTAATTTTCATTCTGTAACCAAAATTTCAATGTTCCTCCAAAGACCTCACACCAACAATCTCAACATTAGCTACTTGAATGCAATTTGCCAGCCACATCCATTTTAGAAAAGGCCCAGTTAAAAACTTACGAGTGAAATTTTGTTTAAAGTACTGACAGAGAATGGAGATTCATGACAAAAAAAAAAATTAAGGTTTCAGTTTTTAAATGTACAGTTCAACATCAACTGTATGGATTACTTCATTTTAATTATTTTGTAAAATCCTAAGTAATCCTAACTGCTGATTATTCTCTGTGAATCCTATCCTCTTGTGAGCCTTTCATTTCATTGTACTGGGATAGTATTTTTGGCTTCTGTGACAAGTGTTTGGTGAAAAGCATATATTGTATGGTTGTGGGATTTTGGTTTGTTCGGGGTTTTTTGGTGGGGTGTAGGTATGGGGGGATAACATCTGAGTTTTTGAGTTTTTAAAAATGTTATAATACTCTTTTAATTTAAGGAAGATGTTCAAGAAAATCACTTGAAGTGCTTTTAAAAGTGGAGATTGCTGGCCCCACCCTGGAGTGTCTGATTCACTAGGTCTGTATTGGGACCTAAGACTTTCTCAGGTCGTACTGATGCTGCTAGTTTAGGGACCACACTTTGAGAATCAATTCTATAGCTTATAGTCTCTTTTTTCAGTAGAATCAACACACTTGTGATTTGTTTGTTTGCTCTGCTTTGCTATAAACATGTTCCCCACTTTCCCTAGTTGCAGTACTCTTTTTATCTTTTCCCCATAAAAACTTGAAGATTTACTCCTTTAAGACAGTTTCCCACATAGTCTCATTGCAACTTCCGTATTCACCCTCCAACCCTATAATATTTATCAATTCTATATAGTTGATATATAGGCAGTCCTCACTTAGCACACAGTTTCAATAAGCACAAGTTTTAGTTATGACCGTGTATTAACAGTGAGTAATTGTATAAAGTATAAGCTTCACTGCTGGCTCTTCAGTCCACAGATCACTACATAAGTAACAGGCAAATCATGATCAGTGACCAGTCATGTCACTTCTTTCAAAGTCTGTTTATAATTGTTTATTGTGTACCCATTGAGTTCATGCACAGAAAGCAGAGTGTGCAGTTGTGTTGACTCTTTGTCTCCCGGTGATAAACCCATGTGATATTTTACCAAAGTAGATAATCAAAAGAATTGACCAAAAAATATTAAAGCAAAGCAAAGAAACAAAAGGTGATACTGCCAGAAGTGAAATTTGAATGGAACATAAATGGAATTACAGAGGAAATAGCAAAGAGTGGGAATGTTGGCACTGCTGTTGTTCCAGTGACTCTAGATTTGCTGCCAGACAAACTTAGTGAAAGCATTGTGACATAAAGGATGAACAAGTGACACTGGCATAAGATTTTACAGTAAACAAATCCTGAAGATAATTTCATGACATTGAAGGCACCAAGGATACAGTGTCAGAAGCTGATCCTTAGGAATATAACGGTTCACCATGGCATAGAAAAGATGTATCCGGCCAGGTACGGTGCCTCAAGCTTCTAATCCCAGCACTTTGGGAGGCCGAGGTGGGTGGATCATTTGAGGTCAGGAGTTCAAGACCAGCCTGGCCAACATGGTGAAACCCTGTCTCTACTTAAAATGTAAAAAATTAGCTGGGCAGTAGTCGCATGCGCCTGTAGTCCCAGCTACTCAGGAGACTGAGGCAGGAGAATCGCAAGAGCCTGGGAGGCGGAGGTTGCAGTGAGCCAAGATCGCAGCACTGCACTCCAACCTGGCCGACAGAGTGAGACCCTGTCTCAAAAAAAAGAAAAAAAAGAAAAAGAAAAGATGCATCCTTCCTATGACAAATTGTGCAAGAAGGTAACAAGCACTGTTCAAACTGCTCTTCATTAACGTTTCATGAAGAAAACACTTTAATTTTTTGGATTACAGTGTACTAAAATATTTTACTGTTCTTTTCGTTTTCCTATACATTTATGATTGATAGAGAATTTATAGTGTTTTGATAAAAATTTTAAAGGTAACCAAACAGTTGTAATTTTCCCTATTGATTGTTACAATTGTAGGGTTTCAGCCTGTATAGGCATTTTTATGGTCCTCACACTGCATGCAAAGCAAGGAGTACCTACCTATACACATATGAATGCATGTATGCATGTATATGTTTATGTGCATATATATATGAATGAACGCTTGTATATAAAAGCTTTATTTTTATTATGTATAGATTTTATTTGTCCTCTATAAATCAGTGCTTTCCAACCTTGATGCACATAAATATTTGTACAGCACACTGTGATATATAAGAGAGATTGCTTGTGGCTGAAGGGCAATAGCCAGGAAGCTTTTGCCATCCCAAGCATTGCTGAGCTGCCTGAAGGGCTGAGGTGATGAGTATCTTAAGCACATATATATCTTATTTGAGGCCCACAGGTTAGAAAGCTCCAATGTTGAGAGAGTTGTGAACTCCTTGAGTAGGTAGATCCTCAGAGCACTTAGTATGGTATTCTCTGTATAGTTATTTTTGACAGACCATATTTGACATATACTATAAAACTTTTTTAAATGAATTTCTTTCAAAAGGTAAGAACTATTAGTCTTCTCAAAGACATAATTAGTAAACATCTAAAAGTTATTATGCTTAGTATTTCCTTTCTATGGTTTTTAAATCATTACGATATGTCTTTGTTATTAGAAATGCCACTGTGTAATGAGTGTTACATATAATAAGTAGGTATGGGTACAAATGAATTTGGTGTCTTAGAAGGAAGCCATCTGGTAAAAATGTTTCTAATTATTTGTATGAGCATAAAGCAAATGAAAGGGGGCTTGGTAAGAAAATGAAACATTAAATTATGTGCATTTTTAATTGTCCCAGTGATTGACATCAGCTTTCCAGGTAATTTGTTTTGATACCTAAATATTAGGAGTTAAAAAAATAAAAACAATTTGTCTTCAACATTGATACGTCTTATATTCTCATCATGCTAGTTGATGTTTTTAACTATGGTACAATACATACGATTTTTGTGTTGACTTATATAACATTTAACCCAGGACTCTTTTATGTCACTCTTCCTTGGTATATTTCAGGACCTTGGTGTTAGCTCTCAACCTGTTTTGTTTTAGAACATACGCATTACTTGTTATAACAAAAGCATCATATTGAGAATTTGCTGTTTTGTTTTTTGGAATTCTAGATTCATATTGTGTTTGTGAAAAAAGTAAGAATCGGAGCCGGGTGCCGTTACTCACACCTGTAATCTTAGCACTTTGGGAGTCCAAGGCAGGTGGATTGCTTGAGGCCAGTAGTTCGAGACCAGCCTGGCCAACATGATGAAACTCCATCTGTACCAAAAATACCAAAAAAAAAAAAAGATAGCTGGGAGTGGTGGCACACAACTATAGTCTTAGCTACTCAGGAGGCTAAGGCACAAGAATAGCTTGAACCCCGGAGGTGGAGGTTACAGTGAGCCAGGATCTCGCTGCTGCACTCCAGCCCAGGAGACAGAGCAAGACTCTGTCTTAAAAAATAAATAAATAAATAAATAAAAATAAGACTTCAGCCGGGCTCAGTGGCTCACACCTGTAATCTCAGCACTTTGGGAGGCTGAGGCAGGTGGATCACCTGACGTCAGGAGTTCGAGACCAGCCTCGCCAACATGATGAAACCCAGTCTCTACTAAAAATACAAAAAATTAGCCAGGCCTGGTGGTGGGCACCTGTAATCCCATCTACTCGGCAGGCTGAGGCAGGATCGCTTGAACTGAGGAGGCAGAAGTTGCAGTGAGCCAAGATCATGCTACTGCACTCCAGCCTGGGCAACAAGAGCGAAACTTTGTCTCAAAAAAAAAGTAAAACTTGGAACTGACTGCTTTGATTTTTTTTTTAACTTTGGGAAATCTTATGGTGTGCTTTAATAAATATATATATATATTTTTTGAGACGGAGTCTTACTCTGTCACCCAGGCTGGAGTGCTGTAGCACTGTATCGGCTCACTGCAACCTCCATCTCCTGGGTTCAAACAATTATCCTGCCTCAGCCTCCCAAGTAGGTGGGATTACAGGTGCCCACCACCATGCCTGGCTAATTTTTTTATGTTTTTAGTAGAGACGAGGTTTCACCATGTTGGCCAGGCTGGTCTTGAACTCCTGACCTCAGGTGATCTGCCCGCCTCGGCCTCCCAAAGTGCGGGGATTTCAGGCGTGAGCCACCACACCCAGTCTAATTAAAAAATATTAAGCCAGATTTTCATAATCTAATTTTTACCTTAAGAGCCAAGTGTGTCTTAGCCCCTGTACATTTGATTTTATCTGCTTATTTTGATAATACATAATTATCAACATAATTCAAATTATGTTAATATGTATTAACATAAAAATACATATTATGATAATACATAAATATCATAATTATGATAATTCTCCTCATAAACGCCATGCAAATGTAACTTTCTTTTTTTTTTTTTTTTTTTTGAGACAGAGTCTGGCTCTGTCACCACCCAGGCTGGAGTACAGTGGTGCAGTCTCAGCTCACTGCTGCAAGCTCTGCCTCCCGGGTTAACGCCATTCTCCTGCCTCAGCCTTCCGAGTAGATGGGACTACAGGCGCCCGCCACTACGCCTGGCTAATTAAATGTAACTTTAATAGGAATTAGAAACACCAGTATTTTAATAGTTGTTGTTCATAAATTGTAGGCTTTGAAATGATTTCGTATGTGTGGACATGTGTAAACATATATTCAGCAAATATTTTAGAATGAATATAAATGTTTTATAATCTGAATTATGTTATTTTAAAATATAGCTTTACTTAAGACTTAATAAAATGTGTATTTCTCCTTTTAAAATGTAAAATTTCTTCACAGTTATTAAAATTTGTAATCTTTAAGGAGACAGGATAACTTGGTTTTTTTTTTTTCTAAATACTGCAATTGCTTCTTCTTTCTAAGTTTGATATTTTATTTTAGGGCATATCGATGCATTTACTTCAAAACTTTTTCTACTGGAAGAAATTACCTCAGAAGAATTAAAAGAAAAGCTTTCAGCACTCAAGTAAGAAAGTTTACTTTGTGGTGAGAATTGAAAAATTTGTTAATGTGATCATTAATTTTTCTTTAAATATTGTTTAAGCTTAAATTATTTTCAAGACTTTTAGTCTTTTTATGTATAGAGGTCTCATTGGACTCAGTTTTGTTTTGTCTTTTTTTTTGTTCTTTGTGTGTTTGAGACAGTCTCGTTCTGTCACCCAGGCTGGAGTGCAGTGGTGTGATCTCGGCTCACTGCAACCTCTGCCTCCCCGGTTCAAGGGATCCTCCCACCTCAGCCTCCCAAGTAGGGACTACAGGTGTGCACCAGCATGCCCAGCTCATTTTTGTATTTTTTGTGGAGACGGGGTTTCACTATGTTGCCTGGGCTGGTCTCAAACCCCTGGACTCAAGCAATGTGCCTGCCTCAGCCTCCCAAAATGCTGGGATTACAGGCATGAACCACCATGCCTGGCCAGCAGTATGTACTGTTTGTTTTGTTTTTCTTTGTTTAGTGGTAGATGACGGTTATACGTATTTTGGGGTACATGTGATTTTTTTTTTTTTTTTTGAGACAGAGTTTTGCTCTTTTTGCCCAGGCTAGAGTGCAGTGGTGTGATCTCAGTTCACTGCAGCCTCCACCTCCTGGGTTCAAGCGATTCTCCTGCCTCAGCCTCCTGAGTAGCTGGGATTACAGGCATGCGCCACCACGCCTGGCTAATTTTGTATTTTTAATAGAGACAGGGTTTCTCCATATTGGTTAGGCTGGTCTCAAACTCCCGACCTCGGGTGATCCTCCTGCCTCGGCCTCCCAAAGTGCTGGGATTACAGGTGTGAGCCACTGCGCCTGGCCCTACATGTGATTTTTGTTTTGTTTTGTTTTGTTTTTTGAGACGGAGTCTCGCTCTGTTGCCCAGGCTGGAGTGCAGTGGCGTGATCTCGGCTCACTGCAAGTTCTGCCTCCCGGGTTCATGCCATTCTCCTGCCTCAGCCTCCAGAGTAGCTGGGACTACAGGTGCCCGCCACCACACCCAGCTAAGTTTTTGTATTTTTAGTAGAGATGGGGTTTCACCGTGTTAGCCAGGATGGTCTCATCTCCTGACCTCGTGATCCACCCGCCTCGGCCTCCCAAGTGCTGAGATTACAGGCGTGAGCCACTGCACCCGGCTCCTACATGTGATATTTTAATACCCATATACAGTGTGTAATGACCAAATCAAGATAAATGAAATATCCTTCACCTCAAACATTTATCTTTGTGTTAGGAACATTATAATTCTTCCCTTCTAGCTATTTGGACATATACAGTAAATTATGATGAACTGTAATTTCTCTACTATGGTATTGAATACTAGAAGTTATACCTCCTGTCTAATCCCTTAACCAGCTTCTCATTTCTCCCATCCATTTCCTTCCCAGCCTCTTGTAACCGCTATTCTGTATCTCCATGCTCCATGAGATCCACTTTTTTAGCTTCTACATATGATTGAAAGCATGCAATATTTGTCTTTCTGTGCCTGATTTATTTAACATAATGACTTCCAGTTCTATCCACGATGCAAATAACAGAATTTCATTTCTTTTATGGCTGAATATATTCCATTGTGTGTGTGTGTGTGTGTGTGTGTGTGTGTGTGTGTGTGTGTGTGTAATCACATTTTATTCATTCATCCATTGATGGAGCACAGACCCAATTTGTGATCCGTTTATATTATCTCCATCTCCAAATTAAATATAATGCCAGTGGCACCAGCCTTTTTACTTAAGGGAGGCTAGAGCCAAAGTAGCCGCCGTGCATGGGAAGCAAACGTTTTACTCCATTACAGGAAAGGGAAAGGATAGTACAGTCAAAAACTCTGAGAGTCTAACTTCTCAGTTTGCCCTTCTACCAAGCATCATTATACACGTGACTGAAATGAATTTATCGTACTCAGAACTCTAAATGTCTAAATGCAAAGCAAAATAATTTATGAATATTATTATCCCATTTTCATCTCACAACTTCTAGGAAAGGCTGGTGGTAGTATTATCTCCATTTTTTATATGAGGAAATATTAGAGTGGTATGCCCTAGAGCACACAGCTAAGCTAGTTGCAGCCTTGGTAGTTAATATGTTTGATTCCCACTTAGGGTAAGAAATGGTTCTGACTTCTACTAGCCGCATAGTTCCAGGCTTGACATTGTTTTTTAAGGGTCCCAGATCTAAATTTGAACTCTGTGCTTGTACTTCAGTATGTCTGCTTCTGTTACAAGGACTGCTTCTCTTGAACAGTAACTTTTTTTTTACATATGTGAATAGAAAAGCTTTTCCCTACCCTACTCTCCACCTGCCTCGCTTTTCTCATTGAAAAACATTTTTTTTTTTTAAAAAAAAGGAGGAGGTCAGGCTCAGTGGCTCATGCCTGTAATCCCCACACTTTGGGAGGCTGTGGCAGGTGGATCACTTGAGGTCAGGAGTTCGAGACCAGCCTGGCCAACATGGTGAAACCCCATCTCTACTAAAAATACAAAAATTAGTCAAGTGTGGTGGTGGGCACCTGCAATTCCAGCTACTCGGGTGGCTGAGGCAGGAGAATCGCTTGAACCCAGGAGCGGAGGTTGCAGTGAGCCGAGATCGTGCCACCGCACTTCAACCTGGGCAAAAAGAGCAAGACTCATCTCAAAAAAATAAAAATAAAGAGAGGGAGGGAGAGAGAGAGAGAGAAGAAAAGGAAGAAAGGAAGGATGGACAGACGGACTTTAGGTCTAGAAGAACTACTAAAGAAATTTTTTAAATACCTGATTTGGCCGGGTGCGGTAGCTCATGCCTGTAATCCCAGCACTTTGGGAAGCTGAGGCGGGTGGATCATGAGGTCAGGAGATGAGACCATCCTGGCTAACACGGTGAAACCCCATCTCTACTAAAATTACAAAAACTTAGCCGGGCGTGGTGGCGGGCACCTGTAGTCCCAGCTACTCTGGAGGCTGAGGCAGGAGAATGGCGTGAACCCGGGAGGCAGAGCTTGCAGTGAGCCAAGATCGCTCCAGCCTGGCGCTCCAGCCTGGGCGACAGAGCGAGACTCTGTCTCAAAAAAAAAAAAAAACCTGTGTTTTATTTCCCTTTAGCTATCCTGTCCCGAGTGAGTGGCTTCTCTGTCATCACAGGTTTAACGTACCTATCAATTTTTTTGGAAGCTCATTCACCACCATCTCTGAAAGACAAACTCTTCGGCATATTAGCTTTACTAAAGACCTCTTAGCATTTTGTTTGTTTGGTTTTGGTTTTGGTTTTGGTTTTTTGAGGCGGATTCTTGGTCTGTTGCCCAGGCCGGAGTGCAGTAACGCCATCTCGGCTCACTGCAAGCTCCGCCTCCCGGGCTCGTGCCATTCTCCTGCCTCAGCCTCCCCAGTAGCTGGGACTACAGATGCCCGCCACCACGCCTGGCTAATTTTTTGTATTTTTAGTAGAGATGAGGTTTCACTGTGTTAGCCAGGATGGTCTCCATCTCCTGACCTTGTGATCTGCCCGTCTTGGCCTCCCAGAGTGCTGGGATTACAGGCGTGAGCCACTGCACCCGGCCAGCGTTTTTTTTTTAAGTATATAATTTGAACATAAAATAGTGATCTCTTTACAACTGCTCTGACTCACAAAAAGCCAAATACATTATGATAATGAAAGGAAATCATGAAATGGCAAAAATTGGCCCGACCCCATGCCTCATGCCTGTAATCCCAGCACTTTGGGAGGCCGAGGCGGGTGGATCACCTGAGGTCAGGAATTCAAGACCAGCCTGGCCAACATGGTGAAACCCTGTCTCTACCAAAAATACAAAAAAATCAGCCTGGTGTGGTGGCGCATGCCTGTAGTCCCAGCTATTTGAGAGGCTGAGGCAAGAGAATCACTTGAATCCGGGAGGTGGAGGTTGCAGCGAGCAGAGATTGCGCCACTGCACTCACTCCAGCCTGGGCAACAGAGCAGGACTCCATCTCAAAAAAAAAAAAAAAAAAAAGGAAATTTTTTTTAAAAAATTAAGTAAATATCATAATTTAATCCAAATAGAAATAAGTTTCAGATTTTTTGTATTACATTATCTCATCCGCTGTTTTTGTTGTTGTTATTGAGGGCATTTCTCTGCCTGAGGAGCTATAATTGCTAAAAGTAAGTTTTTTGCAGTTTAATTTTACATGAATTTCTTTTGTTTATCAGGATTTCCAATTTATTTAACATCCTCCAACACATTCTAAAGAAACTAAGTAGGTAAGTATTTTTTAGGCATTTTGCTTTGATACATCTGATTTTCTTAGATGAAAATTCTTAGAAACTTTGAAAATGTACTGTTAGGAATAGAGACAAAATAACCTAGAAATGCAAAAATTATTATGTCAAATGTAAACATTTATATTGTAAAAATATAAAGTAATTTAGTATCTGGCTTTAATGAGCTTGCAAGTACATTTTCCTGTAAGTCTATTATTATGTTATTTTTCTATTGCAGCTGTAACACATTGCCACTAACTTGGTGGCTTGAAACAAAACAGATTGATTCTCTTTTTAGTTCTGGAGTTCAGAAATCCAAAATCAGTTTTACCGGGTAAAAGTCAAGGTGTCAGCAGGAGTGGTCCTTTCTGGAGACTAAGGAAAGAATCATTTCTTTACCTTTGTCAGTTTCTAGTGACCACCTGTATTCGTTGACTTGTGGCTCTTTCCTCCATTCTCAGGGCATGTCACTTGGATCTCTGCGTCGCATCACATTGCCTTCTCTCCTTTTGTGGTAATATCTTCCTCTGCCTCCCTTTTATAAGGTTCCTGGTGATTACTTTGGGCCTTCTCACATAATTTGGGATAATCCCCTCATCTCAAAATCCTTAATTTAATCACACCTGCAAAACGATTAAATATAATACAGTCACAGGTTCTGGTGATTAGCATAAGGACATCATGGTGGGAGACCATTATTCAGCCCACCATAGCTATATTATTTTCACTTTCAAGATTAAAAAAAAAAAAGAAGAACATAGAGGCCGGGCGCAGTGGCTCACGCCTGTAATCCCAGCACTTTGGGAGGCCGAGGTAGGCGGATCATGAGGTCAGGAGATGGAGACCATCCTGGCCAACATGGTGAAACCCCGTCTCTACTAAAAATACAAAAAAATTAGCTGGGTTTTGTGGCGTGCACCTGTAATCCCACCTACTCAGGAGGCTGAGGCAGCAGAATCGCTTGAACCCGGGAGGCAGAGATTGCAAAGCTGAGATGTGCCACTGCACTCCAGCCTGGGCGACAGAGTGAGACTTCCTCTAGAAAAAAAAAGAACATAGAGCTAAATGAACAGTCATTTAGATCCATGGCAAGTCTTAGGATATGGATTTTCCCCCTGATGATTTGCCAAACTGTTTTGTTATATGAATGTTTGCATTCCTTCTCTTATGCCCTTACCAAATGTTAAACTTGAAAACGAACTTACAGTCAAAATCTCAAAGCTCTAGTTCTGAAGAATTCTATTATCTAACTTGATGTCATTTTCCTTATTTGTAAAATGATGGTGTCAAGTGCAATAACTTCCTAGGTACTTTTCAGTTCTGATATTCTGTGATTATGTGACAGGATTTTTATTTTATATATTCTGTTCTTCATGCTATATACAAAGCTTATGCATGAAATTTGCCAGATGTTTTTTGAAATTTTATTATCAATATTTTATTTAGTTTGTGTGTTAGCTTTATATTGTGGCTGTAACAAATTAAGATTATAAAACAACACAAATTTATTATTTTACAGTTCTCAAGTCAGAGGTCTAACAGGGTTCACTGAGTTAAAATCAGGGCATTGGCAAAGCTACATTCCTTTCTGTAGGCTCTGGGAAGGATCTAGTCCTTGCCTTTTGTAGCTTCTAGAGGCCACCTGCATCCCTTGGCTTGTAGCTCCCTTCCTCCATCTTCAAAGTTACAACGCCAAGTTAAGTCGCATCTCTCTGGAGTTGTACAGTCGCATCTCCCTTTGAGTCTCTTCTGCCTTCTTCTTCTGTATTTAAGGGCTCTTGTGATTAGTAAAATTTGATCATTTTAAAATCAGTTGATTAGCAACCTTAATTCCATCTGCTACCTTAATTCCCTTTGGCCATGTAACATATTCATAGGTTCCAGGTTTGGAACATAAACATTTCTAGGAGGCCACTATTCTGTCTACCATAGCTTATATTCATCTATGTACATTAGACATGTACAGCACTTGTAAGATACTCCTCCTTAGAGTATCTCTCATTCTCCATGAATTAAATATTAATATATTCTTCTGTAAATGAAAGCTTTCTCCATTTTTAGTGGAAGTAGTTAAGATATATGATTTTCATTGATTAAAACTCAATCTTTGAAATGTTATTTATTCCTACTATCATAATAATTCATTTCTTTATATGGAAATATGAAAATGATTGGGAAAAAAAATTTCCAGAGGATAAGAGCAATTGTCAACACCTATTTTCAGTTTAAAAATTGATGAAAATGTAACCGATTAGGTTTATAGGCAAATCTGTATAGCTAAAGTATGATAAATCTTTATTTTTTCATAATATATTGTAAAGAACCGATGTTCTCCTTAACATCTTTGATCCAGAGGACTGTGTAATCCTAAGAAAGCACAATATATTTATTCATATCCCTTTAGTTCTTTAAGATGATACATTGAATTATTTAAAACTTTATAAGGAGAAAGGAAAAATGTGGATTTGATGTTCAACATAGTTTGTTATTGCTACAGTAGAGGATCGTGATTAAGGGTATGGCCTGTGGAGTTCAAATGCCTGGGTTTATATCTAAGCCTACACTCACAACTTTGGGCAAATTGCTTAGCATCTCTAATTTGTTTATTTATCACCCTAAATTAATATGCCTTGAAGGTTTATTGTGGAAGATCTAATAGAAAATAAATTTGAAGCCATAATACAGTAGTTAGCTCATAATAAACATTTAATACCTGCTAGCTGCTATTGTTTCTGTTATCCTCATAGCACCTCATGTTGTACTGTGATTGTTCCATTGACTGTTTCTTCCACTTTATTTTAAACTACTCAGTGTAGCAAACATATCACCTTCACTTTTGTATCTAGTCATCTATCTATTATTAGGTACAAAATAGTTGCAGTGTTAAATGAATGAAAATGCTGTAGGAATGCTTTTCAGTATAGATACCTATAAATATCTAATCTATGGATTAGAGAATTAGGCACACTGTTTGTTTCCCATTAAATGAAAACTTACGAATTGCTATAAAAGTAAAAAGAAAATGATCAACTATTCTGAACTTTGGAATAAGAATTAAAATTAGTTGCCTAAAAAGCATAAAAATAGTTTTAAAGATTTCTTAAATCTTATTTTGTCATAAAAGTATTTTTAGAGGTGGTGTGATCTTCTCATAATTTTCAATTTTACTAATAGATTATGATTAAGAAAGTGATGTTGAAATTGACACAGTGAGCCAGTGGGTTGAGTTTCATTGTGTGAATTTAGCTTGCAGGAGGGTTCCTACTTGTTATCTCATGCAGCAGAAGATTCTTCACTCCTGATTTATAAGGCCTCTGATGGAAAAGTTACTAGGACAGCATACAATTTGTATAAAACACATTGCGGCCTTCCTGGTGTACCTTCCAGTCTCTCAGTTCCCTGGGTCCCATTAGATCCCAGCCTGTTATTACCATATCATATCCATCATGGAAGAATACCTTGTACTTTTCCACCGAAATCACTGGATACCACAACACAACAAAAGGTAAGATCTTTTTTGAAATTAAAGGTTCATTAGGTTGTTTATTATTCGTCTATTTCACTGACTTTACCGTATTTCACCCTGATGTTCTCATTGTCATATTAATCACAGCACCATTCTAAAAGCTATATCCATAGGAAGGATAAAGTTGTATGCCATGGTGAGTCCAGTCTTCGTGGTAGTGGAACTTTTTTATTTTTGCAAGATTTATAAGTCAACTAAAGAAAACTCTCTTAGCTTGCACAGTGGGTGTATGGGTAAGGCATCCATGTAGTTAAACCCTTATATTCCTATGAAAAGCAAAGTTGTGGGGTTTTTTGTAATTTTTATTTATATATACTGGGTTTCATTTCATTAAGTATTTTAGGCAATTTGCGGAAGAGTACATGTAATAAAATTATGATATAATTAAACATTGTTAATTAGGATGAGGAAAAAGAAGTAATAGCAGTTTGTGAACAGAGTGCCTAATTAAAAATATACCTAAAGTATCAAGGACTAAATTGTGTCTTTCTAGGTATTATGTAACTCAGTATTTACTGAATTACAATTAACATTACTCTCTTTATAGAACCCTTGCCAAAAGTAACAGTTGAATGACATTATCTGAAGCTTATAAACCCATAGCTAGAGTTATTCTCTGCTATGTCACTCATTCTGTATATTGTGTAGGAAATTCCAGTTCGAGTTTAGTTGTTAGAAAAGTTTTGCACTGGGCTGGGCGCAGTGGCTCACACCTATAATCCCAGGACTTTGGGAGGCCAAGGCGGGTGGATCATTTGAGGTCAGCAGTTTGAGACCAGCCTGACCAACATGGTGAAACCCCATCTCTACCAAAAATTAGCCTGGCATCATGGTGCACACCTGTAATCATTTCCAGCTACTGGAGAGGCTGAGGCAGGAGAATCGCTTGAACTTGGGAGGCAGAGGTTGCAGTGACCCAAGATCACTCTACTGCACTCCAGCCTGGGCTACAGAACGAGACTCTGTCTCAAAAAAAGAAAAGGAAAGAAAAAAGTTTTGCTCTCTACAAATGACTCTGAATGTGTTCAGGACACGATCCAGTATATTTTCCTTACTTACTGCCAAAAGTCTTTGAGTCAGAATTATTGTCTGAGTCATTATCTTCTCATTATGGTTGCCCCAGAGCATCTATCACTTGTGTATTCTTCCTTTTCACTGTCTGTACTATACTGAATTAATCTGTAAATGTCCTCAAATCCTTATGAGAAACAGCTGGAATGCAAATACTGAGGATTTTTAAATAATTTAAAGTAAACAGGGTTGTTTGTTTATGTCTTTCAGTTCTCCACTCTAAGTTACTGTTTGGGAGTATCCTTTTAGAAATGAGAACTCCTTGTACATTCCTACTTAGCTTTGGCCAAGAAAATATAAATGTTAAGTTGGGACAAGTGAAAGAATGGAGAAAGTTACTTGTTAGCATTTTAAGCTATTTTATCTTCAGTTTTGGTTGTCTGTTTCCAGTTTACTAGAAGTAGTAACTTTTATAACCTAAGGAAAAATTTTCTTAAGTAACTCAAAAATAATTGAAGAACTATTTTTGAAGGATCTGTGTTTTTCTAGGAGAATGATTTCCTTTTAATTTAGAAACACTGATTATAGTCTCTCACCTATAACATGTAATTCTGTGTGGGAGTGGTTTATTCCTTTTTAGTGAAAATGAACAGTTTAATACCTTGGAATTGAACAACTTTAAGTGAAAGGAAAAATGTATTATGTGTGTGCAAGGTGTTTCTAAAAAAATGAGTAATATACTTTCCTTATTGATATAGACTGACACTAAAATAGTGTTGAATGCTTTATGCTTTGGAAATACTTTAATGATTTGATTTTTTTTAAATAATGTCTAGAATGTGCTTTAGTACAATAACACAATTTGTAGTCATGTATCACTTAACGACAGGGATACATTCTGAGAAATGCAGCACTAGGCAATTTTGTCTTTGTTTAAATACCATAAGCTTACTTACACAAACCTAGAGGGTGTAGTCTACTACACACTTAGGCCGTATGGTATAGCCTATTGCTGTTAGGTAGTCTACAGACCTGTACAGCATGTTGCTGTACTGAATACTGTATGCCGTTGTAATACACTGGTATTTGGATATCTAAACGTAGACAAGGTAATACATTGCACTGTTATGTTGTAACAGCTGTGACATCACTAGATGATAGAAATTTTTCAGCTCCATTATAATCTTTTGGGACCACTGTTGTATATGTAGTTCATTTTGACCAAAATGTGACTGTATTTGGAAAAGGAGAAATTCCATATGTTCACAATTTGGCCACATAATTACAACAGTTCAATTACATGTGTATCACGGAGTGTGCTTCATGCATTCAGTCCAGGAACAAATACTTAACGAGATTATCCAGGCCCAGGTTGTTGTAGAGCCCAGCATTAGGTACAGTGGACAATTAGATAACTAATAGTTGGTTTGATATATTTTTGAAAGCCAGTGGAAAGTTTTTGGTGATCTACTCACCTCCCCACAATCTAGCCCTGTGTTTGATAGGAATTACCCCATCTTCTTCCCTACCTCCTAGCTAGGCCATGGGATTGGGCCTTCTAGTCCCAACCAATCTAAGTGCAAATATGGATTCTAGTTTTAGCAGCAATGGTAAGATGACAGCTTTCAGGAAACCAGGGAAGTAAGACCTATATGAAATAGAAATCATCTGCATATTTTCATGGTGTAAAAATTTGTTCAAACGTTTCTGCCTCTAATGTGATCCCATAGTCACGAGTCCACTTGAACTCTGATCTCATCCTTGTATAGTGCCTTTGGTACTAACCCTGAGAGATATGCCAGTAGAGCCTGCATCTGCCTCCCTACTGCATCAAGTAGAGATTGTATTTAAGGGTCCCATTTGCTTCCTGGGCTACTTTTGACTTCTGCTTCCAGTCTTTCTTGCAGCAGCTTCACACTTATCCCTTTTTTCTTTCTACATCTTCTGTAATAAACATTTATTTTACACATTCAGACACACACAGTCTTGCAGTGGAGGTTTTCAAAATGCTTGCTTTTCTCAAAAATTTTAACAGATAGAATTAGTGTGGTCAATATACCTTTATAGGAAATACCAGCTGAGTGAGGAGTGGTATAGATCATCCAAAAGTCGCAGCACTTTTCTAATCAGTATATTACAAAATTTCATCAGATTCACACAGACAAATCTGTACTCAATTTGTCCTTTCTGGTCAGGTAAATGTAAATAAAAAAAAATGCTTTTTAAAGGGACAGTAGATATTAAATAAAGGAAGCCAGAGTCCGAGCTTTTTCAGTGAGTCTGTAACCCCTTGGAGCAAATGCCAATAGTATTTCTGTTGGGCTAGCATTATGAGAGAGAGTGCTTGGAGTTACACTATCACCCTTCAGTCCCAGGCCTGAAATTGACTGGACGGGATATGAAGAAATAGAGGAGAACAAGGTGGCCAGGGAAAATAAAGGCAGATATGGGCAGGTTCTGTGGAAATAGTTTCAGGCTATACAGCTTTGGTCCTTCTCTGTGAGATTGGCCTTCTCCATTACTGTTTTTATAGATCACATCTTTAACATGACTACATAGCAAGGGATTCTGTATTAAGAATAGACCACCTTGGCTGGGCGCGGTGGCTCATGCCCATAATCCCAGCACTGTGGGAGGCTGAGGCGGGCAGATCACTTGAGGTCAGGAATTCCAGACCAGCCTAAACATGGTGAAACCCCATCTCTACTAATAATACAAAAGTTAGCCAGGCATGGTGACACACACCTGTAATCCCAGCTGCTCAGGAGTCTGGAGTCAGGAGAATCGCTTGAACCCAGGAGGTGGAGGTTGCAGTGAGCAGAGATCGCGCCAACTGTCCTCCAGCCTGGGTGACAGAGCGAGACTCTGTCTCAAAAGAAAAAAAATAGACCACCTCTCTTTGACTGTGTGAGCTAGAAAGTGAGGGTAAGGAAGGGTAGACTTGAAGGTAGAACCACAGCAAAGTTCCTTCCCCCATCCTCTGTATTCCCCCTTCCAGTTTTTTCTTCCCCTTTTCTTATTTCTTTCTTGCTCTCCTCTTTCAGCCCTTCAGGATTTCCCTGCTACTTGGGTTCTTGTCTTGAAACTTCCTTACACTTTTACTGTTTTTTTTTTACTTCCCTTTTTCTTAATCTTCATCTCTTTCCTCAATTTTCTTTCCTTATCTTCCCTACCCTTCTTATTATCTTTCTTGTTTGTCCATGTAATTTCTTCTCCCTGTTTACCACCTCTGACCTTCTTGTATTTCCTTTCGCTCCCTCCCTATTACTCCTTCCTTTTTCTTGTCCTTCAGTTTAATTATTTCAAACACATCACACATAAGGCCTGTCATTCCCTTGATTTCTAATTTATCTTTTCAACCTCTAATAAATTTAACACAGAGAATAGTTTCCCCATTCACTTTGCTCCCCATCTACTCAGATCTATCAACTTCTCTGATGGTTATTTGAAAGTTTAGTACTTAAAAATGTGTCAGATTAAAACTTGTTTAGAAACAGCCAGCTAGCTGGAGATGAAAAATATATAAGAGCTTATTTGCAAGGTGGTTAATACATGTATAAATACTACAGAGTTGACTGTATATAGGTATGTTGTAGATACATTAAGCTATTCTGTTCTCTGCTTCATCTCTTAGATTGGTGGAACGAGAATGCCTACACGCAGCCACAGGAATCCAGTTTCCATGGAAACCAAAAGCAGTTGCTTGCCTGCTCAGCAAGTTGAAACTGAAGGAGTGGCTCCACATAAAAGAAAAATAACTTGAGGACTGTACCATGGAAAACTAAATTTAAAAAAACAGTTATAACAGTGTTTAATTTAGATAAGTTTGAGGGAAAATAATCAGTAGGCAAGAGGAACATTTTTCCTGTAGTAGCTAGAGTGCCTTGAAAAAATGTGTTGGCTATGTGAAGGAATATTTCAACTAAAATGGAATGGTATGCTTTTCACCCTTGAAGTTTGAGGAGGATCTTGATATGTTTTAACATTATCATGGCAGGGAAATATATAAAGAAGAAAAATATTTTTACATTAAACCTTTTCTAAAAATTGTAAATAGAAAAATAATTTGGTTTTTTATCAAGAACAACACTTATCGTTATGTATTGTGTTAGTTATATTGCCAGTCTGTTGCGACTGACTCAAAAAGTTAAATGTTGCCACTGCTGAAGATGATTATGAGCATCGCAAACTTTGTTTCTGACCCATTTTGACAGTTTTTATATACTCCTTTAAAATGATGAATGTTACAGGTTAATAAAGTTAATACCTTTAAAAACTTGGTGAAATTCCATTACAGAAGCCAAAAATAAAAACTCCCTGCCTCTGAAAAGTCAGATTACTGACTTCTTGTTTGGCAACCATCAGTTTGTTTAATAAAAGAAAAAATTTGGTGGTATAACATGTTTGATGACAGATGCCTCTATCTCTAGATTCAAGCTGAGTGTTGAAATACACTGCTGAAAGCAAAGAGATAGGTATGTTTTCCAGAAAAAAAGTCAGTGTCATTGCTCCAGATGACAAGGTTAATGTGGTAAAGCATAAGCTTTTTTTTTTTTTTGAGATGGAGTCTCGCTCTGTTGCCCAGGCTGGAGTGCAGTGGCATGATCTCAGCTCACCACAACATCCACCTCCTGGATTAAAGCGATTCTCCTGCCTCATCCTCCCGAGTAGCTGGGACTACAGGCACCTACCACCAGGCTTGGCTAATTTTTTTTTGTATTTTTAGTAGAGACAGGGTGTTACCATGTTGGCCGGGCTGGTCTCAAACTCCTGACCTTGTGATCCGCCTGCCTTGGCCTCCCAAAGTGCTGGGATTACAGGGGTAAGCCACCGTGCCTGGCCAGCATAAGCTATTTTTATCCTCATCTATACTGATTGATTTAAATTTTCCGGGCCTGCAGATGAATTTGGAAAAGGGCATAATCAACTGATGTTGCTGTAGCAAATTTGGACTTAAGAAACTACAGACAGGGCCGGGCGTGGTGGCTCACACCTGTAATTCCAGCACTTCGCAAGGCCGAGGCGGGAGAATCACTTGAGTCCAGGGGTTGGAGACCAGTCTGGGCAACACAGACCTCATCTCTACAAATAAAAAAGTTAGCCGGGTGTGGTGGGGTGTGCCTGTAGTCCCAGCTACTCAAAAGGCTGAGGCAGAAGAATTGCTTGAGCCCAAGAAGTCAAGGCTACAGTGAGTTGTGATCGCACCACAGAACTCAGCTTGAGTATCAGAGTGTGACCCTGTCTCAAAGAAAAAAAAAAACAGGACAGGCTTGTTTAATCTTTAGAACCCTTACACTAAAATTTTCAGAAATTATGTATGTCATTTGTAAAATATAAGTTTTGTAATCCTAGATAATTGCTTCACATTGAAATTTTTTAGCTATTCTGTGTAAAGAATAGCTATTCTTTTGGCCTAATTTCTGAGAAATTAGACCGAAAAATCTCCTCAAGTATTGTAACAGTTGAAAATACTTATATTCAACTACCAAGTTTTGTTTCATTTTGATTTTTTGTTATAAAACATTTTTAAGTTATTTGAGAAGTAATTATTAGTAAAATTGTATCTTGATAAATCATTTCCTCATCCTGCCATTCCCTTTTATAAAACACTGAGTTTTTTTATTCCTTAAGTCACATATCCCAGAAATGTTTTGGTTGTGAATCATTTGCCAGCGAGCCAAGGGAGAGGCAGGGATTCCCTTGAAATGTACTCTTACACTTTTTTATTTTATTTTTAATGTACATTTGTGTGCACCAGAATGGAATGTGCTCTTTTTAAAGAGCTGGACAGTGGTTGCTTCAGACTTCTGAATACCAGAAAGACTTGCCTTTTAATTTTTAAATATTACTTTTTACATCATAAAATGTGTTATCTTATCCATGTATTTGAATAACATCATATATAAAGGTAGTTTTTTGCTTGTGCTTAGTGAAGCCTCCTTTTTTAACATACATTTGATATGCTTTATGTTCTTTTTCTTGATTTTTAGTACTGAGAATTTATAAGCCAAGAAGTAACTGACAATATGTTTAGCAGGATGTAATCCCAGCTACTTGGGAAGCTGAGGTGGGAGGATCGCTTGAGTCTAGGAGTTTGAGGCTGCAGTGAGCTATGATGGTGCCACTGCACTCCATCCTGGGTGAGAGATCAAGACCCTATCTCAAAAAATGAGCAAGTTTTTTTTTTTTTTTTAAATCAGACTTAGGGCTAGCAAGGATGTGATCACCCTGGCCCATTTATACCTCAGCAGTGAAGGTGTAATTTATACACACCTCTTTGAAAACAGTTTAATTCAGTAAGTGAGTGCAACTATGTGCCATGCACTCCAAAGTAGGTCCCCACAGTTATTCTCTCATAGCCTTGTTTTTTCAGATCTCACCATATTTATTTGTTTCTTTGATTTTCTTTTCTTATAGATTACAAGCTCTGCAAGGACAGGGGCATATTTGTTTTGTTCACCATTAAGTAATAAACACCTAATACAGTGCCTGTCATGTAGTTGCTTAGCAGATATTAGTTAGATGCATGAATGTGTAGGTATCAAAGATTTTTTTTTTCAGGAGATCACATTCTAGTGGAAGACACTATACTGCTTTATGTGATAAGTGCTTTGATAAAGTAAGCAAGTCATCTAACCAGATCTTGGTAGTTAAGGTTTTCTGAGATAGAACTTGAGCTGAGTCTTTTAAAAATAGTAGGATTTATAAGGGAAAATTAAAGGTCTTCCACAAAGAAACTAAGTGAAACTAAGCAGCCTATGAAAAGGTGAAAGTTGGAGAGATTATAGGCTATGAACATGGGAGATGAGAGAGAAAACTGCAGGATAGGGACAGAAACACTGTGCTAAGACATTTGAACTTTGTCCTGTGCAATGTGGGAACCAGTAGTGAAGGTTAATTAACTGACATGATCAGATATGTATTTGAAAAGGGCTCTTGTTGGCATTAGTCTAGAGAATGCGATGGAGCTGGGAAGCGAAAGAAGAAATGTTGGGAGCCTGTGTTGTAGTAACTGAAAAATGGCAATGGCCCAGAATTAAAGCAGCAAGAATAGGAGTGGGCTCAAGTGATGTATAAGGAAAAAAAAAAAAATGACAACTCAGTTTTGTTGTTGGTAAGGAGAGTAAAGTATGGCTTCTGGGTTTCTCATTTGAGATACTGAGTAAATGATGGTGTTAACCCATTGAGAAAATAGTGTGGTTAGAGTGGGAAGAAAGTTAATTTAAAATGTTCATTTTTTTTTTTAGTCATTTCTACTTTTGGATTCTAGGTTTGTGTGCTATATTGGTTATAACCAATTTGCTGAATAATAAATTATCCCAAAACTTAGCTACTTAAAACAACAAACATTATCTCACAGTTTCTGTAAGTCAAAAGTCCAGGTCTCTCATGAAGTTGCAGTCAGGCTCTTGGCTAGGGCTGCAGTCATCTGAAGGATTAGTAAGTCGCTAAGCCCACACTTAAGCTCCACCCTTGAAGGGAGAAGTTTGGAAAGAATTTGTGAACATATTTTTAAATCACATATGCTATGAACAGGTTTAGGGGAGGGAGAGGAAAGAAAACTTTAACTTTTCATTAGCATACTGCATCTGTAGTTCCTAATGGGCATGTTGTAAAGATGTTAAGACGTTTTCTATGCATTATAGGTATATAGTAGTATTTTGTTTTGTTCTGTTTTTTTGTTTGGTATGTAGTAGTTTTTAATCAAACCTTAACGTATTTGATATTAAGATTTATTGAGTTTCTTGTTGAGATGTAGAAATAAAGGGGATCCATTTCATTTATCCATCTACTGTTGCCATGTCCCCTTCACTCATGTCCAGTCTACTTATCAAGGTATATAATGGCAGACACATTTACAAGGCATCTATCTGGGATTTGGATCTGCCCTGCCAGGCAAAAATTACTGAAAAGAGTCAAGAACCAGACCTGTGTTTCTAAGATGGTGGATCTCTAGATTACTTACTTCATCAAACAGATTTAAACAGTCAAGAGTTTGCCTTGGCAGATGTGTTTGCTTTCAATATATGAGCTATAGCCTGGTTGATTCTTTAAGAAAGTAGGAGGGAAGCCTGAGTATAAATTTATTGCTGTTTTGAAAGTGAAGAACCCTTATAAAGATTCTGTGATTAGTGGGTTGACTTTCTTCCCTTTTCTTCAAAATCTGTTTCTTTTGGGTGTGGGGAGAAGGAATATTTTCTATTCTCCCTATCCTAGATTTTGCTTATTTAGAAATATACAGCACTGGAGGCCGGGTGCGGTGGCTCACGCCTGTAATCCCAGCACTTTGGGAGGCCGAGGTGGGTGGATCATGACATCAGGAGATCGAGACCATCCTGGCTAACACGGTGAAACCCCATCTCTACTGAAAATACAGAAACTTAGCCGGGTGTGGTGGTGGGCTTCTGTAGTCCCAGCTACTCGGGAGGCTGAGGCAGGAGAATGGTGTGAACCCGGGAGGCGGAGCTTGCAGTGAGCCGAGATTGTGCCACTGCACTCCAGCCTGGGCGACAGAGTGAGACTCCGTCTCAAAAAATAATAATATACAGCACTGGAGAGTATTTACACATAATCCTAACAGACATATGCCAGTAGGGCAAAGCCACATTGATAAACATGAGTATCCGGTCCCTTCCAAGCACTGCCATTAATGCAACATCTGCTCTAGCCAGGCTTTAACATTGCACACATTAGCTATTCTTGTCCCTGCCTGCATGCTATTGTACATGATTCTGTGTCTACTTGGATTTATTATCACCTATCAAAACCTTGCCTGTCCTCTGTTGAATTGGTAATGCATTTTTTGAGTATCTATTGGATGTAATGCATTATACCAATCTCGGGATTTAAAGATAAATTTAGGATTGGTTTCTGCCTTAAGAGTATTTCCTAATCTAGTTCAGGAGATAGATATGCATAATTAGCTATAATATAAGTGAAAATGTTCAACTGACACAATAGTGCAAAGGAGTAAGAAAAAGGGACACTTGGAAATCAGAGAAAGGCTTAGTAGGAATGACCTTTAAGCTGTTTGAAAGACAAGTAAAAATGTGGACAAAAAGGAAGTGGAGCGTTGCAGCATGAGGGAAAATCATGAGAGGAGCTGGATTTAGGAAGTAGCGAAGTTGGTCATGTGAAAAGCATGGGGGTGAAATATGATAAGTGGGAGATGAAGTTGAGGTATGTTGGAGCTCAATAGTAGGAGATTTGAATGTTATGCCTAGTTTGGTTTGAATCGGAAAGCAATGAGGAGGCATTAAAGGCTTTTAAGCAAAATGATGAATTTTAGGAAGGCTACAGTATAAAAAATTATTTAGAGAGGAGAAAGACCAATGGCAAGGAGGTGTTAACTGTACATATAGCAGGTGTATTAAAAAGGTATAGATTGGAAAGCTATTTAAGAGGCAGCAGATATCTGATTTTACCCTATCCTCAAAATAAATGTTTACTTGTAACATTGAATCACAACTGGGTAACAGACATTGTGCTAGGTGTTGGGAATACAAAGTTAAAACACATTTTTCAGTGTTTACAGTTTCACAGAAGGAGACAGACATCTAAATGGGTACAAAAATGTAAATATTGTGATTAATTTCTGTAATGGGTAAGAGTTACATGAAGAGGTAGGAGTTGTTCTACCTGTAGACATCAAAAAAGATCTCATAAATGAGCTAAAACTTGACCTAAAAACCGTATCTTATTTTTCCCCTGTATCTAGAATCAAGCTTGGCAAGCAGCAAACATTTAATCAATATGTAAAGATGGTCTTGACTTACAATGGTTCAACTTAGGATTTTTGGGCTTTACAATGATGCCAAAGCAAAATGCAGTCAATAGAAATCATACTTCAAGTATCCATACAGCCATTCTGTTTTTTTATTGGTAGGTTAGGTATGTTAAATGCATTTTCAACTTACAATATTTTCAACTTATTATTTGTTTGTTTGTTTATTATTTTTGTTGACATGAGGACCTGGTATGTTACTTAGGCTGGTCTTGAACTCCTGACCTCAAGTGATCCACCTCAGCCTCCCAAAGCGATGCAATTATTAGCATGTGCCACTGTGCTCAGCCTGAACTCACAATGAGTTAATCTGGATATAATTCCATCACAAGTTAATGAGCATCTGGATTATTGATGTGTGCATGTTCTCCAGCTGATAAGGTTGGAGGTAGGGGTGTGACAGCTCAGTAAGCGAAGATATGGCCCAGATCGCTCAGTAAGCGAAGAAATAGCATGTATGTACAGAATTATGCAGTAAGATGTTTCAAAGACAACTGAGGTTTTTACTAAGTGTTGCCACTGACTTAAAATATTAGAATAGAGAGGGGGTGAAAAGACAAGTTGTGTTTTCAACTAAACGTCAGCAGAACAATTACGGGGATGTCCTATAGAACACTGAAAATGTGGGTCTGTAACGTAGGAGAGAGGAATAGATAGGCATGTTATGTTTAGGGCTCATCTTTGTGCTGAGACACCAGGAAAGGTGGGGCTTGCCTGTCTGAGACCAACCTGGCCTTTTTTTATTTTCTCCTTGCTATGGTTTTAATGTGTTCCCTTTCAAAATTCATGTGTTGGAAACTTAATCTCTAATGCAACAGTGTTGGGAGGTGTGGCCTTTGGGAAGGTGGCTAGGTCATGGATGGATTAGGCCATTATGAAAAGGGTGTATGGGGGTGGGTTCACCCTCTTCTGATCTACTGTCATGTGAGGATTCAAAATTCATCCGCTCTTGCCCTTCTGACTTCCACCATGTGAGGACACAGTAAGGCACATACGAGACGCAAGTGCCTGGATCTTGTACTTCCTGGGCTTCAGAACTGTGAGAATTACATTTCTGTTCTTTATAAATCACCCTGTCTGTGGTATTCTGTTATAGCAGCACAAAATAGACTAAGACACTCCTCTTCCCCTTTGCTAGGGCCAAGGGCCTGGACTTAGGTTACACATCAGGTTCATTAAGCAAGTAAATACATTGCGAATAATGGGGCCCGGGCGTGGTGGCTCACGCCTGTAATCCCGGCACTTTGGGAGGCCGAGGCGGGTGGATCACCTGAGGTCAAGAGTTCGAGACCAGCCTGGCTAACCTGGTGAAACCCTGTCTCTACTAAATTACAAAAATTAGCTGGGCATGGTGGCAGGTGCCTGTAATCCCAGTTACTCGGGAGTCTGAGGCAGGAGAATCACTTGAACCCAGGAGGTGGAGGTTGTGGTGAGCTGAGTTCAGCCATTGCACTCCAGCCTGGGAGACAGAATGAGAATCCTTGTCAAAAAAAAAAAAAAATGCCGATAATGGGAAAGGGGAAGGCAAGAATAAACCCTGTGATATTCTATTGGAATTGGAAGTATCAGAGTGAACTCATGGTATTTAATATACAGTGAGAGAGATGAAGAAACAGTTACAGCTGTGTGAGTACATATGCATACATTTTTTATTTTATTTATTTATTTTTATTTTTATTTTTATTTTTTGAGACAGAGTTTCACTCTTGTTGCCCAGCTGGAGTGCAATGGTGCAATCTCGGCTCACCACAACCTCCGCCTCCCGGGTTCAACCGATTCTCCTGCCTCAGCCTCCTGAGTAGCTACAGGCATGTGCCACCACGCCCGACTAATTTTGTTTGTTTGTTTGTTTGTTTGTTAATATAGAGATGGGGTTTCTCTATGTTGGTCAGGCTGGTCTTGAACTCCCAACCTCAGGTGATCTGCCTTCCTTGGCCTCCCAAAGTGCTGGGATTACAGGCATAAGACACCTTGCCTGGCCCTTTTTTTTAAAAGACACAGGCTCATTTTGTCGCCTAGGCTGGAATGCAGTGGCACGATCTCAGTTTACCACAACCTCCGCCTCCTGGGTTCAAGCAATTCCCCTGCCTTAGCCTCCCGAGTAGCTAGGATTACAGGCGCCCACCACCACGCCTGGCTAATTTTTGTATTTTAGTAGAGATGGGGTTTCACCATGTTGGCTAGGCTGGTCTCAAACTCCCGACCTCAAGTGATCCACCCGCCTTGGCCTCCCAAAGTGCTGTGATTACAGGCATGAGCTACTGTGCCCGTCCCATTTTTCCTTATTGTGCTGAGAGGGTCTAGATGCAGTGACAATTTAGTAGCAATGGCACATGTAACATCCAGATCTTGGTTTCTATATCCCGTTCTTCACTAAAAGAAACCAGGGCTCTTTGAAGAAATTACTGATTGTAAGTTTGGGTCAGGGAACAATGGAAGATGAATCTGGAACATCACGTTGCACCAGAAAGAAAGTGTTCACTGGGCGTGATGGCATATGACTATGGTCCCAGCTACTTGGGAGGCTGAGGTGGGAGGATTCCTTGAGCCCAAGAGGTTAGGTCTGCAGTGAGCTATGATCACACCACTACACTCTAGCCTGGACAACAGGGTGAGACCCTGTCTTAAAAAAAAAAAAAAAAAAAAAAAAAACCAGCCCGATCAACATGGTGAAACCCCGTCTCTACTGAAAATACAAAAATTAGCCGGGCATGGTGGCGTGTGCCTGTAATCTCAGCCACGCAGGAGGCTGAGGCAGGAGAATCGCTTGAACCCAGGAGGCGGAGGTTGCAGTGAGCCGGAATTACGCCACTGCACTCCAGCCTGGCAACAGAGCGAGACTCCATCTCAAAAAAAAAAAAAGAAACCTCTGAAAAATATTCTATCTTGCCAAGCGTGGCTCATGACTGTAATCTCAACACTTTGGGAGGCCGAGGCAGGAGAATCGCTTGAGCCCAGGAGTTTGAGGACAGTCAGGGCAACACAGTGAGACCCTGTCTCTACAAAAATAAAAATTAAAAAATTAGCTGGACGTGGTGGCACACACCTGTAGTCTCAGCTATTGGGGAGGCTGAGGTGAGAGGATTGCTTGAGCCATGGAGATCAAGGCTGCAGTGAGCTGTGATCGCGCTACGGTACTCTAACCTGGGCAATAGAGCAAGGCCCTGTCTCAAAAAACAAACAAAACCATTCTATCTTTCAGCCAAAACTCGTCTCCACCTGAGTATGTAGTCTGTCCTTCTTCCTGGGGCAACAACAACAACAAAAAGCTTACCTCTTCTCACAGGGAGAGACCTGTGCCCAATCACTGGTGTGCTGAAAATATGCCCACTCTTTCCTACGCCTCACCATCCATAGATAATAT
This sequence comes from Homo sapiens, assembly GCF_000001405.40. Classification (NCBI taxonomy): domain Eukaryota; kingdom Metazoa; phylum Chordata; class Mammalia; order Primates; family Hominidae; genus Homo; species Homo sapiens. Next base: position 60,414,248 of record NC_000015.10, on the reverse strand, counting down.
TATCCAACGCCAAGTAAACATGAGTCATACACAGTTTTGCAAACTGGTTTTTCAGCAGACATCTGTCCAACTTAAGCCGCTGAAACTGAAAAAAAAAAAATTAAAGCTTTTTTGGTTTAACCTCTCAGATGGAACTCCAAATAAATAATGAGAGTATCATGTCTGGGAACAGTCTCACTGACTACATAATCCTTCATGAGACAATATTTACATTTGTCCCTGAAGTTTTCAACTGAAAGTCAGAAAGGGATCCAGAATAAATGATCAAGTGATTAAGATCCACCTGTTTAATTGAATGAGAGAGTTAACATTTCTATACAACTAAGAATAGAATGTATTTTATGTCTGGTCTGTGTTTTAGGGAATTGGTGTCTTATTTTTAACTAATATCTAGTCATGGGTCCCAACAATACCCAAACAAGAGTTTTACTATTGTGAAAAATAAATAATTGAACACTGTTTGCAGGTATAATGTCTCCCCTCTGCCCCATCAAAAGTGATGCAAATTATAACTCCCAAGTGCCACAATGGGCAGTTGGAAATAGTTTCTGTCCAGCACCAATCTGCAGTCTTGTAGAAATGCGCAACGAGTTTCTTCTGAGTTCGGAAAGTGGGGTGGGGGAGCGTGTGAAGTCACAGTGCAGCAGGCTTGCATAGCTCTGTCTATGTGTGCATGTTGGGAGGCTAATAAAGTGATAGGTCCGTTCCTAATTCGGTTTGGCTTTTTTGATATTACACTCTAGCGTCTGAAAACTTTTACTCTTAAGGAGCAGGACTCTGTAACTGACTAAGTGCCTAAGGCCTAAATGTCATTTTGCATACAAGGCTGTCAGCCAAGCCTTCTGCCTCCCAGGAGCCCAGTGCTAGAGTTAATTCACATCCAGCCGTGAGGAAGTCTTCGGAATGTTAAGACTGTCAGCTGCAACTTTCAGAGGAAGAAAAGTATGAGAGGTTGAGTCTTAGAAGTAGCCAGCTCAGGGTTGGATTTTGTTGGAAGAAGCAGTTAGGGGAGGAAAGGGGAAAGAGCACTGAAACATAGTCTCAACTCTGCCATTTGCTAAGGCCCTATCTCTTCCCTCTTCAAGTCCTGGTATTTTCATCGGTCAAACCTGGATATTGGCCGGGCGCGGTGGCTCACGCCTGTAATTCCAGCACTGTGGGAGGCCGAGGCGGGAGGATCACGAGGTCAGAAGATTGAGACCATCCTGGCTAACACGCTGAAACCCCGTCTCTACTAAAAATACAAAAACATTAGCCGGGCGAGGCGGCGTGCGCCTGCAGTCCCATCTGCTGGGGAGGCTGAGGCAGTAGAATGGCGCGAACCCGGGAGGCGGAGCTTGCAGTGAGCAGATATCGTGCCACTGCACTCCAGCTTGGGTGACAGAACAAGACTCCGTCTCAAAAAAGAAAACAAAACAAAACCTGGATATTATATGCCTTTCTAGCATATCCTACTGGCTGTAGTACCCATCTAATAAATAATGAACATGAAAGTTCTTTTAAAAATGCAACCCACTGTATAAATGTGAAGTATTGTAGTGGCACACGCCTGTAATCTCAACTACTCAGGAGGCTGAGGCAGGAGAATCAGTTCAACCTGGGAGGCAGAGGTTGCAGTGAGCCGAGATCGCACCACTGCCCTCCAGCCTGGGGGACAGAGTGAGAATCCATCTCAAAAAAAAAAAAAAAAAAAAAAAAAAGACTGTGGAAGTTATCTTGAGATGGGAAATAATCAAAAGCTTTTTAATGGGGGGGGTGGGTGGGAGTTGGGATAGGCAACATGGTTAAACTTCTAGAATGGAAAGTATGACTACAATAGATAGGATAAATTGAGGGGGCAGGTTGGAAACTACGGAAGTCTGAGGACATGGAGCTCAGGAGACCTTATTTTTCAATCTAAACCTAAGGCTGGCCAGGTGCAATGGCTCGCACCTGTAATCCCAGCACTTTGGGACGCCGAGACAGGAGAATTGCTTGACCCTAGGAATTCGAGAACAGCCTAGACAACATGAAAATACCTCGTCTCTGCAAAAAATTTTAAAAAGTTATCCGGGTATGGTGGCATGTGCCTGTCATCCTGGCTACTCAGGAGGCTGACGTGGGAGGATCACTTGAGCCCAGGATGTCGAGTCTGAGGTGAGCCATGACTGCACCACTGCACTCCAGTCTGGGTAACAGCATGAGACCCTGTCTCCAAAAAACAAAAACAAAAACACCCCTAAGTTTACAGTGATCAGTCCTACTTGGCAAGCTGTTCACTCTTGTTTCTGTGTACTAAATATGCCTGCCATATGGTGAGAATGCAGCCAAGCCAAGGAGATGGAAGGTGCAGATTTTAAATCTACTGGAGTGGAACAAATAAGTAATAAGGGGGTAAGAACTACAGACCCTCACACACAGTGGGGCAGGTGCCTCTCCTTCTTCTAGGCTCCAAAGCTAAATGGGATAGGGGTTCCTTTCAAAATTTTTCTTTGGAGAATTACATTTGAATTATATCATTTGGAAGTGAACTTTGAATGTGGAAAAAAGTGTGGTAACCTTCCAAGAAAGTCACTTAAAAAAATAATGGCTAACCCTTTTTTAATTTGTTTTTGAGATGGAATCTCGCTCTGTCACCCAGGCTGGAGCGCACTGGCGTGATCTCGGCTCACTGCAAGCACCGCCTCCCAGGTTCACGCCATTCTCCTGCCTCAGCCTCCCTAGTAGCTGGGACTACAGGCACCCGCCACCATGACCAGCTAATTTCTTTGTATTTTTTTTGGTAGAGACAGGGTTTCACTGTGTTAGCCAGGATGGTCTCGATCTCCTGACCTTGTGATCCACCCGCCTAGCCCTCCCAAAGTGCTGGGATTACAGGCATGAACCACCACGCCTGGCCGGATAACTCTTTAAATGCTACTTTTTGTCTAGCTGGTCTTTCTCCTAACCTTTTTAAAGTCGAACCAGGTACAGTGGCTCTGGCCAGGAGTGGCTCATGCCTATAACCCCAACATGTTGGGAGACTGAGGCAGGAGGATCACTTGAGCAAAAGTTCAAGACCAGCCTGAGCAACAGGGAGACCCTGGCTTTACAAAAACAAATTTTTAATTATTCATGAAGGATCATTTGAGCCCAGAAGTTCGAGACCAGTTTAGGCAACATAGTGAGACCCCCCATCTCTAATAAAAATTAAAATTAAAAAAAAAAAGATGTTGGGCTGGGGTTGGTGGCTCACGCCTGTAATCCCAGCACTTTGGGAGGCCAAGGTGGGCAGATCACTTAAGGCCAGGAGCTCGAGACCAGCCTGTAGAGATGGTGAAACCCCATCTCTACAAAAAATACAAAAAATTAGCTGGGCATGGTGGCACGTGCCTGTAATCCCAGCTACTCAGGAGGCTGAGGCAGGAGAATTGCTTGAACCCGGGAGACAGAGGTTGCAGTGAGCTGAGATGGCGCCACTGCACTCCAGCCTGGGCAACAGAGTGTGACTCTGTCTCAAAAAAAAAAAAAAAAAAAAAAAAAAAGGCCAGGCTCGGTGGCTTACACCTGTAATCCCAGCACTTTGGGAGGCTGAGTTGGGCAGATCACCTGAGGTTGGGAGTTCGAGACCAGCTTGACCAACATGGAGAAACCCCATCTCTACTAAAAATACAAAATTAGCTGGGCGTGGTGGTGGGCTACTTAGGAGGCTGAGGCAGGAGAATCGCTTGAATGAATCCAGGAAGCTGAGGTTGTGGTGAGCTGAGATCATGCCATTGTACTCCAGCCTGGGCAACAAGAGCGAAACTCTGTCTTAAAAAAAAAAAAAAAAAAAAGATGCTGCAGCCTTGAAAGAGAAAATTGGGCTTAAACGTTAAAACAAACCCAGCGCAGTGGCTCACGCCTGTTATCCCAACACCTTGGGAGGCCAAGGCGGGTGGATCACTTAAGGTTAGGAGTTTGAGACCAGCCATAGCCAACATGGTGAAACCTCATCTCTACTCAAAATACAAAAATTAGCCAGCCATGGTGGCGGGCACTTGTAATCCCAGCAACTTGGAAGGCTGAGGCAGGAGAATTGTTTGAACCCGGGAGGCAGAGGTTACAGTGAGCTGAGATCACGCCACTGCACTCCAACCTGGGCAACGGAGTGAGACTCCATCTCAAAAAACACGAAAAACACCAAAAAAAAAAAAAAAACAGTTAAAACAAAATGGTAATATGGAGACCTGTACTGTCAGCCCATGTGGGTCCCAGGCCATTCTCCCCTACCTCTCTGCCATTCCTTTTTAATTAGATATTAAGGGTATAAGGGCTTCATGTTTTTTTTAACAAAACAGGGCAGATAATTTTATAATATACATAATTTATTAGTAGACTAACAGAAGCAATGTTGACTATTCCAAGATATGATTTCTGTTTATGAAGGAAGAGTAGCTGCAGCCCTAGGAGAGGGGTCAACATCTTTGAGGACTGGCTTGGGTGAGTGGCAGATGCAGATGTCTCAGGTCCAACCCTGCATCCACTAACTCTGTACCTTCCTTTTTTTTTTTTTTTTTTTTTTTTGAGACGGCGTCTTGCTCTGTTGCCCAGGCTGGAGTGCAATGGCGTGATCTCAGCTCACTGCAACCTCCGCCTCCCGGGTTCAAGCTATTCTCCTGCCTCAGCCCCCCTAGTAGCTGGGACTACAGCCCCCGCCACCACTCCCAGCTAATTTTTATACTTTTAATAGAGATGGGGTTTCACCATGTTGGTCAGGATGGTCTCGATCTCTTGACCTTGTGATCCACCCGCCTCGGCCTCCCAAAGTGCTGGGATTACAGGCGTGAGCCACCGCGCCCGGCCTGTCTGTACCTTCTTAACTCTTTTGTTGTCTGGGTTCATGTTTCAGCTTGTTCCAGTTATCCAGAATGCCCACAAGAATACCACAGGTTTTGGAAGAGAAAGGGGATGGCAGATGTTAGCCTGTTCCTGTGGAGACTTACATAGGGCTGATGTCATTCATTGGAAACCACATCACACTTAGCTATTCCCTTGCTTGTGGGAATACTGGATTTTTAAACTCTTTTTTGCTGTATAAGTACATTATTCATGTTATCATTGAATATTCCATTTCAGTTCACTACATTTTTGAACATTTTTACCCTCACCAAATTATTACTTTTAAATAATATCACATGATTTTGAATATTGAGTATTTCAGGAAGTCCAAAATCTTGATTGGACTGATAGATATCCACTTCAGCCCTCATATCAGAATGATTAAATATTTTTTACAACCAGAAAATAAATCTTGCTGAGTTCACTGAACAGTGTTATCAAATGAGGGCCTGATCAAATCAGTATCCTCTTCTGCTACTATGTTTTCCCCTCTTAATCACCAGCCCTGGTCCAGAATGACTGCTAGCTCTTCCTCAAAACTCCTCTCAAGTGACCAGAATTTGCCTTCAGCTTTGAGGGAAATACTTAAGCAGAGGGTTTCCAAAACTATCTTCACAATGGTGGCATTAATCAAATACCTACCTTCTCTAATGACTAATTCTCTTCACCTGTTTTTATACTGGATGGTTTGTTTAAAAATAAACAGTCACACCTCTCTACATTGCCACTTCCTGCTGATAGAGAATACATTGGTTTATGTTACATTTCCTCTTTCATGGTTGTGCAATGGCTTCAACTAACTATGAGCAACTTTAATGCATTGGCCAAGATGGAATGGCTTACTTCCTTTCTCTAATGGTGAACTGTTCCTTGACAGAATTAGTCATTCTCTTATTGTATTCTCCTGGCACTTAGATTTCATATCTGATGCATTTGTCAAATTATCATTACATATTAACTTCCACTAGTCCTTAAGGTGGAGTTTGATGTTTCTTCCTATTATATGTGCTGTGTAGCCCTGCCTGGCTTGGCATTTAGTGGATACTCAATGTTTGTTAAATTGAATGACTCTTGGGGGTTCCTTGATTATTATAATCAGGTAGATACTGGCAGCTTTTTCAGATGGTCAAAACCAATTAGATTTCTTTTTATCTTTTTTTTTTTTTCTTCTTAGAGACAGGATCTTACTCTGTCATCCATGGGGGAGTGCAGTGGTGGGAATCATAGTTCACCGCAGCCTCAAACTCATAGGCTCAAGCTATCCTCCTGCTTCAGCCTCCTGAGTAGCTGGGACTACAGATGTGCACTGCCATACCCAACTAATTTTTTTTTTTTTTGTAACAATGGGATCTTGCCTTTTTGCCCAGGCTGGGCTCAAACTCCTGGCCTCAAGCAATTCTCCCACCTTGGCCTTCCAAAGTGTTGGGATTGCAGGCGTGAGCCACCACGTCCAGCCTGAAACAAGGTTTTTATCTCTACGATGCGTTCTTTTTTCTTTTTTACTGATTTCATAGAAAAATATTTATAAAACAATTGATAAACAGCCAAGTCCATGTAATTGATAATTACCAGAATAGGGAGTCCTCTTTAAAAATATGTCTTAGTTAGGAGTATTATAAGTTTGTTTCTTCATTATTTTACAATTCTAACAGTTTTTCCTTAGATTCCTTCCTTTTAAGCTGCAATATAACCTGAATACTGGAAGGGTTCTTCTTCCCCCTCCCTAGTTGCTTTAGCTGATGAATCATAGAAATCAGAGAAGGGGAAGACCAGTGAAGTCATCTGATTCATCTCCAAATCAGGGAGTGGAGCATTGGAATTTGGGGAAGACCAACCTCTCATTTTAAGAGAAAAGAGGTTTTTTTGGTTTTTTTGTTTGTTTGTTTTTCCAGCTTGAGCTGATTAGAGCAGCTTACCCATCTGTTTGCCTTTTGCTTCTAACACAATTCTGAGACCCCACCCTATTAGAAAGCAATCAGGCCTTCTTACCAAAAACCCCAGGAAAACCAGATGCCAAAATGTTAAGTAGTTGAACTAAAATTCTACTACCTGAGTAATAAAGTTGGTTTATGAATCTCTCAGTGATTGTTTTAACTGAGTCTTACAGAATTTGAGACTGTTTTAGCAGGGTCTTACAAATGTAAGAGCTAGCAAGGAATTTACAGATGATCTGGGCCAAAATATTCTGTTCTCCAGATGCTAAGAAACTAAAATTTATTTATGTATGTATTTTTATATTAACTGGCTCAGAAAGTAAAAACTAAAATTTAGATGTGAAAAAATGTCATTATGCTGTAGTCAGGAGTATAAACCTCTCCCTTCACTGCTCTCTGTATCACAATGTCACGGTATCCTCCCTCACAATGTTCTCTTCCACTGTCTTCTTCCTTTCCTCCTCCTTCTCCTTCCTATTCTTCTCTTTTTTGCATTGTTTGAAGAAATGGCAGAGATGATTTAGTATGCATGCCAGCGATTCATTCCAACCTCACCCAATCTCCCAGCATCATGGTCACAGAGGCAATGGATGCCACCCCAGCCCCAGCTGCAGCCTGTCCCCTCCCTCCTTGCTTCCCTCCTACTTGCATTTGTGTTCTTCCAGCCATAGAACTTGGCTTCCCCCTCTGTTTAAATTCTGCTCTTGTATTTCAGACTTTTTAACAGATCAGAGTGCCCTTGGCTTCTCCCTTGGTATCTAGCTTAGCTGTACTCCAACTTCTCATGTTCTCCCAAAGCAACCATATACCAGCTCTGGCCTCTTGGGTTACAAAACTGGGTTCCATTCTGCTTGCTGCTTGCCAACACTCCCTGAAGAGTGGGGAGGAATATTTGCACTCTATTGCTAGTGATAGCTTTAAGTGTGTCCTTAGTGTATATACCCATATTTAGTCACCTAAGTATGTTATCACAGGTTCACTTTATTAGAAACCTAAGTTCCTTTGCAACATATGGACATTTAACAGTTGCCTGTTATAATTATCTTAATGATATTCGACACAGCTTTATTTTACTTTAAAGTGATATTTCTCAATTGCAGCTATATGTTTAAATAATCTAGGAGCTAAATACATGCTGGGGCCCCACAATCCAAAGAGTCTGAATGAAAGCAACAACTTTATATGCATGTATTCAATTACACAGGGATACCCCTCCTAATTTGAACAAAAAAGGAATTCAGAGAAAGAAGGCCAATCATATTTGGTAAAAATGATCTATTGATCTACTTGTAAAAAGGTTTAATTTTATTATTCAAAGTACTTCCATTTAGAAATCCTATTGGGCCTTTTCAGTGAACAGATAAATCTTGTCTGTGTTTGGCAATATAGATGTGCATGTATATGATTAATGTGCTTAAATTATTACATTTGCATATTAAGGATCAAGTTTTTGAGCTAAAACAGAATTTGATAATTTTTTAGTCAAAGACCCTTATTTTCCAGGTGAGGAACAGGACCAGAGAGCTTAAGTGACATGTACAAGTACACCCAGTTTATATAGGAGCTAGGACCGGAGCCCAAGCCTCCTGAGTTCTATGATGAATATCAGAGTATCCAGTAATAGAGTCCACTCCAACAACGTCAGGTCTCTCAACATGGAGAGCATGTTATGAGCCCCACGCTGGGGTTACAAAGATGAACAAGGAGCTCCTAGTTTGATGGTGCAACCTGAAACATAAACAGTCATAGTACCAAGAGATAAAAGATGTAATACAAACAATACAAAGCTTATATGAACAAAGAAATGTGCTCTACCCTTCCCATAAACTTCATGCCACGAGTTATCTTATTTATTATATTAATTTGCTTAGCAAGCTTTTTTTCTTCATGCATTGTATGAAATATATAAGCATTGGCTCTGCCTAAGTTGTATTCTCATAGATTATAACTAGAAGAAACAAAATCACATGAGATGTTACAATATTGAGTGTTTTCTTTGTCAGCAGAGAGTGCTATGATGTCCATCTTTTCCTCTATTTATAGATTTTTAAATTATTGTTTTCTTAAATATACATGAAAAATACCATCAAAAAGATTCAAGTTTTCCCCAAAGCCTGGCATGACCTGTCATAATCTTAAGTGTAAGAAGACAGCCCTTCTTTTCGCTGGCTATATGTCTTTTTTTTTTCAACTCTTTTTAAAACTATAGAAGGTGTCTCTATTAACTGTTAACAAAAATCAAACAATGCAAACAAGCATATGTAGTAAAGGTGAACACTCTCCTGAACAAATACTTTTCCCAAAGCTGACCAATATCACTTTGGTGTACATACTTCCATATATTTACATATGTGCTTACATGAACCTACTTATGCAGACATATATGAATATACACATAAATGTGTGAATACACATAAATATTAACATAAATAGAATCAATTTAGTCATATTATTCTGTTTGACTTTTTTTTTTTTGGCTGTAAGTTTATTCAATGCAAAATAATCCTCTCCAATTTTACTGAGATGGCTGACCATGTCCACGACCAAATCTGCCTCTAAACTGGAATTCGGTTGCTGACCCACTCCCAGCATCGGCTTTCTTGTCAGCACCAGGGAGCACAGCATTCCATCTGTAGGTATCCCTGTTGGCTTCCCCTCTTGTGAGTCTTGCAGGTCACTCACCCTCCAGACCTTTAGGCCGAGGCCTGCCAGTCTCTGGACGGCTGTGGCATAGGGTGGCAGGCACAATCTCCGGGGGCAGATGAAGGTAATCACGGAGATGGTGGATACCCTCATTGGTAAGGTACCAGTAGAAATGTCTCCAGGCAAACTGTTCCTTCATGTAGCCTCGGGACTTGAGAGACTGCATGGCCTTCATGACATGAAGGTTGGGCACATTCTTGTCTGCCAACTCTGGCTGCTTAGGCGTGTAGACATCCTTCTTGGCCACCATGGCTCCCTCCTTAAAAAGGAGTTCATAAATGGCAATCCGGTTCTTCTTAGGCATCAACATTTCGGCGGCTGTAGCGTCTGGGGCCGGGGCTGGAAAAAAAGGAGACTTTTTTTTTTTTTTGAGACGGAGTTTTTCGCTCTTGTTGCCCAGGCTGGAGTGCAGTGGCGCAATCTCGGCTCACCGCAACCTCCGCCTCCCGGGTTCAAGCGATTCTCCTGCCTCAGTCTCCCAAGCAGTTAGGACAGTATTTTTCATGAAATAAAATATTTTGAGTGAATATGAAAACACACAAAAACATAGCTGCATTTTGAATGCTTTTATCTTTATTAAGGGTCTACTGAATGTATTTTGGGTGTTTTGAATTTTTTAACTTTGAAGACTAATTCCATTTTTTAACTTTGAAGACTAATTCAAAGTTAAAAAAAATTCAAAACACCCAAAATACTTTCAATAGACACTTAATGAAGATAAAAACATTCAAAATGCAGCTATGTTTTTGTGTGTTTTCATGTTCACTCAAAATATTTTATTTCATGAAAAATACTGTCCTATTTTGAATAGGCTCTATGGCTAAGAAATACGTATTGTATTGCAGAATTAGGGTTTTTTTTCTATTGATAACAGACACTTAGCAGCTAAATATTTGTATTTTCTACAAAATTAGATGGAAAAATGCTGTTGGAAGAAACAATAGGCTGATAGGGTTTGAAATATTCATTCTCTGACATGCCAATGTATAAATGCAGTAAAATGTGCTGAGTTAAGAATAAGATGCTTACACCTCAGGAAGCATCCCAATATTCCAGTGGGTTAATATAGGAATGATCTTGACAGAGTGGGCATCTGTAGCCAAATCAGTTTTCATAATGTTTTATACATCATATCGTAACTTAGCAATCCAGCAAGACACAGTTTTGCACTTACATTCTGCTTGTTCTTTCATTTAGCACTATATTTTGGAAATCTGTCCATGTCAGAACATGTTGATCTACTCCATTCCTTTCAGCAGCTTCATTCCACTGAACACATACTCTAAAATTAATTTAATTTAGCCTCATTGATGGCCACCTAGGGTGTTTCAATCTTAAAATGCTGATATAAATGTCCTTATACATATATTGTTATGGTCACGTAGAGCTCTCTCTTCAAGATAGCTTTCTTGAAGCAACATCACTGCATCAAAGGGCATGAGTATTTTAAGTATTGATAGATACTGACAAATTGCCCTCCCACCGATAATGTCTGAGAATTCCCATTTTGCCCATTTTCACCACACTGAATACTATACATTTTAATTTTTGCCAGGTGAGTTTAAGTATGAACAAAGGCAAGGTAATGCGTTTATGGAGAAAAATCTGATAGTAACAGGTACTGGGTAAGATAATGTCAATGCAAAGAGGAAACATCCAAATGCCTGTCCCCAAGAAGCTCCTGCCTAGTTGCTGAGACCAACAAATTAAAAAATAACAATGCGAGGTGACAATTGCAAGAGGAGAGGTATATTTTTAAAATGCCAAGAGAAGTAGTCAAATCTGCCTGAAGGGCTTGGGAAAGCCTTTGCTCTGCAGTAGAAAATAATATTTACTCTGAGGCTTGATGGATGAGGCAAAGTTCACCACTGAGGAAAGCAGGAAAGGGCATTCCAGCAGGAAAACAGGATGGAGGAAGGTACAAAGCATGAATGAGCCTGGCCTGTCCAGCAGTGGCACATGGAGCGGTGAAGAGTGAAGATGTGGGGGAATGAGGCTGCCCAGGTAGGTCAGAGCCCTGCTGGGAAGAGTTTCTGGAGAGGGGTCATATAATCAGAATTATGTCTCAGAAAGAGAATTCTGGCTGTCTCAGAGAATGAACTGAGGTCAAAAATGTCTGTTACAGCTGAGAAAGAGACATTGAAGTCACTGCAGATTTTTCCCTGGAAATGCCTCCAAACAAAATAGACATTGTGGTTTGTCCATACCAAGAGTACTCTGTGTGGTTTGGGTCATGACACGTGAATTCAACAAGGATTTATTGAGGTCTTACTATGCGTTCAGCAAGGCCAGCTGCTGCAAAGACTAAAAAAGCCAATGAAATAACTATGGCTTTTTTCATCACCTACAATATACCAGACATTCTTTATACATTTTTTAATCTTTTTTTTTTTTTTTGAGACGGAGTCTCACTCTGTTGCCAGGCTGGAATGCAGTGGCATAATCCTGGCTCACTGCAACCTCCGCCTCCCAGGTTCAAGCGATTCTCCTCCCTCAGCCTTCTGAGTAGCTGAGATTACAGGCACGCGCTACCAAGCCCAGCTAATTTTTGTATTTTTAGTAGAGACAGGGTTTCACCATGTTGGCCAGGATGGTCTGAATCTCTTGACCTTGTGATCCACCCGCCTTGGCCTTCCGAAGTGCTGGGATTACAGGTGTGAGCCACCACGCCCGGCAAAAACTTCTTTTTAAAGACTCCAAGAAAGATTTAATGTGGTACTTCGAAGACGATCTCAGGGCTTCTAAGAATCTTAAGTGCATTGTCCCACTGCAGCCTGACATGTAAAGTAGAGAGAGATCTATTTAAAAAAAAAAAAATGAATGTGAATCTTGGAACATGGAATTAAACCTCAGCAAGATTTATATAAATAAAGTTTTTGAGAAAATTGTATATAAATCTTGGAGCATGGTGTGAACCTTAATAAGATATGGAAAATCTACATGGTTTTTAAGATACTTGTATTAATGAAACAACTGCCAGCTTAAACCAGAAAAAGTGCAAAATGAAAAGAAGTTTCTAGACCTTTCAGTTTCTCCTGGCATGAATGAAGCAGACTGAGAGAACTGCTCAGCTACAAATATGGGCCATTCTTTTTTTTTTTTTTTTTCTTGAGACGGAGTCTCGCTCTGTCACCCATGCTGGAGTGCAGTGGTGCGATCTCAGCTCACTGCAACCTCCCCCTCCTGGGTTCAAGCCATTCTCCTGCTGCTCAGCCTCCCGAGTAGCTGGGACTACAGGCGCCCGCCACCACGCCCAGCTTAATTTTTTGTATTTTTAGTAGAAATGAGGTTTCACCATGTTGGTCAGGCTGGTCTTGATCTCCTGACCTCATGACCTGCCCTCCTCAGCCTCCCAAAGTGCTGGGATTACAGGCGTGAGCCACCATGCCTGGCCTGGGCCATTCTTAAGAAAAGGAAATACATCTTAAAGGGAGGAGCCTAGATATCAGAGGGCAAAACCAAAAACTTGAGTAGGGCAATGGATTAAAACAAGGATCAGCAAACTACAGCCCATAGGGCAAATCCAGCCTATTGCTTGTTTTTGCACAGCCTGTGAGCCAAGAGGCCTGGCAGCTTCAGCTTTTGCTTCTAGAAGGCTGGCTGCCATGACTACCGTGGTGTAGCAAAAGAGGAGAACCTGGAGGATGTAAGACCAAGGAAGAGAAAGGCCCAGCCTGCTCTTTGTCATTCTAGCAATCCCAGCTCAGGCGCCAGACGAATGAAGCTGCTTTCAATCTTCCAACCCCAACTAAGCTACCCAACCCAACATGCTGTGGAGGAGCACCAAGCTGTCCCCACTGGGTGTCCTGCTTAAATTGCAGAATTACAAGCAAGTAAATGGTTATGTTTAACCACTAAGTTTATGGGGATAATTTGTTATACTGCAAAGGTAACTGATACGAGGGCCTTGGGTGCATTATTTAATCCCTGGACTGGGCAGGAGATTTTATTTGGACTCCAATTTCTTCATATGTAAAAATCAAGAGCCGGGTATAGTAATTCACGCCTGTAATCCTAGAACTTTGGGAGGCTAAGGTAGGCAGATCACTTGAGCCCAGAAGTTCGGGACCAGCCTGAGCAGCATAGCAAGACTTTGTCGTCTCTACAAATAATAGAAAAATTAGCCAGGCTTGGTGGCGTGGGCCTGTGGTCCCAGCTACTCAAGAGGCTGAGAGGAGAGGATTTCTTGAGCCTCCGCAGTCAAGGCTGCGGTGAGCCCTAATCATGCCATGCGTTCCAGCCTGGGTGACAGTGTGAGATCTCAACTAAAAGATATAAGAATAATAATAGTAAAAATCAAGGATAGGGCAATTTAATCTCTAGGGTCCCTCCCTGCTTTAACATTCTATTATTCAGTGAATAATTGTATTTTATCATTCTATCACATTTAGTGAGTGCCTATCATTGCTAGCTAGGCGCTAGTAGGTGTTGAGTGCAGCAGATGAAGTGTGAACAAAACAAAGTCAAGCACTTAGAGAGCAATATGGACAACAGCAGACAATCTGAGGGCTGATGTAAACATTCTCCTCAACCAGGGGGGAAAATAGAGTCTTCTGACTAATAAAAGATCTTTTATACTGGAAGAACTGGCCTCACATTCCTCAGAAATAGCAAACTATGACTTCTAATAGCTTCATTTTTATGATAACATCAGTGCACATTTCTTTAGCATGATGCAAAGACTGGTGATTGTACAAATCTATAGAAGTTAGAATTTGTGGCATGCCCAAGATGAGCACAAAACTCTTTTGGACATTTGATGGCTTTTATATATTCCACATGATTTGAATTAAATTTTATCTTCTGTAAAGGGCCTATCACAGCACGATTAGGAGTAAGAGACTGTGGAACCTATCTTGAGATACACAGAAGGGAGGCTGAATCGTGCCCAATATTACTGTCTGCCTGTGTTCCCCTAACCTTCCAAAATGTTCACACAAAGTAAGCAGATAAACATTGTTTCTGACTTTGAAGCTTTCAGGCTAAATTGAAGAGCTATAAATGTAAATCAGCAATTGTACCCAAAGTGTTGCTTGATTTTCTATTTGGCTCTGTGGTAGGGCCCATCGCGTATAATTCCTCGTGAAAGCGCTGGGTAACAGAAAGCTTTGGGCGGGTTAAAAGACCTCAGCTGTGGCCGACTTTGCCTGTGTCACTCTATGCGAGTGGGCAGAGCACTGAATGTCTGTTGGCCTTGCTATCATTCTCTGATTCCCAGGAGTGAATTGACGCTCAAATGGAAAGTAAAAATGGATGTTAAGATAAATGGGAGATTGAAACACAGAATCATCAAAACCAGGAAAAAGAGCTGCAGGAAGTAGTGTGCAAGGAGGGGTTTAAAAAACGCAGCCAGAGATCCTCGGGATTCTCAGCGTCGCTTTCCTGTTAGTTTGAGGTTCGAATACAGTATTTGCGTCGTCTCACATACAACAAATAGGTGTCTGCCTGCACGTTGCCAACGTGACTCTTGGAAGAAAAGCGAGAAGCAGCAAAACCGAGCAAGGGAGTTGGCTAAACGGCTGCAAGAAACACACACACACACACACACACACACACACACACGGAAGAAAAGCGAGAAACAGCAAAACCGAGCAAGAGAGTTGGCTAAACGGCTGCAAGAAACACACACACACACACACACACACGGAAGAAAAGTGAGAAACAGCAAAACCGAGCAAGGGAGTTGGCTAACTGGCTGCAAGAAACTCTCTATCTCACTCTCTCTCTCTCTCTCTGTGCTGCAAGAAACTCTCTCTCTCTCTCTCTCTCTCTCTCTCTCGGAAGAAAAGCGAGTAACAGCAACACCGAGCAAGGGAGTTGGCTAAACGGCTGCAAGAAACACACACACACACACACACACACCACACACGCACACACACACCCCAGCAGTCATGAAAGAAGGAGAGGAAAGTTCTTTGTTGAAACTCCGGGTTCGAAACACACACACACACACACACACACACACACACACACACACACACACACACACGAAACTCCGGGTTCAAAGCTATGGGCCCCACCCCGCTCAGGACTGCCTGCTACGAGGCCGCGCAGAGATGCCCCAGGCGCGGAGAGAAGCGGAGCACAGCCGTGCTAGGGACAGGGGCGCCACCCTGGGCGGGACTGAGGTGGGATCCTGGCTCCCGGCTTTGGCCTCCCAGCCCAGGCTCGGGGCTTCCTGGCCCTCGGAGGCCGGGGCGGGCCAGGCTTTGCAGCACAGGGCGAATCTCCCTCCCTCCCCGGGCGCCCCCCGGGAACTGGCGGCCAGAGGTTAAGCTGACATGTTTGCAGACGGTAATGGGGCGCTGGATGCCAACAGCCCCAGCTCAGGGGAGTCCAGATTTATGTTTCTTGGAACAATTCTTTCCTCCATTGCATTAACGCCAAAAAAAAAAAAAAAAAAAAAAAAACACTTAATCAAGCCCAGAGTCTACTACTAAAGTCTTGTTAATTTATTAACCCAAGCCGAGGCTGAGAGCTCGACGTGGCACTTAAGAAGTAAAATGAGGAAAGGAGGAAGAAACGGGGTCCCTGTGGGCCTCGGGGCAGCCTCGGCCGGGCTTTCTCGGAGGGCAGGGCCAGGGGCGCTGGGGCCGCTCCCGCGTGGCGCGGCTCGGGAGCGTTCCAGGGCGCGGTCCCTGCGGGCCGGCGGGCCGGGGTGAGTCACCCCTGACTTGGGGTGGGAGCGGGCCGTGTAAGGGGGAGGCGGGGCGGGGCGGGGCGGGCCTCGCCTCGCCTAGGGAGGATGTGGCGGGTATAAAAGCCCCACCCAGGCCAGCCGGCTCTGCTCAGCATTTGGGGACGCTCTCAGCTCTCGGCGCACGGCCCAGGTAAGCGGGGCGCGCCCTGCCCGCCCGCGATGGGCCGCCAGCTAGCGGGGTGTGGAGACGCTGGGAAGAAGGGTACGGCCTGGCAGGGAGGCCCCGGCAACTGGCCCCGGAGGCCGTCGGGGGCAGGGGGCTGAAGGGACGGCCGGCACTGGAGAGTCTTTGGGGAGGGGGCTCAGGGACAAGGTGTTTGGGGCAGGGGTGAGGGGCCACCGGCCCTCGGGCCGGGAGGGTGCAGGGCAGAGGTGGTGGGGGGTCGGGCTTCTCTAAGAAGCCCTAGCGGGAGCGGGGCGAGGCGGCGTGGGGAGAGGGGCGGAGGGAGGCCCCGCATTCCAGACGCGCCAGGCGCCGCCGAGGCAGGGCGTGGCCGCCCAGGGAGCCGCAGGTCCCCGGCGCAGCAGTAGCAAGTGGGCTTTCCACTGCCCTCTAGAAAGTGCCCCCCATCTGCTCTAAGTTACTGTACTCGAAACAAACGCGCGCTTGTGGAGTTGAACCGACCAGCAGGAGGGAAGTAGCGGGGGAAGACGAGAGGGGGGAGTGTGAGTAGGCACCCCTCAGCCCCCCATAAAAGAAGACATTAAAACGTCAGTTATTCCCCTTGCTCTAGGTTATCTTGTAGCATAGCAACTTCGGATTTCACTCTACCCGGAGAGTTTCCCGCTTGGTTGAACACATTGGCCTCAGGAAGGTAGTGTCCCCCATGATTCTGTGGGGAGGGTTGTCCTGTTACTCGCCATGATGTGACAATGAGTCAGGAACTGAGAGTAGAGAGAAGGGCGTGGCCCCGGGGCCTCTCCCTTCTGGCCGCTCTGTGCAGCTGGCCCCACTGCTGGTGTGGAGGGCTTGGGTTCCATCAGCCGGCTGTTGAGAAGAAGGAGGGGAACACAGATAAGTTTCCTCATCTGGGAAGGTGGCTTAAGGATGCCTATTCTTACCACCACCCAGAGTTATTGGAGATTTCAAAAAACACAGTCATTAGGTAATAAATGTGTAAAGTACACAAAAAACAAAGTGCTGTGCAAATGCAAAGTGTCATTTTTGTAGTAAGATTGCCGTTTTAAAGCTGTGGGTGTTCTGAGTGCGTGTGTAAAAGAGCAGTGGCCTCATGGGTGCACGCTGGGCCATTACCAAGAACCTTAAGTTGTTGGTGTGCAAAGGCCTGGGCCCCAGACTGTACTGATGGATTCTGTTCACACGTGTGTGCTACTGTGCCTGTCTGGAACTTGGTGACTTGGAATGCAGAATGCACTTTCCCACTGAAACAGTGTTGCAGAAGGTGCTGACGTTCCCAGGCTAGCCCTGAAAGACCTTTTTAACATGCACTGCCTGATTATGGGATTGGTGGTGGGGAGGTGGAGGGTAGTGAGGGGCAATGTGTGTGTAGGAAGACTAAATCACTGAAATATTTTTCTGGAACTTTTTTTAGCTTTAAGGTTGACACTGAGTAAATTATTTTAATTGGAAAATTATGTCTTTGCCCCTGTTCCACTTTCTTTTTTCCACCTTCCACCTCCTTAGAGACGCTCTTCTGGCTCTTCCGTGACGCATTACAACAGCCATCCAGGCCGGTCCAGTTACGCTGCATTCCTTCCTCCTTCCCATTTCGGCGGACCTGCATCCAGCTAGAGACTAGCAGATTGAATCGATATTCATTAAGTTAGGAATGGTTGGTGGTCCTAAGAGCCTCAGCAACCGAGAGGAGTCTTGTTATTTAAAAAACAACGATACTGGGCGTGGTCGTGGGCCTGTAGTCCCAGCTGCTCAAGCTAGTGGATCTCTTGAGTCCAAGGCCAATGTGAGCAACATAGCAAGACCCAGTCTCAAAAAATAAATACATAATAATAATAAAAAACCCTCGTTCACCTAAACAGATCTATAATTTATAGAATGTAAAGCAGCAATATTCAGGCAATATTAAGGAAGATTTTTGGTAAGACTGGGGCAGCAGAGGTGCCCTTGATGGGCAAGGGCCAGGAGTGTTAACACAGTCCTGCTTAGTAATTTCTTCCCTTCTTCCAAGTCTGTCGATTATCTAAAGGTCAAGGGTTTGTCCAAAAATGTCCCTTGCATCTGCAGTGGAAGGATGTGACATGTATGTGCATTTTTACAATTGGAGGTTTGTGATTTGGAGACCGTTTAGATTTTGTAATTTCCCGCAGTGCCAACTAGACTGCCTGTGGTAAATGCCCAGGAAATATTGCTGACTCACTGACTTTGATTAGGAGCTCAGTCTTGCACTGGAGTCTCAATATTTAGCATCTTGTGTCTTTGAGCTATTAAACTATGGTATTGATTGACATTAGGCTCGCAGTCATGGCCGTTAGTTTCCTGGCTAATTTCTGATTTAAGTAGTTTTCCTGGCAAAGTAGATGTGCTTCTATAATTGCTATTGATTTTGAGGGCTGTAGGCTCTTCCTACACCACTGGGCCTAGAATCTGGCACTAATGCATTGTCTGGAGCCTTTGTTCTCACCCTTCGCTTGTGCAGAGCCTGGAGCCTGCGGAGACATTTTTCATTAAAGGAGAGCGGGATTGTCACAAAAGGAGTCTCAGGCTCTAGTGGGCTGCTTTAAACAACCATTTATTCCACAAAATATTAATTACCTACTGTGTTCCACTCATAGTTATGAGCACTAGGGATACAGCAGTGAACAAAACAGACCCCCGCCAAAAATAAAATCCCTGCTCTTTAGACCTTAAATCTGGCGGAGAGAGAAGGAAAAGAGACAAAATAAGTGAATTGTTGGATTTTAAACTTTATATTTTCCCAAATTAATACTAGTTTCTAAACTTGGTGGGAGTTCATTTCCCCTTTAATCCAGCTGTTCCACAGACCTAAACTTCACATTTTACCTACCTCGGGGAAGTTTTGCTTAAAATTATGGTGTCTTAAGCTGCCTTCCAGATTCAATTGTGAGAATTAAATAGAAATGGAATGTTCCTCTTTTTTTTCACATGAGAATCCTCTTCACTTGCCCTGGTGCCACACCCTATTCTAGTTGTAGGCCACACCAGAGGAAATTCCAGTCCTTCAAAAAAATTCTTTCCACCCATTCACTGCCTGGTATCTTTTTTCTTCTGCTGTTGCCAGAGGCAGTCCTCATCTACTTTCTCCAGGGACAGGTCAGCAGTAGGGGTCAGGAGATGCCCATATTTGTCCTTCTGGGTGGTTCTACCAGATGACTTCCAAATCTCCCTTCTAGGGTACACCCTGAAGCTGTTTTTTTTTTTCTTTTTTTTTTCTTTTGAGATGGAGCCTGGCTCTGTCACCCAGCCTGGAGTGTAGTCGCACGATCTCTCCTCACTGTAGCCTCCGCCTCCCAGGTTCAAGTGATTCTCCAGCCTCACCCTCCCGAGTAGCTGGGATTACAGGTGCCTACCACCATGCCGGGCTAATCTTTGTATTTTTAGTAGAGACAGGGTTTCATCATGTTGGCCAGGCTGGTCTGGAACTGTTGAGCTCAAGTGATCCGCCTGTCTCGGCTTCCCAAACTGCTGGGATTACAGGCGTGAGCCACTATGCCTGGCCCACCCTGAAGCTTTTAATCCAGCTGAGCTCAACTGGACAGGTCGGTAGCACCCAAGTGGCCTGAGTTTTACCCCAGGTGTGGTGTAGAAATTTCTTATTCTAGGGAGTGACTGTGTTATGGAGCCCTTTGTCCATGTCCTTTGTCTCCCTGCCACACCCAGGCTATACACTCACAGCTCAGAGGAAATCAGAGTCCTAAGGCCACTCGTACATCCTGCCTCTTTGCTGCCTTCTTGCTAGGAGTTGTAGGTTACGTTCCCATGTGGTCCTATGGACAGAGCTAGGGTCCAAGTATCCCTGACAGCACAGAGGTGGGGGGCATGGCTATATGTTGATAAGAGGCTGCCCTGAAGCGACCTGCTGGGCTTTGCTAAGATTTGCAGAAGTTGGTGATTTAAGCCTCCAACTCTGAATGCACGGAACTGGAACTGCATTCGAAATGTCCAGTCTGAGGGAGAGAGAAAATTGAGGAAGGAGAGTGTGTTGGAAAAGAAGAAAAAAAGACTTTCTAATATAGAAAGACCCAGTGTGTGTAAACCATCCCAAGATGAAATTGAATGCCTATCGTGTGCCAGGCACTGTGCTCAGACCTATGAGGAAACAGGAGGGAGTTAAGTTGGAAACCCTGTGGGCGGATAATACGGAAGACAGACTTTACACATGTAACTCTAATGTTGCACAGACACACAAAAAGCTGCAGAAGCACAGGGCAAGGAGGGGTGTGTGAGAAAGGCGGCATTTATGATTTCCTGTATCCTAAAGACTCATTCAGATGTCAGCTAATTAAGATTGAGGTTCCTGGTGGAGGGAACTTAGAAAGTGCTGAGCGTGTTTGGAGAAGAGTTAACAGTCCAGTTAACTCTTCTGTGCAGGATGCGTGTATGCATGTGTGTGTGTATAGAAGATATTTAAGGAAAGGTAGGTAAGTCCACAGTGTGGAAGGTCTTGAATGCTGACATTAGACTTTTTTCTGTAGGCGGCCAGGCCCTGTTGAAAATACAATATGTGGGCCATAAAACACTGAAATTGAGTTGCAGACTTGAAGGCCTGGATTTCCCAACCCTGAAAGTGCTTCATGCCAAGTGACATCATTCTTCCTGCCGGTCTCTTTCCACCCACTCCAACCCCAGATCAGGATACCAGCAGAGAGAGGCTGTGAGAGCATGAAGCTGCAACAAGTCAGTAGGGAGCAAACAAATATTGATTCAGATCAGGCCACAGAAGAGACAAGCTGGAGCAAGTGCTGTGTGTCCCTCCTGCTCAGTTTGATCGAGGTCACTGGGCCGAATTCCAGGAATTCTGGGGAATGAGTTGGCCCTGTGACTCAGTCATTAATCAAGACCATAAAACCAAGGAGAAGAATATCTGCTTTCAAAAAGGTTCTGATAAATAAAGATGCAGTAGGTGGGTGGAGGATGGAGTACAGTGGGAACCCCTCTCCTCACCCAGTACATTTTTTTTTTTTTTTTTTTTTAGTTTAAAATTCCAGTGTGGCCTGTAGACTGTGTGTCCAGGACTGTGTACAGTAAGAGCTTTGATGGAGAACCCAACTCTCCACACTCCCACCTCTACCCATTTTTGCTTTAAAATCTTCATTTGAATCACCAGTCCCTGATTGATTCACCATGGTTGCTAAGAATCTGTTTTGCGGTAACGCATCAACACTCCACGTTTAAACTGTGAAGTGGGTGTGTCCACAAAACTTCTGGATTAGACTCAGATTTGCCTGTGCAGACCAGCCCTGTTGCAGTATGTTTTTGTTTGTTCAGATTAACATTTGGGCTTTTTGGAACTGGTTCTTAATTTAGTTCAGTAGAATGTGTTTTTACTATTTGAAGTGTTGACTTTTAAGTTTTCTTTTGTTTGTTTGTTTTAACCTTTTTGTAAACTTTTACTCTTCTTTTTGGGAGTAAAGTTAAAACTGCTTCACTTGTCCTTTTTTTGTTTGTAACTGCACTTTCGTAGTGAAGCAATAGAATACAATAAAATCTATAGAGTTTTTTTTTTTTTAATAAGGACAAACCCTTAAATTATTAGGTTGGTACAAAAGTTAATTGTGGTTTTTGCCATTAAAAGTAATGGCAGTTATTTTTGCACCAACCTAAATAATATAGTCCTTATGTTAAATGTAAATGACTTGTTTCTCAATAACTGCACTGATTTCATTAATGATCAGCCTTGCACTGTGAGCTTTTTTAGCCAGGCATTCACAGTCTCATTTATCAGCCTTTTCAAGGCAGAAGAAACTGTTCTTTTCATTAGGGTGGGGCCAAGTGACCTGTTTTCCTACCCAAGTAGTGAATGATTTTAAACCAGTTTGAGGTGGGTATGGCTCTTATCAGTGAGTCTCCCTGTACCTCTAGTTTATTTCCTTAAACAGAAAAACGTTCTCTGATAAAGGGTCATTTTAATGATGTTGTCTAGTGACCCTGCCCTCCCTGGGAATGGAAGGCACGGCACTGATGTGTATGTAGATGTACTCATCAACAGATTGAATTTGCTGATTTTTTTTTTTTTTTCTTGTTGGAGAGTTGAAACCAGTCGGCAAGCTGGGTGAGGTTGAAGTGTTGGAAAGAGTGGTGCAAACTGCCATTTTCATGTTCTTTAGAGAAGTCTGCCAGAAAAGGAGTAGTGGTTCTGTTTTTAATGGATTTATGAGTTTTATACGGTGATGAGGAGTGAGTAGAGGTGAAATTGTCTCATACAGCATGTAGGCTTTATTTTTTATTTTCATTCAAAACAGTAAGTACACTGAAGTCAGAGTAGTTGTTTTCAGTAAGAAAATTCTGCCTCCAGAGCAAATGTTTTGGTGAATAGATAAATATGAGTACTGAGTCCCAATCATTTTGGCTCATAGGTTCCCCAGTATTTCCATAGGCAAGCTTAACTTTGCACCATTCAGAGACTTATATTTTAGGTTCCCCACAGGGCACCCCACTGGACGTGGCTCATTTTCCAGCCTGTAGTCTTGTTCTTCTGCCACCCTGGGGCATTATTCCTCTTCCCCTCTCCCCAGGCCTTCCCCCTTGCTTCTTGGCTGGAACCTCCCATGGTGATTCACCCTTCTCAGCCTAGGCAGACAGCACCTCCCTGTTAAGCCCTTAACTAATCCCGCTCTGATGGCTGTGATCTTTCTCTCTGTGTCTTAATCACTTGGAATAAAGAACCATTGTGGTGAGGTTGAAAGGGCATTGGCCCAGGAGTCTGGGGATCTGGGTTTTGGCCCTGCCTCAGCTACTTAATTCACTGGGTGACCCTGGACTAGACTCTCAGTGTGTCACAGAGGCACGAAGGGAAGAGAGCTCAAAGGTCCTGCAGGGTGGAAGTCTGCATTTCACAGTTTTATAAGTGTCTTTTGTATCCTTTAATATAGTGCAGGCTCAGCGTATGCTTGGTATGGGTTCGTTGATTAATTCCTTGCGTATTACCAGTGTTTGTAACCTACAGTAGCACTGCCAAGACTTCCTTTTCCTGCTTTCAAGGATAGCAGCACACTGACACATTCTCATTAGTCAAATATGCTATATTAAACTAATGTTTTAACAAACAGTGAATCGCAAAGCCAACTGTTCCTTCCAGCGAATAATAGATCATATGCAAAATGACTTTGCATTGCTAGGGGATTTGATGGAGTGAAGAAGCAAGCACTGTATTTTATTTCTTTTTATTTTGTTTTGTTTTTTGGACATAACCTCAAGATTTTATTGTCCTCATAATAAAACAAAAGATGATGCTTAGAACTGGATCACTTGGCCCTTTCTTTTGTTATCTCCTCCCAGTTGAAAATGTTTGCATGTCTTAACAGCCAGCATTTTCTTAGATCTGCAGATGGGGTCAGCACACTCAAGCCTCAGCACAACCTCCTTTGTAATTTTACCCGTTTTCCAGAAAATTGCCTTAGTCTACCCACCATAGTCACTCTGCTTCTTGTCATAACGCCGCTTTCCCTGGGCATACAGGGAGTCCTGGTATTGTGCCGTTTTGTGGGGTTGGTGCTTGCCACACTTCTTACAGAAAGCCCAGTGGGTTTTAGGAATGTTCACCATGTTTTCCGGAATGCTATCGGCATGGGAGGAAAGTGGCCATATTTTATTTCTAGGGTGAAAATGTTTGCCATTAAACTCACATGAAGTAGGAAATATTTATATGGATACAAAAGGCACCTGCATGGGATAATGTCAAATTTCATAGATACTGCTTTGTGGTAAGTGTGACTTTGTGGTTATTGTGATGTTTGTGTTTTGTTTTTTTTTTCTGCAAAATGGTTATACATAGTATAAATGTTATGCAAAATAGCAACTCATTGTTTTCAAGTTGATTTAGCACCTGCATTATGTAAAGATAATCTGAAATCTGTAGGGGGACTGGGACTATGTAGGGAAGATGAGGTCAACCATATACTTTCTACTGCTTTGAATTGTACCTATGCATTCACCATTTGAATACTTGGCACGTGTAGGGCACTTAAAACATTCTGCCGAATGGATGAATGAAGTGGTATCAAAAAGTGCCCTGGCAGTGAAAGGCAAGATAGAGTTCTGTAGAGTAGGGGTCGTGGTGACCCTGTTGGAGCAGATACTGAAGTAGTGGTGAGTGCGGAGAGGCAAGTCACATTTTGGCCCTAGTCAACTGTAGCTGAGGAGTAAACAGAGGGAACTGTTTACTGTTTACAGGATTCTGATGCTCATCTTTGAAGGCTGGGCTCTGCTGGAGGACTGATTTTGAATGATGTCAAATGATTTTGACAAGATTAAATGGGGAGATTTAGTTGGTGGTGGCATGCAGGACTGATTTGATGAAAGAGCAGCACAGTTATGAATGGTGAAACCGAAAGGAAGATTTGTGGGGCTTTTAACAGTCTCCTCAAGGTGTTGTGGCTGTGGGAGAAGAATTAACATGAATGGAGAGTGTAAAGAAGCCTATCAGATTGTCTTTGATCTGCACAGTACTGGGGAGTCCCATGTGGGACACGGGTAGGCAGCAGTCTACAAAGCTCAGAGCTGGAAAGACAACTTGAAAGAACAACACAATGAAAAGTTACCGTGCCTCTAGTTGAGATTTTCTAAACATCGGAACCAATGTGAGGTGTCTGATTTCATAAACAAGTGGAATTTAATCTATACTCTCTAAGTGGAAACAACTCTGTTTGCAACTCTGACTTGCTAGTTCCCTGGTTTTGCTTTTGTTTTACGTTTGGCATTTTTTATTTCTTGCCTGTTTATGGTAGAGACTAGAATTCTGCACAGCAGATGACAACAGTTTATCCCCTGCTGCAGACCTGGTCCAGTTCTGACTGAGTCCAGGGGTGATAGTTAAGGCCAGGGCTTGGGTGGTTTGATGTCCATCCTAGGAGTTTCACCTCTGCTTCGGTAATTCTCGGGCTGAGGGATACTGATGAGACCCTCTAGAATGTTTCTTGGTCCATGTTGAAGTTAGAGATTTCTTGCTCTGTCAAGAAGACTGTCAGCCTGGGCAAGGTAACGCGACATTATCTCTACTGGAAAAAAAAAAGCCAGGTGTAGTGGCACACGCCTGTAGTCCCAGCTACTTGGGAGGCTGAGGCAGGAGGATCTCTTGAGTCCTGGAGATCAAGGCTGCAGTGAGCTATGATTGCACCACTGCACTCCAGCCTGGGTAACAGAGAGAGAAACCCTGTCTCAGACAAAAAAAAAAAAAAAAAAGGTCTAGGTGTGGTGGCTAACCCCTGTAATCTCAGTGCTTTGGTAGGCTAAGGCGGAGGGATTGCTTGAGCCCAGGAATTCAAGACCAGCCTGGGCAACACAGTGGGACCTTGTCTCTACTGAAACATTAAAAAAAAAAGGAAAAAAAATGGAAAAAGGAAAAAGGAAATTAAATGGAAATAAGATATATTCAACATATCATAGTTGTAATTGTAATATATGATCAATATATAAATTATTGGGCTGGACACAGTGGTTTATGCCCGTAATCTCAGTGCTTGGATCACTTGAGGCTAGGAGTTCGAGACCAGCCTGGGCAACATAGCAAGACCCTGCCTTTACCAAGAAAGAAATTATAAATGAGAAATTTTATATAATTTTTTCATACTATGTCTTCAAAATTCAGAATGTCCTTTACACTTATAGCACATCTCAGTTTGAACTGACCACATTTCAGATGCTTTGTAGCCACATGAGGCTGGTGGCTACTGTATTGGACGGTTCTGCTACAGAGCAAGACTATTCTAAATTGTCTTTTTTTTTTTTTGAGACGGAGTTTTGCTCTTGTTGCCCAGGCTGGAGTGCAGTGGTGTGATCTTGGCTCACTGCTACCTCTGCCTTCTGGTTTCAAGCTATTCTCCTGTCTCAGCCTCCCGAGTAGTTGGGATTACAGGCGCCCGCCCCCACGCCCAGCTAATTTTTGTATTTTTAGTAGAGATGGGGTTTCACCATGTTGGCCAGGCTGGTCTCTATCTCCTGACCTCGTGATCTGCCTGCCTCGGCCTCCCACAGTGCTGGGATTACAGGTGTGAGCCACCGCACCCGGCCGATTGTCTTCATTTTTAGGAAAGTTTTAGGTTCATGGCAAAGTTGAATAGAAAATACAAAGAATGCCCATGTTCCCCTGTTCCCACATACGCATAGCTTCCACTGTCAACATCCCGTATCAGGGTGGTACATTTGTTAGAACTGATGAACCTACATTGACACATCGTTACCACTCAAAGTCCATCGTTTACATTAGCATTCACTGTTGGTGTTGTACATAGATGCATCCACCATTACAATATCAGATAGAATCATTTCATTGCCTTAATAATCCCCTCCCCTGAATCCCTGATCTTTTTGCTGTCCCCATAATTTTGCCTTTTCCAGAATGGTATGAAGTTGGAACTATACACTGTATTACCTTTTCAGTTGGCTTCTTTCACTCAGCAATGTGCAATTTAGGTTCCTCTGTGTCTTTTCATGGCTTGATGGCTCATTTCTTTTCAGTGCTGAATAATATTCCATGTCTGAATGTACCACAGTTTATTTCTAGAGCAATACTTTTTACAAACCAGAATTATACCCCAACGGTGGGACAAATTGGGGTGGGGAGGCTGTCTGAGAGTTGTGAGTGTGGGGGAAGTGGAAGGTCTTTGACTGACTTTTCGCTGTGCATAAAAAGCTTCTGTGAGCATCAAGAAGAGAGTAGTGGTCTGGGGGAGAGCCCAGGATGAGAATCTTGCAAAAATACATCCTTCACCACAACTAAAGGCGAATCCTCTCCTCTTACATTTCCCCACTTTCTTCCCACACCAGGCCTGGGATCTGCTTAGTCCAAAATGTTCCTATAAGTTAGCAAATATCTATGTCACATACTCTCGCCAAACCAGTTTTATGAAAATATTTAGACTAAACAAAGTGAAGAGAATAGAAAGCTGTATTTGCATGTGTGCAGTTTCCTTGATCAAAGAATATTAAGCAAAAAGAGACCAAAGCAGGAGTCACTGCAATTTAAATGTCGTTCCTGTCTATTTCAGGACGCAGCTCTACTCTGTTTTCTTTATTCTTGGGGTGATTATGTTGATGACCTGTCTTGTCTCTGTTGAGATAAATTTACCACCAATTGAGCACTCCTTATTGGCAGGGATTGGGTGTATCAATTCCGAGAACTGTATGATTGCAAAGGTGGAAAGCCAATTCATCAGGCTATTGTTTTGCTGCCCCATTAAGTATATTAACTGGAAGATGACTTCATTTCAACCATTTCAAATCTTAAATACAACAGATTCAGTCCTTTATGGAATGAGTTAAGGTCAGAAAATCTGTCCATCGTCTTTCTCATAAATACTTTAATATCTTCCAAGTATCATTGGACTAAGAAAGTAATTATGGGTAATAATAAAGATTCCAATTAAGAATTAGGGCAACATGAAAATGCTACTAATTTCGATTCACATCGTAGCTTTCAGGTCCTTCTCAATATGTTTAATTACTTGTGAGAAATACAGAAGTAGTGGCTGGTTCGGCAAGCCCATCACCTTTTATGAGAAGTAGAAGACTCAGTTTTATCCTGTCTGAACAGGTTGCATTAGCCATGGGGAACATTTTGTTTTTGCATTCACACATCAGTCTCCCCAGGTTCTGTTTACACAGAGGAAGAGAAAGACTGGCTAGTTTAGTAGTCCATCCCAACCCAAGGCAGACCATCTCTGAGGTTTAGTTTTTACAGTCGTAAGATGGGAATTGCATCTGTTTGCAAAAACTACTCCAATATCGTCAGATGAAATGGTCCAAGGAGTAGAAATTAGCATAATGAATCGCTGTGCTTCAGAGTAAAGGAGAGCCTCTTCATAAAGACTTTTTGTTGTACTTTTTTTCCAGCTTCCTTCAAAATGTCTACTGTTCACGAAATCCTGTGCAAGCTCAGCTTGGAGGGTGATGTAAGTATATCACTTTCACTTTATATAATTTTTGCAAGTTGGACATCTCTCTGGATAACCATATTACTCTCTATCCTTGTACATCTAAGGAAGATGGGGACAATTCAGACAGTCATCATTTGGTTCTCCTCTTTCTTAATACTTCAGCTGTTCCTAGTAGTTCAATTTGAAGGAAATATCATGGCACTGGAAACTTTTCTTGGCCTCACATTAAAATTGGACAGAATTAGTGACACTGGAATGGCTGGAATTTTATTCTGCCATACTTAGCATGTCATTGGTAATAACTGTTATGATGGTACATGACTTTTAATGTCATGTCCTGGGATTTTATTACTGGTTGGCATAAGCCACAGCCATATCAAAACTAATTCTGCATCTTTTGGATTTCTTACAGTGTCCAGGAAGTTATTCCAGATGAAGACTTATACTTTTATTTTATTTATTAATTTATTCATTTTTTGAGATGGAGTCTCACTCTGTTGCCAGGCTGGAGTGCAGTGGCGTGATCTCGGCTCACTGCAACCTCCACCTCCTGGGTTCAAGCAATTCTCCTGCCTCAGCCTCCCCAGTAGCTGGGACTACAGGTGTGCACCACTACACCCAGCTAATTTTTGTATTTTTAGTTGAGACTGGGTTTCACCATGTTGGCCAGGATGGTTTTGATCTCTTGACTTCGTGATCTGCCTGCCTTGGCCTCCCAAAGTGCTGGGATTACAGGTGGGAGCCACCATGCCTGGCTCGAGGACCTATACTTTAAAAAATTTCACACCTGGAAAATATTTTCTCTAAAAAAGCTAGGATATTTCTTTTAAAAAACCAAGAATATAATGAAATTATTGTAATTCATCTGTTTCCTTTTTTTCTGTGGCTATTAGGGAATTTAGAACTAAACTGAATTTTCTTTCATAGGAAATATGTGAACCTAGAAATTCTGTTGCATTTGTTTCTTTTTTTTACAAATAAAAAATTTAAGCTATATGTGAAGTTAAAATTATTTCAAATACTTTTAGAATCAAGTGGAATATAAATTATGAATATGTAAAATAGCTAATGGTACTATACATCTTCCAGGTCATCCTGGCAGAAATGGCTTTTACGCAGACTCAGCACTGATACTGGTTTGTAGCCATATCCGACAGATCTTTCAAAATATTCTTTGATTGAAATTAAAATGCAATGAATCACTCAACAGAGGGTTGACAGTGACTTGGGTCACATGGTGCAAGACCCTCTGTATTGTTCATGGTACTTGCCATCAAAATGTTCAAATTAATGGAGCCTGTGAAAGCACAGGTTGTATGGAGTATAAAGCCTATAGAGTTTTTTTAAAATCTTTTTTCTTCTTGAAACGTGTGCATGCTGTTTTTGGGAACAATACAAACTGCATGTTGAAGTCAGACAAATTCAGGTGCTAAATAATTTGTTTCTCTAATGGACTTAGATTGTATTTGCTATCAGGTTTTATAAGAGGGCTTTTTGTGTAGCCTCTGAAGTTACTCTAGTATATTTCTTATGTGTGGAGAGGTGGGGCAGAAATAGAAAATGTCACATGTTCCCCATTATTTTAAGGAAAGAAAAGATAACTTTGTCTCACTAATTTCATTTCAGACAAGTGGATTTTATAGGTAATAGGTTCAATTCTCGATTTAATTTCATTTCCAGAGACACTATAAAATGACACAAAACTTTTCCCCCTCACTGTTGTTTTTGGAACAAGACGACATATCTCCTGGTAAATGCAGTCATACATGATATGGCTCAATGCCTGGACTGCCTGCCTTGTAAATAACCGATGGCACTCTTAATAAATGGGAAAATGTTTTTCCTTAGATTTCATCCACATTTTATAGCTACCATAGCAAACACACTGAGTATTTCAAAATAGCACTTTGCCTTTTTCCTGAATGTGTGCTCCATGTCATCAAGTTCATCTTACTGGAAAGTTTAAGTGGTGAAATTAGATGGAACATACTTTGATAATGCATTGCATGTCAGGTTATAAATATGAACTGGATTTAATATTTGGCCAAGATAGTCCTCACAAGTGCGTTTGGAAACATTTGTCAAATGCTGAACTTAGATTTCTGGCCTCTCCTGGGAGTCATCTAGATATAGGAAGGCATCTTAGATGCTCACCTATACAGTCTCAGTGCTAATAAAATGGAATGGCGTGGGTGCTGGGTGGTTTATAATGTGATGCCTGTGGGTGGAGAAGTAACTCACGGATCTTGGCCTTTTCACTCTTCACAGAAACTGCGCCAAGGCCAAGTCATCACATTATACGGGCATTATGTGCTGGGGGGGTTGGGGTGGGTTGCAGGATGGGAGCCTTGATGATGAGGATGGGCAGTGATGCTGCCTCCACCAGCCATCAGCCAACCACAACCACAATGTACATCCTCTTTGTCTGCCCTTAGCTTTGGGACTGGGTAGCAGGGAGAGGGAAAACTATAAGAGCATTTCAAAGAAGGAGGGAAGTTAATACCTTGAAAGGAGAACTGACGTAGAAGCACTCCATTGTCCTTACCTCAATCTGGAATGGGAGATTCCCATCTGTCAGATCAGGAAGGATAATGAGCTTTGAAAAGCACTGAAAGGCTGGGCGTGAGCCACCACGCCTGTAATCCCAGCACTTTGGGAGGCCAAGATGGGAGGATCACTAGAGCCCAGGAGTTCAAGAGCAGCCTGGGCAACACGGCGAAATCCTGTCTCTACAAAAAATATGAAAAAATTAGCCCGGTGTGGTGGCAGGTGCCTGTAATCCCAGATACTCAGGAGGCTGATGTGGGAGGATCATCTGAGCCCAGGAGGTTGAGGCTGCACTGAGCCATGATCACACCATTGCATTCCAGCATGGGCAACAGAGTGAGACCCTACCTAAGAAAAGAAAGAAAAGAAAAGAAAAGCATTGGGAAAGGAAGAGGGTATGGTTTAGAAGGCAATAAGAAATCTTAGGAAGAGTGGAGGGTGGTAGGCACAAGGGATGGTATTAATAAAGGCAGAGGGAAGGATACAGAGGAGAGGGGGGGAAACACAAGGAGGATGTGGGCCGTCTGGCCAGACCACCTTGGTGCCACAGTGGTGACCAAAGTAAAGAGGTGGGAGAAGCTGCTTCCCTCATTTATCTGAATTGTAAGCTCAGCAACACTGGCCCAGTAGAAATTCATGTACCTGTAGCAGAAACTTAGCTAAACACCCTTGTCCTTGAGGCATTTCCACATTTTCAGCTTATTTCGAATTGTTGCCAGCCCAGTTTAATGGTCTTCAGAGCCATCCTGAGTAAATGCTGGCTTCAGGTCTCCAGCTTTGCATTGTCTACTTTTGATCTCTCACTAAAAGTAAGATGAGAAGTTGAAATTGAGACAGCATATTCTAAACTAGCTGAGCCTTTGAAGAATTCTTATTAGAAAAAATGAAATTGCTTGCGTGAAGTGTGATGGTGTGTTAATACCTACCTAGTTACCTAGTATGAGAATGATCTGAATTGTTAAAAGAAACAATAGGAAAACATATTAGGCATTGTTATTTCAACAAGAGGATTTTAAATGTGTGTCATTTGAGTATGTTTATCTTTTAACCTCAGCACTCTACACCCCCAAGTGCATATGGGTCTGTCAAAGCCTATACTAACTTTGATGCTGAGCGGGATGCTTTGAACATTGAAACAGCCATCAAGACCAAAGGTAGGTGATACATTTGTCCTCTTCTTGTCAGGGTCTTACTGAGACATTTTTGGTTGTCTCTTTATTCTCCCTCAAATCGCCATACGTTGGCGATTTGAAATTGTCATCGAGCTTTAATGGAGTAGATCCAGACCTAGCTCAACCCATGCCTCCTTTCCTTCCTTCCCTCCTTCCTTTCTTTCTTTTTCCTTTTCTCCTTCCCTCCCTTCTCCCTTTCTTCCTTCTCTCCCTCTTTCTCTTTCTCCCTTCTTCCTGCTCTTCCTTCCTTCCTCCCTCCCTCCCTCCCTCCCCTCCCTTCTTTCCTTTCCTCCCTCCCTTCCATTCTTTCCTCCCCCACCCCCCGTTTCTTCTCTTTGGAGAGATGTACAGCATGAGATAGTATTTTAACCAAGTAATGGTTAAAAGGAATCAGTCTGGGAGCCGGATCTGGTCCTAGGGGTATGCTTTTGGGTGCAGCTCTTCACTTTGAGGCTTCAGTCCCTCTTCTGCAAGGAAGAAGTTGGTCATAGTGGTCCCTAAGGGCATTTTTTGTTCCAAGTCCCCTTTAATTTAATTACATTTGCTGGGAAAATCTTACTGCATTGCTCTTAGATTGATCTAGAGAGTGAAAAATTCAGACTTTTTTTGTTTTTTTTAAACCCCGGTAAGTTCTGCTGCTCCTTAGGCCTGGAGCTGGAATTAGAAGAGCTGTCAGAATGAGTGTATTTCCTCAAGTTCTAGGATGAGTAAGAGAAGACCAGGAGGCGTAAAAGCCTTCCTCTTGAAATAAAGCAAATAAAGTGCTAACTGGTTAGGGTTGAGCAAGAGCTTCTTATGGTCATTATATTGTTTTCTGGGTCTACAAAATAGGATGTTCAGACTTTCTGGGCTTATATTAATTAAGCAATCCTTGGGGTTGTCCCATCCCCTGAATCCCTGAAAAATATTGCAGCTCTCGTGGTGACTTTTGTGATTCTCCACTTTTCCCCCCTTGGATAAAGCACTTCCTTTCACCATGAGGCCAGATTGGGATGCAGACGTGACCCAGCACAATTAGAGCTGCTGCTGGTTCGTGCCCCTGGTGAAGAGCCATGTCACATTTTTCTCTTCTATGTACAGCGTTTTAACTTACTGACACACTTATATAGTTCACATACGGTTCGTTGAAAGACTGAGAAACCTCAACCAGGCTGACCTGGGAACCTATAACTAGGATGACGTCCTGGTTTATGCCTGCGTATTTACTAATAGTGCACCTTTCACTCTCAGAACTGTCTTATTTTGGAGGATACATTACATGGTCACCTTTCCTAAAACCATGTAGAATCTGGTGACCTTGTTTCCAGAGACAGGAAGTAGAGTAGAAAAACCCGCTTAACGTTCTATGGTTCTAACAAGATGTGAGGATTTATTTGCATCATCTGCCTTGGGGAAGCCTTATGTTCTGCAGTTGCTGTGGACCACCCCCCAGATGACTGTCTGCACAGCTGAGGGCAGAATAATGAAGCATCCAAATTAGACCTTTAAAAAAAAAATCTTTTTTTTTTTTTTTTTTTTTGAGATGGAGTTTCACTCTTGTTGCCCAGGCTGGAGTGCAAGGGCATCATCTCAGCTCACTGCAACCTCCACCTCCCGGGCTCAAGTGATTCTTCTGCCTCAGCCTCCCTAATAGCTGGGATTACAGGCACACACCACCATGCCCAGCTAATTTTCTGTTTTTAGTAGAGACAGGGTTTCTCCATGTTGGTCAGCCTGGTCTCGAACTCCCTCACCTCTGGTGATCCGCCCGCCTTGGCCTCCCAAAGTGCTGGGAGTACAGGTATGAGCCGTCGCACCCAGCCCAATCTTTTTTCTTTTTTTTTTTTTTTTGGTGCATTTAAATGACCATTCTTGCCAAAAGTTACTACTCAGAAAATTAAACTAAAATCTGCAGGGCTTATTTCACTACAGCCAGTTCCAGTCAGTGGAGCATAGTGGATGAGAGCGTATGTGAGCCCAGGTTCAAATGCTGGCTCCACAACTCACTCATTAGCCACCCGACTTGGGGAAAACACGGAACTTTGCTAAGACTGAGTTTCCTTGCCTATAAAGGGGTGCTAATCAAAGTTCCCACCTCACGGGATTGTTGTAAAGTATGAAGCATTTAGCACGATGCCTGGCATATAGATGGTACTCAAAATATGTTACCTTAAAACACACACACGTACAAGCACATGCACACACACATGCACATACACATCCATGTGGTTTGCTTTCCTAAAACCCATCCTATTTCACTATTTGGATGTGCCTAGATTCATGTGGTTTCCCAGCATGTCATTGCAGCAGCCCTAAGTTTAGCAGTTAACTCATCTAGCAAAGATGGTGCTTTTCACAAGCATGGGACAAAGACTTCTTTTGTCCCTGCGTGAGAAAGCACTTAGTGCACTGGAATGTAAAGATTGCGCAAATGAACTCTGGTCACAGCTGAAACTCTCATGGTAATAAAAATACCTTCAGGCCTTTTGGAGTTAGTAGAAAAATACTGTAGTTTTTAGACAGAAACGTCTGGAGGGCTAAGATTTAGATTCCGACATTCCAGTTTGATCAAAAGCAGCTGACATTATCATCATTGCAACTATTTATAAAATGCTCGTTGTGGGCAGATACTGCACCAGGCACTTCAGGAACATTCATCTTAGATGAACTTCAAAGTAACCTCTGATGTAGTGTTCTGTCATCCCCAGGTCTTGGATGATACAAGTCAGGATTAGTATGCCTGAGGTCTTTTGGCCTTGGATCAAACTGGGATTTGAACACACCTCTGTCCACCCCTAGGCCTGTGTTCTTAGGCACCATAATGTTGTAGCACTCACCTGTGAGGAATGGATTTTTTTCATTGCCTTGGATTTTTTTCATTGCCTTGAATTATTTTCAGATATGAAAAACATTGTTCATCTGTGGTCTTACTGACTTCTGTTAAGTCTCATATTTGTGGTCTAGCTTTAGATTCTCCATCTCCTTTTTTTTCCCCCAGACTTAATGTTCAGTGAGTTTCACTTAGGTCCACTTTTTATTTATTTTATTTTTATTCATTTATTTTTTTGAGATGGAGTTTCGCTGTGTCACCCAGGCTGGAGTGCAGTGGTGTGATCTTGGCTCACTGCAACCTCTGCCTCCTGGGTTCAAGCAGTTCTCTGCCTCAGCCTCCCGAGTAGCTGGGATTACAGGTGTGCGCCACCACACCTGGTTAATTTTTGTATTTTTAGTAGAGACGGGGTTTCACCATCTTGGGCAGGCTGGTCTTGAACTCCTGACCTCGTGATCCACCCGCTTTGGCCTCCCAAAGTGCTGGGATTATAGCCGTGAGCCACCGCGCCTGGCCTATTTATTTATTTACTTATTTATATATATATTGTAAGACAGAGTCTTGCTGTGTCACCAGGCTGGAGTGCAGTGGCACAATCTCGGCTCACTGCAACCTCTGCTTCCTGGGTTCAAGCTATTCTCATGCCTCAGCCTCCCAAGTAGTTGGGACTATAGGCGTGTGCCACCATGCCTGGCTAATTTTTGTATTTTTAGTAGAGACGGGGTTTTGCCATCTTGGCCAGGCTGCTCTCGAACTCCTGGCCTCAAGTGATCCGCTGACCTCAGCCTCCCAAAGTGCTGGGATTACAGGTATGAGACACCGCACCCAGCCTACTTATTTTTGATGCTTAGTGATTTTAGAGAGTAAGTAGGTTTTGCAAGTCCATTGGTCCTTTAAAATAATTTCTAGATTGTTGGCATTATTAAAACCCTAAATCCTTTTAGGAACTATTGCGAAGAAAGAATATGATATTCGTAAGAGCTCAGTGCTAATATTAGCATTGGTTATGGTAGTGAAAGACCAGATAAATCTTTTAGTTGGGAAGTATGTCTTGAGGTATACTTCCTTATAATCATTAAGTAAATAAGTAAAACTATATTACATAGATAATGTGTAACTCTCTGTATTACATAGAATGTCTGCAGAATGTAGATAGGAAAAATAAAGTTTGTCAATAATTTTCAACATCTTTATTGAGATACAGTTAATCTGCCATACGATTTGCCTATATAAAGTGTACATTTCAGTGTGTTTAGTAGTGTATTTGCAGAGTTGTGCAGTCATCACCACAGTAACTTCCCTAACACTCATTTTAACATCCATTCACCTTAAATGTGTCAGTTGCATCAAGAAATAGAAATGGGATGGTATATGCTATGTGATCACAACCACAACCATTTTTTTTTTCTTTTTGAGGCGGAGTCTCACTCTGTTGCCCAGGCTGGGGTGCAGTGGCATGATCTTGACTCACTGCAACCTCTGCCTCCTGGCAGAACCCTCCTGGGTTCAAGCAATTCTCCTGTTTCAGCCTCTTGAGTAGCTGGGACCACAGGCATGCACCACCACACCTGGCTAATTTTTGTATTTTTAGTAGAGACAGGGTTTAACCATGTTGGCCAGGCTCGTCTCGCACTCCTGACCTCATGTGATCCACCTGTCTTGGCCTCCGAAAGTGCTGGGATTACAGGTGTGAAATCATAGGCCTGGCCTATGATTTCTTTTAATCAAAAAAGAAAAAATAAAAGGCATTAGCAATGGAAACAGACGTACGTCACTTCATGGTCCTTCCTTTACTGCACTGTGTAGATATTATGGTTTTTACAAATTGAAGATTTGTGGCAATGCTATTCACTTTGTCTCTGTGCCAGCATTTTTTAGAAATAAAAGTATTTTTTAAATTTAGTTATGTGTTTTTTAGACATAATGCTATTACACACTTAATATAATATAATCACACTTTTATATGCATTGGGAAACCAAATTGTGTGACTTGCATTATTGCTATATTTGCTTTATTGTGATGGTCTGGAACCGAACCAGTAGTATCTCCGAGGTATGCCTGTATATGGAATTGTGGGCAATTGCTCCTTTTCCTTTCTTGGGCTTTCAGTATATTCTGTATTTCTGTATTTTGCAAATTTTCTATGATGACTTGTATTACTTTCATAGTGGAAGGCAGTAAACTTAATTAAAAACAAAAATGAAGTCATTAGTTGGAAAGGATAACAACCCTTTTGTTCCTTCCTCCTTCTCCTTGATATTATTAGATACTGGATAACTAAAACCACTTAAAAATGAGCTAATTAAGATCTTACCTTCTTTTTTTAGAATGCCTTTTGCCTTAAGTGTAATTAAGAAGCTTACACCACACCTTGGCCCCACTCCCACCTCTAACCCTTCATCGGGAAGAGACAATACTAAGTAGTTGGTGTTTCCTTGACATCAAAGGACACGGTATAAACCTCAAGTATTGATAGAAACAAAAGCCAGAGGACCATGTGACGATGACTGGCCCTCTTTCTCTCCTAGACGGGGGTAGCCGTGTGTACACACGTGTGTGTGAGTGTGCCGGGACGCTACCCACTCCATGTAATGTTCCATTGATTTCCCTGTGGTCTGTGTGCTCTCAGGAAGAAGAGCTGGGAGCAGGCCACCTTGGAGGAGGCTTAATCAGCTGCTGTCGAGTACACGGATGGTGCACAGGAGCAGGCCTGGAGTGGGATGATGGCGAGGAGGGTAGAGCTGGTCAGAGACCTGTTTGGGGGCACTGCTTGCCATGGCCAGGGCATGGCTGCAGGAGTCACGAAGGCTGTTCTCACAGACGAACTGTCAGTCACACCTGCTCTTCTTGGTGTGAGCTAAAGCTCCTCACTTGCAGCCCTCTGTTAGAGGAGAGAGGCTACTTTTCCCAGCCAGTCTGCCTCCTGGCACCCTCGAGAGAATATATTCCTAATTGCTGTGCTCAACTGAATGAATATACCTCCAGGTGTGCAGACAAAACCAAAAATACCTGTCCTGGCTCACTTTCCAGTGCTTGGGAGGCAGCTCTTATTCACCCCTTCCCCTAACTCTTGTCACCCCTCTCCTGTGAGCTGTTATGGCATCTGTCGTCGTCGTCTTCTTTTTTTTTTTTTGAGACAGAGTTTTGCTCTTGTTGCCCAGGCTGGAGTGCAATGCACAATGTCGGCTCACTGCAACCTCGCCTCCCGGGTTCAAGCGATTCTCCTACCTCAGCCTCCCGAGTAGCTGGGATTACAGGCATGTGCCACCATGCCCGGCTAATTTTTTTTTGCATTTTTAGTAGAGATGGTGTTTCTCCATGTTGGTCAGGCTGGTCTTGAGCTCCTGACCTCAGGTGATCCGCCTGCCTCAGCCTCCCAAAGTGCTGGGATTACGGGTGTGAGCCACTGCGCCTGGCCTATGGCATCTGTCTTCTAAGGGACCTCCCTGCTTCAGCCTTTACAGAGTATCTTTCTAGCCTCGTCTCTGGCTCTGTTCACGGCCCTCTACAGAGCATGCCTCTGCCTTTGTTCTTTGAGGAGCGTGTAGCCTCCTTCCTCCCCACCTCAAACATCTGCGCAGTTCCCATTTACCTCTCAGCCTGGGCCAGTGCACAGCATCAACAAGCTTTCTCTGAGAAGGCAGAACCAGCTATTTCTTGGTCTGTGTTCTCATCATACTCTACATACTCGTTTATTGTGCTTATGAGAAGGGGGGAGAAGCACAATACTGCTAAAATCAAAATAAGTCTGCTTTGTTTCTAGTTTGAAGGGATCTCAGTATTTTTTGCCTGTGCTGCCTAAACCAAATGCAGGATTGTTTTATGTATGCTCCGTCCTGAGGTAGACTATGCAACGACTTACCTTAATTTATGTCTGGTTAGAAACTGAGTACAGTCATGCAAAAGTAGTAATACTGCTTAATTAACAAGAGGTTGCTGAGACTTAATCTGTAGGAGTCTCTTGGTTTAGATTGGCCTTGGGTTAAATATATACGATGGCGTGTACAACACAGCTGTGAATGGTTTACCATATGGGTCCAAATAACTAGAAAGGAGAGTCAGCTAAATTAGAAAAGGATGAATCGAGACTCCAGAAAATAGACTGTAATTAGCAGCAGCACAACCCCAGAGTTAGTGTAAGTGCCAATAAACTGGTACAGCTTTGGTCTCTCTCTGGAAGGGGAGGGTAATGAATTACCCTATTATTATTGCCAGTTTTGATTTTAGCAGTATTTGTGTTCTCCGGAAGGGATGCAAAAGTGGGTGATTTTTCTCCCCCCTTTCTCAGAAGCGCAAGTATAGAAGCATAACTGCACGAAGTTTTGCACTTATTTTTTTCTTATACTTTTAAAATAGAACTGCTTAAGATTTCTGTGGCCAAAAGACTAACATCCCATGCCACTGCAGAACAAGCCAGGATGGATATTTTTG
Source organism: Homo sapiens (assembly GCF_000001405.40). NCBI lineage: Eukaryota > Metazoa > Chordata > Mammalia > Primates > Hominidae > Homo > Homo sapiens. Next base: position 60,375,082 of record NC_000015.10, on the reverse strand, counting down.
GTTTCACCTGCACGCCAGGTATATTCATTTGGCTGAGCAGAACAATTAGAAATATATTCTCTTGAGGGCGCCAAGAGGCAGACTGGCTGGGAAAAGTAGCCTCTCTCCTCTAACGGAGGGCTGCAAGTGAGGAGCTAAACCAACAAGAGCAGGTCTGAGTGTGAGCTCTTCTGTGACTCACGTAGCCCAGGGCCTTCTCACCCTCCTGGAAGGGAACGGGAGGGAACGGACCCTTCCCAGTTGCTGAGGCCTTTCTCTCTGTGTTCAAGTTTACTTTAGACTGACTTCTCATCTTACAGCAGTGCTGGGAACAAAGAGGCCAGTGCTGAGTCACAGCCACCCTGTGACTCTGCCAGCACAGATTTTCTTTGTAGTGATATTTGTCTATGTATCTATGTAGGTGCCAGACCTGAGCCACGTAGCTATCAAACACTGGAAAAGGAGTCCTTGGTGCCTTTCTAATTGTAAGCATCAGCTTTCATCACCTGCCTCTCTTCAGCTCTTTCTTTTTTTAAAAAACAGTTAGCTCTTTTCCCTGAGGAAATCCAAATACCAGTTTCACCCAGGGACAATGGCAGTAACCAGATTCTAATCTGGTGTCAGCAATGCCAAGAAAATTCTCCAATATCAAGTGAGTTAAGGGTGGCTGCGTTGGTTTCTCTCGCATCTGTTCACATTTTTTAATTTTCTGTCCCATGAGGCTGACGGAGTAGCAGAGCACAATACAGGGCTTGCATTTTATGCATGTTCCTTCACTGACGATTTGATTTGAATCTTGAGCAGTGGTGTACTTTGTGTTTTCCTGCTGGTCTTGTAGCTTGTTTCAGAAATATAATTCTGCATGGAAGGCAGACAAGGTTCTAGATTATTAAAGCAGCCGGTGAGATTACCAAGTCGATGATACCTTAAATCCTTTCTAAGGAACTCAGCTGAAGTGAGATCAAAGCAGAATGGAAATAGAAGAAATCTGATTTTTGGACCAAAACCACTTCTTAGGCACTTAGCTAAACTACACTTTCCCCGAGTTGAGACTGTGTGCCCCAGCTGTGCCAGGCTTGGGAGAGGCACCCAACTCCCCTGCCTCATTTCACCCTGTGCAATGCCTACTTTCTCTCCCATCTCTTGGCAGCTGCCAGAGTTTGTCATGTAACTGGACTACTCATCCATGTGTGCCAATGGCAAAAATGTTCTCTATCTTTCTTTGCCCCATATTTCACAGGCAGAAATTCAAATGCAGGCAGGGGCCAGGCTTGTGACAGAGAAGCTGAATGAAGGCAGTAGATGTGTTTCTAGTCGTTAACTCAGCCAGTCTTTTCTGCATCCTGGTAAAATAAGTATTATCATTATCTCTGTTCTATAGGGGTGAGATACCTAGGCCTAGGAAGAGAACTAATGTGCCCCAGGATCTCACAGGTCTGAGTCCCATGGAGTTTCCAAAGCACTATATTGTGGCTGCTACTTATCCAGAGGCCTCCCCTGGCATCTGTCAGCCTGCTGGGTGTCCTGTCTTGATGAGAGACGCTCTGGAGACACAGTGCTCGCTTGTGCTGGATGACCCAGAGGGGCAACTTTTACAGCAGGGGTTCCGGGCCAGCCAGCACCCTGGCTGAAGGTGCTTTTGGGTAGTCCTATGGCTAGAGGGGAGCTTTTCTCTCCCTAAAAATCTCTCTCACTAGATGGATGACTGGCTGGCCTAACAGGCTTGTTTGGAAGGACTTCCTCCCTTTGCTGAGTTATTCATGTCTCTCCTCAGAAGAGAGTCTTCTAGCTCTTTCTGCTGAAGAAAACCTCAACTGGGTTATCCCTTTAGTGGCCATGCATTATTACCAGGTGGCAAATCATTATCTACAGATTACCAAATGTAAGTGCATTTGTATGTAAAAATTTCAGCCCAGTTCTCTACACGTGTTGACACATTATTGTACCATATCCTTTGTAGGAGCTAGATGGTGGAGTGTGGTATGAAAAAGTATCAAAGTATAATTTTAAAAAGGTACAAACTTGACTCATAGGATAAACATATACTAAACTTTTAATGCACTGAGGTAAGGCTGGTTCAGAGGGAATTTGAGATACTGGATGTTGGTAAGTGTTGAGAAAAGAATGTTGGAATGAGATTGTTGGGCCAGGCTGGGTGTGGTGGCTCTTGTCTGTAATCCCAGCACTTTGGGAGGGCCTGGGCAACAAAGGGAGACCTCATCCCTAAAAATATTTTTAATAATTAGCTGGGTGTTGGTGGTGAGTGCCTGTGCTTCCAGCTACTCAGGAGGTTGAGGCAGGAGGATCATTTGGGCCCAGGAGGTCGAGGCTACAGTGAGCCATGGTTGTACCACTGTACTCCAGCCTGGTCAACAGAGTGAGACCCTGTTTAAAAAAAAAAAAAAAAAAAAGGAAAGATTGTTGAGCTGAATACAAGACCATTAATGTCCTATAGGGTAGTGAAGCCACAACCTTTGGGGTTATCTTTTCTACTGGACCAAAATCTACAAGTTAACATGTAACCCCACAGAGTGTATGCCCAAATCAGTAGTAAGTAGCACGTCAGGTAAGAGCAGGCCCCTTGAGCAGGAGTCTTTGGGCCTGTGAGATAGTGCTCCAGCACATACCTGGAGGATATGCTGTCTTCCTCTTGCTTTATTTTCAAGTTTTGCATAATTTTCTATCACAGGAGGCAGAGTTGCCTAGTGCAGTGAGCCAGGGTCTTTAGTCCCGGTTTGAATCTCAGCCCTGCAAGTGTCTTGCTTGTGTGACCTTGAGTGAGTCTCTGCCTTCTATGAGCATTGGTTTCCTCATTAGTACAACCGGGATGACAATGGCACCCACCTCAGATGGGTGTGGTGAGAAGTACGTGATAGAATATGGGCATCTGATAAAAATGCCTGTAACATAGTAGGTACTCAGTAAAAGGTTACTATTATTATTATTATTATTTTGAGATAGAGTTTCGCTCTTGTTGCCCAGGCTGGAGTGCAATGGCTCAATCTTGGCTCACCTCAACCTCTGTCTCCCAGGTTCAAGTGATTCTCCAGCCTCAGCCTCCCGAGTAGCTGGGATTACACGCATGTGCCACCAAGCCTGGCTAATTTTGTATTTTTAGTAGAGATGGGGTTTCTCCGTGTTAGTGAGGCTGATCTCAAACTCCTGACCTCGTGGTCCGCCCACCTTGGCCTCCCAAAGTGCTGGGATTATAGGCGTGAGCCACCGCGCCCGGCAAAAGGTTACTATTATTATAATAAATGAACTACGTCCACGTGTACACACCCATAACTCTGTGGCATTGTCCTCTCTTTGTGGCATGCCTCTGACCTTCTTTTAGTAAAGATGATTTCTTCTCAGCTTTGATACTGGTATGCTCAGTAATCTTAGTCAAGTCAAGTCGTGGTCTTCCCCATAATCTAGGTAAGGAGAGGATCTGGACAGTTTTCCTTTGTTTTCCAAGTCAACCCCCACTCTCCCGAGACCTTCATCAAACACAAATGAAATCCATTTTCTTTGTGCAGTCAGTGTGTCTCGGCAGATGTGAGTCAGCATCCTGTTCAGAACGGCTGTTGGTGCCTTGCCATGGACAATAAAGACACACATTTTCCATGGAATGCCAGGCGCTTGAGCTGACTTGGGGTTTCCACCCGCAGAGAGGAGGAGGAAACTCCAGGAGGCTGATTTTGTGGTTTTGGATCCAGCCATCATTTTAAACTGCAAATATTCTCTGTGCTTGAAAAATATGGTGAATGATTTATGGGACCCATGACCCCCAGGTTTCTACTGGCACCTTGCTGTCAGCAACACCTCCCCGTGGCATTCCCTTGGCAAAGCTATTGCTTCGGACTGACTGGCATTTGGAACAGTGACTGACCTCTGGGGGTGCCCACGATCCAGGTGTTGAAAATATTGTTGTAGTTAGCTAATTAGATTAGTTGGCTATTTTCGTTCAACGAGTAAATGCTTAAAGATTTCCTTGTGCTGTTTCTTATCAGGAGCCAAATACATTTGTGTCTTGGTTCCTCACCAATGTTGGAAAACTGTAACTTCTGTTAGTTTTGAAAAAAAATTGTAAAAAATCTGCCTGGATCACAGAATTCATGTTCTCACCCATATTCTGTGGGGTCACCCTATCCACATCACTCTTCTTTGGGGAGAGCCTTTGCTTAGATGACTTTGTGATCACTCATATCAGACACACGAGGAAGAGGATGGAAAAGAAAGTGATATTCAGGTTTTCTGTTTCTTCTTTATGCCCTCGCCCCACCCACACAGTTTCTTTAGACCCTGTGCCCTTCCGCCCAGCAAACACTTCCTTAAGCACTGGAACACGAGAGGTCAGAGAGTATAAATCAAGGGAGGCAGAGCCCCATCTCCTGGGCCTCTGGCACTATATTCAATTTAGAGCTTTTCTGGTGTCCTGGCACTGGTTGTGCATTGTTGATGATGATTGTGCTGACATAGGTATTCGAGGTTCCGTCCGAGTCCTTCAGTTGCATCCTGGGTAGAAATGGTGAGTAACCGGATGACCCTTGCAACCTCAACCTGTACTGAACAATTTTTCACAGGAATAAATGGCCTCACCAATTACAATAGCAGGGCAAGAGGAAGCAGCAGTGTTCTAAAGATAAGATGGTTCAATCCCATTTGCAGATGCATGTATTTGGTATTACAATATAGGACATGACTTAAGTGGCTTTGACTAGGCAGTTGATCCTGGCTCCATGATTTTTTCCTCTTTCCAGTTCAATTTGAAACATGCAGACAGTGGTATGGGAGAAATAGCTGATGCAGGTGAGGTTCTTGGGCAGGGCGGTAGGAGGGGAATCTTCTGCTGGCAGAAACAGCCTCCATTTCATTTCTTTGTAGTTAGTGGCATTAGCACTTGTGCAATGCATTACGGCTGTTCACTTGTAAAGTCCCAGCATGTTAGATACTGCATCTCAGCTGGCTGTTTGCTTGGTAAATAATTTAGGTAAAATACATTTTGATTCCTTTAGACTATGGTTGTTGCTGCCTCCTAGGTAAGATTCACGTTAACCACCCAGGCTCTTTATGGGGATCTCCGATAATTGGATTAAATTCTATCAGTGCTGGCTGGACACTTAGCTGCTATGGAAAGAAGGGCAAAAAGCTGTGTCGTTGGCTAAGAGTGTGGGACTGCATTGCGGCTTGTGGAGTGAACTCTTTAGATGTTACTTCTTACCTGGGTTGTTTGGACAAAAGTAAGCACTTCTTTTCCTAAAATTGTAGTCGATCCTGTACCTCACAAAAGCAGTTGGTAGAAGTGACATAGAAGTCTTTTAGATAGGTAGATTTCTAGAGACATTTCCATTTCCCACCATGGTTATCCATTTCTGTTGGTGATTCTCAAATAAGGAATTACTAGGGAGTTTGTTGAAGTGCTGCTTCCTCGGTCCCAAGTTCTACAGAGCCTTCCTTAGTAGTTCTCAGGTGCAGCCTAAGGGACTGTGTTTTTAATAAGTGCTTCACGTGATTTTAATGCAGGTGGGGCCAAGAACCACATTCTGACCCAAACACAGACTTTGCATTTGTTTTTAAGAGAGAATACTTTTTTATGGGTCACTGTTCTTGGTATGCCTTCAGGCCAGCGGCCCCTAGGTTGACTTCTGGAAGTATTAGAATTGAGGTTAGAGGATAGAATTGTATTTTGTGATGGTTCTTCAGTATTTTCAGTTGTGGGTAATAAAATTAAGTACAAGGCAAAACACGTTAATAAACAAGTGGTTTTCCTAATAGAAACCTAGAGCCATAGAATTTTGAGAGACAGAGCAAGGGAGCAAACGAGCAAGCGAACACGCATGTGTGGGTAGGCATGAATGCACAGCAGCCCAGGCACACGTCCACTTTGTGGGTATTTTAGAGTCTTTGAATCAATCTCTTCTGCCCGTTCCTAAATGAAACAAAATATAAGTTAAAGCTTAATTATATCCATTAGTGTTTTGTGGAAGCAGAAGTGGGGGGTCATTGTTCAAGCCCCCTTCTTGTGCAGATATAGAAGCTGAGACCCCAGTAGGACAAATGTTTACACACATAACACATACAGGGATGGGCTGCAGTCCCTCTGAGCTTTAGAGCCTCCACTTATGAAATAGAAAGAGAAATAGCTATCCCCTCTTGGTTGTTATGAGGATTAAATAACATAGCTTGTCTTACGATGTTTGGAAACTGAAGAGAATTATATAGATGTAATTCCTAATTACCATGCATACTGTGTTTTCTAACTGAAGTATTTAGAGTTATACAGGGACTCTCTTGAAGTGAAGTCACTAGTCGATTCTGGAGCAATGACTGCCTGCCACTCACCGGGTATTAAAAAAAACCCATTTATGGTCATTATGGTGAACTTTGAAAGTACAGATAATCAAAAGAAAGATTATACATAATCCCATCACTCACATGATCACTATTAAAATTTTGATATAGAGACTTCTAGGTATTTTCTTATACGTGCATACACATTTTACAAAAATGAGAGTATACAGAGCATACTGCTTTGCAACCTTTTTTTTTTTTTACTTAACAGTACCTTTATTGTGGATATTTTCCAACATTAATTAATACTTCCATGCCATCATTTTAAATGACTGCATAGTATCCCATTACATGGAAAAAAGAACATTTAATCAGCCTCTTATTGGACACAGGTGTTTTTTCTACTTTACTTTTCAATATTGTATACAATGCTGAAATAAGCATCTTTGAAGCTGAATCTCATATCCAGCAATTGGATTTATTTTTATTTTATTTTATTTTATTTTATTTTTTTTTTTTATTGATCATTCTTGGGTGTTTCTCGCAGAGGGGGATTTGGCAGGGTCATAGGACAATAGTGGAGGGAAGGTCAGCAGATAAACAAGTGAACAAAGGTCTCTGGTTTTCCTAGGCAGAGGACCCTGCGGCCTCCCGCAGTGTTTGTGTCCCTGGGTACTTAAGATTAGGGAGTGGTGATGACTCTTAACGAGCATGCTGCCTTCAAGCATCTGTTTAACAAAGCACATCTTGCACCGCCCTTAATCCATTTAACCCTGAGTGGACGCAGCACATGTTTCAGAGAGCACAGGGTTGGGGATAAGGTCACAGATCAACAGGATCCCAAGGCAGAAGAATTTTTCTTAGTACAGAACAAAATGAAAAGTCTCCCATGTCTACTTCTATCCACACAGACCCGGCAACCATCCGATTTCTCAATTTTTTCCCCACCCTTCCCGCCTTTCTATTCCACAAAACTGCCATTGTCATCATGGCCCATCCCCAATGAGCCGCTGGGCACACCTCCCAGACGGGGTCGTGGCCAGGCAGAGGGGCTCCTCACTTCCCAGTAGGGGCGGCCGGGCAGAAGCGCCCCTCACCTCCCGGATGGGGCGGCTGGCCGGGCGGGGGCTGACCCCCCACCACCCTCCCGGACGGGGCGGCTGGCCAGGCAGAGCGGCTCCTCACTTCCCAGTAGGGGCGGCCGGGCAGAGGCGCCCCTCACCTCCTGGATAGGGCGGCTGGCCGGGCGGGGGGCTGTCCCCCCCACCTCCCTCCCGGACGGGGCGGCTGGCCGGGCAGAGGGGTCCTCACTTCCTAGTAGGGGCGGCCGGGCAGAGGCGCCCCTCACCTCCCGGACGGGGCGGCCGGCCGGAAGGGGGGCTGACCCCCCCCCCCACCTCCCTCCCGGACGGGGCGGCTGGCCGACCCCCCCCCGCCTCCCTCCCGGACCGGGCGGCTGGCCGGGCAGAGGGGCTCCTCACTTTCCAGTAGGGGCGGCCGGGCAGAGGCGCCCCTCACCTCCCGGACGGGGCGGCTGGCCGGGCGGGGGGCTGATCCCCCCACCTCCCTCCCGGACGGGGCGGCTGGCCGGGCGGGGGGCTGACCCCCCCCACCTCCCTCCCGGACGGGGCGGCTGGCCGGACGGGGGGCTGACCCCCCCTCCCCCCTCCCGGACGGGGCGGCTGGCCGGGCGGGGGGCTGACCCCCCCACCTCCCTCCCGGATGGGGCGGCTGGCCAGGCGGGGGGCTGATCCCCCCTCCCCCCTCCCGGACGGGGCGGCTGGCCGGGCGGGGGGCTGACCCCCCACCTCCCTCCCGGACTGGGCGGCTGGCCGGGCGGGGGGCTGACCCCCCCACCTCCCTCCCGGACGGGGCGGCTGGCCGGGCAGAGGGGTCCTCACTTCCCAGTAGGGGCGGCCGGGCAGAGGCGCCCCTCACCTCCCGGACGGGGCGGCCGGCCGGGCGGGGGGCTGACCCCCCCACCTCCCTCCCGGACGGGGCGGCTGGCCGACCCCCCCCCCCCCCGCCTCCCTCCCGGACGGGGCGGCTGGCCGGGCAGAGGGGCTCCTCACTTCCCAGTAGGGGCGGCCGGGCAGAGGAGCCCCTCACCTCCCGGACGGGGCGGCTGGCCGGGCGGGGGGCTGACCCCCCCCACCTCCCTCCCGGACGGGGTGGCTGCCGGGCGGAGACGCTCCTCACTTCCCAGACGGGGTGGTTGCCGGACGGAGGGGCTCCTCACTTCTCAGACGGGGCGGTTGCCAGGCAGAGGGTTTCCTCACTTCTCAGACGGAGCGGCCGGGCAGAGACGCTCCTCATCTCCCAGACAGGGTCGCGGCCGGGCAGAGGCGCTCCTCACATCCCAGACAGGGCGGTGGGGCAGAGGTGCTCCCCACATCTCAGACGATGGGCGGCCGCGCAGAGATGCTCCTCACTTCCTAGATGGGATGGCGGCGGGGAAGAGGCGCTCCTCACTTTCCAGACTGGGCAGCCAGGCAGAGGGGCTCCTCATATCCCAGACGATGGGCGGCCAGGCAGAGACGCTCCTCACTTCCCAGACGGGGTGGCGGCCGGGCAGAGGCTGCAATCTGGGCTCTTTGGGAGGCCAAGGCAGGCGGCTGGGAGGTGGTTGTAGCGAGCCGAGATCACGCCACTGCACTCCAGCCTGGGCACCATTGAGCACTGAGTGAACGAGACTCCATCTGCAATCCCAGCACCTCGGGAGGCCGAGGCTGGCGGATCACTCGCGGTTAGGAGCTGGAGACCAGCCCGGCCAACACAGCGAAACCCCGTCTCCACCAAAAAAAAACGAAAACCAGTCAGGCGTGGCGGCGCGCGCCTGCAATCGCAGGCACTCGGCAGGCTGAGGCAGGAGAATCAGGCAGGGAGGTTGCAGTGAGCCGAGATGGCAGCAGTACCGTCCAGCTTTGGCTCGGCATCAGAGGGAGACCGTGGAGGGAGAGGGAGGGGGAGGGGGAGGGGGAGAGGGAGAGGGAGAGGGAGACTCAGCAGCAATTGGATTTCTATGTTTACCTTGGCTACTCTAAAAATGAGAGCTAAAGTTATAGATGCTACAGTTAAGATAGCAAGCATATTGGTATGGACTTGCTTTGAAATGAGCATATACATTTTAAAAAGTTATTTATTTTTATACCCAGAAATTCTAACTTTATACTTTTTGATCTAACACACTTGAGAATTCAAAATACTTCCTCTGTCAATCTGCTGTTTGTCTTTGTCTCAAGCGTTACAGTTTTGACCTTTCTGTTTCTTCAGGACTCCTCTGATTTTCTTCAGGCCAAGCCATTTGTAGTTTGCAAGTGACTTTGTAGGTTTAGCAACTCTACTCTCTCACCCAAGAGTTACCTATCCAGTTATGGCAAAGACTGTTTCTTTCATTAAACAAAGTTATTAATCAGTCAGGAGAGAGACTTTTCACATTCTGAATTTACAAACTGTGCTTTCTTAAGTTAAATGGCATGTTAGGAGTATTTCTGATATGAAATTGGAAACTTGCAGACACCAGAAGGCATTGCTTATCTTTGTAAATACACATGTTCCAATTAAAATAGGTACTAAAATATTTTGGTGGCACCTCAAAACTCCCAATTTAGATTTAATTTAGATTAAAACACTTACTCTTTTTAATAAAGTTATAAAATTAATTATTAAAATTGCCTATTGAAGATTAAAGGCAGTGGAACGTTTATTTTCCTTACAAAACAATTTTGTCTTCAATAAGTGTGATTGTGTTAATCAATTATGCTATTAAAAATACAACTGCCGTGTTAAATCTGACTCATTTGTCATGACAGTTTTTATAATTATAGAAATTATACCTAGCTGCTTATATAGCCATAATCCTGCAATAAGTATAAATAATTATCTCTATTAATTCAGTTTGCAGTTACTCTCTATTAAATCCCGAGTTAAATGGCAATTTGGGGACCTTCATTTAAAATCCTACTAAATCTCTGTTGTTCCATCTGACTGCCAAAGCCCCACATATGCACCTCCTACTGTTGATTCCAGAAACCAATTTATGAATAAAATAGTTTTTAAACCACAAGTATTTAAAAGGTCCATTTAAGCTTGAGGTTTGAGGCTCTCAAGAAAAAAGGAAAGAGAGTGTACACATTGGGTAGAGGATGCTGACGAAAGAGATAGAACAAATCTTGGTGTCTGGGTATTTCAGTTTGGAAAACAGTATATAAATTTCAGTTTGAAAAAGTCTGCTTGACACCTTCTATGTAAGCCCAAAATACTAGAGTATACTGAGTAACGATTAACAACTTGTATTTCCATAGGTGTGGATGAGGTCACCATTGTCAACATTTTGACCAACCGCAGCAATGCACAGAGACAGGATATTGCCTTCGCCTACCAGAGAAGGACCAAAAAGGTACAGGCAATTCCAGGGATGGAGGGCATTTCTTGTTGAATTTTTGTTTCCTCAGACATTGCTTTTTCTTTTCATGAATTGTGGCTCTCATGCGCAAAAGACTTGTGGGACCCTTGGATATCTAAGATTTTCTTCTTAAATCCTTGTAAGAGTCACTGCACATGTGTGTGTGCGTGTGTGCACGCGCGCGTGCACCTCAGGTCATCAGGCATTAGGTTCTCATAAGGAGTGTACAACATAGATCCCTCGCGTGTGCAGTTCACAGTAGGGTTCGCGCTTCTGTGAGAATCTCATGCCACCGTTGATCTGAGAGGAGGCAGAGCGCAGATGGTCACGCTCGCTTTAGAGTGCTTGGGAGCTCCTGTGTAAGGACAGTACCCTCCCCCAACCCAGGCTACCTGGAGGGAGAGCTTCTGGGAATAGAAAGTTAGGAATAGGGAACAACAACAATAACAACAACAGGCACCATTTATTGAGTGCTTACTTTGGGCCAGGCACTGTGCTCAGTTTTGTACATGTAGCAACTCATTTCATCTTTATGACTTCTGCTGGTTCTTGATAAGATGTTTCTAATTTAATTTTAGGATACTAGCCTCCACTGAGTGTTGATCCTAACAAGCTCCTCTCATTTTAAAAATATACACTTGAATTCTTAAGCTTTTTGCAACGAGTGGGCTTAGTTGTTAGTTCATTTGGTCTGCAAAGCTATCTTCAACATGCCATGCTCCTACTATTTAAAGGGTCTTTGTGTGCTTTTTCCCTTTGCTTGTCCACTAGTGGTTAAGAAACAACCAGTGCGTGTTCGTCCTTTATTTTGTCAGTTGTAGGAAATTTTATTTTTAAGGACGTGCTGCTTTATTTTTAACTTCTTGCTATTAAAAGCTTTTGATTTATTCTTGGACAGTGCAGTAAGTGTGGCTTCCTGCAGCTCCCGTTTGACTTATGGCTTTCACTTGTAGCCACAGTGGAGGTGAGCTGGAAGGATTCTAGAAGAGATATTTCTGCCCTTGGGATTGACATGACCAGCAGGGTCCTGGGAGTTGCAGGTCAAGCCTTGCTACACTTCCATCCCCCGCACTCTAAATGGTTGGAAAGGACATAAATAGGAAAGCATCTGGCTTCTTTCATCTCAAGTGCATTAAAATTCTTCTTTCACTAGAAGTGTATTAATCTTGTGTAGTGAGGCATAGAGGGGAGTGTTTTATTTCTGCAGCTTCCCAAAGGGGTCTGTGAGCTGGTAGAGCCAAGTTCCCAGTGGAGCAGAAGGCTCATCTCTGGATAGCAAGCAAAAAATTTGATCTTTCAGCTGTCACAGAGTATGGTCTTGGAATACATTTGGGTGTGTACACACACACATAGAAGCCTGAAACTTTTTTTTTTTTTTTTTTTTTTTTTTTTTGTGACAGGGTCTTGCTCTGTCACCCAGGCTTGATTGCAGTGGTGTGATTCGGCTTACTGCAACTTCTGCCATGTGGACTCAAATGATTCATCTCAGCCTCCCAAACTGCTGGGATTACAGTCATAAGCCACCACACCCAAAACCTAGATCTTGGTTTTAGATTAGATATATGTAGAACAAAGCTCCCACATACCCTCTAGGAGGGAAGATATTACCAGAATTATGATGAGGTCCCAAGATCTCACAGGCTTTGCTGTGTGCTGGGGACAGCTCATCATCCTACTAATTCTTGACTCTCAGCCTTAGGCCAAGGAGAATTATGTATCTTTTATAAAAGATATGTAAACTACTTGAGATAGTTTCAAGTGAAACAATCGGCTGTTTGTGAAATAAAGAAGAAAATTTGTGAAATAAGGAAGATTTGTGCTGCAGAGTTCTTTAGGGATACGGGCTGCAGCTGCCCAGGTGATGAGCTTGAAGAACCTAGGCCCGGCTGGCAGAGTGGAGAGGAGCTGGGAGAGACAGCTGCTTTTACGACTCTTTCATGTTCTAGCAGACGCCAGATGCGAGGCTTCTCCTTACAGGGAAGGGTTATGTTTGATTTATCATACATTTCTGGAGTTTTTGTTTAGTTTTTGTTAAATGCAAAGCTCTGTGCTGGACATTGTGAGAAACAGGAAGTTGAACGCCCATAAGGAGTTTAGAATAGAAGTGGAAGAAGTCAGTAGGTGCCCAAATGCTATTTGAGGTTTGAATAGAGAATGGGTAGAGGGGAGTGTCAAGGGTAGGCTAAGTTTGGAGTTACCTAACCTCAAAGTTCCAAACTGGGAGACTGGTGTTATAATTGGGAGCTACTGCTTTTACAGTCCCCTCCTAAGTGCCGTGTGTTCCCGGGACATTGGGAAGCAGGAGAAAATGGGTGGTGAAAGCCAGGTGGCTTCTAAGATCCATGTCAGTTCTAACACTTTTGACATCTACGAATGATTCAGCATGGTTGTCTCTGAAGCATGCTGCAAATCACCTCTCGTAGCCTGCAAGTACCTGTAGGGGCTAAGCTTTGTAGATGCCACAGGTGCTCTTAGAAAGCAAGGAAAGAAAGAAGAGAGAGAAGAAAAAAAAAAAAGCGAAAAGAAGAACATTATTTCAGTAGGAGGCTTCAGTCATCAGCCATGATTTGTAGGAAGTTTAGCTCGAGGAAGCATCGCTAAAAGACACATTGAGTTGGGGTGTCTGTCTACATACATGGGTGCTGACCAGACCTCTGACAAATTTTTGTGTTCATGGTGACAGTGGATCCAACCCTTAAGAAATTACATGCAGCAGGGAATTCAAGGGGGCCAGTTCGGGGGTGTTAGTTTCCTATCACTTCCATTAAACACCGTCCGAGTTTGGTGTGGACAAGGAGATATTTTCTCAGTATTAGATGAAGTGTTTTGCATAGGAAAGTTTCATGACCTCACTTCCAACTGTGTTGCGGCCTCTGGTTCCTTCTGGTGACTTTGAGGAGCTGCCGCTGGAATGGCTGCCCCCACGTCTTTTACAGTATATCGGGAGGCCACAAGATCTGCTTGCCAGGAGGCTGTCTGCTCAAACATCTCCTTCTTAGCAGGGGCCTTGATCTCCGAAAGCGTCCTGCCTTCCACGGAGTGTTACTGCTTTCAAGCATATTGCAAAGTGCCTGCACTCTCACAGCTTTCTTAGGAATCACATACGACTCCAGTTTCCTTTTATTGACCGGGGAAGACGGCAAAATTAACTTGGATTTTAAGGAATTTCGTTGAAGCAAAGCCTGATGTTTATGTTTCTGAGATGTGGGTCTGTTGAAGGGAATGCAGTTGAGGGCGTTTGACCCAAGACTCCGGAGTGGTCAAAGACTCACAACCTGCTTCACAAAAAGATCCCTCTTACTTTTGTTTTACTCACTAGTTTTAAAGTAAAATAAATATTTTCCTTATGATTGCCTGTTATCTTGAAGGAACTTGCATCAGCACTGAAGTCAGCCTTATCTGGCCACCTGGAGACGGTGATTTTGGGCCTATTGAAGACACCTGCTCAGTATGACGCTTCTGAGCTAAAAGCTTCCATGAAGGTAAATGCATGTGAGATGTCATCTCTGTCAAATCTGCTATTAATTTTGTGAATTACAGCTTTCTGAGTGTAATTTGGTGATTTTCAGTTTTGTTGAATTCTCATTTGGAACCATTTTTTAAAAATGAACTGAAGTTATATGTCTCAGGATTTGTACCAAAAATATTTCAATTACTTGTTTTAAGACTGTAAAGAAATTTCATGATGCTGAGAAGTCAGTTACCAGCTGCTACTACTCAGCACCTGGGCAATTGGAATACCATTTGGGAAAACTACTTCCTTGATTACACTTCCTCCTTTAAAAAGATATGTTGTGATATTAAGGCAAGAAAAAAAAACTCATAGCTTTTGTTAAGTGAAGCTTGCAAATTCTGCCCATCCTTTCGTGGGTGTTTCTTCCTCCCATACTCTCTCTGTCAGTACCATTTGTTTCAAATTCAGGCAGAATCAGAACATCATAGTGCATATAAGGGGTAATTCTGGATGAAGAATCGTACCTGAATCGTACCTGTGAGAAAGTAACTGTGAAGTCTCAATGCACGTTATCTTTTATGTTTTTCTTTTGTAAAGTTCTTTTGAACCTGGAATTTTAGGTTAAATTAAGTAAAAACTGTAGATTGGAAACCTCCTGAACTTTGTGCATACTTAAAATATCAAGTTTTTTGTTTTGTTTTGTTTTGTTTTTTGAGATGGATTTCGCTCTTGTTGCCCAGGCTGGAGTGCAATGGCGCGATCTCAGTTCACTGCAACCTCTGCCTCCCGGGTTCAAGAGATTCTCCTGCCTCAGCATCCCGAGTAGCTGGGATTACAGGCATGCGCCACTACGCCCAGCTAATTTTGTATTTTTAGTAGAGACGGGATTTCTCCATGTTGGTCAGGCTGGTCTCAAACTCCCGACCTCAGGTGATCTGCCCACCTTGGCCTCCCAAAGTGCTAGGATTACAGGCGTGAGCCACCGCGCCTGGCCAACATCAAGTTTTATATAAATGCAATAGATGCACACACATTAATGTATGTTGTACTGCAACACATTTGGACCCTTTTCTTAGTGTGGGTCTGCAGCATTTGAACAGTCCGACACTGCCCTCTGCTGATATACATGGGTAAAGTCTGCGCTGTAGATGAGGGAAACCATTGGTCTTGATTTTTTATTCCGAGTCTGTTTTCTCTGATGCCACTGTTCCTGAATTATGAACAGTCTGAGCTGTAAGCCTGTCACCAGAGCTAATGTCACAGTTCAGTTGTCATCCTTTTCCCAGAGAACACAAGAGTGAGGGTGCTTCGGACACTGGGCATCTCCAAAGCCTGGAATTTGATAGCTCAGGGCTGCTGTAAGATTTGTTGTTAAGTCTCTTTCTTCCTTTAGTTCTTCAGCTTAGCCCAAGCTGTGCTCAGTTTATTTTAGCGGACTTGTCTGAGTTTCCTAAGTAGACTGTACTGCAGAAAAGACGTCATTAAGAATGATAAAATGTCGACAACATTTCATGATCCTGGTTGATAAAAATAGCGCTCCTGAAAACCGAGTCTGTGGACCTTTGGAGGCAGGGATGAGTCAGCCTCTCCTAGGTTTCTTCTGACCATCAACACTTCAGATCAGTTTGTCTTATTTTCATCAAGAATCTATTTAGTTGTGATTCGAGTGGCTTTACTGGTATCTATTACTAGGTATTAGGGACTTGAAACAGACCTTTTTGAGCTGTCAGTCACTGTTGTAATCTATGTAATTGGGCCCAATGGAAGGTGCTTTAACTGCTGAAGCTTTGACCCTGTGCCAGCTCTTCCATTAGCTATCACAGTTGAATACCCGTCCAAAATCCATAAAGCTTGAAGTGACATTAACTGAACTATGCTTAAAAAAAAATCTGTTTTGACTTCTGGCAGTACCGGTGGCAGTATCTGCCATATGTTACAGTAGAATTTGCCCTTGTGATAGGAATTGTGGACAGTCTGTGGAGAGTTTGGGCCGGGCTTTGGAAATTGCCAAGGTCACCTTTGAATGTAGACATAAAAACACTATTGGAATTCTCAGATATTACCACTGGTATATCAGTGATGGAAGGAAACACATCTTACATTATTCTGCCTGTCTTGCAATTCTACAATGTCAGGATATAACATTTCTCCCACTGTGTGTTATTTTTAGACTATATTTCTATCATCCTTGAGATTGAACAACTGCCTCTCAAAATATTCAAAGATACTCGGTAGTCATTTAATAACATTTGTGTAGAATGCTGTATGGACCTTTTGCTAACAAGGGGAGAATTTTTGGCTTTGCTGGAACCTCTACAAATCATGATTAAAAACTCAGAAAGAAGAGCCATTGGCTCAAAGGTTAGATGAAGAATAAAATTCAAAATTAACCATTAACCTGAGGCTTAGCTTATATTATACAAACTACTTTTTCGGGGCATATAAACGCTAATAAGTTTAATTAATAGCTGACACGCTTTTCATGTGGGTAAGTTTCTTATTGTATTAACACCTTATAATTGATTTACATTTTAAACAGTTGTAATTCTACTTAGTTCAAAGTGATAGTTCCATATTCGGAAAGACAAGTATTAAAGAATCCTGATTATTAAATCTTGACTTTGATCATGAAGCCAGCTTTGAAATACATGTTTCATTGAGTCCTTTCAAGCTATCTGACATGCTCAAAAGTGTATATATTAAATTTGAATACATCACCCATCAAATTCTTATTCCTTAATAAAGTGTTGGTGTCTAGGTTTATTTGGCACTTCATTATTTCTTTTTGCTTCCCTAAAGTGCCTGAAGAGTGCATAATTATCAAGCAAAAATGGAAGGACAAGAATGAAATTTTTAACATTAACCCAATTTTACATTTCAAAGAGTGCAGCTAAAAATTTTTTCTTAACTATACCTTTGCCTGGTAAAAAGACTTACTCTAACAATGCTGGCTGCAAGTGACAACATAAAATTTCTGTATTCCTTTATTTTAGCGAGAATTGTTTAACAAAGAAATTTCTAATCTGTTAAAATAGTGAGTGGTTATTGTAGAAAGTGAAAAATAATAATAAGAAAAAGTTACTTTATCTACCCACAGCAAAAGGCAATTGCCAGTTTTAGTATTTTGGCATATTCTATTGCTGCCTCTTCCTATTCACTACTTTTTTTTTTTTTTGAGATGGGGTCTTACTCTGTCGTCCAGGCTGGAGTGCAGTGGCGCGATCTCGGCTCACTGCAAGCTCCACCTCCCAGGTTCACGCCATTCTCCTGCCTCAGCCTCCCAGGGTAGCTGGGACTACAGGCGCCCGCTACCATGCCCAGCTAATTTTTTGTATTTTTAGTAGAGATGGGGTTTCACTGTGTTAGCCAGAATGGTCTTGATCTCTTGACCTCGTGATCTGCCTGCCTTGGCCTCCCAAAGTGCTGGGATTACAGGCGTGAGCCACTGTGCCCAGCCCCTATTCACTACTTAAAAAAAAAAACCATATTAACAGTTGAACTCCAACATGCCAGTTCCACCATCTTGTGCTCTGGTGAAGCATTTTTTAAAGGAATAGAAAATGCCATTACTTTGTGCTAAGGGGTAGGAGTATAGATTCTTCAGAAGGAATGTAGAAAGCAGGATGCTAACAGACCCAATCCATGTTTGCAATTTACTTGATGGAGATCAGAGAAGTAGGCTAATGGTGGGGAAGCATTTCCCTGCTGATGTTCGTGCTTCCTGGTTCACAGGGGCTGGGAACCGACGAGGACTCTCTCATTGAGATCATCTGCTCCAGAACCAACCAGGAGCTGCAGGAAATTAACAGAGTCTACAAGGAAAGTGAGTAGCTTGATTTCTGTGATTCATCCTCTCAGCCCAATTTATGTGACTCTATCATGGCCACTGGGGTTAGGGTTCGGGCTAAGATGCCTGCATTAGTGATGTGCAGAAGTGCCTGCCACCTTGACTATGCAGGCAAGGTTGGCTGTGGTCCAAGTTTCTCTCCTTCACCTCCTCATTGCCTGCATTTTGATTATTACATTCCACTAGAACTTCTGTGTTAGAAGAAGGGTAGACAGGAGGGAAAGGAGAGAAAACAAAACTTGTTTTTAAACAAGATCGGATGAGGAGAAGTAGCAAGTATTATATATGGATTCCACTTATTGGGCGCTGTTCAGTGTCTGCTCAAGAGGTTGCCAACTCTGGACTGTGGATAATTGAAGAATTACAGCAAGAGACCCCTGTGGACTGGTGCACACTTAGCAGTATAGAAGGCTATGAGGGGAATAAACAATGCAACTTACATCGCTACTGCATTTCTTTTTTGTTTTACTTTTTAAAGTTATTATCATAGTTTTACATATTTTGGGGGTACATGTGATATTTTGGTACATGTATTATATATAATATGTAATTATCAAGTCAGGGTAATTGAGATATCCATCACCTCACACATTTATCTTTTTTTTTGTATCAGGAACATTACAGTTCTTCTCTAGCTACTGTATTTCAATATAGATGCTATTTTGAATATTGAAATATACTTTCATTCAAAAGCATTGTTTAATTCTTAGTAGTTTTTGCCGCTGTGCATTTTCTCAGTGGACAGTAAAGCACAATTGTGTGTGTGTGTGTGCGTGTGTAGACCTCCAATTTTTTTGATGTTCAGAACAAGTACTCACAGTCAGGAGGGCTGGGAGCCAGTATTTAAACTACACGAGAGGTCACCAATCAACGGTGAGCCTGAGGATCCCTGATTTGATCTAGCCCTGCTGCCCCCTGTTATGGATAATAACTCTGGCTCTGATTTCATGAGGGCGAAAATCATTCTAGTGAATCCTTCCTCTGTTTGGGGTTAAGGAGAATGGATATGTCCAGCTGACGTAGCTGTTCTGCTTCTCAGAGTCTTAGTGGGAAATGGGGAGATTGGGGTGGATGGTTGGCTACACAGGCAGAAAGCATAAAACCAGATGTATTTTCCTCCAAGTGTACAAGACTGATCTGGAGAAGGACATTATTTCGGACACATCTGGTGACTTCCGCAAGCTGATGGTTGCCCTGGCAAAGGTTGGTTTCCCAGTTTCTTTCTTTGCCCTTGCTTCCTCCCAAGGCAAGTCACATACCTCATTTTATACTTGGAGTGAATTAACTAAATCCCCTGTGCCTGCATCAGAAATTCAGCTGCATTTTTGAAAGTGGGTTTGCACTGTCACTGCAGAGTTGTCAATTTTGTATAATAGGATTTCTTATCCTGCAAAACCTCATGGACAAGTGGACTTTGGGAGCCAGAGAAGGGATGGGCGGCTCTCAAGTCCTGGCCTGGATTTATGTGCCAGAGCCTTGGCCGTGTGACTTAGGGAAGGTCACTTTGCCTCTATCTGTGGTCATGCAGGACCCAGTGGGAAGTGACCTTCTGGTTTCTTTTTCACTGCGTTTACTTCTCATGGAAGAATTTGCCCATATAGTCCTTTGTCTGGGGTGGAGTTGTCTTTGTGGAGCTGATTGCTAATATTAACACATTAACATGGAGGAAGGGGCATTTCCCCTGTGAATCCCTAGTTCTGGCCAGCGTGTAGCTTAATACTTATGTGCCAGGGGAGGGACGAGAGACCCTGGGAACCCTGATGACAAATGACAGATAGTGCGTCCGGCCCACTCACATCTCCATTACTGCAACAACTCCTATGCCATTCTCCCTCGCTCTCCTCTCTTCGCTACCACCTGCCCCATGTACCACCATCCACGGATCTCTGTGAAATACACTTTCACCATTTTACTCCTCTGTTCAAACCCCATTTCTGCTGCATCAAATTTAAACTCCTAACTGCTGTGAAAGGTCCTCTAAACCCTCCCTGCATCTTCTTTGCTCATCTTTCCCGCTCAGCTCTGCTCTGACAGGGCAGCTCCTTACTTACCTGAGAGCGTGCTGTGCCATCCCTTGTGTGCCAGCTGGCTCTCCCGCTCTGCTTGGCTAGCTGCATCTGACTGACCCTTGAAGTTTCAGCTTAAGCCCAGGCCCATCGTTCACACTCTTTGCTGACTCTGCCCTCTGAGAGTTCTTCCTCCGCCCGCATTTTGTGTCTTTCTAGTGCTGTGGGTTCCCGGGCTGCTTTACATTTGTTTCCACATATTCCTCCATCTGCATTGCAAGCTCTCTGTGAGAAAGAGCTAAATCTCATCAGCTTTTTGTGGGGGATGGGGACAGGGATTCTGTAAGGTGTGTAGGCCAGGACTGGGTATCAAGGGGGGGATTGTTGATGGCAAGGCACAGCCCCCACTTCCTTGCTCAATGATTTTACCACTCCTTGGCTGGTCTAGGTTTCTTTTTCTTTTTCTTTTCTTTCTTTCTTTTTTTTTTTTTTTTTTGAGACAGAGTCTCACTCTGTCACCAGGGTTGGAGTGCAGTGGCGTGATCTCAGATCACAGCAACCTGGTTCAAGCGATTCTCCTGCCTCAGCCTCCCGAGTAGCTGGGACTACAGGCATGTGCCACCACGCCTGGCTAATTTAGTAGAGACAGGGTTTCACCTTGTTAGCCAGGTTGGTCTCCATCTCCTGACCTCGTGATCTGCCCGCCTTGGCTTCCCAAAGTCCTAGGATTACAGGCGTGAGCCACCGTGCCCGGCCCCATCTATGTTTCAAAGTAAGAAAAATCTTACGTGGTTACTTATTTAGGAAATTAAATAATGGCGTACATGGACTGGGGAGAAAACATTTTCAGTTTTAAAATACACAAAGAAATGTATTTGAAGTTCTTTTTCTTTCCCCCATAGGGTAGAAGAGCAGAGGATGGCTCTGTCATTGATTATGAACTGATTGACCAAGATGCTCGGGTAAGTGCTGAGCTTTTTGCTTTGAGTTTTTGTTTTCTGGTAAGTCTCTGGATAGTCTATATAGTAATTTAACTCTGTGTGACAAATGACTCCCAAACTCTGTGGCTTAAAACAACAAACATGTATTATTTCTCAGTTTCTGTGTGTCAGGAATTGAGGAGTAGATTAGCCCAATTGTTCTGGCTCAGGGTCTTTTCTGAGGTTGCAGACAAAATGTTGCATGGCTGCAGTCACCTGAGGGCTTGACTGGGTCAAGGGAATCTGCTTCCAAGATGGTGCACTTCACATGACTGTTGGTAGGAGACCTTAGAATCGCTCCACATATGCCTCTCCATGGGGTTGTTTGAGCGTCCTCACAACATGGCAGCCGGCTTTCCCCAGAGCAAGCAATCTGCAAAGAGGAAGCCACAGTGTCTTTTATGACCTAACCTCAGGAGTCCCACCTTGCACTGCTGTCATACTCTTTTCATTAAAAGTGAGTCACTGAGTCTAGCCCACACTCAGTGGGAGGGGATTAGGCTCTTCCTTTGGAAGGGAGGAACCTCAAAGAATTTCTGGCCGTATTTTAAACCCACCATAGTCTGACAGCAATGTTTATTAGAAGACATTCTCTTATAATGCTGGTGTTACTTACAGAATCAATACGTGACTCACATATGCTCACTCAGGCTTTGCTTGTATGGAAGCATCAGTTTCTGCAGAGTGTAATGTGGCTGTGCATACCAATCAGGCAGGCAGGTGGGAAGCAGAAGAAGGTGGAGGAGACACAGCCAGGGACAGGATGGTGTACTGCTCTGTTGTGGTGGGGGAGAAAGGGAGGCCAGCAGAGACCTGTCCTTTTCTGGCTGAATAAGACTTTTGCCAGTTCTAGTTCCATTATCTCTGAGAACTATTTGTTAAGCTTATTCAGACTGCAATGAACTATATTCTTTACTCAGAGGGACAACGATTATCTCAAAGTAAGTCATAAAAGCTGCAGAAAAAAATTAATTTAAATTAATGTTAGTTTTAAAATTCAATATATTCCACACGGCACTTCTAGCAGGTAGTAGAGAAGGGTTTTAAATAAAGTAATAGAAGTTGGGTTTTGCAGTTCCTAGATGGTGGAAGATCACGGAATGAATATCTACCCTTGCATAAGCCTTTCTTCCTCTTGCCCTCCCTGCCATTGTTAGGGCTACTTGTAGCCCCTAAATTTTCCAGAAACTGAAAGTGAGATGAGATGGGCTCCTTTTCCAGCTCCATCACTCCCTGAGTCTCTGAGAAGCTTGAGAATGAGAGCCTGGTCTGTAGCTGTCCAGTAAACATCTGCTAGCTTATCTGCCCCTAAATGTGCCCAAAGGGAGGAGGGCCAGATGTGTTAATGAACATTTACTTGTTCTTCTTTATATGAATACAAGCTCTTGGTCCCTCCTTTCTTATTCAAGGAAGGAGATTGTACAGCAGACCTCACGAACTATCTGCAGTCTCATATGGTATCCATCTGTGCCTAAGGAAGACTGCTTGTGATTAAGACTTTTGACCTAAATAGTAGGTCTCTGCCCATGTCTGCAGTATAATCATCTTTCCTCGTTTGGCATTTTGAATGTGTAGCTTTTTTTGTTTTTTTTGCATGACATTTTTTTTGACGTTACATTGGATGTGTAGTTAACTTTTCCTGGTTGGTTGTACTCGTAGGATCTCTATGACGCTGGAGTGAAGAGGAAAGGAACTGATGTTCCCAAGTGGATCAGCATCATGACCGAGCGGAGCGTGCCCCACCTCCAGAAAGGTGGGCACTGTGCTGAGGGAGTCTCAGTGCCTTGGGGCCCTGGCTGGGGCGGCTGGGTGGATGTCCATGTTGGGATGGAGTCTGCCAGAATGAGGTTCTGTCTCCGCTTGGCACTCTCATAGGCTCACCCATTTTCCCTCACCTTTCTCTCCCATTCTGGATTCTTTTCTCTTGCAAATAGTTTCTGCATTTGGTGCTTTATTCTGCAGCTCCTTCTTGTTTGATGATCATTTGGTCTTGCCATTATTTGTTGAAGTAGTGGACTTTGGTGCATGCTCTGTACTGTTTCCTATGGTTTTCGGATGGAATGGGTTCCACTCAGGGGAGATAGAGATGGTCCAAATATGTGGCCTGGGCAGTGCCATTCAGGACAGGTGGTATGGCTGTTCCACGACAAACTTGGCCAATGTTGGCTCTGGTCACCGTGGTAACCTCTAAGCTCCTAGGATGCTGTGATCATCCTCAATTTTTAAAAAAATTATGGTGCATAAAACTAGGTGGGTGATCGTTGACAGCTTTGACTAGTGGCTCGGATCTGATAACTCTTTGTTGTTTTTCCTCAGTATTTGATAGGTACAAGAGTTACAGCCCTTATGACATGTTGGAAAGCATCAGGAAAGAGGTTAAAGGAGACCTGGAAAATGCTTTCCTGAACCTGGGTAAGTGAATGTGGCCCCCATTCCTGGTAGACATCAGCTACCAGAGCAGAAGTGACAGATGGCCATCCTGTTAATCCAAATGTGTTTGGGAGGTGTGGCTTCTATGCATGCTTTGGATAGTTTTACAGTCTTAATTGTATAGATTTCAGAATATAAAACTGAAGAAAGGCCTAACTTGGTAACAGATTGTTGCCAGGGAGGAGTAAGAGAACAGGAGGAGAGAGGGGTGTGTTGTGGAAACTCACGTATGCACTTGGGTTCTGCAGGCCTCAGAGACCCCTGGTTTAAAACCGTGGTGGAACTTAGTATTGCAGAGGATTTCTAGATTTCCCTTAGCCTGTCCTATTTTGCAGCCCTTTTCCATTGCATTAGGTCACTTCTGGTTTGTGGCCCAGGGCCAGGGCATCCTCTCTCATTGGTAGAGGAGAGACCAGAGCAGCTGCAGCGCTGACTCCCTTTCTTCTCTCCACAGTTCAGTGCATTCAGAACAAGCCCCTGTATTTTGCTGATCGGCTGTATGACTCCATGAAGGTAAGGGCAGCTGGCTGAGAGAGCTGTGTTTCCACACTCAGCTTTTCTTCTTTTGGGTCCCAAATTGAGTCTCCTTGATTCATGGATGGAGGAAGGGGACCCCACTGTGTGGATGCAGGAACACACTAGTCAGCTGTGGTTGTATGTGACAGCTGAGAGAACCACAAATCTGTCTTCTTTCTCTCAGCTGCTTGAACATGTATTTGCGTACAGACAAAAAGTAAAGTGCCATGGGAGAGAGAAAATGCGACATGGTAGTCGTGTCTGATCCCTGCTTAGGTTTCTCCGTGATTTCTTCCTGTTACTGCCAGAGTCAAGACAAGCGAGGAAGGGAGCGATTATTAAGCACCCACTATACAGTGGACAAGTGCTACTATTTTACCTTAAATCATTGCATAACAACCTCTGAGGCTTATGATTATCTTCTTTATAAATGCAGAGATGGAGCTCAGAATACCTCAGCCTGCTTGAAGTTACACAGACAGATTTGAACCTGGGTCTATCAGACCCCAAAGACAGCCCCACAACCCTTCCCTAAACGAACCACCTCTTCCCGTAGACCCATCCCATTTTCTACACCTCAAGTGTGCCATGTGTTTTCTGGCTTCTAGGCTTTTGCATTTTCCTTCTGGAACATCTCCCTTGTCTGTGCTGCCTCTGCCATCTGTCTTTGAGTTCCATATCAAATAGCACCCCTTGGTGCCTTCGCTCTGATGCTCTGGAAGTAAACTCAGTGGTCTTTATTGCACATATCATTAGAAATGGCACAGAGCGATGATAGAAATGTGTTGGCATGTTCCCTCTAAGCCTGCAAGAGTCAGGAACCTCTTGTTACATATGGAGACTCAGACTGCTTGAACTGAGCCTTGCAGTAGTAGGTGCTCAGTATATATTTATTGAATGGTGGCATAGAGTGGGAGTCTGTGCTGACTACAGCCTGGTGTGTTTGGAATTCCCAGATGCTCTTCTTTCTTTTCTTTTCTTGTCTTGTCTTTTTTTTTCTTTCTTTTTTCCTCCCTCCCTCCCTGCCTTCCCCTGCCTCCCTGCCTTCCCCTCCCTCCCTGCCTTCCCCTCCCTCCCTGCCTTCCCCTCCCTCCCTGCCTTCCCCTCCCTCCCTGCCTTCCCCTGCCTCCCTGCCTTCCCCTCCCTCCCTGCCTTCCCCTGCCTCCCTGCCTTCCCCTCCCTCCCTGCCTTCCCCTGCCTCCCTGCCTTCCCCTCCCTCCCTGCCTTCCCCTGCCTCCCTGCCTTCCCCTGCCTCCCTGCCTTCCCCTGCCTCCCTGCCTTCCCCTGCCTCCCTGCCTTCTCCTGCCTCCTTGCCTTCCCCTGCCTCCCTGCCTTCACCTCCCTCCCTTTCCTTCCCCTCCCTCCCTTTCCTTCCTTTCCCTTTCCCTTTCTTCTCTCTTTCTCTCTCCTTCCTTCCTTCCCTTTTTCTTTCTTTCTCTCTTTCTTTCTCTCTCTCTCTCTGTCTTTCCCTCTCTCTCTCTGTCTTTCCTTTCTTATAGGTTTTTGGGAAACAAGTAGTGTTCGGTTACATGAATAAGTTCTTTCGTGGTGATTTTTGAGATTTTGGTGTACTTATCACCCAGGCAGTGTACACTGTGCCCTAATATCCCTTATCCAAAATGCTTGGGACCAGGAATGTTTTATATCTCAGATTTATTTTTGATTTTGTAATATTTGCATATATATGATGAAATATTTTAGGGATGGGACCCAAGTCTAAACTTGAGATTCATTTATGTTTTATATAGACCTTACACACATAGCCTAAAGGTAATTTTATACAACGCTTTTGATAATTTTGTGCATGAAACAGTTTGTGTTAAGTGCTGTATGTGGAATTTTTCATTGTGGCATCATGTCGGCACTGAAAAAGTTTTGGATTTTGGAGCATTTTAGATTTCAGATTTTCAGATCAGGGATGCTCAACCTGTAGACGCTTTCTTTAACGATAACATTCTCAGCGAATGTAACAAATATCAACTTGATTTTCAGGGCAAGGGGACGCGAGATAAGGTCCTGATCAGAATCATGGTCTCCCGCAGTGAAGTGGACATGTTGAAAATTAGGTCTGAATTCAAGAGAAAGTACGGCAAGTCCCTGTACTATTATATCCAGGTAAGCCCGAGGTGCAGTGTCAGCCTGCCCTGCCGTCCAGAGCACCCCGGGCCCTGGCAGGTGGCCTGGCAGAATGATGACAGAGTGGCGATTTTCTGTTTTCTGACTCTCTGGGGAAGAGATGCTAGTCATCAACTATCAGGGATTTATTTTGAAAGCACCATTTGTGATTTGTCCTGGACTTTGTACAATCAGGCAGATGTTTTATATTTTTCACATCTGTTACTCTACAATGATCATCGGTGTTCATGACGATGATCCTGCAAGGCTTGCTGACATCCCGAAGAGGCTTGGAAGATCAGTTACATTTTACTTTTTTTTTTTTTTTTGAGACGGAGTCTTGCTCTCTCGCCCAGGCTGGAGTGCAGTGGCCACAATCTCGGCTCACTGCAACCTCCGACTTCTGGGTTCACACCATTTTCCTGCCTCAGCCTCCCAAGTAGCTAGGACTACAGGCGCCCGCCACCACACCCGGCTAATTTTTTTGTATTTTTAGTAGAGACAGGGTTTCACCGTGTTAGCCAGGATGGTCTCGATCTCCTGACCTCGTGATCCGCCCGCCTCGGCCTCCCAAAGTGCTGGGATGACAGGCGTGAGCCACTGCGCCCGGCCACATTTTACTTTTATTATGCATTGGTTCCTTGAAAAATCCTCTGGGATAGGCCTAACAACTTTCAGTTATTCAGAACTCCCATCTCTCCAATCAGTTTAGCATCTGTCTGTTTTGATGTGATGTCGCATTTGCAGTAAGGAAGTGATGGCATTCACAGTGGTACCACTGTGTAGATTTCAGACAGCCCTTGCAATTCCCCTTTCTAGAAGTTCCTCAGATGTCCAAAGGCATGCCCATGGTTAGCAAGGATAAAGTTAGAGCTGGATTTTTTGTAGCCAGGTTTATTAGGGCACATGTTTAAAGTCAAAGGACCAGTTAGACTCTTAGTAATTGTTCCTCACCTCACCAGCTTATTTCCACTTGACCTTAATAATGCAGGAAATAGGAGAGTGAGCTAGGAAAGTACCCTGTTTTCTGTGGAAAGACGAGGACGAGAGAGGAAAGTTAGGGTGTTTGTAGGACCTTGCTGCAGTAAGAACAGCCCTGGTCACTAACCTATGTCAATCCTCAGCACCTTGCACTCCCTCCACCCCACAGTCCTAAGGAGCCTTGAGTGTCTTCCCCAGCACCTCCTCCGACCACACTCCTGGAGGCTTCCCTGGCAATGGTTTGGGTGTGGCCTTCCAGGCCTTTGTATCAGGGCAGGTCTCCTGCAGAGTCTTCTCTTTGTCATGGGAGAAGCTTCATTGTGCGTTGAGGCTACTTCTGTGTTATTGAGGAGTCTGGGCTTTTTTCTGATACCACGTTTCTTTTCTTTCCTGGGCCATTGTAGCAAGACACTAAGGGCGACTACCAGAAAGCGCTGCTGTACCTGTGTGGTGGAGATGACTGAAGCCCGACACGGCCTGAGCGTCCAGAAATGGTGCTCACCATGCTTCCAGCTAACAGGTCTAGAAAACCAGCTTGCGAATAACAGTCCCCGTGGCCATCCCTGTGAGGGTGACGTTAGCATTACCCCCAACCTCATTTTAGTTGCCTAAGCATTGCCTGGCCTTCCTGTCTAGTCTCTCCTGTAAGCCAAAGAAATGAACATTCCAAGGAGTTGGAAGTGAAGTCTATGATGTGAAACACTTTGCCTCCTGTGTACTGTGTCATAAACAGATGAATAAACTGAATTTGTACTTTAGAAACACGTACTTTGTGGCCCTGCTTTCAACTGAATTGTTTGAAAATTAAACGTGCTTGGGGTTCAGCTGGTGAGGCTGTCCCTGTAGGAAGAAAGCTCTGGGACTGAGCTGTACAGTATGGTTGCCCCTATCCAAGTGTCGCTATT
Organism: Homo sapiens; assembly: GCF_000001405.40. Classification (NCBI taxonomy): domain Eukaryota; kingdom Metazoa; phylum Chordata; class Mammalia; order Primates; family Hominidae; genus Homo; species Homo sapiens. Next base: position 60,347,188 of record NC_000015.10, on the reverse strand, counting down.
TAAGTTAAATTTAAATGAAATAAAATAAAATAAAATCAGTTCCTGAGTCACACAATCCACATTTCGAATGCTCAGCTTTCACATGTGGTCAGCAGCTAGTATATCTGGACAGCGCAGGCAGGGAACATTTCGATAGAAAGTTCTGTTGGGCAGCAGTACATGCCCAGGGCATGAGAGGACCTATGGGGGAGAAAAAGGGTCCCAGAGGGACCCCTTATCTGCTTATCTTTCTACAGGTTAATTAGGTGAAAATAAGCATCAGGGGCAGCCACAAACTGGAGAGAGCAGTGGGGCAGGGTGGGGCAGGCTACAGCATTCTGGCAAAGGAGATCCAACACAAGCCGATGGGAAGCACGGAGAAGGGATTTCTTTTGACTGGGAGGATTGAGAAAGATGATAGAGAAAAGGAACAATTTGAGCTGCACACTAAAATCTAAGGTGAGGTTTTACAGCTGGGAGAAAGCACTCCATGCAGGTTCTTAAGGGTCTGGGAATGAATGACAGGTCGCTGATACAATGGTACACATGTCAAAAAGTTCAGAGACTTCTTTCTGTACAGGGAAAGTTATGTCTCTCCCTTACTAGCCAGTGGCCTTCCCTGGAGTCGCCTGGTTTCCAGTACATTTTCATGGATAGACTGCATACGCATGTATATATATGTATCTATCTGTGTTCATAAATGTGAAGGTGCTGTCCCCAGGCTGCTGGTACTGGGTTCTGCAGATTCCTTTTTATACAAGTGCTCCCCATAAGCAGGGTAGAGGGCTGGGAGTGAGGGGAAGTTGACTACTCCTCCTAACCCTTCTCCTTAGTGGAGGGTGTGTCAACTACTCATTTTTGGCACCTGGCTGATGCAGGGCCCACTCAGTCATCTGCAGGGACTAGGTAGGTAATGGAAATGAATGTATGAAATGGGCAGGTTGGACAGAAGTGGGGAATCTGGGGAAAATGGGGAATGCCTGCCTTGCTTGAGGCATTCAAATTCAATTCAAACAACAGTCGTAACAACATGGCATTGACCAAACCAAATACATCCGTGAGCTGATTGGCTGCTATTTTGGCCCTTTGGCAAACTTTAGATGGAAATTTGGATCGAGCATGGCTCTTGGGTCACTAGTGGCCCATAACGTATGTGAAAGGCCCCTGAGATAGTCCTTAAAAAGCAGGTTATGCAAAAATCAGGTATTTTATCAAATGTGTCCTGCCTATACATATTAAAATGGATGCCCCAAATCACAGAATATACTGTTCTGTGTGCTTGGGCAGAGTTCAAGGAACTGCCTAAGAAGCAGGACCTTTCTCATTAACCCCAAATTATACTGAACTCAGAATTGATAGGGCTGGGCAGAGACTGTCAGGAGCAGTGTTTCAGATCAGTGAACATTTAGGCATTGTTACCTCTCAATCATACGTGTGTTTCAGGCTGCAAAGGGAGCAGTGGTGTGGAGCAGACAAGGCCATGGGGTGAATATGGGGAAACTTACGCTCCCACTGTGCCCAGGACAGTCTGGCCACTGGTGTGGCCAACAGGTATGTGGGAAAGTTGAAAGGGCAGGCCAACATAGGAAAGGCGCTTGGAGAACTGTTTCAAACACTGTCTACTGTTTTTCCTCTATACAAAGCAATGGCAGTCCAGTGTTTTCCAAAACTCACAGCCAGGGCACTTGAATTTTGGTCCCATTTTCTTCTGGATTTCAGCCTGTCCTCTTCAGTCAAGCTGTCCAAACTGTTTCATGAATAAAGAGAACCATCTGGAGGTTTGACTTATTCTCCCCAGAAATTTTACTTTGCAAAGAGAAGGAAAAGGGTACCTGGCAGGCTGTGAGTTGGTAACAAGAACTTTGATTTTATTCTTTGAGGAATAAAAGGTAATTGATGCAATGTAGCTATGAAAACTTATTGTACTGTAACACTGTGATCAAGAACATGATTTTTTTCTCCCTGCCTTGGTGGGGCTGGGCAGAGCCATCATGTTGCACAACCCCAGAGAACACTCATCCTGTTGTAGTCTATGTGAATGATACCTCCCTTGGTGTTGTGCAGTGCACAACCTGTGCAGCCATACATGACAGCCCTGTATTGTGACCTAGGTGTGTGTGAGATGGTCTTTTCCGCCTTTTGCTACAGAGTTGCCCTTCCAGTTAAAAAAGTTAGAAGGCAAATCTTATTGAGAAACAAATGGGTGAACCCCGAAAGGTCTTGACTTCTCCATGGACTTGATCTTCAGACCAGTTTTACTGGGCTATGCACAAATGGCTGTATATATGAATCTTCCCCAGTATGTGAAGTTCCCATGGTATAAACTATTAGTAAATATAGCTACAGCAGGGAAAACCAGGCTCACAAAATGGCTACATTTAGCAAGACAAATGATTTGAGGACAGAAATCTTTTAAATCAATTTTTAGTTTTTAAATGACTCCCGTCTCCAGTCCTCTCCCTGTGTTTTGACAAACGGCTTTGGCTTCTTATCCACATCGGTTTATTTGACCTCCTTTTTCCATCAACTACCAAAATGAAAACTCTGCTGCAAGAGCGAGGAGAGAGAGTGCGAGCAATTTTAAACATCCCTTAGCAGTGAGGCAGAACATGCTACAGCCATCAAGTTCTAGTTGTTCATTCTATTTATTGAGAAAAGCTTGTAGCCCGATTTCTTTTACGCGAGTACATTTGAGCAAGCAAAGTTTATAGAGATGACTTACCTCATTACATTAGAAGAGTGATTTGCTATCTCAGCATCTATAAGCAATTTTAACAGACATTTCTGGATGAAGAAAAGCTTTTGTAAATATATGCGAAAGACACAATTTCATCAAGCATTAAATTGGAGGTGCCCTGGAAAAATATTACATTTGTGCACTCAATTAGCTTGATTGTGGCTGAATTTTGTCCACTGAAGGCAGCATTTCTGCAGAAAAACAGAAGCATTCCCTATGTCAGCAGGTTTCCTGAAACAAAAACACTTTCCCCTGAAACAAAAACACTTTGCCAGTCCTCTTTTGCATTTGTGCTGTTCCCAGCTCTGTGTCCCTAATCAGGCCTCTCGGTCTTGTTCCTCGCAGTAGAATGTTAGAGGAGAGGGAACCAGATAGAAATCCCTGACAGAAATCCAAACTCAACAATTCCAGCTTTAAATAGCCTGCATTCGGTGCAAAAGCTAGGCAAGCTCTGGGCAAAATTGGGAGGGAGTCAAAGGTAGACTTAAGTCTTCCTGGTCTCCTTACAGGGTCTGTAGGACAGCTGTGCCTCCTGCTGCTCCCAGGACTCTGGTGGCCTCCTTACTGCTCTGGGAAGGGCATCTCCCAGCTACTCCTTGGTATGGCTGTTAGCCCATGTCCTTTTCCCTGGGATGAGTCTGCAGGACCCACCCTATCTTCTATCTTGGAATGGAAGTTTTGTCCTCCTAGTACAGGCATGAGAAGAGTTAGGAAATGAATGGTTGGGGTACAAGAGGACTTTCTTGTGCCCCTAAAATCAGTGAAGGAAATGAGCTAAATATTTAGGGATGATCGTGGCCCTCCTCCAACACACCCCTGACCCCCTTGCTGACCTGTAGTTGAACCACCAGGTCTCTACTAATAAGAAACAAACCAGAAAAAACATGTAATGCCACTGGAACCTGGCTGTGAGGGTGGCTGATGTTTTTAAACAGTTGGTGAGGACAAATTGGAACTTTCTCAGCTGTAATCCATTACAGCCTGATACAGCTTGGCTCTGTGTCCTCAGCCAGATCTCATCTCCAATTGTAATCGCCACGTGTGGAGGGAAGGAGGTGATTGGATCACAGGGGTGGGTTTCCCCCATGCTCTTCCTGTGACTGAGTTCTCATGAGATCTGATGGTTTTACAACTGTCTGGCATTTCCCCTGCTTGCACGTCTCTCTCCTACTGCCATGTGAAGAGGGTCCATGCTTCCCCTTCACCTTCTGCCGTGATTGTAGCTTCCTGAGGCCTACCCAGCCATGTAGAACAGTGAGTCAATTAAATCTCTTTTCTTTATAAATTACCCAGTCTCGGGTAGTATCTTTATAGCAATGTGAGAATGAACTAATGTATAGCCCAAGGCAATTATGCTTTCAAGTAAATGTCTAAAGATTAATTAATCCAAGAAATAACAAGGAGTTTGGATTAGGAACAGAGAAATGTTTGAAACAAGCCTTTGTTACTCCGAGATCGCCAGATTTCAAATTTTACCATGGAGTCTTGGGTTTTGGAGAACCATCTTGGTCTCAATGAATTGCCTTTGTCTGAATAGACATGAGCTGATATATGACTATGAAGATTTGTTAAAGTCTATAGTTCTGCAGGTAATATTGGTCCTCAGTCATCCATGTATTCATTCATTGACTTCATTTATTCAATAGACACACCTCCTATGTGCTGGTCCCTGAACAAAGCACTAGGGATATGGAGATAAGAGAGAGTAAGAGCAAGGCAAAGCCAGCCAAGCAGAATGACAAGGGCTGTGATTGGGAAAAGCACAGGCACTTGGGGGTTGAGAGTAGCTGATTGCATCCAAGAGAACCACCTGGAAAGTTTCTAGGGGCGGCAATCCTTTTTTGTTTTGTTCTTTTTTTTTTTTTTTTTTTTGACAAATCCTTGCTTTGTCACCCAGGCTGGAGTGCAGTGGTGTGGACATGGCTCACTGCAGCCTTGACCTCCTAGGCTCAAGCTGTCCCTGCCTCAGTCCCCTGAGTTGCTGGGACTACAGGTGCATACCACCACACCTAGATAATTTTTGTATTTCTTCGTGGAGATGGAGTTTTGCCATGTTGCCCAGACTGGTGTCGAACTCCAGAGTTCAAGTGATCCACCCACCTCGGCCTCCCAAAGTGCTGGGATTACAGGCATGAGGAGGCAATCCATAAAGCTGGATTTTTTGGTTGTTGTTTTTTTGGTATGGTTTTCTTAAAAGAGGATTATATAATCATTGCAGAAAGTTGGAAAACACAGAAAAGTGTGAAGAAGAAAACGGAAATCACCTGAAACCCCAGTTGGAACGGATTGCTATTAATATAATTGGCAAGATGACCCATTTGGGAATCAGCTCTTGTTTCCTTGACAGAAAGCTCATCAGAAAGAACAAGAGGCAGTTTTTCCTCCCCCTTCTCAAAGAGGAGTTGGTGTTTAGGCAGCCACAGTCAGGCCTTCCTCGCCCCATGGGAGAGTTAAGGTGGCTTTTGGTTTTTCAATGTCTAGTTCAATCCAGGATATATACCTGGATTATCTCAAAGGAGTGGGCTGTGGGGTGAAAGAGAGAAGCAAACAGCCTTTCCCTGGGAGAGCTGGGTTTCCAGAGATGGAAAGAGGAAGTTCCCAGGTGATGGGAAATGGTGCCCAGCCCCCATATATCACCTGGAGTGTCTGACCGCTGATTGGGAAGTCGAGTGTTTGCAGGAGATCAAAAACTGACCACAGCAGTATTGGGTACCCCTGGAAAAGTCTTCTTGACTGGGCCTGGGAATGGGGAATGAGGTCCTGCTCAATGTCAAAGCCTATTTTCCAATCTCAGTCTGATTTGACACCATTTCTTCTCGCATTACCAGAACAGCCCACATCCCACGATGGGAAGCTGGAAGGGAATCTTTTTATGGGTACCCCCTGACTTTGTTTTCTTTTTGACTTTTTATACCTACAATATGTTTCCCAGACAAATCATAGTAAGTATTTCAGACACCTCAGGGCCCCATAATTTAGAGCTAACTTTGTGCTTTGAAGAGCCTAAGTTAATGCAATTTTATGTATCAGTAGGGAACACAGGTTCCCATCAGAGTCATAAAACGAGGAAAGGAAAATGAAGTTTGCACCCAGATATTGTATTTTGAACTGCTGTGAAAACAAAGAAATCACAGAAAATGATTTCAGAGCATAGATGAAGCAAAGAAAGAGGTAGTAGAATCAAAACTTTTCAGCTCTTTAGTGACATAATTGCCAGTTCTGTTTTTCTTCTTCCTTAGAGACACAGTCTTGCTGTATTGCCCAGGAGGGAGTGCAGTGGCTATTCACAGGCATGATCACAGTGCACTGCAGCCTCAAACTCCTGGTCCCAAATGATCCTCCCCACTCAGCCTCCTGAGTCGCTGGGACTACAGGTGTGCACTAGCGTGGGAGGGGGGGCAGCCATTTCTGTTGTAATATGAGGTTTCCATGTAATTGACACCTGGCTTCTCATAGTGACAGACACAGAGTAAGGTAAGGTATGTTAGCCTTCTTCCTAGCCTGTGTGTTGTTTATTTCTTCCTTTGGCCAAGGCCTCCAGAACTCCACATAGAAATTCAGTCCTGGCCCTCCCTCATTTCATCCCGGCCTGGGCATGGAATGTTGACTCAGCTGCGCCTCCTGCTGCTCCCGAGACTCTGTTGGCCTCCTTACCCCTCGGGGAAGGGGTGAGCTGTGCCTGGGGCTCATGCTTTTTCCCCCTCTCATAACCCCGGTCATGTTGGGGCTGAGACTGCTATGCCCCGGGAGCTGACCTCATCTCCCAGCTACTTGGAAGCCCTGTTCTTGCATCACCCTTCTCCCCATGCCCCAGAACCCCTCCTGTCATTCCCTGTCCTGCTCTGCTCAGTTCCCTCTTGGAGGAGTGTTTGCACAATAGGGACAGCAATTTCTTAAAGGGTGGGCCCTGCCCTGGTGCTTGGAGTATCCCATCACTTTATCCAAGGACCTCTGCTGTCTTTCCATCATTGCTGGTGACTCTTTGCTCCTACTTAGAACATTTGCTGCAACCCCTTGCCTGCCTCACCTTATTATAAATAATCTGCCTGCCACTGATGAATTCAGAGATGATGACACAAGTTGTTTGTTTGGCACAAAGAATGTGCTACGCAAGTCCAAAGACCAGATAACAACCTTGTCCTCTCTTCCCCCATCCATCGGTCTCTCTGCCGGAAACTCCCCCCTTGACATTGGTCTTGGCATTAAGATTTGTCCTCAGGAAAAAAAAAAATAATTGGAAGGGGTGATCCATCAATCCTTTAGCATACTTGATTTTATATTCATTTATCATTTCTTCAACAGAGAATATGGCTCTTAAAGAAGGGAACGTGGGGCGGGGACTATTGAACAGGGTATGAGAAAGTGTGTAGCATAACCGGAGGCTGAATGTAAGTAAGCATTTAACTGGAAGAGCCAGATAAGGTGGGTCATTAATGTACTTTTGACGTATTTTATAATGTAATTCTGGGTTTGATACTAGAAGTTTTGAGGGACTCTCCCTCAGAGATACATAAATCAATCAATTCCTATCTCCACCAAATAAAGTCTATAGGGTTAAAGGTGCTCAGTGGTTAGCCTGCTGGGTCGAAGGTGTCTGGGACCACCTGTGGGGCCATAGGACAGTCAGGATGATTGTCTCTGGGTTGGATTCACCTGCAACAAAGGCTGTTACCCTTGAACCCCAGTGGAAGCCTGGGAGTTCTCTTAAGCTGAATCTTTTCCCCAGGGTCTCCCCACTTAGTGTTCCTTATGGCTTTGCTCCCCTGGGAATAATAGTGTCTACCCTGTAGGGTTGTTGTGAGGATTAAATGAGGCAATACGTGTAATGTCACTGGTATAGTTCTTAGTATAAAGGAAGCATTTACTAAAACAAATAAATACATGTAATATATTACCACATCTATAATATATGTCATATTGTAGTGTACGATTAGAGACTGGGCCCCATGGACCTAGGAAAGACTCTTCCTGCTATGCGCTGCTTGGCCTTGGCAGAATCCAGCAGGACACTGGACAATCATTCCAGGGATGCCTTGTGGCTTATCTCCTTCTCGGGCCTGTTTCCATTTGGGGATTCGACCTCCTTGGTTCTCTTGTCTAATAGCCTCGGATGTGCCTCCTGCCGCCTTTCTCTCTGTCAGTGAACCACAAGACCTGACTCTGTGAGCCCTCCGGGAAGCGTACAGAGTGTTTCGACCTTAGGTGATGTGAGGGGAGGTGTTAATGAGTTGCCTATACAGCAACATCATATATTTTCTTGGCAGTGAGGCAGGTTTTTTTGTTTCCATCAATTTTGGACCTTATCAAGTTGATGACTATATGTAGTCTGATGATGGGTGAGAAATAATATTCATGATGTCCGGTGCCTCTTGTTCCTGAAAATCAATTAATTTGGTTACCTAACACAGGGCAGTTCCTTGAGGGAGAGGATAAAAGTTCACTTCCTGGAGCCATGTAACTATGACTCTGATTAAACAACCGTAACAAAAACTGTAGGAAACATTGAGCCAGCTACATTCAGGGGATTTTTGGCCCCACAATATTAGAAGATACTAGGAAGGTCAGGAAGCCTGGGCTGTATAGTTTCTCTTCCACGTGGACATATTCACCCAACAGGTCCAGGCAGTTCTTCTCACACTTGTTTCTGTGACTAAGTCCCTGCCAATCACTTCTGGGGACATCACAGAATAATGATCCATTTTATATTTATTATATAAACCAGCAGTTTTGCTAGTGGGAAATTTTAATCATATGTGTGCAGGTATTATGCCTCAATTTTATGCATAAAATATTTTCAGGATGTGACATGTACAGTGATGGGTTTTTCTCCCTCCTTGTATCTCTGCTTTCCTCTTTTCCTGGAATCTGGCCTCAAGGCACAGATGGGCACACATACCCTCTTAGCCTAACAACAAGTAAGAAGAAGGCTTGCTAGTGGACATTAATCTTCTCAGGGGATAGAGTTTGATTGTCTTTGAGTCCACTTCATTTTCTCCTCCTCAGAACCTGAATCTGGAGCAGAGATGAAACAGGGAATGCCCGATCCATCTATATCAGAAGAGAGAGCTATAGAGGGGATTCAGGAAGAGGAGGCGTGAAGGAATCATAGGAAAGGCAGAGTGAGGCCAGGCGCAGTGGCTCCTGCCTGTAATCCCAGCACTTTGGGAGGCCGAGGCAGGTGGATCATGAGGTCAGGAGTTTGAGACCAGTCTGGCCAACATAGTGAAACCCTGTCTCTACTAAAAGAATACAAAAATTAGCTGGGTGTGGTGGTGCGTGCCTGTAATCCCAGCTACTCGGGAGGCTGAGGCAAGAGGATTGTTCGAACCTAGGAAGCAGAGGTTGCAGTGAGCCAAGATGGCACCATTGCACTTCAGCCTGGGTGACAGAGCAAGACTCCGTCTCAAAAAAAAAAAAAAAAAAGAAAGCCAGAGCGAAAAAGGTACAAGAGGCTGGGCGCAGTGGCTCACGCCTGTAATCCCAGCACTTTGGGAGGCCTAGGCCGGTGGATCACTTGAGGTCAAAAGTTCAAGACCAGGCTGGCCAACATGGTGAAACACGTCTCTACTAAAAATACAAAAATCAGCTGGGCATGGTGGCGGGTGCCTGTAATTCCAGCTACTTAGGAGGCTGAGGCATGAGAATCCCTTGAATCTGGGAGGTGGAGGTTGCGGTGAGCCGAGATCACGCCACTGCACTCCAGCCTGGGTGACAGAGAGAGGCTCTGTCTCAAAGAAAAAAAAAAAAAAGGCACAAGGGCAAGGATGGAGAGAAAGAAAGAGAAGTGCCTTCTCCAAGGGCTGGCCTCAGGACAAAGTTAGAGCCAGGCTCTAAAGACCCCAATTGTATGGACAGCCCAGGAGTCAGATTGAGCAGATTGAGAAGAAACTCTCAAATCTCTTCCACTAGAAGGATTTTCTGTTCATTGAAAGATACTGTTTGGACTTGGAGTAAATAATGGTTTGAATATTTTTCTGCAGCTGATGTTGGAGCTTGATGGGTTAAGATAAGAATTTTTTATTCTCTCATCCATGATGAAGAACTCAGTGTAGGAATTTTGTACATTCTGAGTTTTCTATTTAAATTGATTTACTACCCAGACATTTGTTTTGTTGTCCAATCCACATGAGCTAGCTAATAAAAGCAACGTTCTGAGGTTACATGTTCTGAGGTGCCAGGCACTGATGCTTGATATAGTTCATGGTATTGAATTCCCATTTGACTGGTGTGAGGCCTGAGGTTCAGTGACTTTCCCAGAGTCACATGGCTAGTAAGAGGCGGGATCCAAACCTACTTCCACATCTCTGCGAGAGTGGATGCACCAGGATTTTAATAAAAATGGAAGAAAATTTACCCATTAGCTTTGTATGCACAAATTGGAAAATGTTAGAGACGGGGTGTTGCTCTGTTACCTAGGCTGGAGTGCAGCAACGCAATCACAGCTCATTGCAACCTCAAACCCCTGGGCTCGAACGATCCTCCTGCCTCAGCCTCCTAGAGCCTTGGCATTACAGGTATGAACCACCATGCCCGGCATCATTTTTTAAACTAAACTTTGAATTTTAGAAAAGTTTCAGATTCACAAAATTATTGTGAAGATAATACAGAATACCTATATTCCCTATACCGAGTTTTCCCTGTTAACATGGTATATTAGTATAATACATTTGTCACAATTTTTACCCTAGCACTGATGCGCTATTATTAACTGAAGCCCGTAGTTTATTCTAATGTCCTTGGTTTTTCCCTCGTGTCCTTCTCCTGATTGAGGGTCATATCCAGGACATCACACTACATTTAGATGTCACGTCTCTCAGGCCCCTTGTGTCTGTGACAGTTTCTCAGGCTTGCCTTGTTTGTAATGACATTGACATTTTGAAGATTACTGATCTGTTTTGTAGAATTTCTCTCAATTGAGAATTGTCTGACTTTTATCTCATGATTAGCTTGGGGTAATATGTTTTTTGGAAGAAAACCACAGAGGTAAAATGCCATTTTCATCCTCTTATATCAAGGGGCATCCTATTGACATGATTTGTCATTAGCGAAGTTAATGTTGGTCATCTGGCTGAGGCAGTGTTTGTCATGTGTCTCCACTGCAGGGGAACCCTGTCCCTCTTCCATGCTGTACCTTTTGGAAGGAAGCCACTGTACGGCCCACACTTAAGGAGAAGGGAGTTATGATCCACCTCTTTGGAGGTGAAGTAGCTACACAAATTATTGGAATTCTGAGCAAGAGATTTCTCTCTTTCTTATTTATTTATTCAGTTATTATGTCACTATGGACTTTGGATATTTTGGATATTTATTTTATACTTTGGGTTATAATCCAATACTACTTTTTTTGCTGCTCAAATTGTTCCAGCTTTGGCCATTGGGAGTTCTTTAAGCTGGTTCCTGTGTCTCTTTGACACATCAATTTAGGGGGGTGTGTGTGTGTGTGTGTGTGTGTGTGTGTGTGAGAGAGAGAGAGAGAGAGAGAGAGAGAGAGAGAGAAAGAGAATGAGAACTTCCTTACTTTCCCAACACTGCAAGATGCCCCAGGCTTAGAGAGAGAGAGAGAGACAGACAGAGAGAGAGAGAATGAGAACTTCCGTACTTTCCTGACACTGCAAGATGCCCCAGGCTTATCTTGTATATTTCTTTCTTTCTTTCCTTTTTTTTTTTTTTTTTTAAGTTCTAGGGTACATGTGCACAACGTGCAGGTTTGCTACATAGGTATACATGTGCCATGTTGGTTTGCTGCAGCCATTAACTCGTCATTTACATTAGGTATTTCTCGTAATGCTATCCCTCCCCCTGCCCCTGACCCCATGACAGGCTCCAGGGTGTGATGTTCCCCGCCCTCTGTCCAAGTGTTCTCATTGTTCAATTCCCACCTATAAGTGAGAACATGCACTGTTTGGTTTTCTGCCCTGTGCATGTTTGCAGGGCAAACATGTTCATGTCCTTTGCAGAGAAATGGGTGCAGCTGGAAACCATCATTCTGAGCAAACTATCACAGTGCATGTTTTGGGTTGATTCCAAGTCTTCGCTATTGTGAACAGTGCTGCAATAAATATATGTGTGCATGTGTCTTTATAGTAGCATGATTTATTATCTTTTGGATATATACCCAGTAATGGGATCACTGGGTCAAATGGTATTTCTAGTTCTGGATCCTTGAAGAATCGCCACACTGTCTTCCACAATGGTGGAACTAGTTTACACTCCCACCAACAGTGTAAAAGCATTTCTATTTCTCCACATCCTCTCCAGCGTCTGTTGTTTTCTGACTTTTTAATGATCACCATTCTAACTGGCGTGAGATGGTATCTCATTGTGGTTTTGATTTGCATTTCTCTGATGACCAGTGATGATGAGCATTTTTTCATGTGTCTGTTGGCTGCATAAATGGCTTCTTTTGAGAAGCGTCTGTTCATATCCTTTGCCCACTTTTTAATGGGGTTGTTTGTTTTTTTCTTGTAAATTTGTTTACGTTCTCTGTAGCTTCTGGATATTAGCCCTTTGTCAGATGGGTAGATTGCAAAAATCTTCTCCCATTCTGTGGGTTGCCTGTTCACTCTGATGGTAGTTTCTTTTGCTGTGCAGAAGCTCTTTACTTTAATTAGATCCCATTTGTCAATTTTGGCTTTTGTTGCCATTGCTTTTTGTGTTTCAGTCATGAAGTCCTTGCCCATGCTTATGTCCTGAATGGTATTGCCTAGGTTTTCTTCTAGGGCTTTTATGGTGTTAGGTCTAACATTTAAGTCTTTAATCCATCTTGAATTGATTTTTGTATAAGGTGTAAGGAAGGGATCCAGTTTCAGCTTTCTACATATGGCTAGCCAGTTTTCCCAGCACCATTGATTAAATAGGGAATCCTTTCCCCATTTCTTATTTTTATCAGGTTTGTCAAAGATCAGATGGTTGTAGATGTGTGGTGCTATTTCTGAGACCTCTGTTCTATTCCATTGGTCTATATCTCTGTTCTGGTACCAGTAACATGCTGTTGTGGTTACTGTAGCCTTGTAGTATAGTTTGAAGTCAGGTAGCATGATGCCTCCGGCTTTGTTCTTTTTGTTTGGGATTGTCTTGGCAATGCAGGCTCTTTTTTGGTTCCATATGAACTTTAAAGTAGTTTTTTCCAATTCTGTGAAGAAAGTCATTGGTACCTTGATGGGGATGGCATTGAGTCTATAAATTACCTTGGGCAGTATGGCCATTTTTACGATATTGATTCTTCCTATCCATGAGCATGGAATGTTCTTCCATTTGTTTGTGTCCTCTTTTATTTCATTGAGCAGCAGTTTGTAGTTTTTCCTTGAAGAGGTCCTTCACATCCCTTGTAAGTTGGATTCCTAGGTATTTTATTCTCTTTGAAGCAATTGTGAGTGGGAGTTCACTCATGATTTGGTTCTCTGTTTGTCTGTTATTGGTGTATAGGAATGCTTGTGACTCTTGCACATTGATTTTGTATCCTGAGACTTTGCCGAAGTTGCTTATCAGCTTCAGGAGATTTTGGGCTGAGATGATAGGGTTTTCTAAATATACAATCATGTCATCTGCAAACAGGGACAATTTGACTTCCTCTTTTCCTAATCAAATACCCTTTATTTCTTTCTCTTGCCTGATTACCCTGGCCAGAACTTCCAACACTATGTTGAATAGGAGTGGTGAGAGAGGGCATCCCTTTCTTGTGCCAGTTTTCAAAGGAAATTCTTCCAGTTTTTGCCCATTCAGTATGATATTGGGTGTGGGTTTATCATAAATAGCTCTTATTATTTTGAGATACGTTCCATCAGTTCCTTGTTTATTGAGAGTTTTCAGCATGAAGGGCTGCTGAATTTTGTCAAAGGCCTTTTCTACATCTATTGAGATAATTGTGCAGTTTTTGTCATTGGTTCTGTTTATGTGATGGATTATGTTTATTGATTTGTGTATGTTGAACCAGCCTTACATTCCAGGGTTGAAGCCAACTTAATCGTGGTGGATAAGCTTTTTGATGTGCTGCTGGATTTGGTTTGCCAGTATTTTATTGATGACTTTTGCATGAATGTTTATCAGGGATATTGGTCTAAAATTCTCTTTTTTTGTCTGCCAGGCTTTGGGATCAGGAGGATGCTGGCCTCATAAAATGATGATTGGAATAGTTTCCGAAGGAATGGTACCAGCTCATCTTTGTACCTCTGGTAGAATTTGGCTGTGAATCCATCTGGTCCTGGACTTTTTTTGGTTGTTAGGCTATTAATTATTGCCTCAATTTCAGAGCCTGTTGTTGGTCTATTCAGAGATTCAACTTCTTCCTGGTTTAGTCTTGGAAGGGTGTATGTGTCCAGAAATTTATCCATTTCTTCTAGATTTTCTAGTTTATTTGCGTAGAGGTGTTTATAGTATTCTCTGATGGTAGTTTGTATTTCTGTGGGATCCGTGGTGATATCCCCTTTATCACTTTTTATTGTGTCTATTTGATTCTTCTCTCTTTTCTTCTTTATTAATCTTGCTAGCAGTCTATCAGTTTTGTTGATCTTTTCAAAAACCAGCTCTCAGATTCACTGATTTTTTTGAAGGGTTTTTTGTGTGTCTGTCTCCTTCAGTTCTGCTCTGATCTTAGTTATTTCTTGCCTTCTGCTAGCTTTTAAATGTGTTTGCTCTTGCTTCTCCAATTCTTTTAATTGTGATGTTAGGGTGACGATTTTAGATCTTTCCTGCTTTCTCTTGTGGGCATTTAGTGCTATAAATTTCCCTCTACACACTGCTTTAAATGTGTCCCCAAGATTCTGGTACATTGTGTCTTTGTTCTCATTGGTTTCAAAGAACATCTTTATTTCTGCCTTCATTTCATTATGTACCCAGCAGTCATTCCGGAGCAGGTTGTTCAGTTTCCATGTAGTTGAGCGGTTTTGAGTGAGTTTCTTAATCCTGAGTTCTAGTTTGATTGCACTGTGGTCTGAGAGACAGTATTTGCTGAGGAGTGCTTTACTTCCAACAATGTGGTCAGTTTTAGAATAAGTGCGATGTGGTGGTGAGAATAATGTATATTTTGTTGATTTGGGGTGGAGAGTTCTGTAGATGTCTATTAGGTCTGCCTGTTGCAGAGCTGAGTTCAGGTCCTGGATATCCTTGTTAACCTTGTGTCTCATTGATCTGTCTAATATTGACAGTGGGGTGTTAAAGTCTCCTATCATTGTGTGTGAGTCTAAGTCTCTTTGTAGGTCTCTAAGGACTTGCTTTATGAATCTGGGTGCTCCTGTATTGGGTGCATATATATTTAGGATAGTTAGCCCTTCTTGTTGAATTGATCCCTTTACCATTATGTAGTGGCCTTCTTTGTCTCTTTTCATCTTTGTTGGTTTAAAGTCTGTTTTATCAGAGACTAGGATTCCAACTCCTGCTTTTTTGTTGTTTTCCATTTGTTTGGTAGATCTTCCTCCATCCCTTTATTTTGAGCCTATGTGTGTCTTTGCATTGTGAGATGGGTCTCCTCAATACAGCACACAGATGGGTCTTGACTCTTTGTCCAATTTACCAGTCTGTCTTTTAATTGTAGCATTTAGCCCATTTACATTGAAGGTTAATATTGTTATGCTTGAATTTGATCCTGTCATTACGATGTTAGCTGGTAATTTTGCCTGTTAATTGATGCAGTTTCTTCATAGTGTTGATGGTCTTTATGATTTGGCATGTTTTTGCAGTGGCTGGTACCAGTTGTTCCTTTCCGTGTTTAGTGCTTCCTTCAGGAACTCTTGTAAGGCAGGCCTAGTGGTGACAAAATCTCTCAGCATTTGCTTGTCTGTAAAGGATTTTATTTCTCCTTCACTTATGAAGCTTAGTTTGGCTGGATATGAGATTCTGGTTTGAAAATTCTTTTATTTAAGAATGTTGAATACTGGTGAGATAGAGTCTTACTCTGTCACTCAAGCTGGAGTGCAGTGGTGAGATCTTGGCTCACTGCCACGTCCACCTTCCTGGTTCAAGTGATTCTCCTGCCTCAGCCTCCAGAGTAGCTGGGATTACAGGTGTGTGCCACCACGCCCAGCTAAGTTTTGTTTTTTTAGTAGAGATGGGGTTTCACCATGTTGGTGAGGCTGGTCTCAAACTCCTAACCTCAAGTGATCCTCCCACCTTGGTCTTTCAATGTGTTGGCGTTATAGGCGTGAGCCACCACATCTGGCCATCTATGTCTTTTCGTGGTTTGATATCTTTTTTTTTTATTGCTAGATGATATTTCATTGTATAAATGCACCACAGTTTGCTTTTCCATTCACCTATTAAAGGACATGTTGGCTGCTTTCAGTTTTTGGTGATTTTGAATAAAGCTGTTATAAACATTGCTGTGCAAATTTTTGTGGGGACATAAGTTTCAGCTCATTTGGACAAATACCTAGGAGCACAATTGCTGGGTCACATGATAAAAGATTATTTCATTTTGTAAGAAACTGTTAAACTGTCTTCCAAAGTGGCTATGCCATTTTGAATTCCCACTGGCAAAGAATGGGAGTTTCTGTTACTCTACATCCTTGCCAGCAGTTGGTATTGTCAGATTTTTTGGGTGTGGCCACTCTAATAGTTGTGTAGTATCTAATAGTTGTGTAGTAGTGTTTCTTTTCTTTTTTCTTTTTTTTGTTTTTTGAGATGGGGTCTTGGTCTGTCACCCAGGCTAAAGTACAGTGGTGCGTTCTCAGCTCACTGCAACCTCCGCCTCCTGGCTTCAAGCGATTCTCCTGCCTCAGCCTCTGGAGTAGCTGGGATTACAGGCACGTACCCCCACACCCAGGTAATTTTTGTATTCTTTGTAGAGACAGGGTTTCACCCTGTTGGCCAGGCTGGTCTCGAACTCCTGACCTCAGGTGATCCACCCGTCTTGGCCTCCCAAAGTTTTGGGATTATAGGCATGAGCTACCGCGCCCAGCCCCAGTAGTGTTTCATTATTTTCATTTGCAATTTTCTAATGACAAATGATGTCAAACACCTTTTTGTATACTTCTGTGCCATATATATCTTCTTTATTGAGGTGTCTTTTCAGATCTTTTGCACCTTCTTTATTCTGTTACTTGTTTTTCATTTGTTGAGTTTTAAGAATTCTTTCGGGTTTTAAATACGAGTCCTTTGTCAGATATGTGTTCTGCAAATATTTTCTTCCAGCCTGTGGCTTGTCTTTTCATTCTCCTAACGGTGTCTTTCACAGAGCAGAAGTTTTAAATTTTAGTAAAGTCCAACTTACCAATTTTTTCTTTCTTGGAGATTGCTATTGGTATTGTATTTTAAAACTCATCACCAAACCCAAGGTCATGTAGATTTTCTCCTACGTTGTATTCAAGAAGTTTTCATGGTTTTGCAGTTTATGTTTAGGCCATTCATTCTGAATTGACTTTTTTTTTTTTTCTCTTTTTTGAGATAGGGTTTCACTCTGTCACCCAGGCTGGACTGCAGTGGTGCAATCTTGGCTCACTGAAACTTCTATCTCTTGGGTTCAAGCGATTGTCCTGTCTCAGCTCCTGTCTCAATCAAGTAGCTGGGATTACAGGCGTGGACCACCACACCTGGACAATTTTGGTATTTTTTGGTAGAGACAGGGTGTTGGCCAGGCTGGTCTCAAACTCCTGACCTCAAGTTATCCGCCTGCCTTGGCCTCCCAAAGTGCTGGTATTACAGGCATGAGCCTCTGCACCTGGCCCATTCTGAATTAATTTTTATGTAAGGTATAAGGTCTTTCTCTAGGCTATTCTTTTTGCATATGGACATCCAGTTGTTCCAGCCTCATTTGTTGAAAAGCCAGGATCAATTTCTTTATTAGCAAAATATTTCAGTCTAGTTTTTGGAACCAGAGTATGGTGGAGGCAATCATTGGGAACTCTAGCCCAAATCCATGAGGTTTTAAAATAACTTCAACATATTATTTTCTTTTTACTCATTTTCCTGCGAAATCAGTTGCTGTCTGCTGCTTTCTAAAGAGAGTTATGAATCCATTGCTATTTCAATAGCCCAGGAGAGGAACTGCTGTGGGAGGGAGGGGATATAGACAGCACAGTCCCTTCAGGAGGGGAATTTGTGGAGGAAGGGGCTGTGATTGGGAAGCCTCTGCTTTAGCCTTGATGATAGAAAACTCTTAATATATGAGAAAATCTTATTAACATACTTTTAAGACTAAATTCACCTTTTAGGAAAAACAGAATCTTGCAACACACATCCACACCCCACACACTCCCTTTCTGCCAAGTCCTGGCATTTCCTAAGAGCACCATCAACACCCCTCACCCTACCCTTGGGGATCCAGGCAGGGATCGCCTCCTGACAGGGTGGGGGAGGGGGACGCTGATTTTTATAACTGCGATGTATGTTGCAACATTAAACAGGATAATATATGAAACCATCTACATATTTCATGATTCTGTTTTATTCTGAAACTGTAAAAATCACTTTTTAAAATTAAGATGAATGGAAAATAAAGAAGAGCGCCATCTTGTGGGGATGTCTGCGGCAACCATAGCCATCTCAGATCTTGGCGGTCCATCAATCTCCCAGAACCCTTACACATTTCTATGTCATATATTAGCTGAAAACCTTAGGGCAGCTGATCAAAGACCTTTCTTCAGTTTTTTCTTTTACCTACGATGAATAATTCTATGGGCTTTTATTTTCATAAATGACTAAAAGCTACTTCCTAATGATCTATAAAATCAGTCATTGAGATGTGCTAAAATTGGCATTTATAATAAAAATGCACATTATTAGTTTCTTTCCATACCCTATTTTGTATAAGACTCTTGAGTGACAAGAGTGACAGCATCTCAGTCAATCAAGTGATTTGAGCATAGAGTAGAGGGAGTTAAATCCAGGTACATAAACAAGGAATGAGAATTCCAGAAATTTTCAGAGAGGATGCTTTATATTATGTGATTTTCAAATGCGGCTAGTCTTATCTTAAAGAATACGGTGATCATTTATTTATCATTATGAGGAAAGAGCCAGGATGGACCAATCAGTGGCAGGACAGAAGTTTTAGGTGAAGTGTAGGGGCAATTGAGGCAAATTGGGAACTTCAGGCTAGTGTTAGGAATTGGATGCCAGAAAGCTCTTTGGCAAGATGGAGCCAAGGAGGGTGGGCCATGTTAACTACAGCTGAGACACTCCCTTCCCATCCCAAGTTTGCTGCTTTCTACCAGGAGACCCTGGGCAGGTCCCTATCCCTCATTGTGCCTTCTTTTCTTTCTTTCTCTTTTCTTTTCTTCTCTCTCTCTCCCCACATCCCCTATCCCTCCCTCCCCCCTCTTCCCTCCCCCTCCCTCCCGCCTGCCTGCCTTCCTTCCTTCCTTCCTTCCTTCCTTCCTTCCTTTCATTCTTTCCTTCTTTCTCTCACTCTGTCAGCCAGGCTGGAGTGCAGTGGTGTGATCTTGGCTCACTGCAACCTCCACCTCCTGGGTCTAAGCAACTCTCCTGCCTCAGCCTCCTGAGTAGCTGGGATTGCAGGCCCCTGCCACCAAACCCAGCTAATTTTTGTATTTTTAGTAGAGTCGGGATTTCACCATGTTGGCCGGGCTGGTCTTGAACTCCTGGCCTCAAGTGATCTGCTCACCTTGACCTCCCAAAGTGCTGGGATTACAGGCATAAGCCACTGTGCCCAGCCTCTTTGTTTTCTTTCTAATCTGTAAAATGAGAAGTTTGAAATCTATAATGCCCAGAGTCCCTTCAAGACCTAAAAATGTGAGGTATCAAAGAGAAGCTCTCATTTCTCAATCTGTTTTAACCCAGATTTCTGGTCAAAGGCAGGAATTTTCACAAAGATCCTTATCTTTAGTGAGGCTTCTAAGTAGATTATTTTGAAGCCATAAAAATGATATATATTTTACAGTTAACAAATTATGGAAATACTTGAATATAATAACTCCCTTTAATATTTCCCCCTCACTTTGAATTCCCTATTGGAACAGGTATCAGAGAAAAGCCATACTCACTTCCATCTAAGAACTGAGGCCTCTGGGAGCCTTGCTCCACTGGGGATATACCTTCTCCTTGCAGATGGGTGCACTCAACGTCACAGGGGCAGTGATGGGTGACATGATCCACCCAGCCTGCAGCCACTACATCTCATGCTATTGGCCTCTGACAGTGGTGCTGATGGGAAAAAACTGTCCCTCCCATGGCCAGTTGAAGGACACCTGGGGAGAGATGCCACCTCATGAGGTAGACTTTCTCTGTTCCCAGATCAGTAAGGAGCATTGCCTTGCATTTGTGCATAATTTTTGTGTATTTTAAGAGTTCTTGTATATTTAAGAGCTCTCATGAATTCCTGTTTGCTTGAGTGAATGCATTTTAAGGTGTTTCTGGAGAATAGGAGAGGATACAAAATCTAACAAGATACCAAACTTTCAATCCTGAATTGCAACTTGTGTCAACATTGCGCTACTGTGGGTTTGTCAAAACCGCCCTTTAAAAAAAAGTGACTCTAAAGTTGTATTGATGACATTTGACCACAAGAGGACGCTCCAACAAAGCACCTCACAGCTCAAAAGTCTACGTCTCCTTTTCAAACATTTACATGCTGCAATTTCTGCCTGGTCTTATGATATAAAGCTTAATGCCACAAATATTGTTTCAAACTTTATGAAAAGAGTTTTTCTTTTTTTTAAAAAAAGAAGATTGGGAGCTATAGCAGTGAATCCTGAGCTCAAGGTAAACTATTTTCATTAGCTGGAGGTGCTTTATAATTTCTCCATCAGTTTTCAAAAAAGGGACAAGGACTTTAAGAACCTTTTCTTCCTTTAACAATCAAACGAAACAACACAAACTCAAAACGCTTTAAGAACATTTCAATTTCCAAACTAGACCTTTTATGGATCATTTTCCTAAGAGTTCTAAGTCTAGAAATGTGATTAAAGAAAACAAAAACAAACAAACAAACACAAACAAAAAAACATTTTCCAGTCTAGACGCAGCCATCAGCGAAAATGCTCCATTACCTGTTACCTCTTCTAGGATACAGATGTTTGAAAAAGAAAGTGGGCAAGAAGCTATGTGACGGTCTCTGAAGTAAATTAAAGCCCTGGACTGCATTTCCCTAGTAGTCAGATAAAACTTGAGGGCATAATTGCCAACAATGAACACCCTTTCCGTTTAACCAATCTTTACTGATAATAAAATAATTAGAATAATTTATGTGTCTGTGCTATTATTAACGTGGCTTTGCTTAAAGGAGATTCAGCTGGTTGTTCACGGACGTTAAGAGGGTCTCTCCTCCCACCTTCTGAGATGACATGTTTATACCCAGGCAGCACTTCTAAATTTTTAATAGAGAGGAAGAGATTCCATTTAATTAGGTAGAGTGACTTGTTTATATGCAGGTTATACATTTACGAGTTCTCATGAAGAACGGAAAATACCCATTGAGCAGCCTTTGAAGTTTCGCTTGTTTAAAGATAATTGTAAACCCAGCTCAATGGAAACAGCATCTCAGTCAATCAAGTGATTTGAGCATAGAGTAGAGGGAGTTAAATCCAGGTTAAATAATTGCACAAATCACATGTCGATCAATGTTCAAAGGATTTTTTTTCTCTCAAATCAAAGCTCTTCCATCTTACATTTGATTGGAGTATTGAAACTGGGTTATAGAAAAAAATGTTAAGGATGTAACAAGATTTAAAAATGTTAAGGATGTAACAAGATTTTTTTTTACTTAAAAATTATCCACCATTTATATAAAATCCTTTCTCTTTTTTCCTTTTGATTTTTACTTCATATATTCTATATAGCTTATTTTATTTGTGAATTAGGTAACACAAACATGTCACTGTCACAAAAGCATTTTTCTACATTCATAAATCCTTTCTGGAAATGAGAAATCATTTTTTTCTTAAACTCTGACCTAAGGTAAAAATTCCAAATATTTGCGTGCCTTGGATGGTATTGCAAAAAGGCCACCTAAACTAATGAGGTTTCTTGAATTGGTGTACAGAAATGAATTACAATGCTTAAGAAGTTGAAGAGATTTCTCGTGATTTTTAAAGTAATATTAATGATCGTATGGAATGAGAAATTGAGCTTTGTGTTATTACTATAGGATTAGTTTTTAGTTCCTGAAAGCTGGTCTATTTATAGGTATATAGGATGGAATTAAACTCTGAAAAGGTTAATTTTTAAAAAATGTTCTGTAGAAGGTCTATTTCCTATCACCTTTTATAAGTTTCCCTTTGAATTGTAGTTGCAATATGCATTTGGAGTGAGTCCAGGAAGCTTGAATAATAATGTAATCCCCGGGGGAGCCGCTCTTAGCAGAGTGGGTAGGATAAATGAAATGCTACATACAGATTCCTGACAATATATTCATCTTGATATTATCGCAGCTGATGGATTGTAGCAAGGCTGTTCCTAGGGCTTCCCTTTGCCATCTTCAGTGTCTTTATCATTTCAGTGCGAAAAAGAAAAACCCCATCACACAAAAGAAATAAAACATCGTTAATTGAAAAGTAGCACCTTAAAAATATTTGTGGTAGGAAAAATATTTGTTTTGCTGCAAGGAGAACAGAGAGTAGGGAATAAAAGACTAAAGAAGAGAGAAAAAGAAACCAGTGTCCTTTGCTGAGCTCGCTGGCCACATGTAAGGCTCTCAAACATTTTAACCGTTGCACATCATTTTCTTTTTCTTCTGTGTGCTTGTCTAATTTATTTTCATAAGAAAACTCTGTTCCTCTTGTGCGGAGCCAGCATAATGTCGCTGAAATCTCGGATGATGTGGTTTTAAGATCAAACAAGACTTAATAAGGTGGGATTTGTTTTCCTATTGACCTTCTTATTGCTTGGGTCCCCCTGACAAGCTTCGAAGTGAACGGGAGGAATTAGGGTAGCAGCTCTTCAGAGAAACTCATCTTGGCTGGGGCTCCACCTTGAAACGGGAGTGCAAGAGATTGCAAATGGCTCCAAACGAGGGGGCACACACAGACTTGCAAAATGGAAGCGGGTTCTTCCATTGCAGAAAGAAAGAGGGGCACCCAGCAGGATAAACATTCAAAGTGGAAGACACTGCTAGTGGATTTATTTTTATTTTAGGTTCTGACAGATTGGCCAATGTCCTTGATTGGAGTTGGAGTTCATCAGAATGACTAGTTCTGGCCTAATTTAAGAAACAAAACCTCCTAACTTTGTGGGGGCTGCTGGAGAGCAGGGCAGGGCATCATCCATCTAAGAGAAAAACAAAGGAGTTTGGTCCTTTTTTAAAAATGAAAGTTTCCTTAGGAGTCAAAACGGACTGAATTTAAAGGAAATTAAAGTGAGAAAAAGAGTTTTGTGAACAAATGAAACTCTCTTCCAGTAAAAGGAAAGAAGGAGGAGAAAAATGTTTGAAGGTGGGGCGAATGCATTGTTACTAAAAGTAAATAATTCCAGCCCAGTTTTGCAAAAATAGAGAATTGAACCCAACAGCCACTCACGGTCTTATCTGATACCCTAACTGAACTAGAGCGCATTTACAGTTTTTCTTCTATCAGGGTGAATAACACATGTTTCATGTTCTTACAGAACTAGCGTGGCAGCATTTGCCCACCACTGGTAAACAAGAAAAGATGTCTATAGATTCCCCATTATTTTAGGCGGCCACTGGAGTCAGCCCAGGCATTCTGAGCTGCTTCTGCCCATCTTTTAATATTGTCCTTCTGCCTACCTTTTAGTGTTGCAGAAAAGCATGCGGGAGAAACAAACAGAAGGGAGTAGCCAGGACAAGTCAAATTCTGTCGAAGACACTGAGACTCCCTGTGCCGAGAGCTGACTTCTGCAAGCTCTTTGGCAAGGTATTTACGGATGCAATATTTCTGTCAATTCTCCTCCCTTATTTCACTCTTTGTTCCCTTAATGGGCGAATTAGCCTCAGGTTCTTGCTAAATCTATTCCTTTTGGGAAAAGAAAATGATGTACATCGTTATAATCATGCACTACCAGGAGAAATGCCAGTTGGAGCAGAGTGTTCTCTTTCAGGGGTGTTTTTTCCCTTGAGAAGTGGCTGCTTGAATGTCAGCTGCTTGGTTGGCCTCACACTTTGTTTCCTCATTGTGGACCTGCGTGCAGTCCTGCGGGATGAAGGGAAGAAGATATTCACAACTGTCCTAGTGAAAAATTCAGGATGCACCTAGTTATATTTGCTCAAGGGACAACTTCTTTCACTGTTGGAGATAAGGAACTTAGGCCGGGCGTGGTGGCTTACGCCTGTAATCCCAGCACTTTGGGAGGCTGAAGCAGGTGGATCACCCGAGGTCAGGAGTTCAAGACCAGCCTCACCAACGTGGAGAAACCCCATGTCTGCTAAAAAATACAAAAATTAGCCAGGCGTGGTGGCTGGTGCCTGTAATCCTAGCTACTCCGGAGGCTGAGACATGAGAATTTCTTGAACCCGGGGGGTGGAAGTTGCAGTGAGCCGAGATCACGCCATTGCACTCCAGCCTGGGCAACAGAGTGAGACTCCGTCTCAGGGGCGGGGGGTGGAGTGGAAAAAGAAGGCACTCAAAGACCGGCTACTCCAAGCTTTTCATTTCACAGATGGGTAAACAGAGGCCCTTTGCAGTTCAGTGAATTGCTCAAGCTCCTCAAAGTGTAGTTTTTGGACCAGCAGCATCGGTGTTCCCTGGAGCTTGTTAGAAATGCAGCAACTCAATCTCTAACCCAGACCTAATGAATCAATCTGCAATTTAACAAGATCCTCAATGCATGGTAGAGTCTGAGAAGCACTGATGCCCCACACCCAAACTAGGATTATGGCACAGCTCAAAACTGCCTAATTTCAGCAAGTGTCATTACTTCTAAAAAAGATGCTGCCATAAACGATATTTTTAGCTACAGTAGGCCCATTGAAATGTAAAAATACTAAATGCGAAGAGGAAAAAGAGTGCTGCTATGCAGTGAGGGTGATGATAGGGGGAAATGGTGGTATTTAACGGTACAAGCTTTCTGGAGGGCAGTTTTGTAATAGTTATCAAAGTCTTAAAGATGCACACCCTTTGATCCAACAATTCCACGTCTAGGAAGTTATTCTGGAAAAATAACTGGACTAGGTTGAAGAGCTTTGTGAATAGAATATTGTAATATTTATGACAGCCAAAAGATTGAAAGCAGTCTAAATATCCAACAGTAGAGAGTAGCTAAAGAAATTCTGGTATCAATAGTAGAATGCTGGGCAATCATTTAAAATGATAAATTGGCCAGGTGCAGTGACTCACACCTGTAATCCCAGCCAGGTGCAGTGACTGACGCCAATGCTGCTGGTGTAGATGTTAAATTGGTGGGCTTGCTGAGTGGATGGTCAGTGGAGCCTTCTATCTGTCACCTTGCTCTGCCCCAAGTCCTTCCAGCACTTTTGGAAGACAAGGCAGTTGGATCGCTTGAGACCAGGAATTCAGGACCAGTCTGGGCAGCATAGTGAGACCCTGTTTCTAAAAAAAAAAAAAAGAAAAAGAAAAATTAAAACTAGCTGGGCATGGTGGCTGGTGCCTGTAGTCCCACCTATTCTGGAGGCTGAGATGGGAGGATTGCTTGAGTCCAGGAGGTTGAGACTGCTGTGAGCTATGATTGTATCACTGCACTGTAGCCTGGGCAACAGGGCAACAGAGAGAGACCTTCTCCACACCATTTTCCCCACACAGACAAGTTATTTTTTTTTAATTTTTATATATTTAGAGGATACAAGGGTGGATTTCTTACACGCACATATTACACATTAATAAAGTCTGGGCTTTTACTGTACCCATCACCCAAATGATGAGCGTTGTACCCAAGAGGTAATTTTCAACTGTCCCCCGCTCCTACCCTCCCACCTTTTGTAATCTCCATTGTCTCTTATTCCACTCTGTATGTCCATGTGTGTACGCTGTTAGCACCCACTTATAAGCAAGACCCTGGTGTTTGACTTTCTGTTTCTGAGTTACTTCACCTAGGATAATGGGTAGGGACACAGACAAACCATATCAACTGATAAGTGAAAAACTCATATTATCATACCATGCATAAAATGGTCTTATATCTTGTTTAGAAAAAGATATATATTTAAAGTTGCAGAAGGCCATGCAGCTAAGTGTTAACAGTAGCTATTTAGAATGTAAATAAATAATATAGGTAAGAATATAGGTAATATTTTTCTTTTTGCTTATCTTCATTTTATGGTTCTATTACAACTGATGTATTAATTAGCTAATAAAGAAGATAAAATAGTTATTATTGATGAATGGTATTTTTTTCTTTAAGTTCTGAATATTTTACTTTCCAGACCAAATTCCTAAAACTAAAAACATTTTAACATTTTGTGTATAACTTTGTCATTATACCATGTTATCATTATCTATTAAGTGCCTTCCTCCCCCAAGATGGTGAGCACCTTAACAACAAAGACTCTCTTATGCACCTTTATATTTAGGGTTTAGCCTGGAGCTTGGCACACAGCATGTACTTAATAAATGTTTTAAATGGATGAATGAAAGAGTTTTGGATGACTGTCTTTTTTCCTTCGTATGACTAGCCTATGGAATTAAACTCCTAGGCACACAGAAATTGATTGCAAAGTTCTAATTGAGCTATTGGTTTAGCTACAATTTCTAGTCTAGTAATAAATAACCCTATGAGGTGTGGGTCAGGGTAGAATGAATTGAGAGGTCAGGGCATAGAGGCCTCTAAAGGCTCAGAGGAAATGTGCTTCCCTATGAGCTGACCACTACACTGACTTCTCCAGGTGGCCCTAGGGGAAAGAAGTCAGCCTGGCTGGAACAGGTAATGGTCAGCTCATGGGAAGCACAGGGGTCTGTTCTTCTGCCTCAGTTCATGGACAGTGGAAACTGGCTTTCCAGGTCTCAGTTTGTTTGTGTTTTTGTAGTTGTAATTTTGGATCTTATCTCATCAGGAGGCAGGGTTTTGAAAAGCTTGCCCTGATGCTAACTAGTACTCACTGTTTCGGTTTCTGCTGAGAAGCACTGGCATGCATTCTGTCACCTCATCCTCACTGCTTCCTAATGAGGTGGCTACCCACTTCATAGAGCAGGAGCCTGAAAAAGGTAAAGCTACCTGCCCCAAGTTCAGACACGATGCAGTGGAGCTGGGATCCAGATGTAGACCCGTGGACCCCGATCCTGGCCCTTCCACCATGTGCTACAGAAGTTGAGGGGATGGTCTGAGGGTTTCCTTCCGGCTCCACCCTCTGTGGTGTGACTCTGCCAGTCAACACGTCCCTGGGCCTTTCTGAATCTTCCCAGTTCTCTTGTCAAATAGGGTCTATTAAAAAAATGGGTCCTCCACATTCTGTGATCACGTATTTTCTTTCCTGCTTTTGGCTCTAAGTGAAGTCACCAGAAAACCTATCTTAAGGCTTAAAAAACATATGAAGGGAATAAAAAATATTTTTAACAAAGTAACTTACAATCTAGAAATAGTCATAAGATTCAAGCAAGTGGATTGCAAACTAAGAGGTAAACCCTAGCTTTAATTTGGGATTTATTCATAAAGTTCTGAAAAATTCATGAAAGTTTCATTGAATATATGTATCTGACCACTGGCTTGTTTCTTGGGATACCCCAGTTTCTGTATTTGAAAATGTTAACAGTATAAAAAATGTAAGTTTTAATCTACAAATTTGTGGAAAACATTTCTGGAGTTGAGTGATACAGTAATGTAATGTGAATATTTGTTTGCATATCTTTTTGGCTGTTTTCCATTTGGAATTTGCATAGTAATATAGAAGGATCTTGAAAAGCAATGGAGGAAGAATCATGATTTGGTCCAAATTACTATCTAAGAGATTTCTCTCTTTCTTTCTTTCTCCCTCCCCTCCCCTCCCCTCCCCTCCTTTCCTTCCTTCCTTCTTTCCAGACAGGGCCTTGCTCTGTCGCCCGGGCTGTACTGCAGTGGGATGATCATAGCTCAGTGCAGCCTCAAATTCCTGGGCTCAAGGGATCCTCCCACTTCAGCCTCCCTAATATCCAAGAGATTTCAAAATCAAAACGATATGAAACTACTCTGAGTTTTTAGTGCCCCCTCCCTGAAATGGGTTATGTTTTCATTGTAACAATTTGTAACTTACATTTATTTGTGTGATTATTTGATTGATGTCTGTCTTTGCCACTTGCACTTGAAATTCAGGAGAGTGGGAGAGCCATATCTGTTTAGCTTGTCATTGTATTTCTAATACATAGCACATAATAGCACATATCATAATAACAGCAATGACAATAATAATGCACAAGGGATAACTAATACTTGCTGGGCTTTTTCTATGTGCCAGGTTTTGTTCTAGATGCTTTATGTTTACCAGCTCGTTTAATTAACCTTAATTTAATGTAACCTCTTGACAAATATTGGTTGAATGACTTTCATATAAATAAAAAATAAATTTTTAGTTTATACATCTGATACCTGTTTAGTGCTGTGAAGGTTTGGGAGGCTGTTTATTATAATAAAAGCTGAAAGACATTAAACTCAAAGTGATTCCACAAAGTGTTTCTTGTGTGTGCCCAATAAATAAATTTTTCACTTTTTTACATTCTTTTTTATTTGTGGACTCCTAAAACAGATTTTAAGAAACAAGAGAAAGGGCTAGAGACTCCCTAACTACTTAAAGAAATAGAGCAGCATTGCCATTTTAAAATCGGGTGTTAATTTTAATCAAGAAATCTTTGATTAGCAGCTTTCAACTCTAATGGTGGGAGGTTGTCTTTCAAGGAAGTTTTAAGCTGACATCTATGTTGCTGCTGCAGTAACCTACACTTAATTTATTGTCATTTAGTGCAAAAATTGATGAGAACATAACCTTTGTAAGGTTTTTATGTTTTATTGCCTATAAAAGATAAAATATGGGGTAAAAGGAAGTAAAATAGTATTTTGTTAAGTCAGGGGATGGATTTATGTTTTAACTAACTGATAGAATAATCAGAGGGTCATAAAGATCAGAGTATCTGCCTCCTATCTCTTCTCTTTTTATGTGAGCATTCAACAAGCTTCTCTTTGTGGCTGTCAGACCCATGGGAGCTCACCCAAACAGCAGGCCCGCTTTGTCCAAGGGTATTAACTCAACTGTTTAGAGCTAGAATACCAGGAGGCTTCTGTTGCGCACATTAAGCGATTGGGATAAGTCTAAATGAATCAGATACTTGACATGTGCAAATGGGATGTGTGTTCACAAGGGACTGTGGGGTTACATTGTGTCTTGAATGGACAGGCAAAAACAAAGTATGTGAGTTATGTTGAATTTTGCAGGAAACACACAAAGAGACTCTGGTCTTTGGGAATTGCCAGTGACTGTGTTGTAGAGGACGATGCCGGGAAGGCCCAGCCTTGCTAATTTCTCCTCAACACACCCTTCATAGCATTAAAAAAAAAAAAAGGAAAGAAAGATAATAAATTTCAAAGTGATTAGTTTTGATAACGTAGGCCCGTGGTTCTCAAACCTTAGCACGCAGAGGAAGCCCCTTGGAGCACCAGTTAAAACCCAGATTTCTGGGCCCATTTCCAGGATTTCTGATTCAGCAGGTCTTGGGTGGGGCTTGAGAGTTTGTGATATGGTTTTACTGTGTCCCCACTGAAATCTCAACTTGAATCGTATCTCCCAGAATTCTCATGTGTTATGATGGGAGGGACCGAGGGGGAGGTAATTGAATCATGGGGGCCAGTCTTTTCTGTGCTATTGTTGTGATAGAGAATAAGTCTCATCAGATGTGATGGGTTTATTAGGGGTTTCTGCTTTTGCTTATTCCTCATTTTTGCTTGCCGCCGCCATATAAGATGTGCCTTTCATCTCCTGCCATGATTCTGAGGCCTCCCCAGCCATGTGGAACATAAGACCAATTAAACCTCTTTTTGTTACCAGTTTTGGGTATGTCTTTATCAGCAGTGTGAAAATGAACTAATACAGTTTGCATTTGTTTTAAGACAGGGTCTCACTCTGTCATCCAGGCTGGAGTGTAGTGGTGCGATCATGTCTCACTGTGACCTAGAGCTCCTGAGCTCAAGTGATCTCTCCTGCTTCAGCCTCCCAAGCAGCTAAGACTACAGGCGCAAGCCACCAGGCCTGACTAAGTTTTCTGTATTTTTTGTAGAGATGGGGTCTTACTCTTGCCCAGGCTGGTTTCAAACTCCTGGCCTCAAGTGATCCTTCTGCTTGGCCTCCCAAAGTGCTGGGATTACAGGCGTGAGCCACCGTGCCTGGCCCCGAGTTTGCAGTTCTAACAAGCTCCCAGGTGATGCTGTGCTGCTTGTCTAGAGATTGTGCTTTGAGGACCACTGCTCTAGGTACTCATTTACCTACGTCATAGGTGGGTGGACATGCCCCAGGGTGTTGCAGGAGTCCTAGAAAACATCTTCTCAGCTCAGAAGGGTGGGGCTGGGTGAGTCTGTAGGTATTCAGGTGTGTTTCATGTGCAAACAAGCCAGGGCTTGTCCTAAGGATAAATAACTGCTTTAGTCTTTGGAGCTTTCAGTCTAAGATTGGACTGAGGAATAAAATATGCAAGTTAATTTATTTCTGTAAGTGTCCTGTTTGCTTTGTAGGATTTGCTCCCAAAGTAATCTACTTGCTTGGAGCTCCTCAAAGATGCCAATCTGTTTTATTGCTGTGTTCTGGATGCTAAGCACAGTGCCATGCACCGGGCCCTGCTACATGATTTGCAGGACTCAGTGCAAGATGAAAATGTGGGGCTCCTTGTTCAAACATTAGTATGAATCTGAAGATAGAGACAGCAGGGCCCTGTGTGACCGCACAGGTTGTGCCCCATGAAGCTGGCCCTTCTTGTCACCTAGTAAGCAGTTTATTAGCTCTTTTCACCAAAGGATCATTGACCAAAGCTTAACCAAGAGGAATTTTGAAGGACCTCCTGGTTAGATTCCCTCTTTTTTTGGTGGAGGCAAGTGTGATCATTTTAAGTAGCCTTCATAGTTAACCTGGCACCTCTGCATGTGTTTGCCCATTTGCAGCATCCCTGGAAGGGGGGCATTATGATCCCCATTTGACACACGGCTCAGCTGTGACTTGAACACATATAGTGATTTGGACCAGTGTTCTGATGTCTAGTACTTTAAAAAACTTTTGATTTTTAGTTGCCACATTTGTGTCTCAGAGAGGTTTAGCTACATGCTTAAAAACACACAGCCAGAAAACAAGTGAACAAGAATTTGAACTCAATCTTCTAGATCCTACTTGAACATTCTTTCTATTCCCAATCATGGAAGAAAGCAGGTTTGGGGAATGATATGGTTTAGCTGTGTCCCCACCCAAATCTCATCTTGAATTGTATGCCCATAATTCCCATGTGTTGTGGGAGGGACCTGGTGGGAGAAAATTTGAATCATGGGGGCGGTTTCCCCCATACAGTTCTCATGGTAATGAATAAGTCTCATGAGATCAGATGGTTTTATCAGGGGAAACCCCTGCTTGGCTCTCATTCTCTTCGCTTGTCTGCCACCATGTGAGACGTGCCTTTCATCTTCCACCATGATTGTGGGGCCTCCCCAGCCACGTGGAAGTGTAAATCCAATACACCTCTCACTTTTGTGATGCCCAGTCTCTGGTATGTCTTTATCAGCAGTGTGAAAAATGGACCAATGACAGGGAAGGTCATTGATTCTATTGACTGATATTTTTGAGCTCCAAAGCTTAGTATTGATTCCAGTAAATCTAGTTGATGCTTGACCTATTTCTGTCCCTGTATGCTCTTTAGTTCTGAGAACAGATGGCTTCTCAAATATGCCCTGTTCCCAGGAGAGTCTGGCTCCTAAAGTTTGACTACTGATGGCTTGGAAGTTTTCCTCTGAGTTAATCCCCCACTCCCAACATTCTTCACCATTGCGACTCAGTGTTTAGGTTAGGTGAAAATATTTATTTCCTAGAGCACTGGAAATATCTTCTGTTCCCCATTGTCTTGATTTATCTGGATGCACCTGGTGTTCTCTCCCGTTCTCTGTGGGTATGAACATCTTGACCTCTGAGGATGTGAAACCAAGCAGGCATGATAATTATGCTTGGTGGCCAGTTGACAGGCTGTCTGGGTTTGAGTCCTGCTTCTTCCTCTTACTTGCTGATCATGGCCAAGTTCTGGACTTAACCACACTTGAGCTTGTTTCCTGGTCTGTAAAATAGGAATAATGCAGTTAACAGAGGTTTACTGCAATCATTAAAGGACATGACTTATGCAGAGTTCTTTGGTAACAGCATTACTGTGTTCTGGGCTGGCCCCAGGCACAACTAGGTCATGGGTGAAATTTATCTGGTTTAGTGTTCCATGCTTGTTTAATACCCTCTCCTCCCCCTGCCCCATAAATGCTGGCATGTTCCTTTTTCCTGAAGTACACCTGCACTGTAGCACATTCAAGAACTCAAACAAACAACAACAAAAAAATAGTCTTTCCACAATGGGCAGAAGTGGGAGATGTTTCGATGCAGGCTTTCTTTGAGGGAGTGGGGTGCCTGGTAAAAAGAAAATTCTCTTGTAGATAGATGGCCATGTGTCCTGATAGCATGGGGAAATGAATATGTGTGCAACTGTGTGTGTATGCAAGTGTGTAAAGAAGTCATGGGCCTTATCGTTAGAACCTTCCTTCCTCCCCAACGTCCTCAATCTTTCTGCACCCCAATTCTTCAGAGATTTTATTGAATCTATGGCTGGATGGGGATCGGGGAAAATCATTTTACTTTGATCTGCTCACTAGAGCTTCTTAACTTCTCAGTTTCTTTTATTAGTTCCCAGTATTTAGAGTAAATGCAAACGTTTCTTCACCCAAGGTCTCAATATCCTTTTTTCACACCCTGTATTAGTCCCTTCCCATATTGCTATAAAGAAATACCTGAGACTGGGTAACTTATAAGAAAAGAAGTTTAATTGGCTCACAGTTGTGCAGGCTGTACAGAAAGCATGGTGACATCTGCTTCTGGGAGGCCTCAGGGAGCTTTTACTCAAGGTGGAAGGCAAAGCAGGAGCAGATACATCTCACATGGTGATATGGTTTGGATTTATGTGTCTGCCCAAATTTCGTGTCAAACTGTAGGCCCCAGTGTTGGAGCAGGGGCCTGGTGGGAGGTGATTAGATCATGGGGGCGGACTCCCCCCTTGCTGTTCTCATGCTGGTGAGTGAGTTCTCATGAGATCTGGTTGTTTAAAATTGTGTAGTACCTCTCCCATCTCTCTTTTCCTCCTGCTCTGGCCACGTACGACATGCCTCTTTCCTCTTCACCTTCCGCCGTGATTGTAAGTTTCCTAAGGCCTCCCCAGCCGTGCCTCCTGTACAGCCTGCAGAAGGGTGAGCCAATTAAACCTCTTTTCTTTATAATTACCTAGTCTCAGGCAGTTCTTTATAGTAATACAAGAATGGACTAATACACATGGCGAAAGCAGGAACAAAAGAGAGGGAGGGGCGAGGTGCCACATACATTTAAATTACCAAATCTCATGAGAACTCACTCACTATTACAAGGACAGTGCTAAACCAATTCATGGTGTTAAGCCATTCATGAGAAATCCGCCCCCATGATCCAATCACCTCCTACCAGGCCCCACCTCCCACACTGAGGATTACATTTTAATATGTGATTTGAACAGGGACATACAACTAAACTATATTACACCCCAAATTATTTTTATATAGCTAATATGTTAAACATCAAAAAATGACAGGAAGATAGGCATGTCTAATTCCAGCTGCTTTGTCTCCTGATGCTAGTGGGGGAAATGCAGGCTCAGGATCCTTGAGCCTTAGGTACCATGTTAGCACCTGCTTGCTCCCTCCCTTCTGACCTTGCTGTCCCCATGCAGCTGGTGCTGTAGCCCTCCCCATCCCTGCCCATCTTCCCACCAAAAAACAACCCACAGTGCATGGAAACCATTCCGAGTCCTTATAATAGGGATGAGATGCTTTACTTTTTGAAGGAGGGTGAGGTTGAATGATAATAGCTACGTTGCAAGTCCCAAATTGAAATCATCCATCAAAGATTAACTGAAGGATTTACTCGCTCAAAGTGCCTATGAATTCTCCATACTTTCGCATGTATTAAAGATACCTGAGGCCAGGCGCGGTGGCTCAAGCCTGTAATCCCAGCACTTTGGGAGGCCGAGGCAGGCAGATCACGAGGTCAGGAGATCGAGACCATCCTGGCTAACACGGTGAAACCCCATCTGTACTAAAAAATACAAAAAATTAGCCGGGCGTGGGGGCGGGCTCCTGTAGTCCCAGCTACTCCGGAGGCTGAGGCAGGAGAATGGCGTGAACCCAGGAGGCGGAGCTTACAGTGAGCCGAGATCGCGCCACTGCACTCCAGCCTGGGGGACAGAGCGAGACTCCGTCTCAAAAAAAAAAAAAAAAAAAAAAAAAAAAAGAAAGAAAAGAAAAGAAAAGAAATACCTGAAATCAAGACCATAATTTGGTCAATGTAATTTGACAACTCATGAGAAAAACAATTGCATTGTTGTACCCAGTGAGAGCACCACTTCTCTCCTGGTAATGAAGAGGCTTGTGCTATCTCTTCTGTGGTTTGCTGCCCCATGCTCTGGTTGACCCCGGTGATCAAGGATGACATCAATACCTAAGACCAGAAACAACCTAAGAACTGCATTGTTGCTATGGGATTCTGTCTCTTTCCACAGTGTACATACAGAGCTAAATCAGCTGGTGTTTTCCCCTTTAATTTTCCTTCTCTCCACTCTAGGTATAGGCCAATGAGCATCAGAAAGCTAGAAACATCTGTACAGCTTCAATGCCAACTGAGTCATTAGATATGAACTTGGACTCATTATCTCTCTCCTACTTCTTCAGGATGGAGGAAAAACCCTCTTTACCAACATCCCTGCTCCTCCCTCTGAATGAAGACTATTGATCCAAACCAGATTCTTGAAAATCATCCTAGACCCTTTTCTCCTCCTCACCTCCACACCCAACCACTCACTAAATATTGTTGATTGTATCTCAAGTCTCTCTAGACTCTCTCCCTTCCTCGTCCCCACAGTCTCGGCCCTGGTTCAAGCTACCGCATTTCTTATGTGGATTGCAGTGGTTTCCTGTCAGTTCTTTTTGTCTCTGGTCTCACTCTGGATCATCAGTCCTGCCCAAAACTCCTAGAACAGATCAAACATTGCTATGATGGATCAACTTTATTGCTTCCCAGAATCAAGTCCAAAGTCTTCTTTTAGGAAGGAATACAATATTTTTACTAATCTTCCCTTGCCTACCTCTAGCTAGAAACAAGTTAGAAAACATTATTTTAATTTCCCCAAATTTGATATATTCCCTTAACTTTCTGGGCCTTTGTGCAAACCATTTCCTCATTTTCTTTTTACTGTGCTTTGTCTGGATGACTATTCTCACCTTAAGGGTCACCTCCTTTTTGGATTCTTCCCTGAATGCTCCCTCCTTTTGACTTTGTAAAGCACTGGCGACACTATATTGCACCTTTTTTTTTTTTTTTTTTTTGAGACAGAGTTTCGCTCTTCTTGCCCAGGCTGGAGTGCAAGGGGGCGATCTCGGCTCACCACAACCTCTGCCTCCCGAATTCAAGTGATTCTTCTGCCTCAGCGTCCCGACTAGCTGGGATACAGCCATGTGCCACCACGCCCAGCTAATTTTGTATTTTTAGTAGTGATGGGGTTTCTCCATGTTGGTCAGGCTGGTCTCGAACTCCTGACCTCAGGTGATCCACCCGCCTTGGCCTCCCAAAGTGCTGGATTACAGACTTGAGCCACTGTGCCCGGCCTTATTGAACCTATTATTATTATTCTTTAAGTTCTAGGGTACATGTGCACAATGTACAGGTTTGTTACATAGGCATACATGTGCCATGTTGGTTTGCTGCACTCGTCAACTCGTCATTTACATTAGGCATTTCTCCAAATGCTATCCCTCCCCCAGCCCCGCTCTGCCCAACAGGCCCTGGTGTGTGATGTTCCCTGCCCTGTGTCCAAGTGTTCTCATTGTTCAACTCCCAGCTATGAGTGAGAACATGTGGTGTTTGGTTTTCTGTTCTTGCGATAGTTCATTTAGAATGATGGTTTCCAGCTTCATCCATGTCCCTGCAAAGGACGTGAACTCATTCTTTTTTATGGCTGCATAGTGCATAGTATTCCATGGTGTATATGTATTGCACCTATTTTTAACAGGTGCTTGGAGGAAAGGCTCCCACATACCATTATTATTATTGCAATATTTGTATTTTGATTTTCACTTTAGCACACTTTAAACCTATGTTAAACATATCTTAATGAATATAGACATATACAAGAGATTGTTTAAATGTATATGTGCAGTTTAAAAAACCATGACCTCAAAATCAAGCACATATGCGTTCATTAGCCAGGTCTTAGACATAGGACTTTGTTAATTCCCCAGATATTCCCTGTGTTCTTTTCTGATCTCTTCTGCCTCTCTACCTCCTATAGGTAATAACTATTATCCTGAATTTCATGTTAATTATTAACCTGCTTTTCCTTATAGTTTTAAAAAATGCCACCTAAGTATATATCCCATGGCAATAAATTGTTTAATTTGGTCTGGGTCTGAACTTTATATAAATGGAATTGTTCTGTTTATATTCATTTCTGACTTGCTTCTTTTTTTCATTATTATGTTTATGAGATTTATTCTGTTGATATGTATTGCTACGGTTCGTTCATTTTTTCATGGTTGTATAAATCCCATTTTGTGAATACATTATATTTTATTTACTGAATCTATTGTTGATGACTTGTTTCTAGGTTTTGCAATTATAAACAACGCTCCTATGAACATTCTTACCCATAACTTCTGCCACACATGCAAGATTGGCAATAGACTAGATAAAGCTGGAAGTGAGACACCCAGGTAGAATGTATCAGCAGATTCCCCTTTATGAGGCATTTCTAAATGTTTCCTAAAGTAGTTGTACCAGGGGTCGTATCTTTTTTGTTATCCTGGTATCGCTAGCACCTAGGACAATGAATGGCCAAGCACAGTTGCTCCATAGATACTTATTGAATGAAGGTAGAACCACAAACAGCATGTTGTGACAGTCTTTGTCTATAAATTGTTCTGGGCAATAAAGTCAAAGCAAGCACTCTTTCCACCCCAACTGTAGCCTGTAGAATGGGCCTGTAGGCTTGGCATCAGAAGATGTATTTTAATAATAATAATGACAGGAGTGATACAATGGTAATGTCTTATACCACTTAAGGATTCTTGGAAGACCCGGTTAGAATTATGGCTGAAGCAGGTAGAACCTGCTGAGCAAAATGGGTCCCAACTATCCTTTAGAAATTGATATTCTGATCCCAAAGGAGCCGTTGAGTTGTAATTATAGATTGCTGAGGGGCTAGATCTTGTGGAGCTAAGCTGCCTTGGAATGTGAGTTCTTTGTCATCTTCTTCTGGAGCTTGGAGTATATAGGTCTTTAACAGAGGAGAGCCTAATGCTGCTAGAATGGTTGTGAAAGATCACAAATTTACAATGCTACTGTGGGAGAGAGACAGAGATGGACCTTCTGTGTAGCCTAGCACTGCTAAGCCCTGTTCAAATGCAGGTTATAAGTTTAGATAAGACATGAATTTAATCATGTTCTTTGAAATACCTCTCCATAAACCAGTATTTTAGGTATTCCCTGTTATCCAAGCCTTATTTAATAAACTGGCTCTTTAGAATACCTGTTTATTTTGAAATAATTTTATACTCACAGAAGAGTTGCAAAGATACTATGGGGAATTTCTGTATATCCTTCACTCAACTTTCACTAAATTTTTTTTTTTTTTTTTTTTTTTTTTTTTTTTTGGAGACAGGGTTTCGCTCTTGTTGCCCAGGCTGGAGTGCAATGGTGCAATCTCGGCTCACTGCAACTTCTGCCTCCTGGGTTCAAGTGATTCTCCTGCCTCAGCCTACTGAGTAGCTGGGATTACAAGCATGTACCACCATGCCCGGCTAATTTTGTATTTTTAGTAGAGACGGGTTTCTCCATGTTAGTCAGGCTGGTCTCCAACTCCTGACCTCAGGTGATCCTCCCGCCTTGGCCTCCCAAAGTGCTGGGATTACAGGCGTGAGCCACCATGCCCGGCCACCTTTCACTAATGTTAACATCTTACATAACCATGGTACACTTACCAAAACTAAGCAATTCCCATTGATGCAACGCTATTTCAACTATAGACTTTATTCTGATATCACCAATTTTTATACCAACGTCCTTTTTCTTTCCAGAATGCAAACCAAAATACCACGCTGCGTAGACATAGTTGTTTTGTCTCCATAGGCTCCTCCAGTTGGTGACAGTTTCTCAGTCTCCTTGTTTTTCATGACTTGGTCCCTTTAAATGATG
Organism: Homo sapiens; assembly: GCF_000001405.40. NCBI lineage: Eukaryota > Metazoa > Chordata > Mammalia > Primates > Hominidae > Homo > Homo sapiens. The sequence continues at coordinate 60,309,221 of NC_000015.10, read as the reverse complement.
TTTTTTGGGTATTTTGTAGAATGTCTCTCAATTTGGGTTTGTCTGACGTTTTCCCGTAATTATACTGGTTTGGAAAGAAGACCACAGATGTGAGCTTCCCTTATCATATCATGCGAGGGGATACAAAATAAAATGACTGATCACTGTGATGTTACCCTTGATCACTTGGTTTAGACGGTGTCTGCCTGATCTCTCCACTATAAAATTACATTTTTTCCCTTTCTGTACTTTATTCATTAGATTTGAGTCTCTAAGACCAGCCTACATTCAGGCAGAAGGGAATTAAACTCCACTTCCTGAAATGAGGAGTATCAGAGAATTTGTGGACATATATTAAAATCACTACAGCAATTAATAAATATTTAGGGGAGATATTTTCAGGCTATGGATATGTCCCTTTTCTCCAAGTTGTTTTTTTAACTATAAGAGAGAAGATAGAACATTCAGAACCCCAAGAACAGAAATTAGTCAAAATAAATTTTTGATAAAAGTAGTTTATTTTATTTTTTACTGAAGGTAATAACATTATTATAGTGATAAAGTAATTACTGTTTATTTTCAGGCCTTTCTCTTCACTCAGAAGTTGAGCAGTTGAAACCCACATGTAGATAAAGTAAGCTTCCCTCATAACCAAGTTCTGTGAATAACCTCCAGTGATGGTTTCCTTCTCTTATTTAATAAGCATTGATGATATCTATTCACAATTTTATTTTGCTTATTTGGGACACTGAAATTTGTCCATATTTTTTCTAAATGAAGAAAATGGCCAAGAATACCTCCAACTTACAATGCAAACTCTTTTAAGGGTTTCCTGGCATAAAAAAAAAAAGCCTTTACACTATGAGCTTGTGAGTCTATACTAACTCCCAGGATCAATGTTGAGGAAAAGTTCTGTTAAAATAATCTTATAGAATTTTTGCCAAAATTTCCTAGAAACCATTAGGTAAATTTTAGAAAATTAGTTTTCTTTGTTTAAAATGTTGGGTTATACGTTTCTTATTCTATTCTGTGTCCAAATCAGAGGTTCCTAACATGGGTTGTCTGAATTCCTTATCGATCTGAGTTCTTATTTGCTAGTCACAGAAACTAACTTTGCTTCTTCAAACCCAAAAAAGGAATCAGTTAAAAGGATATTGGGTATGATTAGAGAATGGGCTTGGAGCCATCTATGCAGCCAGAAATGGTTCCTCCAGTTTGGCTGCAGAACTGATCAACGAAAACACAGCAATGCTGATGATTCAGCCAGATGGATCCTGGGCCATCCCTAGTTCTTTGGGTCACTAGCTTCTAATTCCAGATCTAGGTCAGGTATAAAGCTTGACCTGTTCCTGCACCCTGACTGCAAGGGAAGCTGAGAAAGTGAGTATCTCCTCCTATGGTGGAGAAGGCTCTGACTCCCCAGGCGTGGAGCTCCCCAGGAATAGTAAAAGGGTTCAGATATGGGCAGCTGACATGAATGACAATTATTCACTACAGACCCCTTACGGATGGAATCCCTTAAGCTGTAGATTTCATTTGGTTCTCAAATAAGCCATTCATTCAACATTCCGCAAACATTTATGGAGTACCTACCATGTGCCAGGCACTCTTCTAAGTCCTTGGATTTCATCAATGAACAAAACCAAGATCACTGTTTTTGTGGAGTTTCTATTCTGGCAGGAAAAGCCAATACATCATCCAGACTTGCACCTCAAAACCTCCAGTGGGCTCATGAATTGGTGATACCAGATATTTCTGGAAGTGGCAGTGAATGTAGGACTGAAACATAAGCATTGGTTGAAAAGACTATTTGAGAAGCAATTCGACCTGCATTGTTGAACAGAACTTTTGGCAATGATGAAGACACTCTATTTCTGCACTGTCCAATACAAAAGCTACCAGCCACATGTGGTTATTGAGCACTTGAAACGTGGCTATTTCCTTACTGCAACTGAGGAACTGAATTTTAAATTTTACTTAATTTATGTAAATTTATGTAAAGTACATAGCTACAGTGGCTAGTGGTTACTGTATCAGAGAGCACAGAGTTACATCCTCTGTTCCTTCCCCCACTTGGAATGGCTGGATGATTACCCCTCCCTCAGTGTAACAGAGTTGTGCGGTTTATTCTCTGAACTAAGGGGCACCATGAAGGTAAGAGGATAGGGATATCATATTGAAAAGAGGGGCATTACTTGAATTTGAGAACCTGCTCTTCTCCCAATTGACTTCCAAAATGCTGGCAGCCAGTTTCTACTTCCAGGTATGAGATTAGGAATTTAGTATCTGATAAATCTGACTAGTCCAAAAGAAAAGACCCTGTGTTAACATTGGGAGTTGTCCTATGAAACAATCCAGCCAGATTACCTGGGGTAAGACCCAGAGTTGGCAACCCAACTCATATATCAGAACTTCCAATCAGATTTTTAGTGCTGTAGTCTTAAAGGTGAACAGACAGTTAAGGATCACTAGACATTTGAGGATATCTTCACTCTGAAAGGAAATACAAACACCTAAGAAAAGAAACAAAAAAATAAATTTGAGAAAATAGAGAGAATTCAGAGAGAAGAAAAAAATTAAAGTAAGATAAGAGATGATTTTGCATCCACAAAGCAAGAATAGAATGCTATAATAAAGAAATAATCAGAAGGCCAGGCGTGGAGGCTCACACCTGTAATCCCGCACTTCTTGAGGCTGAGGCAGGCAGATCATGAGGTCAGGAGATCGAGACCATCCTGGCTAACACGGTGAAACCCCATCTCTACTAAGAATATAAAAAAATTAGCCAGCCATGGTGGCAGGCACCTGTAGTTCCAGCAACTCGGGAGGCTGAGGCAGGAGAATGGCATGAACCTGGGAGGTGGAGCTTGCAGTGAGCCAAGATCACGCCACTGCACTCCAGCTTGGGCAACAGAGCGAGACTCCGTCTCAAAAAAAAAAAAAAAAAAAAAAATCAGAAGGACAAAAACTAGAAGGGTCTTGGGAAAAAGTGACACAAATCAGAAGCTCCATATAAAATTTGGAAAATAAGATTGAGGGAATCTTCTAGAAACTAGATAGAATCAGATGGCAAAGAAATGTAAACTAGGATAAAAATATAAGAAAATTAGGTCAGATTAAGAAGTCTAACACCTGAATAACACAAATTCCTCAAATAGAGAATTGAGAAAATTATCAGATAAATAATTCAAGAACATTTCTTAGACTTGAAGGACATGAGTTTTCAGAATGAAAACAACCACCAAGTGCCTAGCAAAATGGATGAAAATAGATCCATATCAACTCACCTGATACGGTTTGGATCTGTGTCCTTACCCAAATATCACGTGGAAATGTAATCTCCAATGTTGCAGGTGGAACCTAGTGGGAGATAATTGAATCATGGGGGCAGTTTCTCATGGTTTAGCACCATCACCCTGGTTCTGTTCTTGTGATGGAGTTATCATGAGATTGGGTTGTTTAAAAGTATGTGGTACCTCCCCCTTCTCTTTCTCCTGCTCTCACCATGTAAGATGGGCCTGCTTCCCCTTCGCCTTCTGCCATGACTATAAGTTTCATGAGGCCTCCCCAGAAACAGATGTTGCCATACTTCTTGTACAGCCTGTGGAACCATGAGCCAATTAAACCTCTTTTCTTCATAAATTACCCAGTCTCAGGTATTTCTTTATAGCAATGTGAGAATAGACTAATACATTACCTGATGATAATATTTATGAACAGTAAGGACAAAGGAGAGGTCCTAGAAGCTTCCAGAGAGCTGAAGGGAAGGTTGTATTCAAAGAATCAGAAATCTGAGTCACTTTGGATATTGTATGTGCTCTCCAACCTAGAATGTGATACCCAGCCGCAATATCAAGTAAGTGTAAGGGTTGAATAACTTTTTTCAGACATGAATGGCCTCAAATATTTTACCTCTCCTACAGCTCTTTCTCATAAAAAATTGAAAGAAATGTTCTTTCAAAACAAAGAAGTAAATAAATGATTATTGTGTTAGTTAATACTGAGTGTCAACTTGATTGGATTGAAGGATGCAAAGTATTAATCCTGGGTGTGTCTGTGAGGGTGTTGCCAAAGGGGATTAACATTTGAGTCAGTGGGCTGGGAAAGGCAGACCTACCCTTAATCTGAGTGGGTACCATCTAATCAGCTGCCAGCACAGCTAGAATACAAAGCAGGCAGAAAAACGTGAAAGGAGTAGACTGGCCTAGCCTCCCAGCCTATATCTTTCTCCTGTGCTGGACCCTTCCTGCCCTCCAACATCAGACTCCAAGTTCTTCAGTTCTGGGACTCGGACTGGCTTTCCTTGCTCCTCAGCTTACCGATAGCCTATTGTGGGATCTTGCAATCATGTGAGTTAATACTTAATAAACTCCCCTATATTATAGGATGTACATATATATCCTATTAGTTCTGTTCCTCTAGAGAACTCTGACCAACACAGTTATGAAGATATAGCATGTCAGAAAAACGGAATTTATTATAATAGGGGTGTGAACACAATTTTCAGGATGATGGTAAAGGGAGACTTCTAGATGAATCTGTGTAATAGACCAAGAGAGCAGCCAGAAGATTGGAGCAGGTCAGAGAGTTTAGAAAGAGATAATTCCAAAATAGAGAACTGGCAATATCTGAGTATATTGAAAGGAAAATTAGGAAATCAGGAAAGAGTCTGAAGATGATGTAGCAAGAGTTCATAAAAAACAAAGCAAACCAGAAAAAAAGCAAAACAAGAAAACCAGATAAGTATGAACTCTAGAGAAAACAAAAACGGGAGAAATAAAAAATTATTCTGATATATTGCATTGCTAAGCCAAATATATCATTCATATAATCATAATGTAAACATTGAATAATGATAAAATCAAAATTACGATAAAAATGTTGGGGGAATAGAGGCATGGCATGTATGCCCATGTATGGTCTGTGTGTGTGTGTTGGGAAATAGGGGCAGCGAGAGAGCTAAATGCATATTTTCAGTAGGGAAAACCAATAGGTAATGCCTAAAAATAAAAACTCAAAAGAGAAATTTTTACTTGCTATTAGAAATATGAAGGTGTTGTATTATTATTATTTTTTTCTAATTTGGTCCTGAGGTCTCTCTCATGAGAGTGGCAATAAACTCTAGCCCTGCCCTGATGGGGCTCTAGGGATTTGGTCATGGATGATTACAATGTTCCTTTTAAGGGATACTTCTTTATCCTGGCAATGACCTAATGCCCAAGTGTCTGACCCATGACCAGGTGTCCCTCTCATAGAAAACTTCTTTACACTGGCAGACACCAGTGTAAACAACCTGGTGGCTTTTTGACTTATGTCCAGTTTATTCCTACAAGATAGCCATTCCCTAGAAGAGCCCTAACTGGGAAAGAAGCTCAGGTGTGTCAGTTACATGCGACACAGAAGAGGAAGCAGAACAACACACATGAAATAACAGGCAGTTCATTACTTACAGATCCCAGAAAGAAGATGGAAGCATGACTAGTGGGGCCAATGGGTAGTGGGAGAAGTGGGGAGGCATCCAGGACACTCAAGCTCAACTAGCAGATGGGGAGCAAAAGAGAAAGAGCAAGAGATCTGTGGGCCAAAGCTGGTACCGGGGTTCAAGGTATTACCCGGGCTGGTTTCTCTTGGGGAGTTCTAATTCGTGTGTTTAGAGCAACCAGCACAAATTCCCTGGGGTCACATTATGACTTAAAACTGGTCACTGTGGCATATTTTTGCAGTCATGTGGGGTGAGAGGGTCAGTGGAACAAGTCAAGTAGGTTGTATCTGGCTGTCCCATAGGGAGGTGGTCACCAGGAGGTGGTGGTATAAGGGAGATATTTGGATCAACCACATTGAGGAATTGGGAAGAGGTAGAGAACAGGAAACTTTGTCAAGGGTGTCTAAGCCCTGCCTCTGGTGTGAGAATGTCCAACTTATATTCAAAAGGATGCTGAAGTTGGGCATGGTGGCTCACACCTGTAATCCCAGCTACTTGGGAGGCTGAGGCACGAGAATCACTTGAACCTGGGAGGCAGAGGTTGCAGTGAGCCAAGATCATGCCATTGCACTCCAGCTGGGGTGACAGAGTGAGACTCCATATCAAAAATCAAAAATAAAAATAAGAAAAACAAAAAAACAAAAAAAATAGAACGCAAAATGTATGCTGAGGCAACATAAAATTGTAAGAATTCACTACAAGAGGTAAATACCAAAATAAATAGCTAAAAGTCTTTACTGGAGTGGAGGGAAGGTTGCGGGAGAACAACTGTTTTCCATTATAAATAGCCCTTGTAGAACTATATGGCTTTTTAAACTGTTTGCATATATAATTTCAATTAAGGTAAAAACAAACACAACAATGAAAATACAATAGAAATGAGGTATCATTAATTGGGACAGCAAGCTTTCTCAACTTCTGAAAAGTTGTTTGGGGAAAGATTAAAAATATTTCAGGGCCAAGTGCGGTGGCTCATGCCTGTAATCCCAACACTTTGGGAGGCCAAGGTGGGCGGATCATGAGGTCAGGAGATCGTGACCATCCTGGCTAATACAGTGAAACCCCGTCTCTACTAAAAATACAAAAAAATTAGCCAGGCATGGTGGCGGGCGCTTGTAGTGCCAGCTACTCGGGAGGCTGAGGCAAGAGAATGGTGTGAACCTGGGAGGCGGCGGAGCTTGCAGTGAGCGGAGATAGTGCCAGTGCACTCCAGCCTGGGCGACAGAGCGAGACTCCGTCTCAAAAAAAAAAACAAAACATACTTTCGGAAGACAAATTCTCGCCTTCACTCTTCTGAGCTGGTAGAAGTAAACTAGTTTGTGAAAATTTTCGCAACCTACTCATCTGACAAAGGGCTAATATCCAGAATCTACAATGAACTCAAACAAATTTACAAGAAAAAAACAACCCCATCAAAAAGTGGACAAAGGACATGAACAGACACTTCTCAAAAGAAGACATTTATGCAGCCAAAAAACACATGAAAAAATGCTCACCATCACTGGGCATCAGAGAAATGCAAATCAAAACCACAATGAGATACCATCTCACACCAGTTAGAATGGCAATCATTAAAAAGTCAGGAAACAACAGGTGCTGGAGAGGATGTGGAGAAATTGGAACACTTTTACACTGTTGGTGGGACCGTAAACTAGTTCAACCATTGTGGAAGTCAGTGTGGCGATTCCTCAGGGATCCAGAGCTTGACATACCATTTGACCCAGCCATCCCATTACTGGGTATATACCCAAAGGACTATAAATCATGCTGCTATAAAGACACATGCACATGTATGTTTATTGCGGCACTATTCACAATAGCAAAGACTTGGAACCAACCCAGATGTCCAACAATGATAGACTGGATTAAGAAAATGTGGCACATATACACCATGGAATACTATGCAGCCATAAAAAATGATGAGTTCATGTCCTTTGTAGGGACATGGATGAAATTGGAAATCATCATTCTCAGTAAACTATCGCAAGGAGAAAAATCCAAACATCGCATGTTCTCACTCATAGGTGGGAATTGAACAATGAGAACACATGGACACAGGAAGGGGAACATCATACTCTGGGGACTGTTGTGGGGTGGGAGGAGGGGGGAGGGATAGCATTAGGAGATATACCTAATGCTAAATGACGAGTTAATGGGTGCAGCACACCAGCATGGCACATGTATACATATGTAACTAATCTGCACATCGTGCACATGTACCCTAAAACTTAAAGTATAATAATAATAATAATAAAAAAGAAGTAAACTAGTTTGTTGCTGCGAATATCTGAAATAATAAAAATTCCTATGGCCTTGCATAGCTTTTTTTTCCCCCAAAAGTAATGTGGAGAATATATGTTTAGTTTACCTAGGCCCCTTTCTTGCCTTCTCCTGGTAACAGCACATCTTATTTTTGGAAATGGCTTTATTTAGATTTCAACCAATACTGATGGATGCTTCATGGTTCTTTTTCCTGGGCCACAGAGATGGACACATGACTGAGTCTGAGCCAATCATCATTTAGGCTCCCCTGGTCACATGACTAGCCCAGGAATGGGCACATGACTCACATAAGGCCAATTAGGTCCCTTCTTTTTCCAACTGAAACTGCTGGAGAAGAGCAGGGTTTTTGTTTTGTTTCGTTTTGTTTTGTTTTGAACTCTTGTCCATGTGGCTAGAGAGATAAAAGCCTAGACCACCTGTAGCCATATTTCCATTGTGTGAGGTCAATTGTTCAGAGAAGTTGAAGCAAATATTTAGATAGATACAAAGAAGAGAAAGAGGATTGCAGGGAGAATGGCCTCAGCTCACCCTGAGTCTCGCTTCATGTCTGCCCTTTTCATAGTTTGAATTCAGAAACCAACAAATCCATCCCCCCCTTTTCTGACAAAGCTGGAGTTGGAGTTTTGTCACTTGCAATCAAAGGGTTCAGACCAATCCTAGTAGCGATCATGTTTTGTATTAGGCAAGAAAAAGTTTTCCACATTCGAGAAGATGGCATACAGACATAATTATATCTATGGGGTACATGTGTTATTTGATACATAAATACAATGTCTAATGATCAAATCTTAAGTTTTTTTAAACAATAGGGATTACAGTATTGAAATATCTCTCAGATGAGACTGAAAAGTAACCTGATGGTTTGATGCTGGATATGGAGCTACACTGTGTCAACCCCAGAAGTAAGAATGGTCAGTTTTTGCTGTTTGTGCTCAGCTAACTTTGATTCAATTCAAAATGCCAAGTTATGCATTTTAGAGTCAATAAAAAATTATACTTAAAGAGTTAAAAACCACGTTTAGGGTTTAGTGATGATCTTCTGGACACTGTGTTAGATTGGCACTTGAAGAAATTCAGAATAAGTATAATGTATAGTTTATGCCCTCCTGTAGCTTAAGATCAGTTAGGGAGAGATGATATAAACTTGTGAAACATTTCATTATATAGCATAAGATCTGTAGGCACTCACCCAAAGAAGTGAGCTATTCTTTGGGTGCAACTTCTGGCCGGTTTAGTCTAGAACTTTCTTGTAAGTCTCCTCTGTGTAGACCATCATTCCCCCCAACCCCTCTTTTTCTTTCTTCTTTGCCTGGGCTCAAACCCAGGCATGGGGCCAACGACCTCAGCAATGAATGGGATTAGAGCAGCTAGCCAGCTTTTTCAGGTTAGACTGTAAATGAACACCCTTGGTACAGACATGAGGCCAAGGAACTCTAGTGCTTTGTTAGGAAGAAAGTGAAAAGCTCAGCTCTCCCGTGGGCCAGAAATGCTGAGCCTGCAGGATCCTCAGCGAAATGTAAGAAACTGGTTCGCAATGGCTTGACTCCTCCACGATGGCCCTGCTCTCATCAGATGCTTTTCCTGTTCCTACAGGCAGGCGTCGCCCAGAGGAGGAGGGGATGGCAAGGTGCCAGCCGTAAATAATGAATAGCACCCTCATTTACATTCTTTTTTAGTGGCGCCTGTTTGCACGCAGCATTGCAGGAACCTAGAGCCCGAGGAAATATGACTTGGAGCCGGCTCAGGCTGCCTCCCTCCAGTGTGCCTAGCTCAGGAAAAGGCAGAGCTCTTCCCGTCAGACCATCTGGCGCTCGTGAATGTGCTTATTAGTAACAGGGAAGGTGGGTCTGTTAGCCTGGGACAGCATATCGGAGGCAGATGCTGAGTTTATGTGTAAAATATGGCTTCCAGCCAAAGCACTAATCATGATCGCCTCTGAAGTGGTTCCAATCGTCTGGATGAGGCGGCTCCTGCTCTTATGTTGTTTGTACAAGCTGGTAGTTACAGGTGTTGTATACAAGATATTTGTAGTCATAATTTCTCCAAACAGGTTAAGGCAAACATTATGAGAATCAGCGTATTAATGTGCTGTGTTTCAAATTAGAATTATAAACACACTTTCCTCATTGGAGGCCTAATCTGCTAAGAAGAAGCCAGATGTTTAATGATGAAACCATTATTCAGAAGGACCTATCAAAGTAAAACAAATTGTTGTTGTTTAAGCGGAGAAAAAAACCTGCTTTATGCAAGGGAACTTAGAAAAACTGCTTTGAGAGGATCGGTGCTTGTACTGAATTTCCATGTACCCTTTGCTGCTGCTCAAGAGCCAGGGTTTCTTCTGGAAACATCATTTAGCAGATGGGAATCCGGCCTTCCTAGGACAAATCTACAGGCCAGGCCAGCTCATTTCCTTGTGCACAAATGGTACCTGACATGCTGACATGCTGGAGTAGTCGAATGGGAACAAGTTGGTCTAGGAGGCTTTTTGATGTTAACTTTTTTTTTTTTTGTGAGACAGGGTCTTGGTCTATCACTCAGGCTAGAGTGCACTGGCACTGTCTCAGCTCACTGCAACCTCTGCCTCCCGGGTTCAAGTGATCCTCCCACCTCAGCCTCCCAAGTAGCTGGGATTATAGGCATGCCCCATCACACCTGGCTAATTTTTTCTACTTTTTCGTGGAGACGAGGTTTCGCCATGTTGCCCAGGCTGGTCTCCCTGGATTCAAGTGATCCTCCCACCTTGACCTCCCAAAGTGCTGAGACTACAAGGTGTGAGCCACTGCGCATGGCCTGATGTTAACTTTTGATGTTAATTTCCCTTACTCTCTTTGTATTTTTTCGAGGAAAGAATTAGGAAGCAGTGTTTGGTGATGGTTGACATTTGCCCTTCGCTTGCCGTCTGAGCTGCTTCATGTAGAACTGACTCCCACATTCCAGCTGCTCAACTGTAATCATTCCATTAGCCCCTTATTGTGTTTAAGGAAGTGCAACCCCATGCTTGTTGTATCTGTCTGTGATTGTATCTTTCTTCTCTTTTCTCCCTCCTTCCCCTCCATATTCCACTTAGTTCCTCATCCTCTCCTGCCTTCCCATTCCCTATTTCCTTCTCCTTTCCTTCTTCCTCCTTTCCTATAGAAAATACATCTTTGAGAATATATCCAATTGCTACCTTGAACCAAAGAGCACACAAAAAGCAGGAAGAAGCACAAAGATAGGCATCGGAGGTGGTTTATGAAAGCTTGATGTGATCACAGATCTTGCCATAAATATTCAAAATATTTGACTACTATTTTTAAGAGTTTCAGTTTATTCATTTTCCCAAAGCTCTTCTTGCTGCTGGTAGGATTTTTTGGACTAAGCCCTTTTGGAGTACATGAGGCTGTTTACTAGCAAATTAATGGAGGCCTTTTTGACATACACAAATTTTAGTAGTTACAATGATGAGAGAAATAGCAGCTTGAAGAAGTTAGAACCCATGGGGATCTGGAGGCTTCCCTTTTGCTGAGTTCTAGAATTTGTGAGGTATCAAGTTTTGAGAGAATCCAGAGAAGTCAGTCAGCACCTCACCTGAAGTTCTTCCACAAAACTGGGAGAATGCACATGGCCTCAAGGGCTCATCACTTTTTCCATTATAAGGGACCAAGAAAGAAATTGACTGGGTTTGATGGCTCACACCTGCAATCCTAGCACTTTGGGAGGCTGCAATGGGAGGATTCCTGGCGTCTGGGAGTTTGAGACCAGCCTGGGCAACATAGCAAGGCCTCATCTCTACTAAAAATAAAAAATCAGCTTGGTGTGGTGGTACTCACCTGTAGCCCAGCTACTTGGGAGGCTGAGGTGGGAGGATCACTTGAGCCAGGGAGGTTGAGGCTGTAGTGAGCCATGATCACACGACTGCACTTGGCCTGGACAACAGAGTAAGACCCTGTCTGAAAAAAAAAATAAAGTAAATAAGTAAATTATTCCGTAAAGATGAGAATTCGGTCTGTCATTGAAGGTGTCTTCCGCATGGAAGCCTTTTGCATAATTGCACACTACTGTTGTCTCTCCTTGACCTCCAATAGCTCTCCCAATGTTTTAAGCTAAATATTCTCATTAACTTGAATCATTCCTCACATGACAGGGCTTGAGTCTCTTCGCTATTGTGGTCACTTGCTTCAAACAAGTTATAGCTTGTTCTTCTAGCCACAGGTCCTAGAAGTGAAAGTAGGATCCAAGCAACAGTGAGTGTGGAGTGGGTTCTGATGTGTGTAGAGCATAGTAGCTGTTATTGAGATCTAAGTCACATTATCTACATTTTACTGGTGAGTAATACTGGGTTTCTTGTTGACTAAATCTCTTTTCTGTTGAGGGGGAGTCTCGCTCTGTCGCCAGGCTGGAGTGCAGTGACACAACCTTGGTTCACTGCAACCTCTGCCTCCCAGGTTCAAGCGATTCTCCTGCCTCAGCCTCCAAAGTAGATGGGATAACAAGCACGTGCCACCATGCTAAGCTAATTTTTGTGTTTTTAGTAGAGATGGGGTTTCACCATGCTGGCCAGGATGGCCTTGATCTCCTGACCTCATGATCCGCCTGCCTTGGCCTCCCAAAGTGCTGAGATTACAGGTGTGAGTCACTGTGCCTGGCCAATTTCTGCCTATTTTTTATTTTATTTATTTATTTTGAGACGGAGTCTCCCTCTGTCACCCAGACTGGAGTGCAGTGGCATGATCTTGGCTCACTGCAACCTCTGTCTCCCAGGTTCAAGCACTTCTCCTGGCTTAGCCTCCCGAATAGCTGGGACTACAGGCGCATGCCACTACCCTTGGCTGATTTTTATATTTTTAGTGGAGATGGGGTTACACCACATTGGCTAGGCTGGTCTCAAACTCCCAACGTCAGGTGATCTGCCCCCCTCAGCCTCCCAAAGTGCTGGGATTACAGGCATGAGCCACTGCACCCAGTCCTCTGTTTCTTTTTTAATAGGATAAACGTATACTTCTATAATTTTTTTCTACCAAAGCGATATTGTTTGGCTGTGTTGCCATTCAAATCTCAACTGAATTGTATCTCCCAGAATTCCCACGTGTTGTGGGAGGGGCCTAGAGGGAGGTAGTCGAATCATGCGGGCCAGTCTTTCCAGTGCTATTCTCATGATAGTGAATAAGTCTCACGAGATCCGATGGGTTTATCAGGGGTTTCCGCTTTTCCTTTGCTCTCATTTTCTCTTGCCACTGCCATGTAAGAAGTGCCTTTCACCTCCCGCCATGGATCTGAGTCCTCCCAAGCCATGTGGAACTGTAAGTCCAATTAAACCTCTTTTTCTTCCCTGTCTCGGGTATGTCTTTATCAGCAGTGTGAAACCGGACTAATACAGTACATTGGTGCCAGGAGTGGGATGTTGCTGAAAAGATACCCGAAAATGTAGAGGGACTTTGGAACTGGTAACAGGCAGAGGTTGGACCAGTTTGGAGGGCTCAGAAGAAGACAGGAAAATTTGGGAAAGTTTGGAACCTCCTAGAGATTTGTTCAATGGCTTTGACAAGAATGCTGATAGTGATATGAACAATAGGGTCCAGGCTGAGGTGGTCTCAGGTGGAGATGAGGAACTTGTTGGGAACTGGAGCAAAGGTGACTCTTCTTATGTTTTAGCAGAGGCTGGTGGCGTTTTGCCCCTGCCTTAGAGATTTGTGGTACTTTGAACTTGAGAGAGATAATTTAGGGTATCTAGTGGAAGAAATTTCTAAGCAGCATAGCATTCAAGAGCTGACTTGGGTACTGTTAAAAGCATTCCAATTTTAAAAGGGAAACAGAGCATAATAAGTTCAGAAAATTGGAACTTGATGATGCAGTAGAAAAGAAAAACCCATTTTTAAAGGAGAAATTCAAGGCAGCTGCAGAAAATTACATAAGTAGCAAGGAACTACTAATGTTAATCCCCAAGACCATGGGGAAAATGTCTCCAGTTCCTGTCAGAGACCTTCACTGCAGACCCTCCCATCACAGGCCCAGAGGCCCAGGAGGAAAAAGTGGTTCTGTGGGCTGGGTTCAGGGTCCCCATGCTGTGTGAAGCCTAGGGACTTGGTGCCCTGTGTCCCAGCTGCTCCAGCCTTGGCTGAAAGGGGCTAATGTATAGCTCTGGCTGTGGCTTTAGAGGGTGGAAGCCCCAAGCCTTGGCAGCTTCTTCCATGTGGTGTTGAGCCTGTGGGTGCACAGAAGTCAAGAACTGAGGTTTGGGAACCTCTGCTAGATTCCAGAAGATGTATGGAAATGCCTGGATGCCCAGGCAAAAGTTTGCTGCAAGGTTGGGGCCCTCATGGAGAACCTCTGCTAGGGCAGTGTGGAAGGGAAATGTGGGGTTGGAGCCCCCGCACAGTGCCCCTGCTGGGGCACTGCCTAGTGGAGCTGTGAGAAGAGGGCCACCATCCTCCAGACCCCAGAATGGTAGATCCATCAACAGCTTGCACTGTGCACTTGGAAAAGCCGCAGACACTCGACACCAGCCCATGAAAGCAGCTGGGAGGGAGGCTATACCCTGCAAAGACACAGGGGCAGAGCTGCCTAAGACCATGGGAACCCACCTCTTGCATCAGCATGACCTGGATATGAGACTTGGAGTCAAAGGAGATCATTTTGGAGCTTTGAAATTTGATTGCCCCGCTGGATTTCAGACTTGTGTAGGCCTGATAACCCCTTTGTTTTGGGCAATTTCTCCCATTTTGAATGGCTACATTTACCCAATACCTGTACCCCTATTGTATCTAGGAAGTAACTGGCTTGTTTTTGATTTTACAGGCTCATAGGCAGAAGGGACTTGCCTTGTCTCAGATGAGACTTTGGACTGTGAACACTTGGCTTAATTCTGAAATGAGTTAAGACTTTGGGGGACCGTTGGGAAGGCATGATTGGTTTTGAAATGTGAAGACATGAGATTTGGAGGGGCCAGGAGCAAATGATATGGTTTGGCTGTGTCCTCATTCAAATCTCAACTGAATTGTATCTCCCAGAATTCCCATGTGTTGTGGGAAGGACCTAGGGGGAGGTAATTGAATATGGGGGCCAGTCTTTCCAGTGCTATTCTTGTGATAGTGAATAAGTCTCATGAGATCTGATGGGTTTATCAGAGGTTTCCGCTTTTGTTTCACTCTCATTTTCTCTTGCTGCCACCATATAAGAAGTGCCTTTTGCCTCCCGCCATGATCCTGAGGTCTCCCCAGCTGTGTGGAACTGTAAATCCAATTAAACCTCTTTTTCTTCCCAGTCTCGAGTATGTCTTTATCAGCAGTGTGAACATGGAGTAATACACAAAGTAAAGACATTTATGTTTATCATGGCTAATTTACATCTTATTTAATACCTGCAGCTTATTATTCTAGCTTTCAAGTTCCCCTTTTTGTTTCATCCATATTGTGCTTTGTTGTTGGGCCCATGGAAATGACCTTCTTTGTTTAATGGTTTGAGCTTTTTTTGTGAGGGAAATCCTAGATTTCTGCAAGATGAGGAGACTAATGGAGGGTTCATTAGAAAGGAGAAGAAAGAGTCTGAGTGAGCACACTTGTTCAAATGGCAGAGTTACTCCCAATTTAACAACAGAGTGAAATGGGAAAAGAGAAACAGGTAAACACAACGACTGAGCAACTGTGACTATGAATTTGAAGACATCATGAAAACTTGAAAACAGTCTGGCTACTCAAAACATAGAACACAGTCACAAGCACTGAATTTAAATTGCCAAGCATTAGAGCAGTTATGTGAAACTTAATACCCTCTCCGAGGGGCTGTTACAAGATCAAATGAGATCATATATGAGAAAGATCTTAGCATGAAGCTAGAAACTTAGTAGGGAATCAATAAAAACATGTCTCGTAGGAATGCCTTCTTCTTGGCCTATCTCTATATCTTGACTTTGGGCTTCATCTTTTTCTTTTTATTCTCGTAGGTAATTGCATGCAGTCCTTTAGCACTCTTCACTTCTCACATTTCTCATGTCTAACATATCTTTTTGTGAACAAAATCATGTTTATGATCTCCCTATTCATTGTGATTTCACAGCCTTTGATAGTTCTGCCTTTTGTTCTCCATCTTCCCAGACTGAAGGTCCTAAGATTTAGGCCAGCAAACTCCCTGTCTCCTCCCTCACTCCAATGCCCTTCTCTAGACTTTTCCTAGCTCTCTGCTTTTCTTGAAGGAGGACTTCTTGTAAGGCTTGGCAGGTGTCACCCTAGGCTCCCTGTCCTCCTGGTTGTCTGAGACTTAGTTTCTTCATGTCTAAAATGGGACATGAAGTCAATAATGCCACGAGAGGACTAGATGAGCTTTAAGCGTGTTGATGAATATGAGTCGCCTAAAGTATTGCCTTGCACAGAGGCGCTCAAAGATGTCATGGTTAAAACAATCTCATTAAGTCTCTTTTTGTAGTTTGACTTAGAAGCAATTCGTGTGGAATATGCAAGCCTCTTTGAAAAGTTCACCCTGTAGATTTCTGATGAGGAATACAAAAATGATTTTTCTAACCACTAATGGGTTAACCCCTTCTAGCCTCATGGGAACTTATCATGTGCGTGGTGAATTGTGTGAGAGGAAGCCCTGTTGAAGCAGTCATTCTGTCCCACTCCCCTGCAAACCATCACTTTGGTGGCTGACAGCTTCCAGGACCAGGACTTATGGGTTCCACCAATCTTACAGGAACACACCTCTGAAAATGTTCATCTCTATGTCACCAATGAACCTATATACCAGTAACAAAAGTGATGATGATGATGATGATGATGATAATGACTTCTATTATTGAGCCACCTACTATGTGCCAGGTCCTGTACTAGGTCCTGAGAACAAAAAGATGAACAAGTCAGTCATAGATTACAGACGGTCTACGTAGAACTCCTATCTCAGTGCCTGACACAAAGTAGGTGTTCAATAAACATTTGAAGGGAGAAAAGTGATGCTCAGAGTTTCAGTGACCTCCAAGAAGGTCTTCTGGATCCTAGAAATAAATAATACCTTTGTATGGGTCCCCAAATACACCCAACTCCATACCTGATCCAGCTCCTTGATGAGTGACATAGCTCTGAGATTCTATTGCATTTGGGGCCTATCCAGTTCAAACAGTCTTACACAAGCTTGACTTTGGGTTCGTCCCTCATTAGTCCCTTCAAATTTCTTGGTGTGCTATAGTGTTCCATGGAGCTAGCGTCTAGACCAAAGCTAGAAAAGCGTGTATAGAAAAGAAGAGGCTAAGGTAGTAGAGTTCTTGGTTTTCCTGGACAATTTTTCCAAATGTAAGTGCCAGCCAGCCCATAGGAAGACAAGGCTTCTCTCTTTCGATTTCTGTTTTTCCTAATTACTGACTGCTAACAAACGGATATTAATTTGTTAAACAAATTAGCTCTTTTCAAACTGCTTTGAAAATATGGATGTTAGTCAACAAATTAGTCTTGGAGCTATCTCTTCTTAGTTGGTATGTGGCAGTACTACCTTTGTAGTCCGTGTGTGTGTGTGTGTGTGTGTGTGTGTGTGTGTGTGTGTGTGTAAGTGAAGTACTGTGTATTTATTTGATAAATACTCTTGATTACCTTAATTCATGGTTGTGCAGTCCTTTGTGGCTTTAATTTCAAAGTTTTGAATGACATTGGTGGTGAATATGTTAGGTACATTAACTCTTTTTGCCTCTTAGGGATCTATTTGTCAAATCACCTATTTCACTACACCTAATGGCCTTTGGGTCCTACGGAAGTTAATGCCCTCTTTGAAAATGAGCAACTTTATTCCTGAGCCTTCCATATTAGAAGGATCATCCCCAATTTTTTTGAGTTACTTAAGGATGTGAAAAATATCTTTATATTCTATTTGATGACACTTCTAGGTAATGTGAGGAATTATAGAATAATACTTTAGCTTGGAAAGGATTTTACTCCAAAATAAAATCAAGTCAGATTCTCAGCTGTTGCTTGTTAAGTGCCAGTTTGACATTCGAAATGATCTGAACTTTGTGATTTGGAGAACCCAAAATCAACCAGCAGCAATAACTTTCATCCACTCAAAACCCATTTGGTCATGACTGATGAAGAGACTCATTTTGTTTGGGAGGATTGGATGTGAGCAACTGGGGATGAAAACGTAAGACCTAAGATGGAGTATTCTCTGTGCAACTTCAAGGCCCAAATTTATGTTCACTTTAAAATAAACACACTTACTTTTGCCTCTTTTTCTTAGGAAATTTAGGAGAGAAATGATAGAAGTAAGACTTATAAATATTCTCTTGATCTCAGCAGGCAGCATTGTGTATTGGCCAATACACAATACAGGGGGTGCAGGAGTTGGGTCCTGGCTCTACTCTTCAAGGTGGTGTGACCTTGGCAAGTTGCTCAACCTTTCTCAGTCTCAGCGTTCTCAATCACAAAATGAAGCTGGAACTCGTACCTTTCTTCGGCCAGTGTGAGGATTAAGTGGGCTGCCCACGTAGAAAGCACTTCTTAGGAAAACCCCCAAGGTGGAAGGCAGATTTACTGTGAAATTTATGAAACTTAAATTTCAGGACTCCTCACTTGCACACACCTCTTTTTAAAAAACCTTCCCCTTTTGTAGTTAATTTTGTATTCATTGTTGTTGTGTTTTCATAAATAGGGCCTCCCAAATTATATGGTAAAGCCTGGGTTTTCCCTTGTCAAACCCTCTTCATCAGATTGTTCCATGATTCCTCCTAGTTTGGTGCAGACTTCAGGATTAATCAATTTAAATAATGCTCTTAATAACTGCTAAATAGAAGACATCACTTTTAGACCATCTGTATGATGTATGTTATGATAGAGCTCTCCCAGGTAGGAATTATCTAGAAGGAGAAGAATTAATTTGTCTCCACACATATATTAAAGAATGGATTCACTTCTGCCAAGGAAAGTAAGTGTAGAAGTTTCCTTGATGAGATTTAATGATTTGTAGACTGATCTACTGATGATTAGCACCTGGTGTTAGAATAATAAGGACGCTGAAGATAACACTCATTGAATGCTTCTGATCCAAACCCAGCTATGTGAACATTTTATTGCACTTGCTTAAGTTGGCAGATTTGTTTTTTGCAGTCTTAGTTGTTTGTTTATGATACCCAGAAAAGCTATGTGTTTTCTTTAACAGAGGTCTGGGCCATTCTGACTGCTACTGAGAGGGGAGAGGTGTTCAGACAGAGGTGTCTAGAGGTTATGGTTAGAACTATGAGAGACATACGGCATGCAGTGACTATTTCTTCCCAAAGTATGGAGATTTTTAGGAGGAAAGAGTTGAGTAAATTAGGCAGTTACTGAGAGAAGTTTTTATGACAAGTACAGCTCATGTCAAAAGAGACATTTTTATTAAGAAGATACACACACTCATTCCACACTCACAGATTTGAGAGACACGGAGGGATTGAAGTCTGAGAGACATGTACAGTGAAAGACAACAATTTGAAATGGAGATGAGAAAAAACATCCTCTCAGATGAAGGCATCTAGAGTTGAGGCTGATTTTGAGAGAAAACGAAGATAAAGTAAAGATTTTATTTCAGAGGCTTAATTTTACTCAGTCGAAAAGAGTTTAGAAGTATATAAGTTATGCTTCTGAATACTGACGGAAAGGGAGAGGAAGAGCTCAGTGAGAGAGGCAGGGGAGAGAACCACCGCAGCTATCTGTTCCCTCGGGTGGCTGAAATGGCTGAGGGCAGCTCGTCTTGGGAGGGGCCTGAAGCAGGACTTGGCTGAGGAGGTAGTCAATGCTGGACCAGTCAGGGCCGACCAGGCTATGGGCCTATATGAAAGAAATGCTCCTTCAAGATAACAGGTTACACTAATTGAGAATCCAATAAGTGTTCTAATGCTTTGTGATTTCTTCTCTCAAGTGATTCACATTTATTTCATTTATTAGTTTCTTAGTATTATTGGCTTATTAATCAACAGTGCACATTTTATTGGTAATGATAAATACTGTGACTCTTTTTTCTTTCTTTTTTTGAGATACGGTCTTGTTCTGTTGCCCAGGCTGGAGGACAGTGGCGTGATCATGACTCACTGCAGCTTCAACCTTCCAGGCTGAAGCGATCCTCCCACCTTTGCCTCCCGAGTAGCTAGGCTGCAGGTATGCACCACCATGCCTGGCAAATTTTTGTACTATTATTATTATTTTGGTAGAGATTGGGTTTTGCCATGTTGCCCAGGCTCTTCTTGGACTCCTGCGCTCAAGCGATCCGCCCACCTCTGTCTCCCAAAATGCTGGGATTACAGGCATGAGCACCTGGCTGACTCTCATTTTTTTTAAAATTGATACATAGTTTACATGTATCCTGAAGTGACGAAGTTTTCTGTTAAAGTTACACTTAGAATTTTTTTGGCAATAGTGAAATCTGAGAGATGACGAGGTAAAATTCTTTGTTGGGAGAGAAGCCTGATTATTTTACTCATAATGCAGGTGATGGGGAACAGATCCTACTACTCATAGTGGCCATGCACCTGGCTCTTTGCTGGCCATGGTATAAAATTACTTAAGGTTTGGTCCCATTTTCAATTCCATCGTTATTTACCAAGTGCATCCAGTGTGGGCTGAAGTGGTTTTTACAACTCCCAAGAACTGATTATATGCATCTCTTCCTAATGCCACTTTCAGTAATATCATCTCGTGTGCTTGACATTGGCCATGATGGGAGTATTTACACCATAGAAACTGGCAATTACTATAAATCAGGGTTTTCTCCATCCCCAGAGAGCTGGTTGTTAAAGGTTTGCCAGGACATACACACCTAAGCAAAAGGTTACTGAGCTATAGACACTGTAGGGGAATTAAAATGTGAGTGGGATACATTCTGGTCTTTAGGGATCTTATAATTTGGTAGCAGGAATTAATGATGATGATGATGGGGATAATAATAATAATGAGTACCTATTGATCACTTACTGTGTTAGAACTTTACAGATGTTAGCTTGCTTAATCATTACAAAAAATCCTATTAGGTGGGGGCCTTTAATTCTCTATTTTTTTTTTTTTTCGAAGCTGAGTTTCATTCTTGTCACCCAGGCTGGAGTGTAA
Organism: Homo sapiens; assembly: GCF_000001405.40. Taxonomy (NCBI): domain Eukaryota; kingdom Metazoa; phylum Chordata; class Mammalia; order Primates; family Hominidae; genus Homo; species Homo sapiens. The sequence goes on along the minus strand of NC_000015.10, from coordinate 60,288,449 downwards.
CGGCACGATCCTGGCTCACTGCAACCTCTGCCTCCCGGGTTCAAGGGATTTGCCTGGCTCGGCCTCCCGAGTAGCTAGTATTACAGGTGTCTGACACCAGGCCTGGCTAATTTTTGTATTTTTGGTAGAGATGGGGTTTCACCATGTTATGAGGGGCTGAATGTCAGGCTAAGGCATGTAAGCTTTATTTGGTGTCTTTTCAACAGGTCAATTAAGCTGAGGTAAACTAGTCCAGACTGTATACCAATGATCAAAAATTCAGATGTATTTCCATCCATATCAATGTGATAATACAGCACTCAATTTTATGAAATCCGGTCAATTTTTTTCAGCTCTGAAGTGTTTAAAGGGCATTTCTCCAAATGGCTGGTGGAGATGATCTCTTTGTCCTTATTATATATTCTAGCAACCTGATTACAGCTCAAAGCCAATGAATCTCATGCAAGGTAGCTGGGTTTATAAATTCCTGCAGGCTCAAGGAATCCTTTGGTGCCACAGGTACGCTCATCAATGGAGGTCTAGTGCACACTGTTGTCCGATGTGCCTTGATAGTCTGTATTGGTTAGAGTGGCTGCTATCCAGTGTGATCTGTAAATTGTTAGAATCTAAATTCCCTGGAGGTAGAAACCATGTTTGTCTCATTTTTCATTGTCATTTTTTTTTTTTTTTTGAGACGGAGTCTCACTCTGTTGCCCAGGCGGGAGTGCAGTGGCGCTATTTCAGCTCACTGCAAGCTCTGCCTCCTGGGTTCACACCATTCTCCTGCCTCAGCCTCCTGAGTAGCTGGGACTACAGGCACCCGCCAACATGCCCGGCTAATTTTTTTTGTATTTTCAGTAGAGACGGGGTTTCACCATGTTAGCCAGAATGGCCTCAACCTCCTGACCTCGTGATCCGCCTGCCTCGGCCTGCCAAAGTGCTGGGATTACAGGCGTGAGCCACCGCGCCTGGCCTCATTGTCATTTTAATACCTGGCAGTTTCTGGTCAATCTGGGTTTTCAATAAATATTCATTGCCATGAACATTCATGGTGTCTCTTTATGCTTCATGGGTTGTACCCTAAAAATGCTTGTGTCCACAATTTTAGTTCTGGTATAATTAATAATATGTTAAAAATATTTTTAAAAAACCAGATTTCTCATTTATTTATGTATTTTTGGGGTTTCTTCCTAGCCATAGCAGTCAGGAGGAGTTGAGGCAGGTAATTTGTTCTTTTGCTAAGCAACAGGGACTCAGACTGAAAAGTTTTGAGAACCACCTGGTTCAAACACTTAATGTCTCTTCCGTCCCTCTGCCTGGTCGGTCTTGGGGAGTAGATCCAGACAACCTCAGGTTCATCTGCTCCTGCCTCACCTGGCACTTGGCTTTCCTGATTCCTCAGTGCCACCCCCATCTCCTCCAGCTTGGTTCTGTGGGTGTCCTGATTGATGGTGTCCTAGCTGGACTACTGGACTTTCCTAGATTTGACTTCAGCACCACCTTAAGGCCACACTGTCCTCGACACTTTTTTACCTTAGGTAAGAACACTAATGATTCTCTTTCTGGGTGCTAAGCCTCCAGTCGGTGTGACTGAATTAATAAATGAGTGGATTTTCTGTGATTAAATATTGTGATTTCTTCTCTTCTACTGTTCTTACCACTGAACAATAGACAACATGTAGTAGACACTTTCCTAGTCTGTGTAAGACTCTTGATTTAAAATAAGTGACATTTTGGTGTCCCTCTTGTTACCTATCCTGACCACTTTGGGTGCATCAGTCTCCAGGTGGCAGTAGGGATAGGTAGTCCAATCTATAATTGCTTATAACTTATACCAAATCACAAAAATCACCAGAGAATGTGTTTAATCATTTCCGGATCCTGGGAATTCCTTAAGTTCCTTCCCAAGTTGCAGCAGCGAGAAAATGTGGGTACAAATGTATGTGATTTACTTGGACTACTTCATACTAAGGGAGTGGATGGTGCATATCTATGGTACTCAAAGGGCTTGCCACAATTCTAAGATCATTGCCCCTGATATCATCTGCTGAATATCTTACAAGTCCTCCCAAGTTTTGGGAGGAGCCTTCCAATACCTGCTCTTCCTTCTCAACATGTTTTATAATAATACACCTGTAGTCACCGAAACTTGCAACCTGAACATATTCTTTGTAGAACTTGCCCCCTTGTTTCATGAGGAAAGATATTCACCAGGAAGGACCGAAAGAGACAGCATGCTCTAGGTAGCAGAATGAGTGCTTGTGTCTCAGGAGACATTCAAATTAAAGAATATAAACCAAGAATAACATTCTAAGCCTCACAACTATCTGAATGGACCCCTCCTTTCAGCCAAGGGCATTCCAAAGTTAACCTGAAAAATTAGTTCAGGCCATGATAGGAAGGGGGTGGGTGTCAGACATGTCTCACAGTTGACCAGCATTAACATCAGCACAGAGATCTTAAGACAGATAGAACCAACTTTTTACATCTGATAAGAAACATTTACAATCTATTCTCTAAAGCCTGCTACCTGGAGGCTGATCTGCATGATAAAACCTTGGCCTCCACAACCCCTTATCTTAACCCAGAGATTCCTTTGTATTGATTCTAAGTCTTCAGTCAATAACTCGACCAATTGCAAATCAGAAAATCTTTGAATCCACCTAAGACCTGGAAGCCTCCCCCCACTACCCCCACCCACCATTTCCAGTTGTCCCACCTTTCCAGACCAAACCAATGTACATTTTACATGCATTGATTGATGTTTTATGTCCCCTTAAATTGTATAAAACCAACTTATAGCCTGACCACCTTGGGCAATGTTCTAAGGATCTCCAGAGGGATGTGTCACGGGCCATTGGTCACTTATACATGGCTCAGATAAATCTCTTCAAATATTTTACAGAGTTTGAGTCATTTTGTTGACAAGAACAACAGAAAAATACCACAACAATCCTTGATATGGTTTTATTTCCTATGACTGTGCTTGTAACTTTAACCACATTTTGGGAGAAGAATGGGTTACACCTAAAGTGACAGAGACATGCAATGGGGAGATTGAGTAAATTGGTTGCATCAATTTACAATGGAAAGCAGTTTCTTATTCTAAACATATTCATTTGTAATGTTGAAATTGCCCCTCTATTCATGTCTCTACACCCTCCCTATTCTAGCTTTTTGTGAAAAAACTTATGTTTATGTTACCTCTACTCTTATGATTTTAAAAAGTCTCTCTTTGGTTATTTCTCCTTTCATTCTCCATCTTCTCAGACTAAAGCACTCTAAGATTTTTAGTGTATCAGGCTCCCCATCCTCTCCCTTACTCTAGTCAACCTTTTTAGAACTTTCCCTGACTTTCTGCCTATCTTGAAGTGTTATAGTAGGTCACTCGTCAGGCATGAGCAGGGCAGGAAACGGCTCCCCTCCACCCCACCAGGAATGTCAAGAAACCATCAGGTGATGGTCAGGCAGTTGTCATACTGTCTCTCTAAAATAATAATTGGTCTCAGCTGGTGCCAGGGAAAGGCAGTCTTCCAATAGATAGAAACATCTGAATCTGGTGATCAGCAGCCTCCTGATAAGATCTCAGGAGTTGGTCTAGGGGGCTCAAGCATGCACATTCAGAGGCAAAATGGCAGAGTTTAGCTGGTATATGACCTCCCAGGACATTCAACAGGTAAGGGAAGAATGCCTCAAGTGAGCATTCATACAACTCCAGTAGACACACTGTACATGCTCACCTCCCAAGTGCTGGCAGGCCAGTGCACATGCGGACAGCCCACACCAAGGGAAGAATCAGGGGAAAAGAGATAGATGTAAGACCCCAGAAGTATGCCAACATATAAAACCCCAAGTCAAAATGTCAAACCATGCACTTGTTTGGCCCTCTTCTAGGTGTACTTTATTTCCTTCTGTTCCTGCTCCTCTAATGCTCTTTAATAAACTTTCATTTCTGCTATAAAACTTGCTTCAGTCTCTCCTTCTACCTTATGCTCCTCAGACAAATTCTTTCTTCTGAGGAGGCAAGACTTGAGGTTGCTGCAGACCTGTACAACTGCAGATTTGCTGCCAGTTATGGAAGGATGACTTGTTGGGATTGGCAGTTGACACCATAGTCCCCTTGCATTTCTTGAGCTGTCATTTTGAGGTACAAGCACAATATTCATATTTAAGCACTGGTAATGCATTCCTCAAGAAGGCAGGACAGGACATATTAATGATCATCATATCTTTGGAGCAAAGGTTTCAGAAAAAGCATTGGTAAACACTTCACATTCTTGTAGCATCTAAGTCAGACATCAGAACAAAGAGCTTTGGGGAAAGGATTTTCACCCAACTGTCTAGTTGAGAATGCTTGATAAAGTCAGTACTTGTCTAGTCTTGTACCTTGAACCTTGCCTAAGCTAGCCATCAGGAGAAGTTCTTTGTGTAATTCTGTATTCTTCCTTGGCTATTTGTTGTAGGTTCAGACAAAACCAGGATTGGAGTTGGATAGCTGCTCCAAGCTTTCTTATTATTCAATAGTCTAAGACATTTACAAGTAGGATATTTCATTTGAAGTAGAAATGTACTACAGCTTCTGGGAATGGATCAAGGATTCTAGCTAAGAAAACTTATTTTAAAAAGCCTCAACTTCATCCACCAACTTTCTTGGTCAGAAGGGCAATGGGGCCAGCAAGTAGATACCAGTGTTTAGTGATAGCCAGTTCTTTTCTTTCCTTCAAGCTTCCTTCCTCAATTAATGTAAGTATGTTAATAGGATATGATTTCCCTAATAGACAACACTGATAGGAACAGGGGTGGGACTGAACCTAATGGTTGCTGTAACATGTTTAATTTCTGATGTTGCTGTTAAATGTTGAGGAAAATTAGTCACATTTAGAAGCATCTGTTTCCAAAAGTGGTTAAAGTATACATTGCCTCCTGACTAGTCAGTTTATCGCTTATAATAATAGTTGTGGTGTGAAATGATTCTTTTTATTTGCTTTCTTTGTTCCGGCTATAAATACACATTTGGCTTCTAGAGAACTGGGATTTAAAATGTCAAAGGATATCGTTCACATATCTTGGCCATAATGCATATAAAAAGAAATCTAAATTTGTACTGTTTTCTTCAATCCCAATATATTTTATGTTCCATTTAGATGCAGTTACGATTGGAAACTATAGTTATGAAGATGTATGCAATCTTCAGTAGTAATAAGCACCTTATGATCAACAAAGGGTTGAAGAATGGATTGGAAGGATTCTAATATGTGATAACTTAAGCATTTTATTTCCTGGGTTGTTGACATTTAGGGAATCAGAGGAGGTGAGGAACAGTGGAGAAAGTCCCTTAAGTGTACATATGCCTTTCACAAGGCACTATAAACATTTTTTTTGTTGTTTTTTTGAACCAGGGTCTATCTCTGTTGTCCAGGCTAAAGTACAGTGGCTTGATCATGGCTCACTGCAGCCTTGAGCTCCTAGGCTTAAGCTGTCCTCCTATCTCAGCCTCCCAAGTGGGAAAATTAATCTTTTTTTTTTTTTTTTGTTTTGGAGATGGAGTCTTGTTCTGTCGCCCAGGCTGGAGTGCAGTGATGTGATCTTGCTTACTGCAAGCTCCGCCTCCTGGGCTCAAGCGATTCTGGCCCAGCTAATTTTTGTATTTTTAGTAGAGACAGGGTTTCACTATATTGGCCAGGCTAGTCTCAAACTCCTGACCTCAGGTGATCCATCTGTCTTGGCCTCCCAAAGAGTTGGGATTATAGGCGTGAGCCACCCATGCCCTGGCCAAAAAACCAATTTTTAAAGCTAACAACCAACTAATTTTGTGTTTGCCACCATATTTTTTTTGTTGCTGTTGTTTTTTGCCTTCAGAATGGTCATTTATGTAGAGTGGACATAAAACTTAAATATAACTGTCAAACCTCTTAATCAGCAGGTCAAAGTTCTGGAAAGCTCATCTGAAATATTTGTTAGGCTATTTACAATGTTCATGTGATGTGTTTCCTTAAGGAAACAAGTCTCCCATTTTGGGTTGTGAATGTGGTACTTTATTTTTGAGCAGTCACTGGGATCTTAGCAGAATTTCCTAATTTTGCATTACTGCCTGAGATGTTTTTGTAAGAAAATCAGGCTCTTCTTTGTATCTCTTGAGTGGCTTTGTAATCTATGCTTCCAGTGAAGCAGTTGAAAATTTTGCCCCACAGCCCTCACACAGTGGAGGAAGATGTACTTGCTTTACCTGATGTCAGTTCTGGAACACTGTTCCTACTTCACAACATAAGAAAAGTTTTATGCAATTTTAAAAATATTTGTTGTAGAGATGGGGTCTTGCTATGTTGCCCAGCTGGTCTCAAACTCCTAGCCTCAAGTAATCCTCTTGCCTCAGCTTCCTAAAGCGCTAGGATTACAGGTGTGAGCCACCATGCCTGGCCAGAAAGTTTAAAACAAAAACAAAAACAAGCAAACAAACAAAAAAACCAACTCTTATTTTAGACAAGTTCAAAGGGAGTGGAGGAGGGAGAGTTTTTGAAATCAGAAATAAATTGTTTATTGCAACTACATTGAAAGTTCTCTTTTCCCACAAATTAAGAATTAGAATTATCTGGAAGTGAGATGGATTTTTTAGAAACTTTGTGGAATAGGGTGATATTACCTTCCAGATGTGTAAAGCAACAAAACATTAAAGGTGTGCAAAGCTAATTATACAGTGAGAGCAAAGAAGCTCTCCCTTTGTGATACGAAGCTTTCAATGCTCAATTCGCAGGTGCATCCTCTTAAGGGTGGGAGGATTCCTCTCCCACTGCCTACATCTGTTGGTAGTAGTGGAATTGGTTATCTTCTGAAACCATTTGTTTGATCTGTTGATTAGGGGTGAGGGCTAAATTTTTGGCATTTTGAAAATTAAGAAATTCAGTTAATGTGTGAAGTTCTTACATGGGCAAACGTCTAGATTGGTCTCTCCTAAATGAATTTTGAAGTGGGTTGCTGACAACTAGTTCAATAATCCTGCATGACAGTAATTTCAAAATGACATTTTCCCCCCTATTAAAGCAGTGGGATTGATTGCTTGCAAAATTTTTTAATGGTAGCTTTTTATGGTATGGTTTACAGTACAAATGTGAACTGAAACACCTTAATTAGGCCACTGCAAAAATGAAATGGCCTGCACTTACATGATATGGAATCCTCAATGAAAGTTCAGCAGAGAGAATTTTTGATTTGCTGTAGTTGAGTGTAAGGGCAGAGCCAAATCACTAGCTGCCTGTGGAATTGTAATAAAATGGGCAGGTGCTGCTTCAAAGAGAATTGACGCAATTAGCTTCACCCATATTCTGCTGGCATTCTCTGAATTACCTCCTAACCCTCTCTCTTTCCATCTTTCTCCTATTCATAGCCAAATCAGTCCTTTTATAACAAATCATCATTTTTTCATGCCTTATGCATCAAGACTTTGCTTGGGATTTTAACAATATAATTTGTTTCCAGCTAAAAAATGAAAATGGATGTGAGAGAAGGTAAAGGGGAGAAAAGACTAAATGTTTTCTCACCTAGAGTATCTATCTTATACTAGGAAACTTGATGATGTAGGGAGAAATGTGACAATATTATTTCATTTTTTGCTACTTTTCTCTACCAGGCAAGCCCTTTGCTGCAGATGACTACAGGTATATAGGTTATTTGACTAGAAACAAGTAATGATTCAGACACCAGTAATTATTCTGATTAATTAGTGAAACAGTGGCTAAAAGAATCTATTTTCCCACCATGTAACAGTTGCACAAGAAAGATCTTTGAAATGATCTTGCATTACTAAAATGGGTTATCTTTCTTGCTGGGTGTCTATGGTTTGTTTTTTCATTCATTTATTTACTCCTTCTATAAATATTTATTCTGTCTGCACTAAGGGCCAGCTCTGTATGAGGCACTGGAGATAGAGTGGTGAAGCCATCAGACATGGAGCTTACAACCATCGAAAATTATTAAAATAATGAATTACAATGGTGATGGAAATCTGAGGGATAAGCACAGTGGTGCTGTGTGAACATTACTCAGGGGAGACCTATTAAGAATAAGGATGATCGGATTATTGTCTGGAAGCTGCATTTAGTCTTGTTTAGTAGCTATAAAAATAGATAGATTAACATGTACTTTGAAATAGCATGTCTAGAAATATATTTGCAGAGGGAAATGTAGCTGAGTGTCCAGAGAATACAGGGTGAGTGCATGTGGAAGTCCCTGAAGAACAGAATAGTAACTTGGAGGGAAGATTATGCCACCTACTTTATTTAACGTGGTAGCCATCACACTCTAAAATGTATTCAGATCTGTTTTGCTTATCAACCTCTTGGAAATGGTGGTCCTCATGCTCAGGATAAAGTTTTCCAGGGACTTTTATAAGAATTAGGTTTTCTGGGTACCAAATATCTTTAGTTGGATTTCCTCCTGAGTTTACTTTGCAATTCATTTATTTGAATAAATTTGACAGGCTTTTTCATGTTTTCCCATTATATTTTATCTTGTTGATTTTAGCATAGTTAGTTCTCTCTGAATTCTTATTCTGGCATCCACAAACTTGCTTCTTCTATCTTTGCATCACCAGGAAATTGGTTAAAGATGGCTTGTCTGTCTTCATGTTGTCTAATAAAATTGCTAAACATGACAGGGCCAAACACAGAGATTGGTATGCACTCCAGAGGTCTCCCTTTGGCTGACTTTGCTCCATTAGTAAGGTGTTTAACTAGGTATGAATTCCTAGCACTATGCTGTCATCAGTGCTGTATAATGTAGGGCCACTTAACTAGAGTGGTAGACAGGCCCCAATACCAGGATTCTGACTGTCATGGAGTGGCAGAGCAGCCACCATGAACTGAGGAAGCAGAGAGTGCTAGGGCTTAAAAACTCTTTATCTGTGCCAGAAACTACAAACTGAAGGAATGGCACACTGTGGAAGCCAGAACTTCTTTCTCGAGCTCCAGGCCTGGATGTCCAACACTATATTTACTGCCATCCCCACTGGGTGTCCCACAGGGACCTCAAACCAGACAAGTCACAAATTGAACTCATCTTTCTGCATCCCTGGAATGGTCTCCTCTGCCTTTGTCTCTATTCTGGTTCATTCTCCACATTGCAATGAGAGTGATCTTTCCAGCAAATCTAATTTTGTCCCTTCCTCGTTCTAAATTTGTTAATGGTTCCCTCCACATATGCAGGAGAAAGTCTGAGCTTCTCTGCATGAATGAAAAACTCCATGATCTGACCTCCACCTAACTTGGCTAGCCTTGTCTCCGGTTCACTGCCTTGTTAATTTACATCCACACTGAACTTCTTTGTTTTTCTGAACGTGTTATGCTTCTCATTCTCTTACCTTTTCGTATTTTATTTCTTTTGGTCAGAACCCCATTCATCTCCCTGACAGCCCCCTATTCAGTTTCCTAGCCTCAGTTCCGGGGCTACTTTCTCTGTGAAGCCTGGAAAGGCATCACAGGGCAGCTTTCACAGACTCCCATGGCTGGCTCACGGGACCTCCCAATGCTTAGATTAAACCACGTATGCTGCCATTTTTGTGGTGAACATGGTTATCATAAAAGTGATTTTCTTTTGATGCCAGGGTCCATGTCATGCCATCTTTGAACCACCAGTCCCTCAGAGTGTCTTGTTTGTGGAAGGTGCTTTTGGAATGAGGGGGAGCTGAGTAAGACTAGGGACAAGGAAGCTATGAGAAGAAAGATGAGCAGGGACGCTGTGGGGCTGCATCCTGAGATTAAGGCAAAAGGACAAGTTACCTCTCTATAAATGCCAGTGCTGCACCTATGTCGTGGTTCCACCCTATTCACCCTGTGGTGGAGGAAGCTAATGGTCCAGCTGTATTCCTTCTTCTCTTCTTCCTTTAATAATTGAACTGGAGAGTTTAGTTGGGCATGCGGTTTCCCAGCCAGAGGTAACATCTCTCACATTCTCTTACAAGATATGGTCAAGTGGCAAAGTTCTGGCCAATGGGAAGTGAGAGGAAGAAATGTGTGGCAATTTCAGGTTGTGCCCTTAAAAGGCATAACGCACTTCCTCCTGGACATTTTCCTGCTCTACATTGCATATTCTGTAGATGTAGTGGTGGGTGTTAGAGATGGAAACACTCAGTTGCACATGGCAGAACTGCCCCACTAGCCTGGGCACCAGCCCATTGACTGTGAACATGGAAGGAAAGCTTCCTTGTCTGACCCATAGTAGTTTCAGATCTCTGCAGAGACTGTACCTAAACACTTATGTTAAAAAATCATGAAGCATTTCAAGCACACACAATTTTGATATTTTTTGTGATATGTACTTCATATATTTTCTTTTCCATTTCTCTTCACTTTCCATTTTAAACTAAATAACATGTTATGTTTGTAACATTTTTGTGTGTTTTAAACACAAAAAACATTTACAAAAAACAGCATACTTTTTCCAGTCACTATTTGGTTTTTGAGATTTGTCTGTTGATTCACATATGGTGGGATCAATATTTTAACTACTATGTACCATTTCACTGAATGAATAGAATTCAATTTTATATAGAATATAATTCCACTTAAATAACAGGATTCAGTGATCCTCTTATTGAGGCATCTTGAGGTTGTTTCTAATTTTTAACTATTATAAATAATTGCTATATAACCCTTGTACATGTCTGTTGTGCTTATATGCAAGATTTTCAGTAGAACAGACACCTAGAGACTCTTGGGTTTTAGAATATACACAGCTCCACTTTTACAGAATTTTGCTAAATTACTCTCCAAAGCCTTTTTGTTAAAAGATAAAAATGAGCATTATATCAGAGCTCCTATTGTTCTACATCTCTGCCATTATGTGATATTGCTGGGCTTTAAATTTTTTGTCTATTTGAGGAGTTTTAAAAATTTACATTTTTTGATTACTACCAAAGTTAAGCATCATTTTGTTACTTGACCATTCTGTTCCCCTCAACTGTGAACTGAATTAATTTTTATTATTAATTTAAGGGAGATTTATTTTATTTAATTTATAATTACCACTTTTATTTTAGATTTGGGGGTACATGTGTACGTTTGTTACATGTACACAGCATGATGCTGATATTTGGGGTATGATTAATCCTGTCACCCAAGTAGTGAGTATAGTACCAATAGTTAGTTTTGCAACTCTTGCCCCTCTCCCATCCTTTCCCACCTAGTAATCCCAAGTGTCTCTTGTTGCCATCTTTATGTCCATGAGCATCCAGTGTTTAGCTCTCTTAGAAGTGAGAACATATGATATTTTATTTTCTTTTCCTGCATTAATTCACTTAGGACAATAGCCTCTAACCTGCATCCATGTTGTTGTAAAGGATATGATTTTTTCTTTTTTGTGACTGTTTAGTATTCCATGGTGTATATATACCACATTTTCTTTATCCAGTCCATCATTGATGGGTACCTAGGTTGGTTCCATGTCTTTGCTATTGTGAATAGTGCTATCATAAACATACACACACATGCATGTTTTTGGTAGAATGGCTTTTCTTTTGGATATATACCTAGTAATGAGATTGATGGGTTGAATGGTAGTTCTGTTTTAAGTTCTTTGATAAATCTCCAAACTGTTTTCTACAGTGGCTGAACTAATTTACATTCCTACCAACGGTGTATAAGTATTTTTTATAATGTTTTGAATTTTTTATTTCCATAGGTTTTTGGGAACAGGTGGTGTCGGTCACATAAACAAATTCTTTTGTGGTGATTTCTGAGATTTTGGTGCACCCATCACCTGAGCAGTATAGTGTATAAGCATTCTTGAGGAAGTTTTAAAGAAAGATAATTTATTAATTCCTTGTTAGTTATATTTGAAAATGTTTTCTCCTTATCTTTATCTTATGTTTTTATCTCCTGGTATTTTTTTGCTATGCAAAATTTAAAATTTAGTATAGTCAAATTTATGGATCACTTTTTCTTAATAATTTCTGCTTGTTGAATCTTGTTTAAGAAATGTTTCTATACCCCAAGGCCATGTTGGATGTTAATTATAGTGTGAGGTATATGGAGGCTTTTTGTACTATCTTTGTAATTTTTCTGTAAATCTAAAACTTTTAAAATGAAAAAGTTTATTTAAAAATTACTGTGATTAGTATGTTAAAGAACAGATATTAAAATTGAAAATTTTACCAGAAAATGAGAATTTATAAAACATAATTAAGTGGAAATTATAAAAATAAAAATATAGTAAGTGAAATTAAAAGCTTCATATATGGATTTAACAGCACATTAGACTGTGAAAGAGATGAGCAATGAACTGGAAGACAGGTCAATAGAAAATATTCGGACAAGAACATGGAGAAAAAATGTATAAAATAAAGCATAAATGTAAGAGACATATGGAACAAAGTGGAATATTTTCAGTTAAAATTTATAAATGAAAAGAGGGAGATAATGTGGTAGAACCAATGTTTGAAGAGCTACCAAGCAAGGTTTCCAAAAATGAGAAAAGATATGAAGTCAGCTAAAATTAAAAAGGTTTATGAATCCCCAAATAGAATAAATTTAAATAAAATTCATCTAGGCCCCTCTTAATACAACTGTAGAAACCAAAGGCAAAGAGAAAAATCTTAAAAGCAACTACAGAAAGAAATTATTTCAACAAACAACGATAAGACATACAGCTAACTTTTCAGCATGAATAATGGAAGTCAGGAGTTAATGGAATGAGGTCTTTAAAGTACTGAAAGGAAATAGGAGCATTCCGGAATTATATATTGAGGAACAAGAAAATAAATGAGCTATCCAGCTGTGAAAAGACATGGAAGAATCTTAAGTGCATATTCCTAAGTGAAACAAAACAGTGTGAAAAGGCAACAAACCGTATGATTCCAACTACATGACATTCTAGCAAAGATAAAATTGCAGAGACAGTAAAAATATCAGTTTTGCCAGAGGGTTTGAGGGGAAAATGTCAGAGGAGCGGGGATACATAGGTAAAACAGAGAGGAATTTTAGGGTGGTGGAAATATTCTATGTGATACTGTAATGGTGGATACATGACATTATGCATTTGTCAAAACCCATAAAACTATACAACACAAGGTGTGAATCTTAAACTACGGACTTTAGTTAATTAACAAAAGTCACCAGATATTTCCTTTGATCAATGCCAGACATTTATTAAAATGACTCTGATCATATCTGCATACATGTACCAATTTTGGAGGGGTAAGGATGGAATGAATTAAAATCAGGCAAAAAATGAGTTAAGTGGTTGGTTACATTAAAAATATCGTGCACTTTGAAGTAATTTGTTGTCTTCTGCCTCAAATGATTTGTGTGTAGAGACAGAATCCAAAAGGCATCTATTTATTGATATGATCAGGTACAACAGATTACCAGCTGATATTTTCTAAAAGAGTCCATGTAATCTTCAGAAAGCTTAATGAATTTGAACACTAGCAATTTAAGGCCCTTTCTAGTATTGCATAACTTATCACCTCGATTTAATTCTGAATTTTAGGGCCTTTTGCTTTTATCTCCTCTGCAAACTGCCTGTCTTTAACTGTTTTACCTTTTTCACCTTGGCAGCGATACCTAAATAGAGCACAAGCTTGCAAAACCAGACAGTTGTGCTTTTTGTCAGAAGCACTGGAAAAGGCTGAGGAGAAAATAAAACACTGGTATGGCTCTTAACCCTGGGTGGACATTAGTTAGAATCATTTGCAGAACTTTTAGGCTGCACCAGTACCTGGGTTCCACTCCCAGAGAATTTTATTTAATTGGTCTGCAGTGGGGCCTGTATATCAAGGGTTGAGGATGGAGTCTCGCTCTGTCGCCCAGGCTGGAGTGTGGTGGTGTGAACGTGGCTCACTGTAACCTCCACCTCCTGGGCTCAAGCGATTCTCCTGCCTTAGCTTCCCAAGTAGCTGGGATTACAGATGCCTGCCACCATGCCTGGCTAATTTTTTATTTTTAGTAGAGACGGGGTTTCACCATGTTGGCCAGGCTGGTCTCAAACTCCAACTTCAAGTGATCTGCCCGCCTCGGCCTCCCAAAGTGCTGGGAATATAGGTGTGAGCCACCGTGCCTGGCCTGGACTGAGCCTTAGGTCTGAATTTTAATATTCTTTTTATGGTTCTATTTTACTAATACCATGATTAGTCAAAATAGAGTTCTATGAGTGTTTAAGGATTCCAGCTTTGGAGTTAGAACAGGGGTTGTAATCCTGTCTTTGCCATTAATTATTGGCCATGTGATTATTGGCAAGGTGCATCCTAAAGCCAATTCTTCCCCACCAAAATGGGAAAATTTTTTTTCAGTGTGAGAATTATATGAAATAATAAACATGTAATGGGAATGGTGTTTTTAAAATGTTAAATCAGTATTGTTGCCAAGATCATAATTGTCTTGTGATTTCCCTTCCATCGAATTAATGGCATTTACTTCTTCACAGGGGAGCATGCAGTATCTAGGAACATCTTTGATTTTTGTGATGGTTAGTATTGAGTGTCAACTTGATTGGAATGAAGGATGCAAAGTATTGTTCCTGGGTGTGTCTGTGAGGGTGTTGCCAAACAAGATTAACAGTTGAGTCCGTGGACTGGGCGATGCAGACCCACTCTCAATCTGGGTGGGTACCATCTAATCAGCTGCCAGCACAGCACAGCTAGAATAAAGCAGGCGGAAGAAAATGGAAAGAGCAGACTCGTTGAGTCTTCTGGCCTTCATTTTTCTGCCATGCTGGATGCTCCGTGACCTTGAACATCAGACTCCAAATTCTTCAGCTTTTGGACTCTTGGACTTACACCAGTGGTTTGCCAGGGGCTCTCAGGCCTTTGGCACTCCCAGCCCCTAAGGAAGCCCAGGGAATCCATTTCTGACTTTATCTCACTGGGACCCTTGGGGAGGGTTGTCAGTGGAACTGGGGAAAGACCACAGAGAGAAGGAAACTTCCAGCTGAAATTTGTAATAATTTTGACCATGTGTGAATTTTCCAGGGCAGAATCTGGAAGTTGGGGGCTGAATGGGAAGTGCAGATACAAGCGCAGAAGCAGTGGTGGGGAAGGGCGAAGCCTGAAAGCCGTGCTTGCTTTCTCAATGAGGAGGCTTGAAGCCTGGGTCAAGATCTCAGGCCTGCTCACCAGCTGCCTGGATATAAACTCAGTGCTGTTGGAGAACACAGTGGGAGTGAGACTGGCCTTTCTGTCTGTGTGGGCTTTGATTGAGGCCTGTCGCTGCTGGCTTTCCATCACTTCCCTGGCAACCTGTGTGATGCAGCAGAGGCAGCCACAATCCCCATAGGAGCATAACTCCATTGGCCTGAGAACCACATCCCCATCCCCCACAGTGGCCACTGCAAGCCCTGCCCAAGGAAAGCCTGAGCTCAGATCCCCATAACCCTATCCCCACCTGACGATCTTTCTCTATTGCCTTGGTAGCTGAAGAAAAAAGACATAATCTCTTGAAAGCTCTATGACCCTGCCCACTGCCTGGGAATACATATCTGGGTGACTCTAGAGCAAGCTTGTATCCTCCCTATACTACCACAGCTGATGCTCTCTTGAAAGTGCCACCTCCTAGCTGGAGGCCAACTAACACAAACCATTACAGCAACCCATGAAAGAACAACCCTGTCCCAAGAAAGGAGAAAGCAGCAGCTAACTCCACCACCTGCAACATCCTGGCTACCACCAGAGGTCCTAATTCTGTCTACGTGACACCTTTACTACCAACACAACCAGCATCCAAGAAAACTAGCACGCTAAACAAAACTTCAACCAAAGACCCTCACAGAGTCCACTTCATTACTCTGCTACCTCCACTGGAGCAGGTGCTGGTATCCATGACTGAGAGACTTGAAGATGGATCACATCACTGGGCTCCTTGCAGATACTCCCCAGTACCATCCCAGAGCCTGGTAGCTCCACTGGGAGGCTAGACCCAGAAGAGAAATAATAATCACTGCAGTCCGGCTCTCAGGAAGCCCCATCCCTAGGGGAAGGGAGAGAGCACCACATCAACGGAGCACCCTGTGGGAGAAAAGAATCTGAACAGCAGCCTTGAGCCCCGGCTCTTTCCTCTGACATAGTCTACCCAAATGAGAGAAACCAGAAAAACAATTCTGATAATATGATAAAACAAGGTTCATTAACATCCCCAGAAGATCAGACTAGTTCACCAGCAATGGATACAACCAAAGAAGAAATCTCTGAATTGCCAGAAAAAGAATTCAGAAGGTCGATTATTAAGCTACTCAAGGAGGCACCAGAGAAATGTGAATATCAACTTAAAGAAATTTAAAAATGGTACAGGATATGGATGGAAAAATCTCCAGAGAAATAGAGAGCATAAATAAAAAACAGTCACAACTTTTGGAGATGAAGGACACTATTGGGGAAATGCAAGATACACTGGCAAATTCCAACAATAGAATCAAACAAGCAGAAGAAAGAACTTCAGAGCTCTAAGACAAGGCTTTCAAATTAACCTATCTGACAGACAAAGAAAAAAGAATTAAAAAATGAAGGCCAGGGCTGGGCGTGGTGGCTCACGCCTGTAATCCCACCACTTTGGGAGGCTGAAGCAGGTGGACCACAATGTCAGGAGTTCGAGACCAGCCTGACCAACATGGTGAAACCCCGTCTCTACTAAAAATACAAAAATTAGCCAGGCATGGTGGCACGTGCTTGTAATCTCAGCTACCCAGGAGGCTGAGGCAGGAGAATCACCTGGACCCGGGAGGGGGAGGTTGCAGTGAGCAGAGACTGCGCCATCGCACTCCAGCCTGGGTGACAGAGCCAGACTCTGTCGCAAAAAAAAAAAAAAAAAAAAAAAAAAAAAAATGAAGGCCGGGCACAGTGGCTCACACTTGTAATCCCAGCACTTTGGGAGGCTGAGGTGGGCGGATCACCTGAAGTCAGGAGTTCAAGACCAGCCTGACCAACATGGAGAAACCCCCTCTCTACTGAAAATACAAAATTAGCTGGGAGTGGCAGTGCATGCCTGTAATCCCAGCTACTTGGGAGGCTGAGGCAGGAGAATCACTTGAACCCAGGAGACGGAGGTTGTGGTGAGCTGAGATCACACCATTGCACTCCAGCCCGGGCAACAAGAGTGATACTCCGTCTCAAAAAAAAAAAAAAAAAAAGAACAAAACCTCTAAGAAATTTGGGATAATATTAAATGACCAAACATAAGAATAATTAGTGTTCCTGAGAAAGAAGGGAAATCTAAAAGTTCGGAAAACTTATTTGAAGGAGTAATTGAGGAAAACTTCCCTGGCCTCTCTAGAGATGTAGACATCCAAATCCAAGAAGCTCAAAGAATACCCGGGACATACCTCGGAAAAAGATCTTTGCTTAGGCACATAGTCATTAGGTTATCTAAAGTAAAGACAAAAGAAAGAATCTTAAGAGTTGTGAGGCAGTATCAAGTAACCTATAAAGGAAAACCTATCAGATTAACAGCAGATTTCTCAGAAGAAATCCTACACACTAGAAAGAATTGAGGTCATATCTTTAGCCTCCTTAAACAAAACAATGATCAGCCAAGAATTTTGTATCCAGCAAAACTGAGCTTTATAAATGAGGGAGAGATATAGTCTTTTTCAGACAAACAAATGCTAAGAGAATTTGCCACTACTAAGCCAGCGCTACCAGAACTGCTGAAAGGAGCAGGAATCATGAAACAAAACCTCGAAATACACCAAAACAGAACCTCCTTAAAGCATAAGTCTCACAGGACCTATAAAACAATAACACAGTGGGGGGGAAAAAAAAACACACCAAGGTATTCAGGCAACAACTAGCATGATGAATAGAATAGTACCTCACATCTCAAAATTAATGCATAATGTTAATGGCCTAAGTGCTCCACTTAGAAGGTACAGAATGGCAGATTGGATAAGAATTCACCAACCAATAAGTGCTGTGTTCAAGAGACTCACCCAACACATAAGGACTCATATAAACTTATGGTAAAGGGGTAGAAAAAACATCCCATGCAAACGAACACCAAAAGCGAGTAGGAATAGCTATTCTTATATCAGACAAAACAGACTTTAAAGCAACAACAGTTAAAAAAGACAAAGAGGGACATTATGTAATGATGAAAGGACTAGTCCAACGGGAAAATATCACAATCTTAAATATATATGCACTTAATACTGGAGGTCCCAAATTTATAAAACAATTGTTACTAGACCTAAGAAATGAGATAGATGGAAGCATAATAATAGTGAGGGACTTCAGTACTCCACTGATAGCACTAGGTCATCAAAACAGAATGTCAACGAAGAAAAAATGGATTTAAACTATATCCTAGAGCAAATGGACTTAACAGATATTTACAGAACATTCTACCCAACAACTGTACAATATACATTCTATTAATCAGCACATGAAACATTCTCCAAGATAGACCATATGATAGGCCACAAAACAAGTCTCAATAAATTTAAGAAAATCAAAATTATATCAAATACTCTGTCAGACCACAGTGGAATAAAATTGGAAATCAACTCCAAAAGGAACCCTCAAAACCATGAAAATTCATGGAAATTAAATAATCTGCTCCTGAGTTATTATTGGGTCGACAATGAAATCAAGATGGAAATTTTAAAAAGTTTTGAACCGAACTATGATAGTGACACAACCTATCAAAACCTCTTGGATTCAGCAAAAGTGGTGCTAAGAGGAAAGTTCATAGCATTAAATGCCTACATCAAAAAGTCTCAGAGAGCACAAATAGACAATCTAAGGTCACACGTCGAGGAACTAGAGAAATGAGAACAAACCAAACCCAAACGCAGCAGAAGAAAAAAAAATAACAAAGATCAGAACAGAATTAAATGAAATTGAAACAAAAAAAGTTACGAAAGATAAATGAAAATAAAAGCTGGTTCTTTGAAAAGATAAAATTGATAGACTGTTAGCGAGATTAATCAAGAAAAGAAGAGAGGAGATCCAAATAAGCTCAATTAGAAACGAAGTGAGAGCTATTACAACTGATACCACAGGAACATGAAAGATTATTCAAGACTACTATGAACAATTTTATGTGCACAAGCTTGAAAACCTAGAGGAGATGGATAAACTCCTGGAAATATTCAACCATCCTAAATTAAAGCAGGAAGAAATAGAAATCCTGAACAAATAACAAGCAGCGAGATTGAAATGGTAATTTAAAAATTGTCTCCAAAAAAGTCCAGGACCAGATGGATTCACAGCTGAATTCTATCAGACATTCAAAGAAGAATTGGTACCAATCCTGTTGACACTATTCCAAAAGATAGAGAAAGAGGGAATCCTTCCTAAATCACTCCATGAAGCCAGTATCACCCTAATACCAAAACTAGGAAAGAGCATAACAAAAAAGGAAAACTATAGACCAATATCCCTGATGATCATGGATACAAAAATCCTTAACAAAATTCTAGCTAAATGAATCCAACAGCATATCCAAAAGGTAATCCACCATGCTCAAGTGGGTTTCATACCAGGGATGCAGAGACGGTTTAACATTTGCAAGTCAATAAATGTGATACACCACATAAACAGAACTAAAAGCAAACATCACATGATCATCTCAATAGATGCAGAAAATGCGTTTGACAAAATCCAGCATCCCTGTATGATTAAAACCCTCAGCAAAATTGGTATAGAAGAAAAACCTTTTAAGGTAATAAAAGCCATATATGACAAACTCACAGCCAACATTATACTGAATGGGGAAAAGTTGAAAGAATTCCCCCTGAGAACTGGAATAAGACAAGGAGGCCCACTTTTACCACTTCTATTCAATATAGTACAGGAAGTCCTAGCCAGAGCAATCAGACAAGAGATAGAAATAAAGAGTATCCAAATCAGTAAAGAGGAAGTCAAACTTTTGCTATTCACTGATTGATTGTTTACCTAGAAAACCCTAAAGATTCATCCAAAAAGCTACCACAAATTGAATATGTTTGTTTCTAAGTGAGTGACATGTTACCTCGAAAAACAGAAACTCAAACACTCAAATTTCATATTTTGCTCAGTTATGTGAACTTAACAACGTTTACATGTTTAAAAAATAAGAGTAGTTTGGTAATTAAATGTAATTTGATATTTATCAATGTCCAATATTCCTTTAACTTTAGTCTCATAAACATACTTTCCTCAATAAGTTTAGGATAATGTGTCTACCCAATTCTTTTAAATGTTTGTTTATATTTTTTCACAACTCTTTAACTACTTATAGACAAGAATCAGCTCTATTTAGCAAACGTCTGAAAGTTGGTGAATCAGTAATGGAAATAGCTTTGGTAAGTTTTGATCAGTGAAGTACATAAGCTATAGTCTGTACTGTCTTCCTCCTTTTGGTTAACTCCCTATTATGATTTTCTGGACCACCAAATATCAAAGCCACAAGTCTTAAGTTAAGACTTGTCCTAAGGCTGATCCCAAAGCAACAGTCCTTACGAGTCGAACTTTTTAGATCCTTAACTTTGGTGACAACCCAAAAGAAATTAGAATCAATTGTCCATGCCTTTGTTGAGTGCCTCATCTATGCTTGGAACTTAAGTGGATTTTGCAGCAATAAAGAAAAAACACAAATTTCTATGTAACGACCCTGTAATCTTGTCAGAGAGATAAAATTTGAACGGACAAAACAACAGTGAAATATCTAGGACAATATAAATGGCATTGTACTGTCTGTACGGACCTATAGAATTTGGGAAGGGAGAAAGGGATTTGTTTAAGGCTAAGGTACTCCATGAAGGTTTTGTGAAAGATTTTGACTTCATTTAAGCCTTAAATGATAGGCAACAGTTTTCCTGGGAGACAGGGTTTGAGAGATGTGGTAGCATGGGGTGGTGAAAAGACCATAGGCTTTAGCTCTGCCACTTACTGCAGGCTAGACCCTTGTGCAAGTTGCTTATATTCACTGAGCTGCAGTCTCTTCATTTCAGAAATGAGGATCCAATCCAGTTGAGTGCTGTGTGCTCTGGAAGGCACTGCTCAGATGTTGTGGGATTCTAAAAGAAAAAAGTATCAACAAGGGAGTATGGGGAAGATTGCAGGGCAGCCAACCCAGAGATGAGATATCTGCTGTTTTATAGTGGGAATTCTTTTTCTGCTTTTTCTGCTGCTGCTCCTGCTTCTTCTTCTTCTTCTTCTTCTTCTGCTTCTTCTGATTCTGCTTCTTCTGCTTCTGCTTCTCCTTCTCCCGCTTCTGCTGCTGCTTCTTCTCCTCCTCCTCCTCCTCCTTCTTCTTTTCTTTGAGGCAGGATCTTGCTCTGTCACCCAGGCTGGAGTGCAGTGGTGCAAGAACTCCTGGGCTCAACCATTCCTCTTGCCTCAGCCTCTTGAGTAGCTGGGACCACAGGTATGAATGACCACACCTGGCTAATTAAAAAATTTTTTTTGTCGATATCTCACTATGTTGCCTGGGCTGTCTCAAACTCCTTGGCTCAAGTGATCCTCCTGCCTGGGCTTCCCAAAGTGCTGGGCTTACAGGCAGGAGCCACCTTACCTGGCTGGGAATTCTTCTTTTTGGCACACTATCCAATCTTTCTGTATCAGTTTCACTGTGAAACCCTCAGAAAATCAGCACTCTCTATGGTTTCAGCTCCACTGTGGAGTTACATATAAAGAATAGTCCAGGATCCAAAAGTAACGAAAAAGGACTCCAATACTTACTTTCATGGCTCAACGAATGTTAAAAGGGATACAGTTCAAAGCCGCTAGCACTTCCTTAACTCCTGTCTCCCTCCTTTCTGTCTTCTCCACCTTGAAGCTGCTCTGGAGCATCTCACTCCTCAACCTTCACCCCACGACTTTCACCCCAGCACCCAACTCCCCTCACAACAAGTCTGCAGTTTCCCCTCCTTTTCTCCTCACATTTTATTATGTAGGTGGATCTAGCTTTCAGCATCTATGTTCTTCCACATTTAATTTTGCCCCTCTAGTCTTGCTCTTCTCTACCCATTCTTTTTTTTCTAATATGTTATTATAAGTAGTTTCAAAAATACAACAAATTGAAAAAATTGTGCCGTGAACACCCAGATGTCCACTATCTGTTTTTTTTTATAATTAACATATTGTTATGTATCCTTGTCACATATTTACTCATCTGTCCATCTCTCTGTCTACCCATTCATCTTATATTTTTTTATTATGGTAAAATATATATACAAACATTTACCATTTTAACAATTTTTAAGTATGCAATTTACTAGCATTAAGTACATTAAAAACATGAAATGGCATTGCACATTGTTGTACAAGCATCTTCATGCATTCTGTTTTTTTTGTTTGTTTTTTTTGTTTTGTTTTTGAGATGGAGTCTTACTCTGTTACCTAGGCTGGAGTGCGGTGGCCTGATCTTGGCTCACTGCAACCTCTGCCTCCCAGGTTCAAGCGATTCTCCTGCCTCAGCCTCCTGAGTAACTGGAATGACATGCACCCACCACCAAGCTTGGCTACTTTTTTGTATTTTTAGTACACATGGGGTTTCACCATGTTGTCCAGGCTGGTCTCGAACTCCTGACCTCAGGTGATCCAACTGCCTCTGCCTCCCAAAGTGCTGGGATTACAGATGTGGGTCACTGTGCCCGGCCACCACCCATTCTTAAACATCATTTGTGTGAGTGAGTGTGTGTGCACGATTCTGAATTAGAAGATGGGAGAATAAGCTGGCAAAGCCAGAACACCTAGGAGAGTAAGAAAAGGAGATTAGGAGGAGGGAGGCAGACGAACACGCACTCATTAATCATTCTTGTCTCCTTTATATGTATCTGTGAAATGGAGATGATTTCCATTTCAGGGCCTTTAAAACATTTTTTTTTTTTGTAAAAAACTAAAGTAGATAATACATATGAAAACATGTAGCATAGGGATTAGTTTATGGTACATGCTTGCCAAAATTTCTTTAATTCTAAAACAACCAAAATTAGAACAGCTCTGCTCCAGTCAGCACTGGCTAGGCCATACTACAGCAACAAACTCCCATATCATACCTCAGTGGCTTAAAACAACAATGGCTTATTTCTCCCCAATTCTTCAAGTCCATTGCAGGTGGGAAAGAGGATCTTTGTTCTCTTTCTCTTAACCTCAGAGCCCAGGTTGGGAACAGTCATCATTTTGAACATTTGCAGGTATCATGGCAATGGGAAGAGAGCCCTGGGAGGGTCTTGCTCTGACAATTAAATGCTCTGGCCTAGGAGGGACACAGGGGCACTTTCTCTCACAACTATTGGCCAGAGCTAGTCACATGACTCCACCCAAACACAAGGGATTAGGAAGTATTGTCCTAGCCTAGCATTGCCAGGGAGGAAAGAAGACTTGGGATATTTGGCAAACAACATTAGTAAACACCATAATTTCAAGCCATTCCTTGATTACAATCACCAAATTAAAAAAAGTTTGATTTCTACTTGACAAATTTTGTCAAGATTGACAATAACACCAAATAAGTGACATTTGTTAAGTGCTCACTTAATCCAGGCCCTGGACTTTATTTTCCTTATTTGATTAAATCTTCTCAGCAATCCTAGAAGGAAAGTAGTATTATAATTCTTGTTTCCCAAGTGAGAAAACTAAGAAGAAAAGCTCCAGTGAATAAATTGGCCATGAAATAAGGGGGCCACAGAGCCCAGGCTTCGACTTTGGAGCTGGTTGGCACCATTACTCCCACACAACCCGCCTCAGTGAGTTCTCAAAGCCTTAGCTTTGGCGACCTTTTTATCTAATAGAACCAGAGATGAAGCCCTCCCTCTGCCTCTCCTTACAGTTTAAAGCCACTAGACCACTCTCCAGAACAGAGTTTAGCAACATTACACTCCCACAGTAAATGTTCAAAGCACCTCTGTGTTCTAGTCAGGAGATAAAACAGCTGTTCCCTCCGAATGGCTTATACTGAAATGTAAATGAAGAAGGACATTTAAAAAAAAAGAAAAAGAAAAAAATAGATTTACGTTCTTGCCTTTTAAAATTTTTATCATGTCCCATCCAAGCTTACTGTTTTTGTTTAATCTTGCCATTCCTTTTCTTCTTCCTTGTATGCTCTTTTTCTTAGGGATATGCAAACTTTATTAGTCAGCTCCTCTTTCAAGCTCTGTATGATTTTGTGTTTGAGAATTGGGAATCAGGTACTTTTACTGTTAGCCCCAGGGTGGATCTGAGCAGGAGGAAGCTTTATGAATAATCAGGGTTGACATCTCCAGCGTTGTTCCTTCATTATAAATATTGTTAAAGGAGCTGTGGCCACCATGGGCTCCCACTGAACAGGGTGTGTAGGGGAGGCAGAGACAGCCTTTGATTTCAGCTCTTTCCTGGTTAGCTCTACGCTGATGACCCTGGTGTTGACAGGTCTCTTAGATTTGGCTGCCTTTTTTTCAGAAAGTTTCTCTTCTATTAGCGTAAGTGTTTGGTCTGTAGGAAGCCGGGTTCAGCTCTCCAACTCCAAGGGCTAAGATCCATAGTTAATATTAGTGCTTGTGCGTTGCCTTAGCCTGAATTGCTAATAAATGCTGAGCTGCTTTGTGACTTTAACCATTTTAGTTCCATTTGGATTACTTATAGCATCATGATGTTTTTCAAGGGGAAAATAAATGATAGTACCCTTCTTTCCAACTCTTGAGAGAGCCCAGTCTCCACACGTTTGAAAAGACACCAGTATTCCATATGTCTGCTAATAACACAGCCAACCCCACCTGCATCCCACTAATCCCTGGTCATATTATTAGCAAACTGTCCTCTTTAGATTATTTATGTTATCTTGACACTATTTCCATTTTCAAAATGGGGATACATGCAAACTTGAATTTATATCACTTGAGTAAAACTTTGCAAATTTCCTCTGCCTTCCCTCTCCCCAGCTCCATTATCTTCTATCCATTCCCAATAGATTTGCAGAATAGTGTTATAAAACCTTTTACATGCTAAGACACTTGATGAACCTCATCTCATTTAAATGTCTCAATAGCCTTATGAAGAAAGTGATATTGCTGTTCTGATTTCCTTGAAAGATACAAAAATCTAGACTCAAGAAGTGAAGGAACTTGCCCAGGGTCACATGATGAAGTCAGGGTTAGAATCTGGGCTAAAATGCTGGGTTTCTAATTCAAGCCATTTACTCTCCCACCTAGTTGATGTGTATCAGCAATATTTGCCATTTTCATTCCACCAACATTATTGAGCATTTATTTTGTGTCATATACTGAAGTTACCAAGATAACTAAAGCAGAGTTCTAAGGAGCTCAGATCCTGGTGGAGGAGAAAGCCCTGCTTTTAACCCAGCCCTGATGGTGGTGGTATTAAGTATTCAGTGTAAGGGTTGAAACAGGAAACTTTGAGGGCACGGAGAAGAGACATTTAACTTGCTTTCAAGGACTTAGGGAAGGCTTCTGGGAAGAAGTAATATGAGGAAAGCTTCTGGGAAGACGTGATATGAGGGGATGAGCTTTGAGTTAGCCATGATGAAAAAGTGGGTCTCTATATGGTGGCTCACACCTGTAATCCTAGCACTTTGGGAGGCTGAGGCAAAAGAATTGTTTGAGTCTAAGAGTTCGAGGCCAGCCTCGGCAACATAGTGAGACCTTATCTCTACAAATAATTAAAAAAAGTTTAGCTGGGTATGGTGGCATGCGGTTGTAGTCCTCGTACTCAGGAGGCTGAGGTGGGAGAATCACCTGAGTCTGGGAGGTCAAGGTACAGTGAGCACTCCAGCCTGGGCGAGGGAGACCCTGTCTCAAAAAACCAAAAACAAAACCAAAAACAAAAAAAAAAGGTGAGTCTCACTGACAAGGAGCTGAAAGCCTGCTTTTGGGCAAAGGGAAAGGGAGAAAGAGATTTTTTTTCCTTCCCTAGGCTCTTGAAAAAACACTTCAAATACTTTTGATTAAGTCTGCCAAAGACTTTGATGAATGTATATTTGTGTGTGCTTAGGGTTCAAAAGTCCATATTATTCAATTTTGTGCAAAAACACACACTTTTGTTTTACCAGATGTGAGCATAGGGAAGACAGCGGGAGTACCAGATTTGAGGAGGGCTCTTACGCATTTAGTTTTGTGTTATTGAATTGAGATGTTTATAGGAAGTTTGAATGGAGATATATAGTAGGCATTTGGCTAGAGCGGGGTGGGGTGCTGGTGGTCTCGAGTTCGGGAGAGAAACCTGGGCTGGAATCATCAGCATCCAGGAGAGTGAAGGCAGCATGTAAAGTGATAGAAGAGATGATGGCCAAAATTTGAGCCCTGAAAAATACCAATATTTGGATGACCAGCAGAAAGAAGGCATTCTCAAAAAAGACTAAGAGCCCGGGATGGTGGTTCACGCCTGTAATCCCAGCATTTTGGGAGGCTGTGGTGGGTGGATAACTTGAGTCTAGGAGTTCAAGACTAGCCTGGACAACATGGTGAAACCCCGTCTCTACTAAAAACACAAAAATTAGCCAGGCATGGTGGCACAGGCCTATAATACCAGCTACTCAGGAGGCTGAGGCAGGAGGATCTCTTGAACCTGAGAGGCAGAGTTGCAGTGAGCTGAGATCACCCCATTATATTTCACTCTGGGCGACAGAGAGAGACTCTGTCTCAAAAAAACACACAAACAACCTAAAAAAGACTCGCCAAAGAGGCAGGAGAAAAATAAGGGGAATGTGGTGTCCTGAAACCCTAGGGAGCAGAACATTTCAAGAAGGAAAGAGAGCACAATGTGGTCTAATGTTGCTGCTAAGCATATAAGTTTCAGTGATGCATGTCTATTGGATTTAGCATGGAGGAAGCATTATCAGCCTTGTTGGGGTGTGGTCAGACTCTCAACTGCAGGGGTCATGAAGTGAATGAAAGGGTAAGAGTTACAGATCACCTTTTAGGAGCTGGCCTTTGAAAAATAGGTGACTTTTTCTGAAGAAGAGGATGGATGTAGGGAAGTAGTTGGTAGGGACTTGGGGTTGAGGGAGGAGGTTTTAAGGTTTAAGAGGGCATTAGGATGCTGATTGGGTGTGTCCACTAGAAAGGGAGGCTGCATTCAGCTGAGCAAGTCTCCAAGGCAAGGCAGGAGTGGCATAGTCCAGGGCAGAGATGGGAGGATCAGCCCAAGTAAGACGATGAATCCTCTTCCCTTTTGGCTGGGAGGGAAGACTGAAGAATGGCTCAAGAACAGGATGGGAAGCAAGAGTCAAGAACCCAGGATGATTTGCTGTGTGCTAAGTAGGTGCCAGGCATGGCTACTCACATACATAGACAAAATGTTGCAATCCTCATACTGCAGATGAGGAAAGGGAGGCTTGAAGATGCCAAGTAAGTTTCCCAAAGCCACAGCTGGCAGTGGCAGGGCTGGGATTCGAACACAGAAAGCCACGCTGCAGCACCTGCTCTCTCACCCACACTCTCTGCTGCATCAGGGAGGCAAGGCTAGTGACTGAGGTGAGAACTAGGAAGCTTCAGGAAGCTACGGCAAGAAGTCTGACTCAGGGCTCCTTTCTTTCTCCTTCTGACCCCCTCCCCAATCTGGCTATCTCTACATCATTAAAGTTAACACACTTTGGTCCTTGAAGGACAAATAGTGCGTGTGTTTTGAGCATGTGAATACCTGACACCCCTTTTCCATTGTCTGTACTATTCATTGTCTCTGCGAGTCACTCTGTGTAGTAGTCAATGTTTTTCAGACTAGAATTTTCAAATAAATTTTAGGGGAGCTATGCCCTTTCTCCAGAAATTTAAATTTCCCATTTATTTTGATTTTAAGAAAATCTTAGAACATCTTAATATTTATAATTGTGTCGGCACAAAGAATAGAACTATGTTGATTGGTTTGGGTTAATAAGAAAAGCTCAGAGGCTCAGGATGTAAATAGTAAATCCATACACCAAGTGAAAGGCAAATAACCTCACTTTGCAAATATTTAGTACTAGGTGCTAGGGGAGAAAATGGTACAGGAAGAATCTAGAATATCAATCATACTTTCAGGGTGCTTGCATTCTATTTGAGAAAATTAGACTAATAAAGAAAACCAGTTGGCATTTGTAGGGCTTAAGTGGGTGGGGCTTTTGCTAGAGCTCTATGGCAAAAATTAGAAAGAAGAATGTGGCTTAGGCTTGGGGTCCAATGGTACATCTTATTCCACTGAAAACCCTCTATCCTACCACCAAATTGAATATTGAAAATAGTATGTTCAGCTGAGCCTGTGGGAAAAGAGAGGAAGGCAACTGGGTCTGTAGTCCCAGCTATATTCCTATCTCAGAAGAGGTGAAGAGGAGAAGGCCATAGCTGAGACCCAGATCATGGAGGAAAGGGAGCATTGACTGGGCCTCTAACAACAGCTATCCTGTCCTTTCCTGTTTGTGGCCTTATGAATGTCTTTCAATCTGACCAGAGCTGCAACTCCTTCTTTCTTGGAGGGAGCAGAGCTGGAAAGTTGGGCAGAGGAGGATCTTATGAGGGAAAAGGGGCTGTAGAGTCCCCAACCCCCACATGTTTGATGAGGCACCAATATCTATGTGTTGCTGTTAGAGGAACGAGGCCATGTTAGAGTCAGCATGAGAATCTTCTTCATAGTGCAGCTTGTATTGCTCAGCTTAAGAAGAGAACTCAGTTTATTTCCCCAGGGGGGATTAGGCTGAGAAATCAATTGACATGCAGAAATCCCACGAGGGACCAGTGCATAAGCTGGAGTGATGATGTATTAATTGGCAATGGGAGAATGTGACTGGTGTCAATTCTCCACACCAGACACACTCTTCTGTATGTTTGTTCACTCAGGAGATTATGTCACAGGTTCGAAGGTTCCCAGTGAGTCCCATAGTTCAGTGGAGGAGTTTAATATTCTTGAGTGATAACTTGATGAATCACTCTTCTTTAGTGTCTGTGGTAGGAGTCAGCACTGATTACCTAGACCTAGAGTAACAGTCTTGTGGACAATCAAATTACTGTAAATTCCTCTTTTTCTAGACTTGTGCAGATTAGCAGAAGTGTTGTTACATGTATGTAAGGCAACTTGTTGTGGTTAGTTTATAGATCATCTGGCAAGAGTTCTTGTTTAGATTGACCCATTGCAGAGAACATTTTTGGGTGGCACCTTAGTCTTATGTTACAAGTCATCTCTAATTGTGGGTAGCATTCTAGGATGATTTCCATTGATGGCCAGTGCAATAATTCTGTGTTGACTTTTATTAATTTCAATTTCTTAGCACTCTATCTTCTTTCCTGGTATGATAATTCTGGGTATGCGGGTATGCCCTGTATTTGAAGCTTAGCAGCTCAATGTTCTGAGCACAGTTTAGAGTGGAATAGAAGAAAGGCAATGAAATAACATCACAAAGTATGGTGCTAGAAATTCCAAGCTATCTGGTGAGGTGAAACAACCCCTATTTTACACCTCAGGAAGTTGAGTTCAGGGAGGATCAGGAAGGCTGCCCAAGGACACATGGCTGGGAGTGGAGGATCTCAAGAGTCCAGCCTAGGTCTGTGTCCAATGGGAGCACTTTGGGAATTAAAAATTTTGTTCTTCCAGTTGAAGGGTTTCATGTATGAGGCAAAGCTTTAGCTGAACCCTGAAGGGGAGGTAGGAGTGGGAAGAGAAGAAAGTTTTGATTTAGTGAACAAGTCTGGATTGCCTTTGCTAACCCACCTCTTGGTTTTTGCATTCAATTCTGGCTACTACACTTTTCAAAGAATATAAACAAACTGGGGATTATTTAAAGCAATGGTTCTCAGCCTTTAATCCACCATGGATCCTGTGATTGATTACATTTCCAGAGCAATGTATTCTACCTGGGAACTTTGTATTGCTTTTCAGAGTATGGCATAAAATAATGCAGAAAGTAAGTTATCCTTAATTGTAGGTGCAGTTGCTGTAGTAATTTACCCTTTGTTGATCAAAAGAATGATTGTGTTACAAAATCATGGATAAAATCTATAGATACGAGATTAGAAACCAGGATGGTAGTAAAACCAAAATCATGTTGTTAAAAAAGAAAAACCTTAGTCAAATTAAATTTAACAGAGTTTAATTGAGCAAAGAACGATTCGTGAATCAGGCAGCCTCCTAGCCAGAGTAGGCTAAGAGACTCTGGCACAACCATGTTGTGGAAGAAGATTTATAGACAGGAAAAGAAAGGCTAGGGGTGGTGGCTCATGTCTGTAATCCTAACACTTTGGGAGGCTGAGGTGGGTGGACTGCCTGAGCTAGGGAGCTCGAGACCAGCCTGGGCAACATGGTAAAATCCCATCTCTACTAAAATACAAAAAATTAGCCAGGCGTGGTGGCATACACCTGTAGTCACAGCTACTCAGGTACTCAGGGAGGCTGAGGCAGGGGAATCGCTTGACCCAGGAGGTAGAGGTTGCAATAAGCCGAGATCGCACCACTGCACTCCAGCCTGGGTGACAGAACAAAAGTGTCTCAAAAAAAAAACAAACAAACAAAAAAAACAAAAACAAAAAGGAAAAAGGAAGAAAGAAAAGTGATGTACAGAAAATGGAAGTGAGGTAGAGAAATAGCTAGATTGCTGACAGCTCGGAGTTTGCTTTTATGAACAGTTGGCCTCCCTGATTGGCTTAAACGTGGTGATTGCACAAGAGTAGGTTACAGTCTGTTTACACCTCCATTTAGGTTATAGTTCACTATGTAACAGAGAAACCTTTAGGCTGAACTTAAAATTCGTAAGAAGGCAGCTTTGGGCTAAATTTGATTTTACAATGTTCAACGAGGAATGACTCAAGGCATTTTTGGAAGAGAGTATTCAGGACATGGCAGGGGATTTCCAATATTTGGAGAACCATTGTATGAAGGCATTACATACAATGTAAAAAAACTAATGTTTTTTTCAAAGATTTTTTTTCCAAGGGGTATAGCCAAGATCGTGGATTAAAGCTATATGACAAAAACACTGAGTAAAATAAGGAATATATGCTAAGGTGATGTGAGAAGATGAAATAAACTCTCAGAAGGTGTGAGCTCCCCACTGGAAAGCTGGGGCGATTTGGCTGGGGCTGTTTGAGTAAGAGCTGGACAAACTACCTGCTACAGATGTTGCTGTGGAGAATTGAGCTCTGGAGAGGGGATAGACCAGATGTGAAACACATCTGGTTTTCAGGCTACAACTCATTTCAGGCCAGGCACAGTGGCTCTATGCCTGTAATCCCAGCACTTTGGGAGGCCAAGGCTGGAAGATCACTTGAGGTCAGGAGTTCGAGACCAGCCTGGCCAACCTGGTGAAACTCCATCTCTACTACAAATACAAAAATTAGCCGGGCATGGTGATGTGCGCCTGTAATCCCAGTTACTGGGGAGGCTGAGGCAGGAGAATCACTTGAGCCCAGGAGGTGGAGGTTGCAGGGAGGCGGAGGTTGCAGTGAGCCAAGATCACGCCACTGCACTCCAGCCTGGACAACAGAGCGAGATTCTGTCTCAGCCAAAACAAAACAAAACAAAACTTCATTTTAACTCTGAATTTCTTTTTTTAATTTTTAATTTTTGTGGGTACATAATAGGCGTATATATTAATGGGTTACATGAGATGTTCTGCAGCATGTAATAATCACATCACGGAAGATGAAGTATCCATCCTGTCAAGCATTTATCCTTTGTGTTACAAACAATCCAGCTATATTCTTCCAGTTATTTTAAAATATACAATTGAATTATTATTGACTACAGTCACCCTTTTATGCTATCAAATGCTAGGCCTTATTCATTCATTCTAACTATATTTTTAGACCCATTATAACTCTGAATTTCTAAAATTAATAATTTTTATAACTGTTGACTTCACAGTATGTCTCAAACACCAGATTATTAATAATCTGATTAATAACCAACAAATACAGTTTTTAGATCTTGGGCTTGTAGAAATCCAGCTATGCATTTTATCATCAAAACTCCAAAGCTGAGAAGGTCCTGGCTTCTAAAGAGATTACAAAGTTGATTGTAGATTATTGATTGTGTTTGGAAAAGTATCCTTGGAAAGGAAAGTTTTTCAGGAGCCACTGCATTAGAATAAAGGAGTCCTTGACAATAAAAGGGATTTAAGAATAAAGGAGTCCTTTGTCAAGAGTTTATTTTTAACCCCAATACCAAGCTTATGATAACTGATTATTAAAGTGAGTTTGTCATCTACTTGCTGTCTAAAAGCTTTAGTGTATAAAAGCCATGGGAATGTATACGATTACCTCCAGAAAGAGAATAGGGAAGGAAAGAGCCAAGTTATCCAAGGTTATCTCTCTCTCTGTAGCGTTCTCTGTTTATGTGTAATTTTGTGCATTTGTATTAAACCTGCATTTGTTTTACGTGACCTCTGGCTTTCAAATGTTTGTAGAATACAAAGTATTCTTAACCTCAGATGTTATAATGGGCATCATAGTAAATATATTTTTATCAGATGGCTTTTTCTATAAATCCACTAGAAAGTAGTAAGCCCATTCCAATTACTCTTTGGAACCAAGGCAGTGTATACGTATTGAGGTTTTGCCGCAGCAGAGCAATTTTTGGTTAAATATTAGGGTTAAAAGAGGAGCTGTGGGGAAGGTCCCGGGTTTTGATGGCTGATGGCTGATGATCACTGAGAAAATTGCTTAGCAGCATAGATAATCGTATTAGAAGAGAAAGAATTTAACAATGATTTTTCATTTCTAACACTACTTCAGTCTTTCATCTCTATATTCCAAGCACTAAATAGAGTACCTAGAACACAGCAGGCATTCAGCAAATGTTTTGGGATGAATGACTTTTATGAAAAATCAAAAGAAAACTACTCTAAACTTCAGTTATTTCTCTTCCTGAGACAAGTCTATGTGACTGATGGAAAAGTGAAAATTCCAGTCATCATCAGTTGTTAAATAGTTAGGCTGCCAAATCATCTGTTTGACTGATGTTTACTCCCTTTGAGTTGACTGACTGCTTTGGCTCAGAGTTGACACAGCATGAGTCATAAGTTTCAGTTCTTGTCAGCTGATGGTTGCATTTCCATGCATAACCAGTGTGACTTATGTTGGTCATATCAGGCACAAATATAAATCACGACTGTCCAATCGTTGGTACTTGGGCCTTTTCTGACTGGAATGATTTCTTGGTCATTCTGTTGGTTAGTGACACTGAATACTCACTGATGGAACAGCATTGGCCAACTGATGGCAGAAGTTTCCTTCCTGAAAAGATCTTAAAATAGCACGCAATATAGAATTAGCCAGTGAATGCGAGTTCTCCTAAGTGTGAATGCAATTCTAGAACATGATGGAGAGTGATTCTCCACTGGTAAAATTTGGGAAAAGCAGGATATATATATATAAATTTTACTTTAAGTTCTGGGATACATGTGGAGAATGTGCAGGTTTGTTACATAGGTATACATGTGCCATGGTGGTTTGCTGCACCTATCAATGTGTCATCTATGTTAGGTACTTCTCCTAATGCTATCCCACCCCTTGCCCCCCCACCCCCTGACAGGCCCTGGTGTGTGATGTGCCCCTCCCTGTGCCCATGTGTTCTTAATAGACATAAACATATTTTTTAGGTTTCTAGTTGTGGTGGACAAACTTTAAGGTGGTCTCCATGATTCCTGCCCCTTGGTGTTTATGCTTTTGTATATTCACTCCCCTTGGGTGTGGGCAGGACCCCTGACTTATTTCTAGGCCACAGAGTATGGAGACGGTGATGCAATACTACTCTTGTGATTATATTTCATTTTAGAAGACTCTGCCTTGCTAGCAGAATTGCTCTACAGTTTTTCTCTCCTTTCTGGCTTTGGAGACACAAGATGCCGTGAGTCCTATGCCTGCAAGAAGATGAATTTTGCCAACACCCCAGTGAGCCTGAAAGTGAATCTTTCTCCACATGAGCTTTCAGATGAGAAGTCAGTCCTGGCTGACCTTGACTGCAGCCTTGCACAGGACTCAGCCAAAGCTGTGTCTGGATTCCTGACTCACAGAAACCATGAGACAATAAATGTGTATTGTTCTAAGATGCTAAATTTGTGGTAACTTGTTACACTGTATTAAAGAAGCATACACTAGTGTTCTTAAATAAACATTTGACTATGGTGTTGGTGTTCAGGACATCCACCCAGGAATCTGGATGGAAGATGCCATAGTCTTCTGACTTCCCTGGATTGGCACACATACACATTGAATGCTGACTTTTCCAAAGCAAGGAAGAACAAGAAGAAAGAAAAGAAGTGGGCTCTATATTCCTATTATTAAGTCTAATAATGTGCACGTTTGAATTATTGACCAGGACATTTGTGTTTAAAGGAAATAAAAATATGATTGAATTCCCACACATGGTTAAATCTTGAATTTATGGTCAATGTAGTGAATATTATTAGTTACTTACCATTCTTCCTTCTCTCCCTGCCCTTGCCTGTCTTCTCTGTGGGTAGAATATACCACCCTGCCCCACTAGTTTTGGGTGTGGCCATATGACTTTCTTTGACCAATGGAATGTGGTAAAGTGATAGGTGATCAGTTCTAGGCTGAGGCTTAAGAGGTTTGGTAAATGTTTGCCAGCAATTTTGTGCACCTGTTCTACACCACGAGAAAAGCACACTGAGGTAGCCACAGCTTTTTTGCCTGGATTCCTGAATGAAAAACACATGGAACACACCTGAATTTGATGTACTACTTAAAGCCAAACTGTCCCAGCCAGGATTCAGACCTGTGAATGAGAAGTTAATGTTATAAATGTCTGAGATATGGAAATTGTTTGTTATGTAGACTTATTGCAACAAGAGCTAACTAACACAAAATCCCAAATCACTGAATTATTTCATATAAGTGAAGCCAGCAAAAATTTAAGATTTTATCCCTTACCACAGACATATATGTAAATGAATTTATTCTTCCCTCCTGCAGCAGTGTATTTGGTCTTTATTTGGAAAGCGCCTTCTAGAGGAAGTTTCCTGATCCTGTTCTGTTGAATACTAATGTTATTCAATATATTCACAGGTGTTCTGTGAAATGAGGATTTTATATTCATGTCAATGAAAAGTAGGCTGACATATGTATTACTTCTGAGAATCCCTGCCTTGAAAGAAAGGAGTCTATTGAATGTAATTAAACCCAATATTTTTTCCATTCTTATTTGACCATTGATATGGTTAGGCTTTGTGTCCACACCCAAATCACATCTTGAGTTGTAATACCCACAACCCCCATAATCCCCACGTGTCAAGGGAGAGACCAGGTGTAGGTAATTGAATCATGGGGCCAGTTTCCCCATGCTGTTCTCGTGACAGTGAGTTCTCACGAGATCTCATGGTTTTATAAGGAGCTCTTCCCTTCGTCACTCGGCACTTCTTCTTGCCACCTTTTGAAGAAGGTGCTTTGCTTCTCCTTTGCGTCACTCCATGATTGTAAGTTTCCTGAGGCCTCCCCAGCCCTGCTGAACTGTGAGTCAATTAAACCTCTCCTTTATAAATTACTCAATCTTTGGGAAGTTCTTTACAGCAGTATGAAAACGGACTACTACAACCATAGATCCTATCCTCTTTTCTTGTAGAATACTAATTCATATCTTGTTCCTCTGAAGCAAGTTGATACTGCTATTCAGAGGCTTTGTGCTCACCTAACTGGCCTTTCCACCTTACAAGCAGATGCTGTGCAGCATATGTTTTTATTGGTGCCCTCAAAATCTAAGGCTATTAGGCAGATACTGCAGAAGTCACTGATTAGTATGTCTCTCTAGGAAGTATTAGAAAACCTGGGTAAGTAAGATGCCCAGATTAAGGTAGTTAATAAAGGCCTTGTCAGTGCAAGGCTATGGAATCCTCTACTGGGTTTGAGAGTAATTTTCTGGATAGTTAGGCAAGGAAGTCAAAATTTGGGGTAATCAGTCGCACTTGTTCATATTGTAAACTGGTTATTTGCATCCTATGAACAATTGATTCAAATCTAACACAGAATGACTCAATATTTGGTCCAAATTAAGTTCAAACTGGTGATCTGGAGGTCTTACATGTTTTTAAGTCCAGGGGATCACTTGCTAGAAGTCCATATAAGTTGTATGCTCAGATGCATGGAGTTGCTGGTATTTCCTTTTATCAGTGAATGTGCTGGGAGATCAATAATCTTTTTGATTTATGGCTTGAGATGGGGATGTGAACTGCTTGTACTGCAAATAAATTAAAAATGAACAAATATATTACAATACAAAAAAGTTTAAAAATGTTCCCAGACACATTAAACCCCCAATTTGGTGATGGGAAGGGATTTCTCAAACCCCCTTAGGGCTATATCTTCTAACTACAGCTGATAATTCCTGACAATCTAATAGCTGCCCCTTGAAGACACTCAGTTGTCTTTAACAGGAGTTCTGGTTATGTCATATCAGTGATTTGGGAACTGGGTCTGTGCTTTCAGATGAGAATGGCAAGGCAGTTCTAGGGGAGGTGACAGTGACTGGGGAAGACATGAAGATGGCCACCTTAAAAAATGGTTTTGGTGGAGGAATGAGATTAGCATATTAATTAAGGTCTTCACATCCAGTAATGATCTCATTTACTTATATAAACAGATGACAACAACATTGGGATAAATATTGTAAACCTCACTCTTTCGATACATTGAGTGAATTTTGGTAACACACAGGAATAGCTGTTGTAGAGCTCAGGAAGCCAAAGTCAAATGTGTTTCCAGTCTCTGTGCTTGTGCCTGTTTTCATAGGCTGGTCCCTCCTTGTTTGCTCACTTTTTTCTCATCTATAAAATAGGGAACTGTGACGGGGGATGGGGGGGCGCAGGGGGTGGGGGGAACTGGTTATAATGTTTCTTGATAAACCTTTGTAAAGCAATGTGCTTTTGGAAGTAATGGGCTCCATTCATTATTAGCCCAGTTGATTTTCATTTACACTTGGCTCTAACAATTAGCTTGAGCAGGTGTGAAGGTGATGGAGGGGCTGGGACGCCCAGAGGTCAGCCTCGGCTGGATGTGATAAATTAACCATTATTATCAGCAGTGAAAGTGTTTCTTTACGCTTGTCAGGAGCAAACAAAGGGACAACATATCTCACATAAACTCACTGTTCAGAGCTGGGTTTGATGAAGGATAAGAGTTTCCTTTGTGGCCCTATAGGCAGATGGGAGGGAGGCAAAGAGCTCACAGTAGTAGAGGTGGCAGTGCTTGGAAGGGATGTCTTGGTGACAGAGTGGTATGTGGCTGTCCCAGTCTGGGCTGTTTTGCAATGCTCATTTGCAATGCTCACCCATTCCAATAAGAAGCTGCTATCAGCCTCTGCTGGTGATGGGAATCCCACCTGTGTTTGCTTAAGGATTATTAGGGGGTGAAGCGTTTGTATATCAAAAAAGCACAATTATTACAGAGATGTACATTTCTATATACCAGTCAATAGATATTTTCAAACAAGGCCTTAAAATGGAACATGTTTAAAGTCAATGAAAAGAAAAAATGGGGAGTCTTCAGTTCTCCATCTGTACCAGTTTTAGAAGCCTCTAACAGACTTAGAAAGGTGTGGTGGTGTCCACAGAAGGTAACACCAGATCCTATCTACTGTAGATCCAATGGATCTAAATATCTTGATTCTGAAACAGGAAGTACTTTCCCATTTAGTTATACCTTGGCATGGAAAGTCAGTGGGCACACCCAGAGGTGCAACAGTCAAATAAGAAGGGCAGAGCTGATGCTTGCTAATCACTGTCCATAGGTTGAAATCCTGTAGACAACAGTTTGGTTTGACAATGTCAGAGGGACTGAAAACTTCTATCAACCCCAAATTCACATGTTGAAGCCCTAACCCCTTAATGTGACTGTGTTTGGAGATGGAGCCTATAAGGAAGTAGTCAAGGTTAAATAAGGTCAAGCGGAGGGGGCTGATCCTTATAAGAAGAGGTATCAGAGCTCGTGCATGCTGTCACTCTCTCTCCCCCTCACTACCCATAAGCACCAAGGAAAGGACATGTGTGCCCATGGTGAGATGGCGACCATCTGCAAGCCAGAAACTGAATTTCCTGGCACTTTGATCATGAACTTCCCAGCTTCCAGAGCTGTGAGAAAATAAATATCTGTTTAAGCCACCCAATCTGTAGTATTTTGTTATGACAGCTTGAGCAGACGAAGAGACTAAAAATCTGTTTGGAATATGGGAGCACATGAGTGGGACTTGAGTGTTTTATTTTAGAGTAATTAGGCTGAGACTTCAGTGAGGAACCCCTCAATACAGTGTGCATTAGTTTTTGCTCTTGGACTGATAAGACCTCCATGAAAGAATCTTTCAGTCTTCTGCGTAGGTAAGACTGCCTGGCTGCTAGGGTTCCCTAAGCTAAGTGGGGCAAGGCTAGCGGGAGGGACTCAGTTTCACATGTTCTCCCTGTTTGTGAATGGTACCTCCACCGTCAACTGTACCTAGTAGTTTTTACTTGAAATACTCTTTGCTTTACCTTCATGAGACAAAAAACAAAACAAAAACCTTTCAATCCTGTGTTGGAGTAGGGGTTGTGCCATGCCTGGATCTGGGAGTCTAACTATGACTTAAACAGCCCTTAACATTTTCTCCATTTGGGGCCAGGCATGGTGGCTTACGCCTGTAATCCCAAAACTTTGGGAGGCCGAGGTGGGCGGATCACAAGGTCAAGAGATTGAGACCATCCTGGCCAACATGGTGAAACCCTGTCTCTACTAAAAATACAAAAATTAGCCAGGTGTGGTGACGTATGCCTGTAGTCCCAGCTACTTGGGAGGCTGAGGCAGGAGAATCACTTGAACCTGGGAGGCAGGGGTTGCAATGAGCCGAGATCACGCCACTGCACTCTAGCCTGGTGACAGAGCGAGACTATCTAAAAAAAAAAAAAAAAATTTCTCTATTTGGATTTTTCTTTGGTACAACATGAAGTATAGATTCAACTTAATTTTTTCCAGGCTGCCCTGTTTTCTCATCACCAGTTTTTGAACAGTTCATTTTTCCCACTGATCTGGAATCAGATAAAAGGGTAAAAGG
This sequence comes from Homo sapiens, assembly GCF_000001405.40. Classification (NCBI taxonomy): domain Eukaryota; kingdom Metazoa; phylum Chordata; class Mammalia; order Primates; family Hominidae; genus Homo; species Homo sapiens. Next base: position 60,249,586 of record NC_000015.10, on the reverse strand, counting down.
AAAACAGAAGACAAAAGAAAAAACTATATGCAGTAGCAACCAAAAGATAAAATACATGGGAATAAATTTAATAAAAGTAAAAGTCCATATATAAAGAAAATTTGAAAACATTCCCGAAGACCTTAAAATAATTGAAAAAAATGGGAAAAGGCCTATCCTGTTCTTGTCAAAAATGACTCGACATCATAATGATGTCAATCTTCTCTAAGTTAATTTATACATTAAGACAGGACCTCAAAAATACCAGAAAGATTATTTATTTCTCTTGAAAACCAGGCAAAATTAGTTGTATGTAGTTACATGCAACATATAGGAAAATTTTTTCTCTAAGAGCTAGAAAGATCTTTGAAGAAGAACAAAAATTCGGAGAAATAGATGTTGCAGCTATTGTATGTTATACAGCATTAGCTATTGTTAGTGTATTGTTAGTACATGTCAGAGAAATGAAAGAACAAAAAGTCTAGAAATCTAAAATACGCACAATTTTAATATATGAAAGGGTGGCAATGCAAATCAGTGGGAAAAATGAACTATTTAAAAACTGGTGATGTGAGACAAAGGACAGCCTGGAAAAAATTAAGTTGAATTCATACTTCGCACTGTATACAAAGAAAAATCCAAATGGAGAAAAATTTTAATATAAATAAATGAATACATTGAATTAAAGAAGAAAGCATGAAAGAATGCTTTTAAATCTCAAAATAAGAAAGGGTTTGTAAACTATGACTTAAAGTCTAGAAGTCTTAAAGATGAATAGATTCAAGTATGTGTGTTTATATTACATGCATATCTGTAAGTTTTTTTTTACATAGTAAAAATCAAACACAGCCAGGTATGTAATTCCGGCACTTTGGGAGGCTGACGTGGGCAGATTACCTGAAGTCAGGAGTTCAAGACCAGCCTGGCCACCATGGTGAAACCCTGTCTCTACTAAAAATACGAAAATTAGCCGGGTGTGGTAGCATGCACGTATATTCCCAGCTACTCAAGAGGCTGAGGCACAAGAATCGCTTGAACCCGGGAGGCAGAAGTTGGAGTGAGCCGAGATTGTGCCATTGTACTCCAGCCTAGGTCACAGAGCAAGACTCTGTCTCCTCCCACTCCCCCCAAAAAGCAATATCAAAAGAAAGATGATAAATTGGGAAAAATATTTTAAGCTCCTATTGCAAAGAACTATCTTCTTTAGAATATAAAGAGATCCTAAATGTCAATAACAAAATACTTATTAGAAAGTTTACCAAAAGGAGCCACAGATAAAACTTAAATACATGCAAAGATGCTCCACCTTGCACATAATAGAAGAGACAGGTAAATTAAAACTGCACTGTAGTAATCTTTTTTTTTTTTTTTTTTTTTTTTACCACTTAGGCAAAGGCTAAAAGTTTGCTAACACGTCCTGGGCAAGGATGTAGAGAAATGATCACTTTCATAAATTGCTTGTGGGAGTATAAATTGGTGAAAATCCTCTGGAGGGCAATTTGGCAATGGAATGACAATTAAAAATATTCCCTTTTATGCAGCACTTCAACATCTAGCAATTTACCTTATAGATATACCTATGCATTTGTATAATTTATGTAATAGATAACTTATTGCAGAGTTGTTTGTCAGAAGATTGGAAAACTTGGACATCTATCCATAGGGGACTGCTTAATACTTATGATAACTTCCTACAAAACAATACTATGCAACTGTAAAAAAGAATGAGAATGTCGTTCTCATTCTACTAGTAAATACTTTCACAAGTAGTGTAAGTGCCATATAACATATCGTTTATATTAGGATTTTAAAAGATCTCTAAGATATGTTTCACTGTTAGGTAATAAAAGGAAGGTGAATAATAGCATAATATTTTGGATAAAATAGAGGAAGGAAATCATATACTGTGCTTGTATATATATATTTAAAGTCTCTGGAAGGATAAACCAGAAACTAACAATAGTGGTTGTTCGTTGGAGAAGGATGGGAACTGTGTAGATGGGTATATGGATGGCAGGGAGGCTTTTCAGACTATGCACTTTAGTGCTCTTTGATATTTGAACCACCTGACTATTTTACCTACTAAAACCAATAAATGAATAATTTTTTAAATCTAAATATGAGTGTAAGAACTTAAGTAAAACTTGCATGTTTGAAATGGCACCCCAAAAATGAGTACAACAGGATTATAACAGGAATCCAAAGAGCTGAGCTCTTTGGAATTTGTGTTGCACTGAACTTTTGAAAAAAATACCACATATGCAAGATATGTAATCCAGGAGTTCAGTCACTAAATGCTGTTCCAAGCTATGATACCTGAATCAGTGGATTTTAAACCCCCTATACCTGCATTCGTGGTTCTATGGTGATGATTAATGATGTTTTGCTTTATAAGCTGTAGGCCCTATGAGATGCTTACATAAGAAGAAAAGATGCAATTTTTTTCATTTGTCTTAAATTTACAAGTGGTTTTGTTTTTGTTTTTAATAGGCTTAAATATGCCAGGGGTGCTTTTCTGGATTGGTTGGTTGATTGACTGATTTCACTGAATATAATCAGACCACTGGGTTTGTGTTGTGCTTTAGTTCACAGTATGCACTAAAATACTTAAACCATCCAAAAGTATTTTACTTAATTTTTCATTCATTAAAAAATATAATTAAACAGGTTAATCAATTTCCAATCACAATATTTTTCTCACATCAAAGTAATAAATGTTTATTGTACAAAGTTGAGAAAATTTAGAAAAGAAGAAAAAATTATACAGAAATAATCTTGATAGCTTTTTGATGTCTTTTTCTCATCTGTATTATAGGTTAAAAAATTGTTCCTACTTTTTTTGATCAGTTTTTCATATAAGATTTTACATAACAGCATTTCCAATGTTAATTACATTCTTGAACATGATTTTTAATAACTCTTGTGTATTGCACTATTTGGATGTCCCATCATTTATTTAATCCTGTAGTCTTGGACATCTAAGGACAACCTATTTCTGAAGCACTTTGTTTAATTGGAGTTTTCCTATATCTTACTTAATGATGAATTTAGTTGGCTTTGCTTAAAATGCTCTGTAGAATTGTCACACTGGCTGCCTGAGAAGGATGTGATCCTTGGTCTTGTCCTGAGTGGATCCAATCCCAAAGGCCAGCTTTGAAACAGGTGTATTTTATGATCCAAAATGTGGTCATCTTTTTGTATGCTCTAGGTTGAGACTATATATTCTGTTGTTAGATAAACTATCCTCTAAATGTCAATTCATATTGATGGTGCTATTCTGTTCACTCTATCTTTACTAATTTTCTACATGCTGGATCTGTCAATTATAGAGACAGGTGTGATGAAGTCTTCAATTATAATAATGGGTTTCCCTATATTTTCCTGCAGTTTTATCAGTTTTTGTCTCACCTATTTTGACATTTTCTTGTTAGGTGCATATAAGCACCGTGTATCTTGTTGCAGAACTGATCGCTTTGACATTATGAAATACCCTTCATCCTGATAATTTTCTTGCTCTGAAGTCTGCTTTCTGAAATTAATATAGCCACTATAGCTTCTTTTGATTAGTTCTAACATGGCATATCTCTTTCCATCCCTTTACTTTTACCCTATCTGTGTCTTTATATTTACAGTGGATTTCTCATAGATAGCATACAGTTGGGTCTTGTTTTTCAGCCACATTGACAGTCTCTGTCTTTTAACTGGTTTATTTAGACCATTCATTCTTAAAACTATTATTGATATAGTTGGGTTAGTATCTACCATTTTTGTAATTGCTTTATATTTGTTCTTTGCTTCTTTTTTCTTATTGCCTTGGTTTTAATGGAGCATTTTATTATTCCATTGCTCTCCTTTTTTTAGCATATTGATTATAAGTCTTAACATTTTTTAGTGGTTGCTCTAGCATTTGTGATGTTTATTTACATAATCTAAGTCTACTTTCAAATAATACTATACCATTTCACAAGTAGTGTAAGTGCCATATAACAAAATATTCCCAATTTCTTCCTCCCATCTCTTTATACCATTAATGTCATCCATTTTACTTGTCCATAAGCTATAATTATTAAATATATTGCTATTATTTGGACAGTTATCTGTTAGGCCAGTTAAGAATAAGAAAAACAACACATTTTATTTTACCTTCATTAGTTCCTTTTCTAATGTTCTTTCTTTTGCTTTATGTAGATTCAAACTTCTGATCTATATAATTTTCCTTCTTTCTAAATAATTCCTTTTAACACTTCTTGCAGGTCTACTGGCAACAAATTCCCTCTTTTTTTGTTCTGAGAAAGTCTTTATTTCTTATTCACCTTTGATGGATTATTTCACTGGGTATGGAATTCTAGATTGGTGGAGTTTTTTTCAACAGTTTAAATATTTCACTCCATTCTTTTCTTGTTTACATGGTTTCTAAAGTTCATTGAAATTATTCTCCTTGTTCCTCTATAGGTAAGGTAATGCTTTTCCTCTGGCTTCTTTCATAATTTTCTGTTTGTATTTGGTTATATGTGGTTTGTAAATTTTTTGATATTAAATATCATTGGCATTCTTTGGGCTTCTTGGATCTGTGGTTTCAAGCCTGTCATTAATTTCAGAATAGTCTCAGCCATTATTATTCACATATATCAAATCCTTTTCTGTCTTCCTTTTCCTTCTAGCATTCTCATTATGCATATTTATACCTTTTTCAATTTTCCCACAGTTCTTGGGTATTCTGTTCATTTCTCCCCCTATTCTTTTTTCTCTTTGGTTTTCAGTTTGGGAAATTTCTATGGAAATATCTTTAAGCTTACTGCTTCTTTCTCAGCCTGACCCAGTTTATGGGTCAGGGCACCAAGCAAGGATGAGTTCATCAAAGGCATCCTTCATTTCTGGTTTAGTGTTCTTGATTTTTAGTGTTTCCTTTGATTCTTACTTAGTGTTCCCATCTCTCTGCTTATATTACCCATCTGTTCTTGCATGTTGTCCACTTTTTTCATTAGAGCTCTTGGTGTATTAATCAGTTATTTTAAATTCCCATTTGATAATTCTAATACCTGTCATACCTGAGTATGGTTCTGACACTTGCTTTGTCTTTTCAGACTGTTTTTTCCAGTCATTAGCATGCCTTATAATTTTTTTGTTGAAAGCCAGAAATGATGTATCAGTTCATGGGAACTGAGGTAAATAGGCTATTAGGGCGAGGTTTTATGTTTATCTACTTTTTCTTAGATGGAGTCTGTATCTTGCAGCTCTCTCAGTTGTAATCCACTGTCACTGTACTAGAGCCCTGTTGATGTGGCGATAAGTATCAGGGAGTTGAAGCATTCTATAATATGATTAAATTTCAGGGTTTTTTAAAGTGGGTCTGAGTCTTTTCAGGAGAGTGTCTTAGTCTTTTTTTTGTCCCCTGATGTGAAATAGGACAGAAAGGGCTCAAGTTGTCTAATTGCCATTCTCCTAGGTCGGATAAGAGTCTGGTAAAGAAATTTCTCTTGAGGGCAGGATTTTATTACAGAGAAAGGAATGCTCAGTTAACAAATTATAATGGTTACTCCTCCAACCCCAGGTTTATTTCAAAATTGTTATTTCCTTATCTCCCTGCTGGATGCCAGACATTTTTCTCGCATCTTCAGTGTGAGAATCTGATGGGGCTTTTGGAGGTGAAACTCATGAAAGTGTTGGAGTATCCCTATGAGTGGGCCCCCAGGAGTTTTTAACTCTCAAGCCAGATCTTGCTCCACCTCCAGCAATTCGTCTATTAGCATCCAAGTGTTCTTCCCAGTTACTACTTCCTGTGACCTCTGTTTCTGGTCATCTGTGATTCCGTATATTCTCCTGTTTCTCCAGTTTTGGGGATGGTGGTTTGCCCTCTTTGCTCAATTCTGTGATGGATCAAAAGAGTTTTGACATTCAGAGTGTCCGGCTTTTCTCTTGTGAGGACAGAGTGGTGATTTCTGAGTTCTTTAAATGTTGGAGTGGAAAACTGTCTTTTGAGAAAACAATAACAACAACAAAACCCAAAAAACAACCAAAAACCACCTTTCCTGGACTTAATCTGTGGAATCTCTCTCCTTGTGGTATGCATGCTGCCAGTGATAGCTATGCTTTGATTTCTTTCAATCCTTCTTATTTTTAAGTCTGGCCTTCTAGTGGGTGCCTGTGGGTCTGTATATGGCTAACCAGTGATTGGTCAGAAAATTTGCGCAAAACCTAGGCTTCCTTTCCCTGCCAGTTGATCCATGCATGGGATGGGGAGCACATTCAATGTTAATGCTGTTTCCAGGTTGGCCTCAGTGTTCACTCTTTTTCTTTTTCTTTTTTTATTATACTTTAAGTTTTAGGGTACATGTGCACAAAGTGCAGGTATGTTACACAGGTATACCTGTGCCATGTTGGTGTGTTGCACCCATTAACTCGTCATTTACATTAGGTATTTCTCTCAATGCTATCCCTCCCCCAGCCCCCCACCCCACAACTAGCCCTGGTGTGTGATGTTCTCCACCCTATGTCCATGTGTTCTCATTGTTCAACTCCCACCTGTGAGTGAGAACATGCAGTGTTTGGTTTTCTGTCCTTGTGATAGTTTGCTTAGAATGATGGTTTCCAGCTTTATCCATGTCCCTGCAAAGGACATGAACTCATCGTTTTTTATGGCTGCATAGTATTCCATGGTGTATATGTGCCACATTTTCTGAATCCGGTCTATCATTGATGGCCATTTGGGTTGGTTCCAAGTCTTTGCTATTGTAAATAGTGCCACAATAAACATATGTGTGCATGTGTCTTTATTGTAGAATGATTTGTAATCCTTTGGGTATATGCCCAGTAATGGGATTACTGGATCAAATGGTATTTCTAGTTCTAGATCCTTGAGGAATCACCACACTGTCTTCCACAATGGTTGAAATAATTTACACTCCCACCAGCAGTGTAAAAGTGTTCCTATTTCTCCACCTCCTCACCAGCATCTGTTGTTTCCTGACTTTTTAATGATTGCCATTCTAACTGGCGTGAGATGGTATCCCATGGTGGTTTTGATTTGCATTTCTGTGACCAGTGATGATGAGCATTTTTTTGTGTCTGTTGGCTGCACAGATGTCTTCTTTTGAGAAGTGTCTGTTCATATCCTTTGCCCACTTTTTCATGGGTTTTTTTTTTCTTGTAAATGTGTTTAAGTTCTTTGTAGATTCTGGATATTAGCCCTTTGTCAGATGGGTAGATTACAAAAATTTTCTCCCATTCTGTAGGTTGCCTGTTCACTCTGATGATAGTTTCTTTTGCTGTACCAAGGCTTTTTTGTTTAATTAGGTTCCATTTGTCAAATTTGGCTTTTGTTGCCATTGCTTTTGGTGTTTTAGTTATGAAGTCTTTGCCCATGCCTATGTCCTGAATGGTATTGCCTAGGTTTTCTTCTAGGGTTTTTATGGTGTTAGGTCTAACATTTAAGTCTTTAATCCACCTTGAGTTAATTTTTGTATAGGGTGTAAGGAAAGGATCCATTTTCAGCTTTCTACATATGGCTAGCCAGTTTTCCCAGCACCATTTATTAAATAGGAAATCCTTTCCCTATTGCTTGTTATTGTCAGGTTTGTCAAAGATCAGATGGTTGTAGATGTGTGGTGTTATTTCTGAGGCCTCTGTTCTATTCCATTGGTCTATATATCTGTTTTGATACTAGTACCATGCTGTTTTGGTTACTGTAGCCTTGTAGTATAGTTTGAAGTCAGGTAGTGTGATACCTCCAGGTTTGTTCTTTTTGCGTAGGATTGTCTTGGCTATGCAGGCTCTTTTTTGGTTCCATATGAACTTTAAAGTAGTTTTTTCCAATTCTGTGAAGAAAGTCATTGGTAGCTTGAAGGGGATAGCATTGAATCTATAAATGACTTTGGGCAGTATGGCCATTTTCACGATACTGATTATTCCCATCCATGAGCATGGAATGTTCTTCTATTTGTTTTTGTCCTCTTTTATTTCATTGAGCAGTGGTTTGTAGTTCTCCTTGAAGAGGTCCTTCTCATCCCTTGTAAGTTGGATTCCTAGGTATTTTATTCTCTTTGTAGTAATTGTGAATGGGAGTTGACTCATGATTTGGCTCTCTGTTTGTCTATTATTGGTGTATAGGAATGCTTGTGATTTTACACATTGATTTTGTATCCTGAGACTTAGCTGAAGTTGCTTATCAGCTTCAGGAGATTTTGGGCTGAGATGATGGGGTTTTCTAAATACACAATCATGTCATCTGCAAACAGGGACAATTTGACTTCCTCTTTTCCTAATTGAATACCCTTTATTTCTTTCTTTTGCCTGATTGCCCTGGCCAGAACTTCCAACACTATATTGAATAGCAGTGGTGAGAGAGGGCATCCCTGTCTTGTGCCGGTTTTCAGAGGGAATGCTTCCAGTTTTTGCCCATTGAGTATGATGTTGGTTGTGGGTTTGTCATAAGTAGTTCTTATTATTTTGAGATACGTTCCATCAATACCTAGTTTATTGAGAGTTTTTAGCATGAAGGCTGTTGAAGTTTGTCAAAGGCCTTTTCTGCATCTATTGAGATAATCATGTGGTTTTTGTCGTTGGTTCTGTTTATGTGATGGATTATGTTTACTGATTTACATATGTTGAACCAGCCTTGCATCCCAGGGGTGAAGCCCACTTGATTGTGGTAGATAAGCTTTTTGATGTGCTGCTGGATTTGGTCTGCCAGTATTTTATTGAGGATTTTTTCATCGATGTTCATCACAGATATTCGTCTAAAATTCTCTTTTTTTGTTGTGTCTCAACCAGGCTTTGGTAACAGGATGATGCTAGCCTCATAAAATGAGTTAGGGAGGATTCCCTCTTTTTCTATTGATTGAAATAATTTCAGAAGGAATGGTACCAGCTCCTCTTTGTACCTCTGGTAGAATTCAGCTGTGAATCCATGTGGTCCTGGACTTTTTTTTGGTTGGTAGGCTATTATTGCCTCAATTTCAGAACCTGTTTTTGGTCTATTCAGAGATTCAACTTCTGCCTGGTTTAGTCTTGGGAGGGTGTATGTGTCCAGGAATTTATCCATTTCTTCTAGATTTTCTAGTTTATTTGCAAAGAGATGTTTATAGTATTCTCTGATGGTAGTTTGTATTCTGTGGGATTGGTGGTGATATCCCCTTTATCATTTTGTATTGCGTCTGTTTGATTCCTCTCTTTTCTAATTTATTAGTCTTGGTAGTGGTCTATTTTGTTGATCTTTTAAAAAAAAAAAAAAACAGCTCCTGGATTCATTGATTTTTTTTTTTTTTTTTTGGAAGGGTTTTTTGTGTCTCTATCTCCTTCAGTTCTGCTCTGATCTTAGTTATTTCTTGCCTTCTGCTAGCTTTTGAATTTGTTTGCTCTTCTCTACTTCTTTTAGTTGTGATGTTAGGGTGTCAATTTTAGATCTTTCCTGCTTTCTCTTGTGGGTATTTAGTGCTATAAATTTCCCTCTACACACCGCTTTAAGTGTGTCCCAGAGATTCTGGTACGTTGTGTCTTTGTTCTCATTGGTTTCAAAGAACATCTTTATTTCTGCCTTCATTTTGTTATTTACCCAGTAGTCATTCAGGAGCAAGTCATTCAGTTTCCATGTAGTTGTGCAGTTTTGAGTGAGTTTCTTAATCCTGAGTTCTAATTTGATTGCATTGTGGTCTGAGAGACAGTTTGCTGTGATTTCTATTCTTTTGCTGAGGAGTGTTTTACTGGCCAAATATGTGGTCAAATTTAGAATAAATACAATGTGGTGCTGAGAGAATGTATATTCTGTTGATTTGGGGTGTAGAGTTCTGTAGATGTCTATTAGGTCCACTTGGTCCAGAGCTGAGTTCAAGTCCTGGATATCCTTGTTAACCTTCTGTCTCATTTATCTGTTTAATAGTGACAGTGGGGTGTTAAAATCTCCCATTATTATTGTGTGGGAGTCTAAGTCTCTTTGTTTGTCTCTAAGGACTTGCTTTATAAATCTGGGTGTTCCCGTATTGGGTGCATATATATTTAGGATAGTTAGCTCTTCTTGTTGAATTGATCCTTTTACCATTATGTAGTAGCCTTCTTTGTCCCTTTTGATCTTTGTTGGTTTAAAGTCTGTTTTATCAAAGACTAGGATTGCAACCCCTGCTTTCATTTTTGCTTTCCATTTTCTTGGTAGATCTTCCTCCATCCCTTTATTTTGAGCCTATGTGTGTCTTTGCATGTGAGATGGGTCCCCTGAATACAGCACACAGATGGGTCTTGACTCTTTATCCAGTTTGCCAGTCTATGTCTTTTAATTGGGACATTTAGCCAATTTACATTTAAGGTTAATATTGTTATGTTTGAATTTGATCCTGTCATTATGATGTTAGCTAGTTATTTTGCCTGTTAATTGATGCAGTTTCTTCATAGCACTGATGGTCTTTACCATTTGGCATATTTTTGCCATAGCTGGTACTGGTAGTTCCTTTCCATGTTTGGTGCTTCCTTCAGGAGCTCTTGTAAAGCAGGCCTGGTAGTGACAAAATCTCTCAGCATTTGCTTGTCTGTAAAGGATTTTATTTCTGCTTCACTTATGAAACTTAGTTTGGCTGGATATGAGATTCTGGGTTGAAAATTGTTTAAGAATGTTGAATATTGGCCCGCACTCTCTTCTGGCTTGTAGGGTTTCTGCTGAGAGATCTGTTGTTAGTCTGATGGGCTTCCCTTTGTGGGTAACCAGATCTTTCTCTCTGGCTGCCCTTAATATTTTTTTCCTTCATTTTAACCTTGGTGAATCTGACAATTATGTGTCTTGGGGTTGCTCTTCTCGAGGAGTGTCTTTGTGGCGTTCTCTGTATTTCCTGAATTTGAATGTTGGCCTGCTTTTGTAGGTTGGGGGAGTTCTCCTGGATAATATCCTGAAGAGTGTTTCCTAACTTGGTTCCATTCTCCCCATCACTTTCAGGTACACCAATCAAACGTAGATTTGGTCTTTTCACATAGTCCCATATTTCTTGGAGGTTTTGTTCGTTTCCTTTCACTCTTCTTTCTCTAATCTTGTCTTCTCACTTTATTTCATTAGTTTGATCTTCAGTCACTGATATCCTTTCTTCCACTTGATCAAATCAGTTATTGAAGCTTGTGCATAGGTCACGAAGTTCTTGTGCCATGGTTTTCAGCTCCATCAGGTCATTTAAGGTCTTCTCTACACTGTTTATCCTAGTTAGCCGTTTGTCTAATCTTTTTTCAAGGTTTTTAGCTTCCTTGCGATAGGTTAGAACATGCTCCTTTAGCTTGGAGAAGTTTGTTATTACCGACCCTCTGAAGCCTACTTCTGTCAACTCGTCAAACTCATTCTCCATCCAGTTTTGTTCCTTGCTGGTGAGGAGTTGCAATCCTTGGGAGGAGAAGAGGTGCTGTGTTTTTTGGAATCTTCAGCTTTTCTGCTCTGGTTTCTCCCCATTTTGTGGTTTTATCTATCTTTGGTCTTTGATGTGTGTGACCTACAGATGGGGTTTTGGTGTGGATGTCCTTTTTGTTGATGTTGATTCTATTCCTTTCTGTTGGTTAGTTTTCCTTCTAACAGTCAGACCCCTCAGCTGCTGGTCTGTTGGAGTTTGCTAGAGGTCCAGTCCAGACCCTGTTTGCCTGGGTATCACCAGCAGAGGCTGCAGAACAGCAAATATTGCTGCCTGATCCTTCCTCTGGAAGCTTCCTCCCAGAGAGGCATCTACCCGTTTGACATGTCTGCTGGCCCCTACTGGGAGGTGTTTCCCAGTCCCACTACACGAGGGTCAGGGACCCACTTGAGGAGGCAGTCTGTTCTTGGAGCTTGAATGCTGTGCTGAGAGAACCACTGCTTTCTTTAGAGCTGTCAGACAGGGACGTTTAAAAGTCTGCAGAAGCTGTCTGCTGCCTTTTGTTCTACTATGCCCTGCCCCAAGAGGTATAATCTATAGAGGCCGTAGGCCTTGCTGAGCTGTGGTGGGCTCCGCCCATTTCATGCTTCCAGGCCTCTTTGTTTATACTGTGAGCTGCTCATGCCTCAGCAATGGTGGATGCTCCATCCCCCATCCAGCTGCAGCATCACAGGTCAATCTCACACTGCTGGGCTAGCAGTGAGTAAGGCTCCGTGGGCGTGGGACCTGCCGAGCCAGGCACAGGAGGGTATCTCCTGGTCTGTCGGTTGCTAAGACTGGGAATAGCGCAGTATTTGGTCAAGAGTGTACCTTTTCTCCAGATACATTCTGTCACAGCTTCCCTTGGCTAGGAAAGGGAAATCCCCCAACCACTTGTGCTTCCTGGGTGAGGCAACGCCCTGCCTTGCTTCGGCTCACCCTCCATGCGCTATACCCACTGTCCAACCAGTTCCAGTGAGATGAACAAGGTACCTCAGTTGGAAATGCAGAACTCACCCATCTTCTGTATAAATCTCGATGGGAGCTGCAGACTGGAGCTCTTCCTATTCGTCCATCTTGGAAGCGACGCCAGTGTTCACTCTTTTTCAGGCCTCGTGTGGTCTTCCTTGTGTGGAGTACAGCCAGTCAGGCAGCCTAGGCTGTGTGGGAAGCTTATCAAGGATCTGTCTGTTACATTTCTGTCCCTTCCTGTAGTTGGCTGCTTTCTCCAACTGGGACCATAACCTAAGACTAGGAGAGATGCTAGCATTTCCCATTTACTGCTGCTATCAAATCGAACTGGAGTCTGCTCGCCTGGTGCAGTGACACCAGATGTCTATACCAAGTGTGCTGCAGGAGAAACGAAGTTGCTTATTTTTCAGGCCACCAAGCAAGGAGAAACAGGCAGCTAACATTGAAATCCTGACCTCCCTGATGGCTTACAGGTAATGGTTTTTAAAGACAGAAGTAAATTTTGGAAAAGCAGAAGTTACAGGCAAAATTGTAAATCAATACATAGAGATTACAAATTGATTTTGGCCTAAGAGGGCAGGATATTCTTTAAGTGGGGGCTTACTGAACATAGGCACATTCAAAGATTTTCTGATTTGCACTTGGTTAAGGAAGAGAAGCTTCCTTAATTTGGGCCCGCAGGCAATAATGTTAGCTTTGGCTGATGGGTATGACTTTCTCCAGGCCCCTCAGGAAAATATTTAAAATAAAGAATGGTGGTCAGAGGTCAGTCTCCAGTTCCCCCTTCTCTGAGGCCTATGACGAGTCTGTTGAGTTGGAATCCAGGTTCCTGAAAACAGCTTGGAGATATGAGTTATTATCTTTAGTTTCTATAAGAGAACTAAATATCCGGTGATTCCAGTTTCCTTGGCTGTTGTTTGAGGCTATTATCTTCTTGATTAGCAAGTGAGAATTTACTTCTCGGGGATAGCTTTGTCTCTAGAACTTCCCTTGCAGGAACTCAAGGTTTTCCTTTATTTCCAGGCTTGCAGGGGGCCCCCGCAGGCCCTAAGAGGAGGTCCGTGCTCTGTCTCACTGCCTTGAGTAGATTTTCTACTTCCTTTTCAAATCCAGCCACTTCCTGAACCTCTAAACCCCACCTGCTGACAGCAGTCTGCTGGTTCTCTTGGCTAACTCAGCCCTGGTAATACCTTACTGGTCATGGAACTGTGGTGTGGAAGGGACAGGAACTGCCCCAGGTAAGAATGCCATACACTGTCAGTGTAACTTTTCTCTTACAGCCTAAGGGGCGATAGTTGGCAACAGGGTAATTTAACCATTGGATCCATAAACACAGAGCCTGGGACTTGGACTTTGCAAGAGCCTAATAAAATGTTGGGATCCTGGAAGGAAATTACTAATGAAAAATCTGAAACTATAAAATTCATATTAATAAATGTTTAAGCTTTTACAAAATGAAACATGTTTCCCAATCAACTGCAACTCATTTCAACTGATATGATTTTATGTGCATCTCCTATAAAGTGGGATGTAGGATATTTGATACAATGTGGGTAAGGTAAGGCTTCCAAAAAACTTAAGAGTGCATGGAGCCGGTAGAGGTCTTGGAAAAGCCTTTGTTGGTAGCTAGAAGGTTTCCCTCTTACCCCATGAGCAGTCTTGAAATGGATTCGTGTTGCCTCTTCTACTTGCAAAAAATGTTGGCCCTGCTGGTTTCAAGCCACATCTCTCCTGGACCAGCCTATGCTATGATCAAGACTGAGGGTGAAAGGTGTTCCTTAGTCTCAAGGTGAAAACCACTTGAAAGAACAGCATTTTCAAGGAAGGAAGGAATCCAGCATTTCACAGAGTCAGTGGCTGGTTTGAAAGAAGAGGAAAAATATATGCTTAATCTTCTGATCTGTCAAATGAAAAGCATGTTCTCAAGTGAATAGATGCAATACACAGGGGCTTAATTACTCATCTTGGGGAGGGAAAATAAAACACGAAAATAATATGTTTATTCTGTGTGGGGTTGTATAATATATGCATGACAGAATCATGAAAATTTGAAGTGGGTAATGCGTAGGGTTAGCCTAGCCATTCCCTGGAGCCAGACTGGGGTCACTGTTGCTTTGTATTCCAGACTCCTCCGTCTCGTCTAATTGGCAGCATGGGTTAGGGTTCTTTTGCCATTGATTTTTTAAGTTGAAGATTCTCCATGGAAGTGTATAGAGTGTCATTTAAAGCCTATTGGGGGTGCATGCATTGTCTTCTGTTTCCTCTGTAAATAAGGGGTCCTTCTAGCCTCTGGAGGGCCATGTAGCTTATGGGACTAAGTGACGGAAAAAGCGAAACTCCCTTGCTTTCCCCCAAAAATCTGTTTGCCCAAATTCTTAGAGCAGTTGAGCTGATGGTGGGGGTAGGGAGGGGACTGATGAACTCCGAGCCTCTTAGCCTGGTTTGTAGAAGAGCTGCCACTGTAATAATCTTAGAATTGTACAGGGCTTCTAAAAGTTGCTAGGTGTTTTATTATTCACTCTTGCCTGTGCAATTCCTGACAACTCCAGGAGGATATTAAGTCAGGTATGGGCCCCCTTCTACAGATACAGAAACAGATTCAGAGAGAGTAGACAACTGGTTCAAAGTCACGTAACTGATGGTTGGGGAGGGCAGGACCCAAACCCTGCCATTTGGTCCCACATGATTCCCAGTGATTCCTTCTATATTATTGGGACAGGATTTTTGGCCCACACCTCTTCCTTTGGAATGGTAGGTAGCTGGATTCAAAACAATCAGGAGTATTCCTGATCTGTGTGTATGCCTCCTATGGTAACATAAGAGAAAGCCCAAGTGGCTACTTCAGGATGGTCCTTCTGGGAGAGTGGGATACAGCTGGGGGGCATCACAAAGTCACAGGGTTTCACCTACAACTGTTTCCATTTAGAAACATGAATTTTGACTTTTAGGCATAGTGTCTGGCGGGGGAAAGCCCTGGATGTGGAATAAGGTGAATTGGGTTCAAGCCAGCTTAGTGTACCTAGATAACATTAAGGAAGTTATTTAATGCATGGTCTGCAAATTCTTGTTCCCAAAAAGATTTAATAATTTTCAAAAATGACTATGGTGCAAGATAAACTATTACCATGCAAGACAAAACAGTAAAAATAAGTTTAAAAATTGAAGGAAACATTAGTTAGGACACTTGGAGGCAACCTTAAGAAAGAATCATGAAAGGGAAAAGGTTCAAGGACATTTGGATAAAGGATAAAGTGTGGATGTCAGTTACACATACTGCTTGGTAATAAAGGAACCAGAGTATTTAATAGTCTGTATTTTAGGATCATCAGTGGTAGTCCCAATTTCTTCAGCATCAAAAGAGTCACATCAAATATTTATTTCTTTTTTTTTTTTTTTTTTTTTCCTGAGACAGTCTCCCTCTGTTGCCCAGGCAGGAGTGCGATGGTACAATTTCGGCTCATTGCAACCTCTGCCTCCCAGGTTCAAGCGATTCTCCTACCTCAGCCTCCTAAGTAGCTGGGATTACAGGCATGCACCACCACGCCCAGCTAATTTTTGTAGTTTTAGTAGAGACAGGGTCTCACCATGTTGACCAAGCTGGTCTGGAACTCCTGACCTCAAATGATCCACCTGCCTTGGCTTCACAAAGTATTGGGATTACAGGCGTGAGCCACTGCACCCAGCCAAATTTTTATTTTGAAAGCAAAACGGAGCTTAGAGTGGGGTTCCTGAAATACACTGCATGAAGTCCTATCCAGTTGCTGAAGAAGGGTCCCATGCTGGGCTGTCAGCTTCTGAGCTGACAATGCAAAAGGGAACCACAGTCTAAATCAGGCACCAGTAAACCTTTTCTTTAATAGACCAGATCGTAGATTTATTTATTTATTTATTTATTTATTTATTTATTTTTTGTAGAGACAGAGTCTTGCTCTGTCACCCAGGCTAGAGTGCTGGAGTGCAGTGGTGCGATCTCAGCTCACTGCAACCTCCGCCTCCAGAGTTCAAGCAATTCTCCTGCCTCAGCCTCTCGAGTAGCTGGGATTACAGGTGCCCGCCACCACACCCGGCTAATTTCTTTTGTATTTTTAGTAGAGATGGGGTTTCATTATGTTGCCCAGGCTTGTCTCGAACTCCTGAGCTCAGGCAGTCCACCCACCTCGGCCTCCCAAAGTGCTAGGATTATAGGCGTGAGCCACTGCACTCGGTCCATAGATAATTTAGGCTTTGCAGGCCACATCCATCTCCACTGCATTTTCTATTTTGCTTGTTTTGCTTTATTTTGTTCTTCACAGCTCTTTAAAATTCTTAGCTTGTGGACCATACAAAAACAAGTTATGGGCCAGATTTGACCATAGCTTACTGACCTGTGTTGGATAGATGTTCACTTTCAATAAGTTAAAAACAAGTTGCTTTAGGGAGACACAAAAGCCGTAGATGCTAAAATCATAGAAAAATGTGTTCAGCGAGTCTTCATTGAGTGGACACTGTACAGCAATGTTCATGTTTTAATGGTCATCTGGGGGAAGGATTGATATCCTCTGTTGAAAGCTGATGAACCAGACAAGGATGCTATTGATTCCAAAAATGGATCAGCTCCACTTGAGGTGAGAGGCAAGTCATTTTACCTCTCTGAGCCACTGTTTTCTCCTCTAAGATGGGGATAAAAATAAGTGTCCTGCTCACCTTCCAGGGTAATTGCAGGGATCAAATGAAATTCTATATGTGAAATTGCCTTTAAACGATTCTAACAACCTTTAAAGTGTTAGTTACTATTTATCAGCTCAGACATAGTCAGCTGCAGGGGAGCTGGTCTGTGCCAACCACACTCCTGAGAGACCACAGATGTCCCTGTTCTGAAGAAGATTCCAATCTAGGAAGAGAAGGGAGGCAAAAGAGGCGAGCACATGTATGCATGTGTATGCATCAGCCCTGAATTCCAGGAGCTCATGGTGGGTAAGGCTGCCGTGGCACCAAAGTCACAAAATTAAATGCAATATATACTAAAGTGACCACAGAGAGCCACCCAGCAACTTGGCTGGCTGAGAGTTATTTGCTCAAGGCCTCGAGGTTACTGTTGTAATAATGTGTGAAGACCTTCCTTTAAGTACTTACTTTTTGCCAGATGTTGTGGGTGGCCCCTTTATACACATTATCTCATTAAATCTTCACAACTATCCAAGGAAGTAGGTCTTAGTATCTTGATTTTTCTGATGAGGAGACTGAGGCTAGAGTTATCAGGGAAATATCACCTGGCTAGTCGGTGGAAGAATTGGGATGCTGTGAGTGGTCAGAAGTAGGTGAAACTAGCCTGGTGGGCTTCCTGGATGAGGCAGGCATGGTTTTAGTGAAAGAGAGGGCTGTGGGATCTAGCAAGCAAGGTGAGTTCAGCTTCCTCTTATTAGGCACACTCCCAAATTCCCTAGGTCCTTTTTGCCAACGGTCTTGGCTTTTCTCCTCTATTCACAAGGGTGAGCTAGGTAGACAGGCAGTTTGCAGGGGCCAAATTTATTATTATTCTCTGGGACTGGGCTTAATTTCCCAGAAACAACAGGAGGCCTAGAATCAGGGGCTGTCGGTGGGGCCTGTCTCTGCCCCTGATTATTGTGAGACCTTGAGAAAGTCACTTTCCTTGCCTCGGCTCAGGTTTTGCCTCTGCAGATGGAGAAAGTCGCTGCTCTTTTAGGACTCTGGCACTTGTAAAATATACTATACTGCAATGTCTTCAAAGGCAGGAGCTGCATCTAATGGTAAGGGAGTAATGTTTTCCAAGAATGTCGGAACACCAGGCATCGGATCCTGGGCCCACCGGGTAATGAGGCATCCCGTAAGTGAATTTTCCAAATATCTGAGGCTTGCCTTTTGAAAACCTCACATTTTATTTCACAGAACTAAAAACAGAGATCTTATTAACATGTTGCACTTTTTCTTTCTTATCTTATTAAACAGAGCATACCAGTTATCATCTTTTCATTTCTAATCCAGCTCATTTTTGTCTTGTAAAATTCTCGGTACATTTATTGAGCTTATATAAAGCTGCTTTCCTTTGTACTACATGGCCCCTTGATATTTCTCCAACTATCTGACACCAACTGGGTGTTCAGGAATTCAGTTCATTTTTGACACTAACTCCTGGAGTTAATGCAGACCCCACAGGTTAAGGGCTTAGTTCCGGAAGACGCCCCCATGTCAGATGTCAGCTGAAAATGAGGTGTCCAGGCTACCACACCTCTGCCGAGCCACTGCACTTTTGAGACTTCTCAGGCCCCCCTTCTCAAGTTTGATAACTTGCTAGAACAATTCAGAAAACTCCAGAAATGTATTTTACTTACTATTGCTAGTTTCTTATAAAGGCAATGACTCAGGGGCAGCCAAATGGAAGAGATGCATGGGGGCTGGGGCGGCAGGGTGCAGAGCTTCCACGCCCTCTCTGAAGAGTGATATGACCTCAGTATGGGTGATACTTCTTCAGCTTGGCATATGAACACCAAACAGCCCTGTAGTTTATTCCTTTTCCTGTAGGGTAATGTCTCCCTAAGCTTAATAAAGCATACTTCTTTTCATCTTATTTTACTTTTTTTTTTTTTTTTCCGGTAGACCTCTCATGATTTTAAAGTTGTTCCCTGAACTCCCACCCTCAACAGCTGCTGGTTGTGCCGAGCTAAACATGTTACCCTATGGGAAGAGTGTGTCTTCCTCTGTAACAGTGCCTACCGCTGGAGGTACTGAATTTTGTGGGTTTGACTCTTTCTTGCCTTGTTAATTGCTAATTGATTTCATTGTCCTTAGCTTCGGTAACCTCTAGGTCATCGTCAAGCCCAAGAACACAACACATATCTCATTTCCAAACTCAATTCTTCCCTGAATGACATGGGGGGACTTTGTAAACAGGTTGAGTTGTGAGTATCATTTATATTCATTAGCACTAATTAGTATGTACATTCAGCCAGAGGCCGAAACACATCTTTTCTAAATGGAAAGGGTGTGTAAATAAATGGCTACTTCTGCACATTACATTAAATATGGTTTCTCTTTTTCTTCCCTTTCTTTCCTAGTCTGCTATGATGATTCCATGTCTCCCCCACTTCCTCATCTCCACTCCCAATTAGAAAATTTGCTCACTATTTCCCCTATCTGGTTTTTAAATTTTTTTTTTCTTAATAGGAGGGGAAGAAAGGGAAGAACATAATCATTAATTTCTCTGGTGTCTGGTCTGTTAACCTTTTCTCTTTCTTTTGGTCTCATTATTTTATTCTACCAATACTTCTTATGTCATCAGAATTATCTTGGAGGATACCTGATGAATCCCACTTCTTTGATCGATGGTTGCAGAGTTGGTGAGAGTGAGCCTGTCTGGTCACTGCCTGAGATGGTGCATAAGCCATGGCTCTTCAACACACACTTGGGTGGCTGGGCCACCATGCCCATGAGGGTCAGTGGCCCTTCCCACGTGACAATTGGCAGGTGGATATAGGCCTCTTCTACTTCGCAAAGATGTGGTTGGCAAGGGAACAGCATGCCAGAGGGAGAGGAGAGGAGTCGGCTCTTCAGTACACCCCTTTCAGAAGGTTGCCAGCCCTGATTTCATCCAGTGGTTTATTTACCACTGAAGGAGTGAAGGATGTGCCATCCCAAATATGCCAGATTAGTATATTGATTATTTCAAGTTGAAAACATTGGAGAAATTGTTTCAGAGAGGGTGAGCTGAGCTGTCTCTTCCTGCATGCAGCAAGGGACAAAGATTCCTCTAGGAGGGGAGTCCTCACTATACCATGGTGAGAAAATATTCCTATTACCCACAGACTGGTGATTGGAGGCTGCAATGGACCCTGAATTAACATACTTCCTGAAGCAACGCTATCTTCCACCTATTTCACCCCTGCTATATCTCCTAGTGATTCCCCTAGAAAATTTGCTATCCTTAGCCAGATTTTCTTTTCTTTTTTTTTTTTTTTTTGCCTTGCCATTTTTTCCTCAAATTTATTGCTCTTTGTCTCCATCTTGCTTTGGTCACTTCTTCAGACTTTACTCTCTTATGCAGATCCCCATGGACATGCAACATGAATGAAATGTGTGTACTTCTCTCTTGTTCATTCATCTTCCTAGTGTCAGTATTCAGATCCAGCTGAATATCCCACCAAGAGCTGAAAGGAGGATTGGAGGTGATCTCTGGCTTCCCTACATCGTGCCTGTCATCTTTCCAGAATGCTGTGCTCTCAAAGGGTTACATCCACATCACAGGGGCTGGTCCTCAGCTTTGGAGTTGGTCACTTATTTCTACTTGCAATTCTGCTCAGCTTCGATTTTAGAGAACAAAAGTCTGATGTGCTGCTTTCAAAATGTAGATATAATGATGTTAAATATAAAATGTTGCAAATAAGTTGTCAAAGTTTATTACACCTCTCTCTCTTCCCTGAGCATAAATGACATTGACTAGTCATAGCAGCAAATTCTTATTTTGGAGTGTGCTTTCAGTTTCTTGGTCTAATTATAGTATCAGAATAAAAAGTTCCATTTCCCCCCACAGTGGAACCAGTTGTCAGAACTTTGTTTCTTAAACTGTGGAGTTTTAAGTTTTGATGATAGCTACATTAGGGGTAGTTCTGGCATTTAAAATGAGACCCAAACAGAAAATGGAAGGTTGTCGGTTAATTCCCTTGGAGTAAATTAAAAGATGTATCTGCAGTTAAAATAGTAAAATCAATAGAACAAAAAATACATCTAAAGGTCATTTAAAGTAAAGGCGATTTTTTTAAAGCTATTAAAAAGTACTTAATCGTGTCTTTTAAAGTTTATCTATATTTATAAAGAACGATTTTTCAATTAACATACATTGGTTTAATTCGTTGAACCTGTTGGCAGTGGTTAGGGATGATTTATCCTCCTACTTTCTTCCAATGCATATCTTTGCACATGCAAGCATTAGTTGAGGAGTTTATGATTTGGAGAAAATAGATAAGACAACCTGGGCAGATTGCCAAGCACAGGCTATATGGAATGTTCTGGGAGCCAAGATTGAAGTAGAGCCTGGATAAGGAATGATACCACAGTAGGAGTGACCCACACTCTGGGCCAGCAGTTTAAAGATGTGGGTGGGTAGTTTGAGGTTTTGGAGCAGGTCATGACCATGCAGCAATCTAGAAACCCAGACTCTGGTTCTGGCTTCATTATTGACGAGCTGTGGAATCTTGAGCTAGAACATCTACTTCTCTAGGGTGAGTTTTTCGTGTGCACCATGGGAATCACAAAGCCTGTGCTATGGAAATTGTGAAAAGGCAATGAGACCCAGAAATAGAATTCCCATTAGAACCGACAGTGCCTACTTATGAGAGTACACCATCTTAGCTTAGGCTTCTCACTGAATCAGTTTTTGTAGTGATTTTTTAGATGTTAAAATGTGAAATAAGAAACTAAAAGACTACGGGTAACACTCTATTATACTAATATTCAGATTTAAGTCTTATAATAACGAGGGTAAATCATATGACAGTAGCAGAGATGGGGTTTGTTGAAACCTCGGGTAAAATTTATTGTCGTGTATCTACGCTATTGAGGAAACAAAATCAAGCAAACAAACTGAGGGAAAAACACCCAAAATCTTTTATTGTTTCTGCTTACCAATTTATTTGCTCTCAAAAAGAGTCAGAAGGAGAAACTTCAGCTAACTGCAAGGTAGATTTATATTTGTTTAAATACTATATGTTGCACCTTGATTTTTAAACTGTTAACCAGAGAGTCGAAGAGTTTTACAAAGCGCACAGAAAAGCTGGTAGTTGCATTCTACCTTTTGTTTTTGTGGTTTCTAAGTTCTTGCTGGTGTGACTGGAAGCTCTGATTTTTAAGAACTTCATGGTTCCTTCTACCTCCAGCAACCATTTTTATTTTCCTCCCTTTGGCCCAATTGCATTGCAAGTCCAGCAAATGTTCTAAAGAAATGCTTCGGTGAGAATAGAGCACTTTGTATGACTGTATTAAAATGACTGTTTCCAGTTGGCTAACATGAGCACTGAATAAACACATATTGATATTATAGAACAAAATAATAGTGCATTGCTCATTTGTGCTTCAGTAGTCACCCTGATACTATTCGTCATGTGGGGAGTGACAAACACATTTACACCCGAGTGCTAATAGAGTGGAAGGGCAAAACTGCCTGACCTCGGCATCCCGGGTCGATTTAAATGTTTGATGTCTCATTGAATTAGTATCACAGTGTGAAAGACAAAGCTCAAACTAATGGAAATGAGCCTGGACATGCAATACTGCTGATTGGGCTGACATAATTAGAATAATATTCTGCACACAGCTAATAACAAGCCGAAGAAATAAATAACCAAGAGATAACCTAATTGCTGCATGCTTAAACGTTCTTTTGAATATGCTAAGGTTAGCATTTTCTATTTACTTATAAAGCACACGGGTGGACTTAAAAGAAAAATGTAGAGAGTATTGCAGAAGGAATGGCCACCAAAATGCACTGCTCTCTGGAGGGCTTAGCCCCTTGAATCACTCCCAGTATCTGTTTCAACAGTTAGCAATAAACCTTATTGAGGGTCTACTCTGTGTCAGGCACAAGGCTGGGTTTCTGGAAGGAGAAACATGATATCATGGGTAACCACCCACTAATCTTGCCTTCCAGGGGCTTATAGCCTCCTGAGAGTGATGAGATATGTATAAAAACAGCACAAAATGGGAAAAGGTAAGTGTGAGAAGACAGATCCAAAGAGTGTTAAGAAACTCCACTGAGACAGACTTCATTCCCAACAGATTGCAAATTCAAATTTGTTCTCAAGGAAGTACAAATAATTGACTGGGATAGCACCTGGGTTTCTTAGTGAGACACCTGAGGAAGATTTCCAGTTCCTCAGTTTCCAGCTTCTCAAGGAAGGAAAGGCAATGTTGGGCTTCACTTGCCAAATCTTTCCTTATGCTTGGAAGTACTCATAAAAATCCCTTCCAATTGTGTTTTTAAAGTTTTTGTGGTAGTTTTACCAATGTTATCGTGCTTTGCTTCTGCAAGTTTTAAGGCAAAGAGACATGCTCTGTTGACCTCAAAGTAACAGGCTTTATTGTGAGCCTCCAAAGTGAAATAAGAAGATGCAGGAAAACTCTCAGAGGTGAAACACCCAGGCCTTGTGGAGAACGAGAGCTTGAATCACTTTGGGTTCACTGGTGAATAACAGGTGCTGAATAAATATTTGTTGAATGAATACTCATGGTGCTTTACTTCAAATATCTCATTTAAGTCTTGCAGCAATCTGGAAATGGGAACTAATAATAGCTCCATTTTACACATGAGAAAATCAAGGCTTGGAGGGATTCAGTGACTTGACACAAGTCACACAGCTAACAACTGGTGGGGCCACTTCTGATCCAGAGTGTGTGGTGGCTATGACTGTGATTCGTTTTGGTTATGAAAGAAGAGGAAACCAGGTAGTAGGTTGAGGTGGAAACAGGCCCTTGAGACCAAGATGCCATAAATAGGCTTCTAAGAAGAGGGGGAGCAGTCGTGGAGAAGGAACTGCTGATCTTCATGGATAGTGAGAAGGAGGACTGGTGAGTTTACTGCCATTGCCTAACAAGAAAGCTGAGATTCAAAGAAATTAAGCAACTGCCCAACTAGCAAGTGGCACATTAGGACTAAACACTAGGATTTCTGAAGCTTGTTTTCCATCTTAACATTACATGCTCATCTTTGGCTTGTAGACCATTAAACTTCAAGTATATTTTAGTAATATTTGAAAACTAAATGAGCAAGCAGCAGCATGGGTTAGTGAAAAGAATACAGATCTAGGAATTAAGAGTCATACGTCCTGGTCTGAACTTGGCACTGATTGGTTATGTGACTTTCACGTAATCACTTCTCTTTTGGGTGCTGGTTCCCTCCAGCTCTAAAATCCTAGTGAGCCATAGAATATTTTTTAGTTAGCTACTGTTTTAGATGACTCCCGGTTCAGCTCCTTGTGATTATAAAGCTAACTAGGAGTGGTTTCTGTGAAATCTCCATAAGTCTCCATAAGTCCCTTGGCAGTGATTCTCAAACTGTTTTGGTCAATGGATGATAATCCATATAATCACCTACACCACTGTTTTTATAGCAAGATATCCCATAAGAGACTTTGCCAGAGGAAAAAAAGCAAAATGGCATAGAGTTTCATGAGAATGTGATAAGACATACAATTGTGAAATATTAAATGAAAATTGTTTGTGCCCGAGTTCAAATCATAGGTTTCACAAACTCATCGATTTTTTTTAACATAAAGCTTTTTGAGCATCTATTGTGAGCCAGGTGTGGTGTCAGTTACCTGCACATATGTTACAAGAGGCGAGCTAACCTGTGGGTTCCTGGTGGGTTATGGACGTTACTTTAGGAATCACGGCCCAAGGGAAGACATAGTAGAGATGTTCTTTAAGTTACTATGGTAAAATGGCTTAATGTAAAAAGGGAGGAGGATGATGATGGGAAAGATTTTTTAATTAGACCCGGGCTTTTAATATTTTGGCTAATTAAATATTTTATTATGCAATGAAAATGAGTTCTGGCATACTTGAATTCAACTTGAAAGGGTGAGCTCATTCATGTTTGATTACAAGGTATGGTGCTACACCTAGGATGTCTGTGGAGAATAGGTCGACTATAGTCAAGTCCTCTAGGGGAAATAACTTTGAGGATCCCATTTCTAGACAAGCATTCTTCATTAATATCAAAATGTTCAACAGTGGGTATTTTCTCCTATGCTTATAATGATTGCCATTGTGTTAGTTCAGACTCTCATAATTTCTCATCTAGATTATGCTCATAGCTTCCTAACTAGTCTTTCTTTGTGTGTAATGGGATGACTACAGGGCTGCTGAGGGGTACTTCTGGAAAGGAAATTCATGTATGACAGACAGTCTTTTGGCTTCATGTCCTTTAAAAGCTCGCCTTTACTCTCAGGGCACAATCTAACTCTTTAGAATAATCAAGGCCCCTCATGGACTGGCTTCAGGATCCCTTCACTGTTATCTCTCAGTCCTTTCCCTCTGCATCCTCTGCTCTAACTTTATAGAGCTCCCTGAAATCTTCTGAGTAAAGCCTTCTCTACACACCCTCACCCATCTCCCCACTGGGTCTGTGTCTGCACAGACACGTTAGGAAACTTTTTCTTTGCTCCCTGGCTTATTCCTTCTGGTTCTTCAAAACTTAATAATCACTTTCTCCAGGAAGTGGAGACCAGATCTGGCCCAGATCTCAGAAACTTCTTCTGAGGTCCCTCTCTAAAGGAACCTGGAATTATGATTACTTGTTAAAGGCGTGCCTCTCCTATAGAGAGGATGTATAGACAGCAGGCTCTAGAGTCGGGCAGCTTGTGTTGGAAGTTCAGCTCCTCCACATGCTAGATGTATCCTCAGGTAAGCGCTCTGCTGCAGTTTCCTCTTCTATAAAACAGGTATAATAATGGTACCTATCTCCTAGGTGTGTTGTGAGGATTGAATATGTAAAATTCTTGAAACAGTGCCTGACAAATACTACATGCTCTACAAGTGTTAGCTATTACTATTAGTAGTGGTGGTAGTAGTAATAAATTTAAAATAATTTAGAACAGTGCCTGGCACATACTGTAGTAACTGTTAAATAAATGCTAGTGATTATTACTAGCTCCATAGGAAGGTTGGATCAGGAGACTTGCAGTGAAAAGTAAGGACCCAGAATGCAGAGGGTTGAGGGTCATTAGGGGTGTCACTAGGAGGTTGAATGCTGACTCCTAATCTGAAGTACGGGAATTATCCCCTGCATTCCTGGCTCAATGGCTGGAATCTCAGCTCGGGATAGTTATTGCGGCTTTGCCATTGCCCTGGAGATGCTTCTTGGCAAGCAGCAGTGCTCAAGATCTGTATAAGATGGCAGCAACAAATGTGGTTCACGGCTGACTGGTTGGCCTTGGCAGTGACTGAGAAAGTCAATATTTAAAAAGCAATTTTTTTCCCCTCTGGCAAGAAGTGATGTCAGTGTTGGAAGGAGGGAGGCATGACAGGCTGGATGGAACCTGCTTTTGTGATATGTGAGATGTTCTCGATGTGAAATCGCTTGATGATTTTGTGATTAAACCCCACGACTGCCTGTTTCTGATTTTGCTCTGGAGCTCACTGATAGCTCTGGAACTTGGGATTTCTGAACACATGGCCTTCATCATTGGGAAAGACTCAGTCTTACTATGGAATATCTTGTGCTGCTTTACAGGTGAGGTTGTTTTTGTTTTGTTTTCATGTAATAGCTTTTATTATTTCTCTTTAACTGAAAAGGGATGATGAAAAATGTAATTGCTCTCTCTCTGTGTGTGTGTGTGTGTGTGTGTGTGTATGGGTGTGTGTGTGTGTGTTTAGGTGTTCCTTCCTTGGAAGGACAGATACAGGCCTATAGAGAAAAGCACATGAACTGTATTTAATTTTGTTGAGGGTTAAGAGCTTTAGTTTATTACCAGTTAATACTGAGCCATGCTGAATCAGCAACGTCCATAAGTGTTTTGAGCAAGAGTATTTCTTTGCATTTAGTTTGCTGATCTGTTACTTAAATAGGTGTATTCAAAACACAGCAGAAAGCCAAAGGGGGAAATGCAAAAGCCAGTTGCCAATTACAACAGATGCCAGTGAATTATGGAGAAAAGAAAGGCAGTACTATTTACTGTACACAGTCCTTCAAAAAGATTGGTCATGTATTTAACATAACTGTGGGTCAGGCCATTGCTCTAGTAGCCAAGGGTATAGGAGGACACCCACCCATTTGCAGATAAGCCTCTGAGTGGCCAGAAGGGCTCTTCCTA
The DNA here is from genome assembly GCF_000001405.40 of Homo sapiens. Classification (NCBI taxonomy): domain Eukaryota; kingdom Metazoa; phylum Chordata; class Mammalia; order Primates; family Hominidae; genus Homo; species Homo sapiens. The sequence goes on along the minus strand of NC_000015.10, from coordinate 60,222,489 downwards.
AGAATTATCACATAGGGATTTTCAAAATGCAAAGCATGCCCACTAATTTTGAAATAAACCAAATACTAATACAGCTCCCTAGTTGCTTCTGGCTAAGATAATCAGACTAAACAAAACAATGAATTTATTAAACTCCTCATGAGACATGTGAGCTTAAAAACTTTACTATGGAGGCTGGAAATATACCTGGGAAGGAAACATTGGACCTTTGAGTCACTGAGGTATTGAAAACATGCTAAACCAATAGCAGGGAGTGGTTGGCAAAACAGATGGGAAAACAGTTCTGATATTGACCTAGCATTTATCCATACAGGACTTCTAATAGTCACAAGAGAAGGCCTGCCTCTGCTTTTGTGAATATGAGAATTATCATTTTAGTGTGTGCTGCTTTTGTTACACAATCTACTATTTTTGTAATTTGACCACTTTTTGTTTTTTTTTTTTTTGAAACAGAGTCTCACTCTGTTGCCCAGGTTGGAGTGCAGTGGCACAATCTTGGCTTACTGCAACTTCTGCTTCCCAGGTTCAAGCAATTCTCTCCTGCCTCAGCTTCCTGAGTAGCTGGGATTACAGGCATGTGCCACCACACCAGGCTAATTTTTGTATTTTTAGTAGCAACGGGGTAATTGCCATGTTGGCCAGGCTGGTCTCAAACTTCTGATCTCAGGTGATCCTCCTACCTCGGCCTCCCGAACTGCTGGGATTACAGGCATGAGCTACTATGCCTGGCCCACTGGATCACTTTTACAGAGCCCCCTTGTGTGCACAGCATTAGCTACCATGAGTGTATGAGAGAACATGCACAGCTTTGTGCATTCATGTAAGGGGTCCCTTTGTTGTGTAGCCTGACATTTCTTTTATATATATATATATTGTTTCTTAATGGAGAAGGACTTAGGAGAGACAACAGACCCCTTACTTGTTATGTTTTAATCTAGTTGTGAAATGTTAGAAAATACATCAAAAGGTCTTTATGTGGAAGCAAGAAAATGTTGAAATCTTTTGGTAAAACCCATTTCCATTCATTGCTATTAAGAAGGACTGAGTGGCCACCATTGTCTAATCTGGGGTTTATGAATGAATATATTTTGGGAATGGACCACCTGAAACAACATCATCATCCCAAGTAAAACAAAGTTTTATTGTATTCTATATACCCAATCTTGGCTTTCCGTCTTCCTCAGGATCTTTTAGTAGAAAGAAATGAGAGCTGATGAACCAATTCATATTAGAATAGTTATCAACTAACGCTGAAAGTTTAAACCATTTGGTCTTGTGTTAGCTCCATAAGGTGGTGAACTGAGTTATGGTGAATGATCAGGGAATGGGGTTCTCATTATTTTTATACCAAAATGTATGGCCAATTCACAAATAATAAGATTACATCAAGATATACTGTAGGAAATTCTGTTCAGAATCAGGCACATCAGAATTTTCTAAGGCACGAAGCTATCATTATGGATATGAATTCTGGTAAATTCGGAAATATCGTAGATAGAATTTCCTACTGTTAGAATGTGAGATAAACCAGTTCTCACGATAAGGAATAGAAATTCTCCTATCGGTCTTATATAAGATGGCACAAATAAAGCAATAAGATTGATAATCCCAATGTTGTTGCCATTTCTGTTTTATGTGAAACTGAAGTCCATCCCCATTGCGTGCTGGCTCCTTTATCTTGAACTGTTATTCAGCTGTTAATAACAGTAGTTTATATTGTTGAACACTTACTATGTGACAGGCACTGCTATGAATTTCAGAAACATTATCTCACTAAATCTTCTCAATAGCCTTTTAAGAGGCAGGTATCATTATCACCTCCATTTTTCCAAGGGCAACCCTGAGACTCATAAAGGTGAAGTCAGACAGTAAGTGGCAGTAAGAGGAAACTGTGACTCAGGGAAGGTAGGTAAGTCTCCCAGTATGACCTAGATGATAGAGGGCAGAGCCGGAAATTTTGTGTGGAAGGAAATGGGGATTGGTCTTCTGACATGATGGATTAGGGTGGGTACCAGAGAGGGAAAACTCAGCGAATGACTTATTCCATTATTCAAGGAGAAGTGGTTAGGGGACATAATTATAATTGTGAGGATGCACATGATGAAATGAGACAACTTGTTCACTAATTCCAAAGCCCTGCTCTTTTAAAATTTTTATTATTTACAGATTTGTTACAATAGCCAGCAAGCACAAATTCCAATTCTGCCACTTACTGGCTATGTAGCCTTGCGCAAATTACTTCTTAAAGTTCCCTTACTGGTTAAAACATGTGGACCAAAAAATGGCCTATTCAATATTGTTAGGGCACTTAACTACTGTACGCGACATACATGTTATCATGTGTAACACCAGGGAGGTCTTCCATAGATGATAGCTATGACTACTATGCAAATCATTCTCATTCTGGAAAGACCAACAGAGAGAGAGAGGAAGTTGAGATGGATTAATGGTTCTCAGCAAGGGAACTGTAACTACTCTTAGTCATGGGGGAACATTGCAGAGGAGGAATGTTTTAAGAGGGCCCAGATTGGGCAAGGGTGAGAAGAAGATAATGGGCTTCATTTTGGACACAGAAGAAGAGGGTTAGAAGTAATATCTTAGAAACTTATTTGGATACAGGCAGCAATTAAAACAATGTGAATGGAGGGATTATTTGCAGAAATAAGTTTAAAAAATGTGAGATAGGATGCACAGGGCTAAGTAGAATTTAGTCAGTAGTAAGCAGAGAAGAATGCATATTTGTGTGTGTGTGTGTGTGTGTGTGTGTGTGTGTATGCAGGCAAGGCTGGGAAGGTTATGTTTCTTATAATAAATGCTGTGGAGCAGTCACTGGCACTTCAGATCAAGGACATGTCCCCCTTTCTAATAGCTTTAAATAATTGCTACAGAACAGGTGAATAAAGTAAGATAAATTTTGTATTTAGCATATGTGGAAATATTATGAATAGTTGCAGACTCAATTTGCTTTCATGCCCTTTGACAATCTGATAATTTTTGCAAAGATGTACTTAAAATGCTGTTTCATGCAAAGTTCAGATTTTTTCCCCTTGTTTAAAAAATACACGACATCATTAATTTGCAGGCCTGTATATTAATTTTGCTGAGAGCACCATTTATTTCTCTTTCCTTCCACTTTGTTTAAAGTCAGTTGTTGACAACTCTCAAGCGTGTCAAGCTCTCATCGCTAATAATTGCTTAAGGACCCCTAACTTCTACAAATGTTGGTTCCAGCTCCAAACCCCATGCTAGCCCTGGAAGAAAAAAAAAAGAGAGGGGGGAAGAAAGAACTTCTTCTGATGAATTTTTGATTTTCCTTCTTAACAAAGAAATGTCTGAGATTCAAAGCAATAGCTTAAAGTGATATTATAAAATAGAATATGGAGTGCACTGTTCTGAATGACTCTTTGCTTTTAATGTGGGGCTGAAAAATTGTCAGTGCCTTTTTTGATTAGATAGGATTTTTTTTTGTTCTTGATCTAAGAATTGAGGAGAAAAACATGCTACTTGCATTTGAATATGGCATGAGCAGAGATGTAATGTATTGGAGAGAGAGTAATAGCAGCAAACGCCTTAAGGCAGCACCTGTATCTTCGGGTCAATGCCATCTCGCTTTAGATCGCTGCTGCGCCACTCTTTCTGCGGCTGCTTTATTAGGCCTAATTAGGCGGGCTGTCACTTTTATTGGTGATGGGAAAGGAAGATAAGTAGATCACTTGTGTCATCTATCTCTATCCGGACGTGTCTAAAAAGTCTAAAGTAATTGCTGTAGGCCACAGATATATACCACAAGAGGCAGAGGGAGTTGGGGGGAAAAAAAAGAGAAAAACAAAAACAACAAAACACCCAGAACTGTAATAAAAAAATAGAAAAGGTTAAAAAAAAAGAAAACCTGTAGAAATGCCTTACCTTTGGCACTGCTGTGTGTAATTTCAAACCCACAAAGAAGAGCGTGTGAAACATCCTGGAAGCCCTTTTGTTCTGAGGCAGAAAGTTGTCTAATGGATTTTGTGAGAGCTGAATGGAGGTGGGGTAAGGGAAAACGCTGCCTACTTAGGAGTTGAGCAATAGACTCGACTCTCAAGAAAAAGTTGGTGCAAGTTGTAACAAGAATTCCACATATGGTACTACTGAGCAGTAGAAATCAACATTAATTTAAAAGAATCCCAGATCTGCAATTTTTTTCCTTTTTTGTGTGGTGACTGCAATAGTGGGAGGAAAGGGGTTTCTGAAAGTTTTTATAATGGGGTTCTATATGAGAATAAATATTTCCTCCCATAAAAAAAAAGTCTGTAAAAATGGCGCCAGTAAAGATAAAGAGCCTAGTGGACATTGATAATGTTGTCTTTAGGCATGATCAACTGCTTAAGGCTGTCAGAAAACAACTTCTCTTCTCTGCAGGACTCCTTACCAACCAGGTACTTCTGATAATTGACTGGCAAACCTGGTTTATTCCAAATATTAGCTCAATGTTCTCTCTCCCAGCTGCTTGGTGGCTGGCCCTTGACTATGCACTGTTGATTATGGCATTTGAATGGACTGTCTTTACCCAATCATCTCCTTAGTAAAACCGTAAGTTATATGTAGAAGCTATATTTTATACTTTTCTTCTGCCTGTGCCATGCCTAGAATCATGCTAAATATGTACTAAGGACTTGAAAAATAGTAATTTTATTAGTTTCTTAACCCTGTGACTGAGTGGGTTTTTCAGTGTCAAATGAGAACTTAAATTTACTGTGTTACACAGAAAATGTTGGTACTGTAAAACAATTTTTAAAACAATTATGAAGCACCCTTAATGATAATTACATGATACCAAGATGTTTGCACCAACACAGTGCAAATTTCTGCCCATCACTTTAAGGTTTATTATATATATTATCAAATATATAGATTGGCTTGATGGAATTTATTCCCGAGAAGTCTATAGTTGATATTCTCCACCCTGGGAAGACAGACTGTTATAATTAGGCAACTGCTTTGGGGAGGCAAGACCATATAGACAATGTGTTCAAACATTTCAATGTTATTTTCATATTGCTTTGTCTACATAATAAGAAGTGCAACTTGTAATCTATCTACATAATAGGAAGTACATTTACTATGTGCCAGGCACTTTGCTAAGGGTTTTATACACATTATTTCGTTTTAGTTTGATCAAACCCTCTGAAGTAGGTATTAGTGTGCTCAATTTACACACAGCTGAGGCTGGGAGCAATTGAGTATCTTTCTCAAGTCCACATAGCTAGTAAATGGCAGAGCTGGAATTCAAACTCAGGTCTGTTTGATTCCAAAGTGTGCACTCTAAACCACTGTTAGACTCAGTCTCCTACTTCTGCACGTTGCTCAAGGGAAGGATTTGCTTCTTTGAGAGAACAAAAATTCCAGCTCATAGACTCATGGAATTTCAGCTTAGAACTTTTATCATCGATTTTGTTGATTGAGTTGCCTTAGCGTATGACAGTTGGACTTAGGAACAATTTTTATTTTTATCTTTGACTTAGAACATTAAATAGCAGTAAAAGTAGGTGCGGATTCTTTTTCTCTTAAATAAACCATGCGGAAATCAGATTTTGGAAATACTTGTCATTAGAGGCAGGAAGAGGCAGGACCTTAAGATCCTGTCCAAATCTTGTCTAAAATATCCCCACCCTTTGACTCTTCAGTTTATTATATAAATAAAAATAATGAAAACAAAAAAATTAAAGTATTTATAGAATGCCTGCTATATGACAACTGAGATTGGGGTATTAATCTCTATTTTATAGATAAAGAGTAGAAGTTCTCAAACCCAGTCCTGTTCTTTCTTCTCTTCTTTTCTGCTTTCCAGGAAAAGGGTTTCCAATGGGGCAAGAATATAATGTTGCATTGCCCAAAAATTCAGGGAAGGTGTGGTGGTGTGTGGGGCACTTTGACACCTGAAGAACTGCAACAAGATTCTAGTCATCTGGAAGAAATGGAGCTTCCCATTTGGAAGTGGTGAAATGAAGACCTGAGGTCAAGGGCACTTAGGCATGTTTTGGTCACTTCACAATCTTCTGCTATTTATTTTGTTAATTGACCCAAAGTTTGATCCAATGATATTTTTAGGAGCCATATGCTGGATCAAATCAAATCTGTCATCTTGTTCTATCAGTTTCTAATGAGTCACTATTTCTGGTGCAGGGCTGGCAAAAAGCTGTCGTCTTGCCATTCTTCTTTCCAGGTGTCAGGGCAGGCATTGCCAATTTGTTACAGTTCCTAGCTTTCCAAGGCCAGACTCAATACCAGAGTCTAAACTTTGTGCTTCAGTAGTTATTACCAATTCATCAGAGTTGGCATACAATTTGGGACCTATTTGTCAAGCCTGGGTTAATGGGAGAACAGTGACTCTTCTTTGTTGTAGCTGTCTATGTGAACTTAGGCAGGCATTAGTCTCTCTGAGCCTCGACCATCATCTACTAAGAGGTATTACCTAACCCACAAGCTAGACCAAATTCATATGCATATAAAATGAGATTTATATAATAAAAATAAGCCTCCTTTTCAATCTAAGGAGATATTATTTTTACTGAAATGGACTAATGTTTAGTAAAACCATAGTTCATTAATCCAGCCACCCACAGTAGATTCATTGTTGCTTTCGTTCTTTGTTTCACTCCCCTGTGTCAAACCAGTTTTCGAGTCTTGTTGATTTTGCCTTTAAGTAGCTCTTGAATCTGCCTTTCTCGTCAGGCACACTGGGGTGGAGTCCATGCCCTCCATATGAGCCTTTTAGATAATGATCTCTCTGCCATGCATGCCCCCAGTTTCTGGTCTGTTCTCTACTACTCTATGGCCAGGGTGGCCTCTTTAGATGGACCACATGCCTCCGCTGTTTACACCCCCGTGGGTCTCCCACACTCTCCGTGATAAAGACTAGAAGTTCCCTGGCTGACACCTGTGGCCCTTCATTTTCCACCTCCACCTTCTCTGCACACCCTGTGCCTTGCTTGTTACTCTCCCACCCACCCCCCCAGAGGCTCTGTTATGGCACTGCATCTTTTTCCATGCCGAGTACCCTGCAGATGCAATGCACTGTCCTTGTCCGCTGGCAAACTCAGATTCCCCCCTGGAGGCCCAGTTCAGTATTGACTGGGCCTCTGAGAGATTGTGGTAAAGGGAAACATTTCTGCACATAGCTGGGATGGATTGCCCACCCACGACCCCAAGTCTTGTAGTGGCATTCTCTGCAACTAGGGAGTGAACCACAGGGGACACAAAGACTCCAAGCTGGAGGCAGACGGCAGCCCTGGCAGATTGCAGCCTCTAGTTCCACGCTCACAGGCAGGTAGCGTGGTTTCCCCAAGTTAAGACGCCCAAGTCTCAGAAGAGCCATAGAGCCTGAGAATCAGGAGCAAGCTGACCACATGGGAGGGGGCTAATCGGGTAGATGTAAAATTTTGGCAAAATCCTTGTCTGCCTTATTTAGCTAGAAACATCCTCCTTGTGTACACCTGAGAGTGTGGGAGAAAGAACTTCTGCCCGCATGGCTGCCCAGTCCCCTCAGCAGATGCTGGGCACTTCCTCCTTTTTCTCCTTCCTCCTTCTCTCTCCTTTTTCCTCTGTTTCTTCATCCTTCTCCCCTTTCCCTATAATCAGTAATAATTCCTCATTTACAAAGCCCTTTCACATATGTTACATCATTTCATCTTCCTGACAAGCCCATGAGGTGTGTTACTACTGTATCCCAGTTTTAGAGATGAGTACATTGAGGTCCAGAGAAGTTAGGTTATTTAATTCAAAGTCATGTAGTTGGTAGTTTATGGAATTGAGATTTCAATGAAGGGTCTTCACCTCTAAATCTCAGGGTTTTTTGTTTTTTGTTTTTTTTTTTAAAGTTTTGTGACATTGAAACTGAATTTGGAACAATGTTTACATTTGTAGTATCTTCTTTGTTACTAAAAGATTGTGTTTTATAAACCCTCTTAGAGCATCTGCTGCTCTAGAGCAGGGGTCCCCAACCCCCAGGCTACAGACCAGTACTAGTCCATGGCCTGTTAGGAACTGGGCTGCACAGCAGGAGGTGAGTGAGCATGACCACCTTAGCTCCGCCTCCTGTCAGATCAGTGGAAGCATCAGATTCTCACAGGAGCGTGAACCCTATCATGAACTGCGCATGTGAAGGATCTAGGTTGTGTGTTCCTTATGAGAATCTAGTGCCTGATGATCTATCATTGTCTCCCATCAACCCCTGATGGGACCATCTAGTTGAGGAAAACAAGCTCAGGGCTCCCACTGATTCTACATTATGGCGAGTTTTATAATTATTTCATTATATATTACAATGTAATAACAGAAATAAAGTGCATAAAGTGCACAATAAATGTAATGTGCTTGAATCATCCCGAAACCATCCCCAAGCCCCCAGGTCCATGGGAAAATTGTCTTCCATGAAACCAGTCCCCAGTGCCAAAAAGGTTGGGACCGCTGCTCTAGAGAAAGCCATTCTATGTGCCTGTTACACTATCCTGCATCTTAACTTACCATATCATTATACTTCCCCACTTGCCTTATAAGTCTCTCTTTGTATTGGTCACCCAAGAAGGACTTTGAGTAACCTCAGGGCAGGGTTTGTTAATATCATCAGGTCCAAGCCCACAGGCCTGGCACGGAATAACCATCTAATCAAAGTTTGTTCAGTGAGTGAATGATTAATAATAAAAACTACCATTTGTGAATGCTTGCTATTATTCTTTCTACACATTAACTCATCTCATTTCAGTTAATTACCATAAAAGCCCTGTGAGGCATATGCTGTTTGGATTCCCATTTTACAGCCTGGAAAACAGAGGCTTAAAAAGGGTAAGTAACTTGCCAAGAGCCATCTGGAAACCAGTCAATAGTGGAGCCAAGACATGAGCTCAGATCGGAGCCTGCTCACTCTAACCCTGAGGCTCTATGGTCAGTCTAGTGAATGAGTTATGTCTGTGCCAAGGGGAGGAGGGTGCCTGGGCATCAGAAGACCTGTGTCTCAACTCTGCCCCAATCAGCTGAGAAGCTTTGAGTAGTCACTTGGCTTCTCTGCATCTCAGTTTCCTTCTCTGTGCCACAGGTGATAACGTGTGCTTCATAGCTGGTTGTAAAGATTAAAAGCTACCATGGCTAGGAGCTTTTGGAATTCTTTTTTCTTTTAATTTTACTTTAAGTTCTAGGATACATGTGCAGAACCTGCAGGTTTGTTGCATAGGTGTACATGTGCCATGGTGGTTTATTGCACCTATCAACCCGTCATCTAAGTTTTAAGCCCCACGTGCATTAGGTATTTGTCTTAATGCTCTCCCTCCCCTTGCCCTCCACCCCCACCCGGTGTTTGCTTTTCCCCTCCCTATGTCCATGTGTTCTCACTATTCAACTCCCACTTACGAGTGAGAACATGAGGTGTTTGGTTTTCTGTTCCTGTGTTAGTCTGCTGAGAATGATGGCTTCCAGCTTCATGTTCCTGCAAAGGACATGAACTCATTCTTTTTATGGCTGCATAGTATTCCATGGTATATATGTGCCACATTTCTTTATCCAGGCTGTCATTGATGGGCATTTGGGTTGGTTCCAAGTCTTTGCTATTGTAAATACTGCTGCAATAAACATACCTGTGCACGTGTCTTTATAGTGGGGCTTTTGGAATTCTAAAGAATTCTCTGGATCCTTGGTCAATGATGTCACTGCTGTGGTTTTCGCATTGCTGACAACAGTCTTTGCTGGGAGCAACAGGCCTTCTGTGTGTCAGCTTGGGGCTGGCTCACTAAGAGACTCCTGGCACTGTGTTGAGTCTAGCATGGAGCCAGCGCCCCCTGGACTCATCAATGAGATATGGAGGGGTGTTTCTAATTATTCTTCAGCCTCGTGGCTAGCCAACACAGTTCATCTTCATCTTCTCAAAAAAAAAAAAAAATCATGTTTTGACTTTTCATGAACTAATCTGAATTCTTGGCATATCTTGTCTTTTGCAGTGGAAGTAGCTTAGCCATACCCTTTGCTCCAATTCCTCAACTCTGTCCCTTATTTCATCTTATTTTTTTCTTCTTGGCTCATGGAGGATATGGAGCAGAGATGAGAAGCTCATATAATAATTGGAGAATCAGGTCTTTGGTGACCAAACTCTAAGGCTTCTTTCTGGATAGTAGGACTTTGCTGGCTTCTTGCAGGGCGTAAAGGTTAAGCTTGTGAGCTTTTGGGGTCAGATTTGCCTTGGTTCAAATCCCCGCTCCACAACATAGCTATTGTGTGGAGTTTGGTAAGCTACTTAGCTCCTCTTAAGCCTCAGTTTACACAGTGAAAAAAGGGGAAGGCGTAGCCATAATACCTATATCATGAGATTCTTATGAAACACATGTAAAACATTCGGAACCATGCTTGGCCCATCATCAATACTCAAAAAAGTTATTTATTTAAAAGACATACCAGCGTTTTAAACTCTGCTACATAGATAGGTCTAAGCTGCTGATCATGGTGATGTTGAGTATTTTGAAAAAATTACCAGGAGCAGTAACATTTCATCACGGTAGTTTTTCTATGATGCCAAACCTCCGGCTGAATAGAGAGAAATTGACCAATTTGCTTTCATACATAAAATTCTAAGCGTTTGGTTACTTCGGAATGGTTATATAATTACATTACAGTGTCTACCTGACTTCAATGTTAGCTAGAATGCAGAAGCAGTTCCAGTGCATTGGTTTGGGTGTGGGTGTCACTTCATCCGGTCATCCAGATTCTTAAACCCAGGGTTACAACCCCCTGATGTTTTGTGGTCAGTTGTGAGGTATGTCATGAAGAACTTACCATTATTGATAAGGCACTCAGAGTTGAGAATTTTAAAAAAAAAAAAATTGTTGCTTTTACGAATTCAAGCAGATTCAAGGCTATATAGGTAAAATGTCTTTCTAACTCTCTTGTATTCTGGAAGGTTTCTTGAGGGAATGTGGTATGCTGAATTATAGTTAGTTACCCAAGATGTACAAGTATTATTTTTTAAACTTTTAAAAACCTATATTGAGGTATAACTAATACACAAAAATTGCACATATCGGGCCGGGCACGGTGGCTCATGCCTGTAATCCTAGCAATTTGGGAGGCCGAGGCAGGCAGATCATTTGAGGTCAGGAGTTCAAGACTAGCCTGGCCAACATGGCTGAAACCCCATCTCTACTAAAAATATAAAATTAGCCCAGTGTAATGGTAGGCACCTGTAATCCCAGCTACTGAAGAGGCTGAGGCAGGAGAATCTCTTGAACCTGGGAGGTGGAGGTTACAGTGAGCCAAGATCATGCCACTACACTCCAAACTGGGTGACAGAGCTAGTCTATCTCAAAAAAAATTGCACATAATTAATGTATACATTTTGATGAGTTTAGATATATACATATACAGCCATGATACCATCACCACAACCAAGATACTATATTCATTACCTACAAAAATGTCCTTGTATTCTTTTTGAGAGTATCTTTTGTAGTAAGAACACTTAATATGAGATCTGAGATCTGTTCTTTTATCACATTTCAAAGTATGCACCATCATGTTGTGAACTACAGGTACTATGTTATAGAGGAGATCTCTAGAACTTATTCATCTTGCATACCTGAAACTTTATACCCGCTGAACAACAATTCCTCATTCCCCCCTTTCCCCAGCCCCTTTCAACCACCATTCTATTCTCTGCTTCTGAGTCTTGCTATTTTAGATACCTCGTATAAGTGCAATCATGCAGTATTTGTCCTTTTGTGTCTGGCTTTTCACTTAGCATAATGTTCTTTAAGTTCATCTATGTTGTTACAAATGGTAGGATTTTCTTCTTTATAAAAGGTGAATAATATTTCATTGTATGTCTATCACATTTTTACTCATCTGTCAATGGAAATTTTCTTTGTTTTCATATCTTATACCATAGTCAAAAATTAGCTCAAAATGGATTAAAGACTTAATCATAAGACATGAAATGGTAAAACCCCTTAAAAAAACATAGAGGAAAAGCTTCTTGACATTGATCTTGGAAATGATTTCTTGGATTTGACACCAAAAGAACAGAAAGCAAACCTCAATATAGACAAGCGGGGCTATACTAACTGAATAGCTTTTGCATAGCAAAGGAAACAATCAAAAAGACAAATCAGTAACCTACAGAATAGGAAAAAATATTTGAAAACCACCTATCTGATAAGGGGCTAATATCCAAAATATATAAGGATCTTGTATAACTCAATAGCAAAAAAGAAAAATCAACACAACCTGATTAAAAAATGAGCAAAGAACTTGAATAGACATTTCTCCAACAAAGACATAAAAATGGCCACCAGGTATATGAAAAGGTACTCAACATCCCTAATCATCAGGACAATGCAGATCAAAACCACAATGTTACCTCATATTTGTTAGAATAGTTATTATTGGAACTCTTATACACTATTGGTGGGAATATAAATTAGTACAGCCTTATATGGAAAACAGTATGATGCTCCTCACCAAACTAAAAATAGAGCTACCATATGATCCAGCAATACCACTTCTTTTGGATATATATTTCTCTTCAAGAGCTCGAAGATCTATCTGCATCCCCATTGTTTACTGCAGCAGCATTCACAATAGCCAAAACCTGTGTGTACTTTTAACACTTGGAGAGCCTGAGAATTTTTGTGGTGCTTCACTTCCTCACTAACTTTTTGGGGATATTTGAATCTGGGTATAAACATTAGATCAAATTGTATATGGTAATTATATAGTAATTATGGTAACACTTGCCATGTGTTTCCCAGTGTAGAAAAGCTTGAGAATTGCTTAGTATGATCTCCCATGTCATTTAGGAATATTTTCTACAGCAGTGTTTTGTTGTTGTTGTTCTGAGACAGTCTCATTCTGTCACCCACGCTGGAATGCAGTGGCATGATCTCGGCTCACTGCAACCTCTGCCTCCTGAGTTCAAGTGATTCTCCTGCCTTAGCCTCCCGAGTAGCTGGGATTACAGGTGCACGCCACCACACCCAGCTAATGTTTGTATTTTTAGTAGAGTGGGGTTTCACCATGGGCAGAGTTGTCTCGAATTCCTGACCTCAAGCGATCTGCCCGCCTCAGCCTCCCAAAGTGTTGTGATTACAGAGGGGGGAGCCACTGTGCCCGGCCAGCAGTGGTTTTTAAACTGTGTTCCCTGGAGTCCTCTAGGATTGCCTGAGGAGCCTTGGAGGATAAAACAATGTGAGTGAATGGAGTTGCAGGTCACAGGTCTTCTGTCTCACACTTGAACTAGAGCAGTGCTATTTTTATTTGTGTTATATTCTGGGATTTTACATAAACTTTTGAGAAAAATACTCTAATTTAAAAATATTGTTAGTGGCATCTATAATAGGTAGTCTTTCAGCCTTTGAGTGCCTCTATCATGAAAGTTACCCTATTCATTATATTACTGAACAATTGTGCTAGAAAGTTCTCATGAAGGCTCTAAATCTGCTCCATTGTATTTTTTACTGCTTATCCTCATATTGTCTCCTCATGCAGCAACATAGAGCAGGTTTGCTCCTTCTGCTGCTTGGCAGTATATGACTGTCAACGCTTACAGAATGAATGCTCCTGGAAAGTGTCCAAAAGGGCCACGAAGTTGTTATTTTTAGCATTGCTGAGACATGGATTTGGGTTACACACTGTTGGAGGATGGTGATGAGAGCCAGTCATCAGCTAGAAAGTCAACCACCCACCGTCCACACCTTTTTTATTTTCCCTGCATAATTACGCATGCAACCATTCCCCTGAAATGGTTAAGAAATAAAATTCCCTTTTTTCCCTGTAGAAAATGGGCCAAAAAAGCCACAGTAATTCCTATCACTGTTGATGAAAGAGAAGACAAGACGATCATGTCTTATGAAGTGTGTTGGTAACAAGAGTTGTGGTAGGCCTACTCAAGAATTTTTAAACTCTGTACTTAATGCGATCATGGGAATATTTGTGTTAACCTGAAATTATAGTTACAGCCAAGCATCTTCTCTTAATGGTCAATAAGAGCAAAGAGAACTCATTATGTTAGCTTTTCTATTATTCAGAAAATGATATAATTGTATTAATGATTTCCTGAATTTCCATATAATCATATAACATTAGTTTTTGTTCCTTGGATTTTAAAAAAGGCAATGCTGAAATGCTCAAATATTGTTTGGAATCAGTGGCATCTTGGTCCAATTAGTGAGCATTATTGTTGCAATATATACTCACACAGCACACCAGAGACAGCAGAAAATGCTCCTGTGTATAAGCAAGCATGGAAAGAATGGAAAAAAAAAAAAAAACAAAACCAGAGTTGCAGAATGGTTTTGTTGTTGTACATTGACAAAACTACCATGGTGAGCTTTCCTAATTTCTACTTGCTTGGCAGTTCTTGGAGCTAACAACACTGCGAAGAGAAGGGCTGTGGATGGGCTTTCCTCCCCTTTGTAAACAAGATTCTGTTCTTGATGGCCCCTGTTTGAATACTGAGCAGGCTAACTTGGCTTGCTCCTGCCACTTCTCTTCCAGGCAGAATAGGCCACCTCACTGCAGAGGACAGCACTTGCTCTCCACTGCAGGTGATGGAACCTGTTTGTGAAGCACATTTTAAAGACAGATTCTGTATTTTAATGGTCAGTTAGTAGCTGGCTACCAACTGTCTGTGCTTTCCGCCTGGGGACAGGAATGCCAGGCTTATTAAATATTGAGAAGTTGTTCATTACTATGAGGATCTATGACAACAGGCTATCTGCATACTGAGAAAACAGCAAGTTTACATTCTTCAGAATAGCTGCGCCAGTTCTGGGGAAGGACTAATGTTTATCTGGCTAAAGATGCATAAAAATGTAGGCTCTGTTTTCGAGATCTGCTTTGTTGCTTATTTTTTCTTTCTTGAAAGGGAAAATTTCAAAAACCAAACTTGCTTATGGGAAGAGAATTAAAAACAAACAAACCTTTTGAAAAATCTAGTTATCTCATACTGGCTGTTTTGGAGAAAATACCAAATGTTTGAAATATTAACTTACATGTTGGTATGTTATAAGAAAATATATTTAATTAGATTACTTCAGATTCCAAAGAACTGAGAAATTTAGTAGGATGCAGATAGGCTGTAAGGTGTAAAATGACGGAATATGAGCTGTCTCCTTGAAGTCTTCTCAATAATTGGAAAACTATAATCAGCAAGGGTTTAGTCAATGCCAGCTGAAAATTAGGAACCCAGGAAATGTAACCCATCTCATCATCAAAGAGAGAATTTACATACACGACTGTAGTTACTAATTACCAATTAATGTCAAGATCTCATGAAGACTATTACATAGGGTTAGACCAGTGATCTGTTCAGGCCCATTATTCAATTTTTGACCATTATGCTAATTATGATTACACCTGAAAATGTCTGGGATGTGTCTCGGGTGTGCACAACTTTCCTTCATGAGCAAGTATGAACACATCATTAATGAGTTTCCATGAACACTTGCTGAGTCTGCTTACATTTGTAAGCAATAATTCCATGGTTACATATGAGAGGACCAGTGCCATCTTTCTGTTGACTCTCATCAACCTGCACTGTGACCATAAACATCTACTTCACAGTACAGCATGATTTTTTGGGGGTGTGTATGTATATTTATAAATGAGAACGATGAGGCTGTTGATCACAAGGATAGCGTATTTGAGAGTCTTTCTCTTTTAGACACATTGAATCAGACCATTTTCTGAGAGTTTAACAGTGGAAATATCTCTTTCCCAATATCATTCTTAGAGGTTAGAAATGTTCTCTTATTCTCCCTAATTTCTGCTTTTTAGAACAGTCATCGAGAACAAAACTCTTCTTGGAATTTGCACTTCATGTTTCTCAGTGGATGCCCAGTGTTTCACATGCTTTCCCACCTAAGATATTTGCCTCATGCCCTAGCTGATAACTTTTGGTTTATTACCTTATTTTGCTGCTTTTGTATAACACAGTGACTAAGAGCTTAGGCTCTGAAGTTTGACCATCTCAGTGTCGGTTTTTTGCTCCACAGCTTATTATAATAGTTCTGGAACACTGGACAGGTAAGTCACTTTTCTGTGTCTCTGTTTCTCAGTTGTGCAATGGGGACAGTGACAGTATGTCTTATGAGGGTGTCAAGATGAAATATATGATCAATGTCACATGCTTAGCATTATATTTAACATATAGTAAATAAATGCACAATATATGTTAGTCATTATGAGTTCAACATCATCCAATGCTATTTGAGCAGCAACTCTAGACTGAGGATGAATAGATAGTAAAACATTGACATTATCTCGGAATAATGCTGAGAGTCCAGTGACAGAAACAGACAAGCAATTGCAATGCAGTGTGATAAAATACTTTTGAAAGGGCACATTCCTTGATTCTTGTTTGGTTCTTAATACAATTCTGTGAGATATCAACACCATTTTCAAATGAGGAATCTGGGCCCCAGGGAATGGAAATGAAGAGCCTGTAGGACAGAGACAAATCTTTTTCTTAAGTCTCTTGCCTCTGAATCTCACCTCTTGCTTTGTACACTAGGCTGTCCTGCCTTATGACCATACATTCCTGTATTGTTGCTGGTAATTTTGCACAAACACTCTCACCTCTATTTGGCTCTTTAACTGCATCATAGTCTAGGTTGATTTCATTAGGGACCATGATGCTGTGGAAAGAGCATGGGGCAGAGGGTCAAGATTACTGTAGGTGTATTCCAGGTCTGCTATTATCTTGCATGAGTACTTCCCTTGTGTCCTCACCTCTCTGGACCTCAGTTCCTCCAGCTGTTTAATAAACACTTTGATGAACACAGTGGTTTTCAGAAAACGGGTTCTGTGGCAGTGCCTCAGCCCCCTCCATCAGAAGGGTCTGCTTTTATCTGTGTCAATATATTGGTTGTATATACAAAGATGGTATTTGGGGAAAAAAAGGGATTCTGCTGCCACAAACAGTTTGAAATGCTCTGGGCAAATGATATCTAAGATCTTAGTCTAAAATCCCATGGTTTTAGTTGCTAAAAACAATGAGAAACCTCAGAAAGAAGAAACTGTGTTTAATATATCCTCACCTTCCCTACCTCCTAAGAAATGCTAAAAAGCAAAGGATAAATGACTTTTCATAACTAAATAGGTAGTAATTGGGTTTCTGAAGATTTGGTCTCTTCTACATAAAAAATTAAGAGCCGTTTTAATCAATGTGGTGTGGAGTGGAATGATTATAGAATTCACAGATGCGGGTTCAAGTTCTGGCTCTGGCGTGTGCTGTGTGTGGCTTCCCCAAATCGTTTTACTGCCCTCAGCTTTGGTGTCCCTTGCTCAGCCTGCCTCCCAGGATTGTGAAGTAGAAATAACTGAACTGAAAGTGCTTGTTAACTCTGGCAGCTGCTAAAATGTTAACTCTCCTTTTATGGTTGCTTTTAACATAATGATAAAATTCTGATGGGTACTTGTAAGATTTTCAAATCTTCGACTTCTGGGTTTTAGACATTTTTCTCCAACATGCTGCCGTGGTAGGGATGTCTTGGAGTTTGTTCCAACAGATAGGTCTTTAGTTAACAAAGAGAAGAGGGGTGGGTGTGTGTGTGTGTGTGCGCGCGTGTGCGTGTGCGTGTACATGTGCAGGTGTTGTTATTGTTGTTGCTATCCAGGCTGACAAATGGGTTTAGATCCAGACTTCCCCCTGCATTATTAATGAAAAATTTCATATCACCTGAGGCTAGCCTAGTTCCTTTCACGAGTCTTTGGCGACTAACAATCTCGCTGCCATCTGAAAAGAAGTCTGCCAAGCAAAGAATCTCCTCCCTCCCGTTTCCCTTAAGAAACGCTTTAGCATGGCCAGCACACGACTGCTACAAATGAGGTTTGAATAAAACACGGTGATAAATAAGTCAGCGTCTCCCTACACAGATTGCCACTTGTTTAGGGATTAAAGTATCGATTTCTGAATGTTGCTGAGATTTAGACATGGGTTAATTAAACATTTACATATATGTGCCGAACAATATATTGCATGGTACAATAATGTGCACTTTAATCAGAAACCGTGGGTGTTTGTATTTGCTTTTTCCATGTTAATTGGCACCATGCTGGCTCAGGCTTAGGTATTTGGCTAGATGGAAGAAAATAGACATGGTGTTTTAAATATTTTAATTAGGACCAGCAGTTCTCAGCTCCCTCATTTCTCATTGGATTGTTTTTCATGCATGAATAAATTAGCTAGCATGGAAGTACTCTGTAGAAAGTGGTTGCCCTCTGGCCATAAAAAGAGTCCTGTTCATTAATACTTTAATGAAATTAGCTGTGAGCAAAATATTATTCCTTTTAACTGTGTTCTAATTTCTTAATTTTAATTAGGCACATAATTGTAGGGTGCTGAAATTATCTTCATGTTCAGCAACTAAAGTTCCATCATCAGGAGCCCATGGTTGAAACACCACACACTCTCAACACGTTCCAGCAGGAAATGTTCTGTCCAACTTTTTTTTTTTTTTCATTAGCTTCACCAAAGATCCCCTTCACCCCTCCGTTTGCCACCATGATGCGATATTTCAAAGCTCCTGCTCCTGAGTCAGGCCATTGTAATGAAGCTGTTGGACTTTGGATCCATTTAGGAGTGAAGCAGTGAGGTTTACGAAGAATCTGGTCTGCTGGGTTTCTTTTTTCCTTTCAGTTTTTGTGTCCTCAGGCCCCCATCTATGTATCTGCACATGTGGTTTTATTTTAGAATTCTCTGTAGGTGCCTCTGTCTACAATTGATAATGTTATTGATTGGTTCAGATGGGATCTGCGAACTCGGCGAGGGCAGGGGATTTTTCCCCTCTCCCATCCCGTTTGCGGTACATGGGTTCTACTTTATGCAAATATAGTTGTTGAATGCGTGATATTTAATGGAACTCTTGATTCCATAATGCTGCAAATTCCTGTTATAAGTTGTGGCATTTTAAGAGTCCACAGATAAATACCAAAACAGAATTTCTGAGTTTGATGGGAGAGTAATCTGAATTTGCTGAGTTTTGATTTTAGAAGAAATAGTGTGGAAGCTGAATTAAAATGTGAGTGAGAAACTGAAAGCCTATATACATTACTTCATATTATTCCTCAAAATTCAAACTGAGATCTTTCATGACATGTATTAGATATGTATCATTCAATAACTACTGAAAAACTAAAAATGGATTCAATAATTGTTTGTAGCATTCTTGACTGACCATTCCCCAACTCTTAACATTACATCATATACCTAGACTAATAGCTTTTGAGTGAATTGAGAAAGGCAACTGTCTAACTATTTAAATATTTTATAGGTATTAATTAATATAGGTAAACATTGTGTAGTTTATCAAATATACTTTTCATTTCCATCAGAAGTTACATATTTGATCTGATATATAAAATAGTAATAGCTGTCTCAGTCTTATTGGGATTATTAAATGAGATAAACATAGATAAGGCACATAGAACTGTACCTGACATATATTGAGCAATCAGTAAATGTCAGATAATATTGACATTAGTAATACTTGCATATAATATAGATTGCCATTTTGCAAACTATCTAACATTATACACTTTTATAATGTGTACAAATCTCTCTTACTATGATTTCACTTAATTTAACTGCATCTATTTTGTAAAAATAGAGGTCAGATATCCAGTTTTATAGAATGAGGCAAATCTCATCCCACCTAGTCACTTAACAAAACAATTCCATGAATGAGACCATATCTCAGATTTAGCTTGATGCTTATCCACACCAGATTTCAGGGATTGCAATTACGGAGTATGTAAAATGCACTGAACACAGTGGGGGGTGCCAGTGCCCATCACTCAGGCCCCGCTTTCCAGTCCTAAGGTAAACAGGATCCCAAAGTTGCTGCATGTTCTTCCCGCGTGTGTTTTCACCTTTTACCGTTTATAAGTTAAAAGGAAATAATATATTGTGATTTGGGCAGATTTCAGTTTTACACACAGAAACTTACAAAATTTTGGCAATATTTTAAGGTGAAAAATATGAGAAATAATAAGAAAAATAAATTACAAATTGTAAAAACTGACAAATATCACAAAAATTTGGAAAAATAATAGTATTTGTGTTAATTAACTATTTGACATACCCCTGTTAAATTTTTTCTCCAGGTTTTTGGCTGCATACTTTATGTGAAATGATTTAATATTTTCTGTATAGTTTTCTTAATTTTTTTTCTAAATAGATATTGTTTCCTGAATGTTTAGACAAATATCATTACCTAAGTAACAACAATATGAATACAAAGATAATTTTTTCCCTTTAGCATTGTTGATCGAACGTTCATATTCTTTTATTTTATTTTTGAAATGTGGTCTTACTATGTTGCCCAAGCTGACCTCAAACTCCTGAGCTCAAGCATTCCTCCTGCCTCAGCCTCCTGAGTAGCTGGGATTATAGGTGTACAATGCAGCATCAGGCTTTTTTGTCGTTGTTGTTCTTAATAGTAGAAATTTGTAAAGGATGAGTCTGTACACAGAAATACTCATTTGTTTTGTAGTGCTGCTACGAGTTTTTGCCCTACAAACATAGGAATAATGAGAAATTCTATTTTGGAAAGTTTTCCCCAAAACAAAATAAAAGCAGTGTGTTTATAATTGTATATGCTATATTATGAGTCCATTCCTAAAAAGAGAGCTTTGTTTTCAATTGGCATCAGTGAAAACCGAATCTCCCATTTGAAATTTTACATGTCTGATGACTGAGTTTTTCAAAGACCAGCTTCTGATTCCATCCATTTCAAATATGGCCTCTTTTGGATCATCTCCACACTTCCGGTTCTTGGTGCTGTAGAACACAATTATGTCTTGATCACGCCTTAGGGAACGCACCTTTGATAGGTAGCAGGAATATTTCTGGGGGCAATTCTTGCATTAGATGGGTTATAAAGCACATGGATGTGTCCCATAAAACCTAAACTAAATGTGTCCATAATTAACTTCTCCTCAATCAGATCCAAAAAGTGCCCCTGGTCACTCCAATGCTACATGATATGAAGGGACAGGAAATTGTTGAAGTTGGTGTGAGAAGCGACAATTGTCTTAACCAAGTGTGGCTAAAATATTTTACTTATAAAAATTACAAAACATACGGCCATGTGAACATGTTGCCAGAGCCCCTCCCAGGGGCTTGAAAGGGGCCTGAAGCTTATGTTTGATTAGATGAGAGCAATTCTGGCTCCAATAGGATGTTGACAAATTCTAGATACTGTACTTATGTTTCTGCAACTTTCTTTTATTTCCCAACATTGAGCTTTTCAGATTCATCATTATTGATACAGGTTAAGTCTAGTTTATTCATTTTAATATTATGCACTATTTCATTTAATGAAGATACCACATTTCATTTTCATTTTCCTCTTGATGGCCTTTAGGTCATTTCCAGTGTTTTACCACTACAAATAATTTACTGAGTAAATATCTTAGTACATGTCCCCTTTTGCACATATGTAAGAAGACGTCTAGAGAGGTCGCATATTATAAGAATTAAGAATATGAATTCTGGCGTCAGTTTGCTGGGTTTCCTTGTTAGCTGTGCCATTAACTAGTTATGTGACCTTAAATCACTTAACCTCTCTGTGCTGTGAGTACCTTGCTCATGGAATTGTTGTAAGGATTAAATGAGTTAATATATAAAACATTTAGAACAGGGCTTGGAACATAATAAACCTGTGTGAGGGTTTGTTTCCTTATTTACCAAGGAATGACATCTTTGGTTTATAAAACATGCACATATTAAACTTTATTAGATGTTGACAAATTACTCTCCAGAATTGTACATCTTTATGCTTCTCCTCACAATGAATGAGAGTTCCTGTCATCTTGTGTCATTCTCTACATTTGTATTGTCAGGCTTTTAGAGTTTTTGACATTCTGATGGTATGAAATGATATCTCATTGTTGTTTTAATTTGCATTTCCCTCATTTTTACTGAAGTTGAACATCTTTTCCTATGTTTTTGGCTGTTTGAGGTTTCTCTTTTGTGAATTACTTGTTCATAGACTTGGCTTATTTTTCTTTTACATTGTTTGTCTTTTTCTTGTTGATTTGTAGAAGTTCTTTATATATTCTGGGTATTTCTTAATCGGTTCTATGCATTGCAAGATTTTTCTTCTGGTTTGCGGTTTTCCCTTTAAATTTTGTTTGTGATTTTTTGTTAAAAGATTTAAGTTTAATGTACTAGAATTTATTAATCTCTTCCAATATAATTAGTTATTTTGTGTCTTTGAAAATTCTTTCTATACCATTAGGTCCTAAAAATATTCTGTCTTATGTGTTTTTACTAAATGTTTTAAAATTTTATTTTTTCACATTTAGTCTTTAATGTTCTTAAAATTAATTTTATATACACTATTAAATTACGGTATAAATAAATACTACTTTTTCCATGTAGACAGCTGGTTGTCCTCATACTATTTGATGACTTCCTTTCCCTCATTGCCTGGTTATGCCTCCAAGCTCCCATGTACTTGGATGGGGAGGTGGAGGGTGTACTCAATTTCTGGCTAGCTATTCTGTTTTGCTGATCTCTTTATTCCTGAGCCATAGCATGCTTTTTAATTCCTGTGGATTTATAAGTCTTTGAAGTCTTAACTTATATTAAGTCTTTAAAGCCTTAATTTATAATAAAAGTCTTTCAAGCTGGTAATCTGAGTTCCGCTTGTCCTTATTCTTTAAAACTGTTTCAGCTATTTCATAGTCTTTTACTTCCATATGGATTTTAGAGACAGCTTGTCAAATTACACACCCACCCATGTCCCTATTGGGAGCTTTGACATTTTACTGTATTTAGAGATAAACTTGAGTGATAAGTGACATATTTATGATATTGACTTTTCCCTCCATAATCATTATACATCATATATACAAATCATTACACAGCTTTTTACTCATTTAGGTTTTATTTTCTGTCTTTTAACAGTTCTACACTTCTATCCACAAAATTCTTACACATAGTTTTTTTTTTTTGTATTTTCCATCTTTGTTTGTTAATCTGTACTTTAGATGGGGTATATATTTTTAAAGACAAGTTTCTAGTTCTAATATTCTCTTTAGCTATGTCTAATCTGCTCTTAATTCATTGAATTTTTAATTTCAGTTATTATGTTTTTGGTTTTGCAATTTCTGTTTGATATGTTATTTTAAAAATTAGCTTTCTAGTTATCTCCTGAAATGCCCTATCATACCATCTAATTTCTTAAACATATTAGTCCCTTTAAAGGAACATGTTCTCTCTCTCTCTCTCTCTCTCTCTCTGTGTGTGTGTGTGTGTGTGTGTGTGTGTGTAGAAAAGGAGTGTATGAACTATACAGATATTCCTGAAAGTAGGAATTCTATTAACTCGTCATTAGAGAGCAACAGGCATTTCAGGGTAATCAGAAAGAAGATGAAGTTTAAAGAGGAGAACCCATTGGACTTATGTATTAAAATCTAAGTAAACATTCAAAATGTTAATCAAAGTATATCGTCTTTTTAAAGTTAGGATATTTTACTCAGGGTTTATGAGGTACCTACTAAACTGGACAATTCATGAGGATGGGTTTATGTCTCTTTTTTGAGGTCACCAGCGCCTGGAATAGTGTCTGGCATATGTTTCATGCTCAATAAAAGTTTTAAAATTGAACTGAATTAATATTCCAATAAAGTTACCTTTTTGAAACACATCCTGACTAATTAGGGATAGACATCTGGAAGGGGATTTTGTGGTAAGTCTAGAATGTAAAGATTTTTACATATAAACAAATGTGCTGCTGAATTAATTTTAAAAACTGTATTCATCTCAATAGAAAACATTCAAAGTATTGAGCCTATTTATTTGATACATAAAGGCAGGATGGAAGGGAGGATGAGAGGAAGAGAAGGAGGAAGAATTCAGGTGGGAAAGTCCTGCAGTGAACAGTTTGTCCCTCCTGGTCAATATAGTTCAGACTTGTTTAAACGCTTAAATATTCTCTTCTGGTTTGGGGTTGGGGTATGATATAGCTGCCACAAATTTCTATGGGTTTCAGTACAAAATGGCCACATAGGTGTGACCCAGATGAAACCATGTAGACTATGCTATTAGGTATTTGCATTTCAGGACAGTCCCAACTGATTATCAGAGGAGAGAGCTGGGCAAGGTTGAACATCTGATTAAAGTGCACATTGCTCACAGTTTTCTACTGCATGAGTTCCAAGTGGTGCCTACTCTAGGTGTTACTGCTACAGCTTTCCTAAGACAGCTAGTACAGATGGCTGTAGTTCTTGATTATTCCTCCCTTTTGGGAACTGGATTCAGGTTGGTTTGCAATTAAAAACAAAACAAAACAAAACTAGTCTTGATAAAACTTGGGAGCAAATTTCTGCCTTTTCATAGATTGGCCCTAGAAGCAAGAAAGCTAAGAGATTTGTCATTTCCACTGGCCAATCTAGTTTTGCTATATAAACAACTTAAAATATAATGTGCTGTATGGTCTGGGACTATGTGACATGACCATAGGGAGTGTTTACTTTTTACCTGTGGTCAGTCTTCCATCAACCTGAATACTCTTAGGACTCAAGATGGAAAGACTGGAATCACATAACCTCTAAGTCATCATTCATCACTTGGCCAAGCAATTGTTTCTGATTGAGCAAGCAGGAGTATTATTTATTGACAGAAGTAGTTGGGAAGAAACAATTTTGATAATGTCAAAAAACCAGCCTAGGATTTAAATCATCTAGGGCTCAAAATGTAGAGAAAATTTTGGTCTATCCATCGCTCTATTTATTATTTTCTCTTGATATCAATTTCTCTCATTCCAAAATGAACCTAAGAGACTTATACAAATGCATACACACAAACACATACACACATTCGTTTCTATGGAAAAACTGGAAGATGATATATATAGGTATATAGATAAGCATAGAAATAAGATGGGAAGACTATACACCAAGATGTTAACTAATGCAATCTCCCCAGGGTGGGATTCTAGATTATTCTTATTTTCTTCTTGTTTCTGCAATGAATGTGTATCATATTTTAAACAAGAGAATAAGTTACTATATAATGAATAATTTTTAAAAATAATTTCTTATAGAATCTTATAAAATGAGAAATAGCAATGTGTTCAAAGTTACATATATCCACTCAATAAAACAAAAAAAATTTTAAAAGAGAAAATAAGAATAGGAAAGGTAAACCGAGAAGAAGGCTGAGTTTAGCCATAAAGAGGCAGGCTGAGAAGTGTGGTAACTTGGTGAAGGTGGGGCCTCAAATGTGTTGTTGATGGTGGGGTACAGTGACTCACGCCTGCAATCCCAGCACTTTGGTAGGCTGAGGTGGCCAGATCACTTAAGGCCAGGAGTTCGAGACCAGCCTGGTCAATATGGTGAAACCCCATCGCTACTAAAAGTACAAAAAAAGTAGCCAGGCATGCTGATGCCTGCCTGTAATCCCAGCTACTTAGGAACCTGGGGCATGAGAGTTGATTGAACTCCGAAGATGGAGGTTGAAGTGAGCCAAGATTGTGCCACTGCCCTCCAGCCTCAAGTGATCCACATACATGTCCCCACGTACACTATGGCTTCCCTCCAACTCCTCCTCCATATGATAGCCAATGATCTTAAAAATTACACATCAAATCGTGTTGCCACTGGGCTTCCTGCTGCTGTCCTTACCTCCTTTAATACATGTCAACGTGGCAGTCAGAGTGATCTGAAGACTCAGTTGGATTATGAATGTCACTAGTGACATCCTTTCAATGACTTCAAGTTTCTCTTTAGACAAAGACCCCAATCTTTACAGTGGCCTAAAAGGCCCTTGGTGACTGGGCCCTGGCCTACCTCTCAGCTGAGTTTCTGCCACCTTCCCTTTATGCAGCAGGTGTGCCGCCCTGTGTGCTGTCTTACTTCCAGTCCTTTGTGCTTGCCACTCCCTGTGCCAGGAGGGTTCCCTCCTTCCTTCCCTTTATTCCTATTCATTTCTCTTTTATTAATAGTTCAGCTCAAGGGTGGCAAGGAGAGGATCAGGAAAAATAACTAATGGGTACTAGGCTTAATGCCTGGGTGATGAAATAATCTGTACAACAAACCTCCAAGACACACATTTACCTGTGTAACAAACCTGCACATATACCCTGAACTTAAAATACTAAAAGTTTAAATAAACAAATTTTTAAACCTTGCCCATCTTTGAAAGTCTTCCTAAATAAATATGCAAAATTAGCTTGGAGAAAAAAAAAATAATCAGCTTCAAAATCCAGACAAAGCGTGCTCCCTCTTTTATAATTATGAACAGGAGCCTATACTTTTCCTTCCACGAACTCACCACAATGAATAGTTGATGTTCATTTGTGTAATTGTTTCATGCATGGTGCTTCCCATCCCAAGACAGGCTTCATGAAGAAGGGAAATCTTGTTCACCATCATATCCCTTGTGGCCACAATTCCTAAGTACATGATAGGAGCTCAGTAAATGCTTGTTGAGTAAATAAATGAATGTCTTAAAGATTTCATTGGAAGATTCTTTATTTATGCCTCTCTCCCTTCTACCTTGAATCACTAGTTTGAAAGTAAGTTCAAGAAGGAAATTACAAGCCTGCTCATCTCTGGATCTGGAGGTCTGGAGCATCTGTCTGAACAAAGAATGGGGATTGTGGTTGCTGAGCAACAAAATAAAAAAGTCCCAGAAGAACACAGCTAGCAACATCCCCAGGTCAAATTCTTGGATTTTGGATTCAACACTGTTTTCTGTTTATAGCTTTAGCTGCTTTTGGAATGGGGACAATTTGCCTCTGCTGTGTCCTCTTCTTGGCACAATTATTTCAACCTTTAGAGTATTGCTAGTCATTGCTAGTCTGTTTTGAAGGGAGAGAGGCATGAACTCTAAAATTACATCAGTTATACCCGGAGTTCTTAAAGGAAAAGAAACATGGAATCATTGGATGAAATCGTGTAATGGTGAATAAAGAAGGTTGAAAAATGTATGTAAGAACATTTATCAGTTAAAAAAACCAGTGCTCTTCAGAGTACTTAGTTTTCAGCATGGGACTTTAATTTCATGATGATCCACCTTTTTTGGTTGCCTTCTCCTCCTCCCCTTCCTCCTCGTCTTCCTCCTCCCCCTCCTCCTCGTCTTCCTCCTCCCCCTCCTTGTTAGTGTGACTGGAAAAATGTTTATGTACACGATAAAAATACAAATTTGAACCTCCAAATTTGTCTCTGAATATTAAGTGACAAGATGATGTGCAGTATTTTTCAGAACTACCTGGGGGAACACAACTATTCTGTTACAGTTAATAATACTTGCAATTCTGTTCAAAACCACTTTTAAAAACCTGATAGCTGCTTCATGGGGTGACATTGTCTTCCAGCTTATAGTTTAGAATTCTTGGTTGAGTCCATGCTTGCAAAGTAGCTATTTGGCTTATTAATTTAACCATTCGTGCTTACCAAAATCATCTTGAATCCATGGAGGTGTTCTCATGATGTCTTTAAAGACATACTTCTAAAATTTGAAATAAACCTTTCATTGCATGTATACCATATAATGACATTTTATGTTGCAGTATGTAATAGAAATAGACTAGAATGCATGTAATCATCATAAGGCATACTTTTTGTTACCAGCCCTTAGTTCCTTTTTCCAAGTGGGTGGAGACATGCAAACGTGTGTGGAAAGGGAAAAGGAGGGGGGCAGAGATTGGAGTGGAGATTAAGTTAGAGAAGAAGAGGGAAGGCTTGGGGCAATTGTGCAAGTTTGGGAAAGGAAGCTTTAAATATTGAGGTCTGGAGCAGGGTATTTTCAATCATTTAGTCAAGCAATAATGATTGATTCTATAAGAGGCACTATGCTGGTAAATTTAGAAGTGAAAAAGGATCATGATGCTTAGCCTTATGAAGTTTATAGTCTAACAAGAGAAACGGGCATTAAACAAATACTCATACAAATAAATATGCATTTGTAAATTATAATTTAAAAAACAACAGATATAATAAGATTACATAAGGGAGTCCTGATTTAGATATACGAGAAGCCAGGGAAATTTTTTGTTATTAAAGGCACTTGTCAGCTGAGATGTGAAAAATGGCTTAGAATTGGCCAACCACAGAGAAGGGAAAAGAGTGTTTCAGGCAAAGAAAACATACAAAGACTCTGAGGTGGGAAAGAGCTTGGCACCTTTAAGAAATGGAAAGGAGGTCAGAGTGGCAAATGCAGACAGGAAGAGGAGAGGGAACAGGGCCTCTTCAGGTAGCCTGTGGTGGGAAAGGGGCTTAGAGTTTCTCCTTAACACCATGGGAAGGCACCCAAGAGTTGTAAGTTGGGAGTGGCATGATCAGATTCGGTTTTCAAGAGCACTCTGGTTAAAGTATGGGGTGCAGAGTAGGAGAACAAGAGAGGTGATGGGAGTGTGCTAAAAGTAACAACACGATGTGAAATACTGAAAGACCCCTTGCCTAAACTTTCCACATCTTCCTATTGCTGATGCTTAAAACTTACTTCCTTTGGTTTGAAATATTAAAGATTCCCTAATGTGTTATGCAAGGGAGGGGATCAACCATTATTATGCATTACAATATGAAGTACTAGGTCCTCTTCCAAGCTGCTAATAGAGCATATGGTGCAACCACTTTAGAAAGAATCTGTTGTGACCTTATCTCTACTAGCTCTATTAGTAACATCTGATTTTCTTAAACACAACAATTTGAGGCAAATATTGCAAAAATAATACTTATTAAATGTGTGTTGTAGAGAACTTTATATCAATGGTAAGGATGAAAATATGGAAATATTTTTTAATCAAAAAATGAAATTCTGGCTGGGCATGGTGGCGCATGCCTGTAATCGCAGCACTTTGGGAGGCCCAGGTGGGAGGATTGCTTGAACTCAGGAGTTTGAGACCAGCCTGGGCAACATGGGGAAACCCCGTCTTTACGAAAAATACAAAAATTAGCTGGGCATGGAGGTGCACACCTGTAGTGCCAGCTACTCCAGGGGCCTGAGGTGGGAGGATTGCTTGTGCCCACAAGGTTGAGACTGCAGTGAGCGGTAATCATGCCACTGCATTTCAGCCTGGGTGACAGAGTGAGACCTTGCCTCGAAATAAAATAAAAAATAGAGTGAAGAAAGCAGAAAAGGAAGAGACCTTTTTTGTGGACAGTTTTACCTAGAGTCCCTCCTTTCAAAAGCTAACTTCTGGTTTTATCAAAGACTGGCCTCTGTTAAGAATATGACTTCACTTTAGGAAAGTTTAGGCATTTCTAGAATTTGTTTCCCATCTCCTTGCTTGAATGGAAATGAACCTGTGATGGAAAAAAAAATGAGGAAAACTAAAAAAGATGCAATCCCAGCATTGAGGTGCTGGGGGCACAACTCCAGGGGCCAGTGTGATCTATACAACACAGCTGTCTTGACCAGAGCTGATTTTCAATTTTTCTTTTTGGCAGGGGAAATGGGCATTGAATTAGGTGGGGATGCTTGAGGGGCCTCAACTGTATCTGTAATGACTCACTTCCTTAAGAAAAAGATCTGAAACAAATGTTAAGCTATCTGAAGCAAAATGTTAAGCTATGACAAAAATAAATGGTTAGTTACATGTGTGATTGTTAAATGATTTTTCTATCTAGATATTTCATAATAAAAATAACCTTTGAGATTTCTCAGAAACTTAATAAATGCTCATTTTATATGATTGCAGCTATAAGGGAGGTATAGTTATGAGGTTATGAGTTTGCCTACAAATGCCATATTTCTTATGTATATTGTCTTCAGCCTAAACAAAATGTAGTATATTGTTACTGGTAGAAAGTAATGTGGGTGAGCTAGAAGGTGCACATTTATCTAGTTGCCTGTAAGAGATGAGCAAGTTATCTGCTATGTTTCCCCTTCCCTAGATTGGAGAAAGGGCATCTGAGTCCCTTTGCCTTTCAATGTTACTCTCTCTTAGTTGTTTAAAGTTTCGGAAATTATTCTCAAATATTGTTTGAGCACAGAACAGGTCGCACATATGATTAAAATAAAATGCCCTTAAAAAATAAGTATGGTTTCAAGTTAGCATATTTGCATAATCCTACACCAAAGAGACTTTAATCCTTGACAGGACACTTTACATTTACTCCATTTGCTCTTGAAGATTAGCAGATGATATTAAAGGTTTGTTCAAATTGCCCACACTTGATGTTTGTCTCAACCTTCAGTGATACTAAAAAGAGAAATGCCAAGCATGGAGTCTTCCAGAAGAGCCTCCACAGAGCTTCTTATTTCTGCAGCTGCCAGCCACCTCGGTCTTCTCACTTTGGGTTCCCAGTAAAGGTTCAAGTGTTAGCTTTATAAATAATGATACCAAGCTGCCTGAAGCTAGCGTCCCTTGTGCTTGGGGAGATTTTGGCATTAAATCAAACATCATCAATTTTTTAAGAAATGGAAATGAGTTACAGATGTGGACTACTGAAAGGGCTCATGTGTGTTGGGCTTCAGTCTGTCTGAAACTGAGGACATTTTAAAAGAAAATCAATGGAAAATTCAGTTCTCCTGGGAAGAGGGAGGCTTGACTCTTTGGAAACCTGCTCCCCTTTCCAAACCTTCACTCCTTGTACCCTATTGATATAAAAACAGATTCAACTTCATCAGTGACAAGATGGGTGGTGGCTTGTTAAAAGGAATACCAAGTTCTCGGATGAGAATTTCATTTGTCTGTTTCAACTGAACCCACATACGCTTCTCTTTTACTGTGAGAAATTTTGGAATTTTTTTCATTTGATTCATGGCAAACTGAACACTTACAATAAAGTATCTCTCTCCTTTTACTTTCCTCAGCAATATTTAAATCAGTGCTGAAAGAAATAACCATAATTTTTCTTAAATTTCCATTTGACAGTTGACAGTCTCTATTTTATAATTCTACTTTTTTTTTAAAAGGAAGATTGTAAATGCCTGTACTATATATGGTATACATCATTGCGAAGAGCAACACTGGTGTTTCTTTTGTGTTTAGAATCATGAATTATAAGTGACTTAAGAACTTATCGCCAACTGGCACATTGAGTCAGCCTTTCAGTGTCGCTTCAAACATGTCAGTATATTAAACTACAGTGTTTGCTATCTGTTGGCATTTATTCTAACAGGAATCAAGTGGCTTATTTAAAAAGAAAGACCCAAACACGTGTAACAAGTCCTCAGAAACAGGCAAGACTGTGTTTCGATGCCATTAATTACTTTTGATTATCAAACTGCTGTATCCATACTAATTGCTAAATCCCATGGGATCTCACTAAGATGAGATATAGCCAAGAATAGACAATAAAACGCCTAGTCAGCAGACGTGGTGATTTTAACATCTTAAAGACCATATTTAAAGGTATGTTATGATGTTAACTTAATATCATAGCCATGAGGTTAAGTTAGCAGAGGCAGACACCCTTCATTAATAAGTAACTGATTTGGGGGTGGGGGGGGGCAGTCCTGTCATGACGAGGGACGTTAACTTGTTTGTTTTCCCTTGAGGTCTCTTCTAACTCCAGAACATCACAGATTGCACTTCTAGATTGATATGGGCAAAATAAGCTGAAAATTGAGTAATTAAGATTTAGAAATGTATTTTCTTTCTATTCATGACATAATAGAAATTATTTGTCTTTAGCCTACCCCCACCCCTCCCAGCATGTGTTGGCTCCTCTAGATGGTTTTGCTGGTGGAGACAACTGTTTCTATCATGGTTGAGATTTGACGGTGCTGGGTTCTTCCTTCTGAGACAACAATCGTTTGGCTTTTCATCCTACTTTTTCCCTGACTTTACTTTTTAAAAATTTATTTTTTTAGAGACAGGATTTTGCTCTGTCATCAGGCTGGAGTACAGAGGTACAATCATGGTTCACTGTAATCTTGAACTCTCAGGCTCAAGCAGTCCTCCTGCCTCAGGCTTTTAAGTAGCTGGGACTACAGGTGCATACCACCACACCTAGCTAATTTTTTTTTATTATTATACTTTAAGTTTTAGGGTACATGTGCACAACGTGCAGGTTTGTTACATATGTATACATGTGCCATGTTGGTGTGCTGCACCCATTAACTTGTCATTTAACATTAGGTATATCACCTAGCTAATTTTTAAGCAATTATTTTTTGTTGAGGTGGGGTCTTGCTATCTTGTCCAGGCTGTTTCCCTGATTTTAAATCTAGGTTTTGGTTATGATGTGGATGAAGAATATCTTCGCAGTATTTTTTTCATGGTAATACTAGTTCATGTTTTCCTTGCTTTTGGTTCTCACTATTCTTGCTAAGTTTTGTTTTGTTCTGGTTTTTGGTTTTAAACATAATCTTGAGTTAAAAGCCATTGGAAAAACTCCCCCCAACATGCTTCTCTTTTTCCTAATCAATGTGTGGGAAGGACTCTTCTTTGTTCTTTTCAATAAAATAGTTTTCTAACAAATTAGTGAAACCTTTTCTGCTACTTCCCTTCATGAGGAACTATCTATAGATTACCGAAGAGTAGAGCTCCTAGTGAACACTTCCTTCCCTGGAGTAAGTCCTGGGAAGCACAAACGTTTCAGTGCCGAAAGACGTAAAGACAGGCACAAAGAGGAACATGGGATGCTTGAGGATCATCCAAATTTCAACCTACACCATTATGTAGGTGCCAACATAGGTAAGGGTCTGTTAAGCTCATGTTTTCTGTGAAAGAAGTAGAAGGCGAGCTGAGGATTTCCACACTACAGGCCACATTTCCCTGCTGGGCCCGAGAAACTCGGCTGGAGTTTATGGTCAGTAGATGGTTAGAATAAATTCCTTGAGATCACCTGCAAAGGCACCAAACTGATATCCTGGTGATGCTTCCTTTAAGATGTAGCCATCGTAAGAATCTTTCCAAAGTGGAGGTATTTTAGAAAGCACGTTAATGAAATTGGGTGTGATTAAATGGAGGCAATTCTCTTGTTTGGTTTTATGAAAATGAATCTAACTCGTGAAATAGATCCATCTCCCATTTCTCAATATCTTGTCAGGATGCCATTGCAGTGGGGACCAAGTGCTCCCTTTCCAATTTAATGGGAAATCAAAAGTGCAGAGCCATCTGCACAGACAAAAACCAACAACTCTGAAGGATGACCCTTCAGTGGAAATGCATTATGGAGCAGGCCATGTGTTTTCCTGAAACTCATATTTTAACCCCAGCGTGGATCTCTGTACTAAAGTAAGATCTCAGTAAGAGCCCAGCTTGTGTTATACCCTACCCGGTGTCAGTGGTGGGCAAACAATAATTGTCAGAGCTCAGGTTTCTCTAAGACCTCATATTCTCGAAGTGGATATCATAGGTGTAAAGACCAGTGAAGTTGATAATGAAATAGCTAGTATTCCTTTAGGATTTTGATGTCAGAGAAAAGGAACTTATCATCTCTATTGCCAGGAAGCTGTCAAACCTGCCTTAATTATGATTAATAACATACACATACCTGAGAAGATTTTTTTCTCTCTCTCATGCTGACTTTCTTAAAAATGTCTCTTTGCTAAATATGATCTCAGGGTCCAACGCAGCTGTAGCTTTAGGAACAGACTAGAATGGGTTCTCTCTGTGTGGTGATGTTTACAAAAACATTTGTTCTTGGCTAAATAAATCAGGTTCAAAAATCTCTCTGTGTATATTGTCTTTCTTTGCAGTTGCTAGTTTTACGGTGAAAAAAGGTGTTTTGAGCGGACAATTTTAATCTTTTCATAAATGAGCTGTCTGTTTTTTTTTATTATACTTTAAGTTCTAGGGTACATGTGCACAACATGCAGGTTTGTTACATATGCATACATGTGCCATGTTGGTGTGCTGCACCCGTTAACTCGTCATTTACATTAGGTATATCTCCTAATGCTCTCCCTCCCCCCCTCCCCCCACCCCACGACAGGCCCCAGTGTGTGATGTTCCCCACCCTGTGTTCAAGTGTTCTCATTGTTCAATTCCCACCTATGAGTGAGAACATGGGATGTTTGGTTTTCTGTCTTGGAGATAGTTTGCTCAGAATAGTTTCCAGCTTCATCCATGTCCCTACAAAGGACACGAACAATGAGCTGCCTGATTTTAAAGCAAGTCAGTAAGTACTTCTTATTCACCCTCCAAGAGAATGATGATTTCCCTGTTTCTGAAGTGAGCAGTTTTATTGTCTTAAAAGAGAAAAATGGGGAGTAATTATGATATTGATATAAGATTTGAGAAAGAAGCACATATGAATTGTGAATTGTGGCTAAACCAGTGTAATAGAGCTGTCTTGATAGTCATAACGTAGTAAACAACACTGGTCAAAGGTAATTATGAAAAATAAATAAGAATGGAGACCATTTATGGTAGAGTCCTATGTAATGATGCATATTTTACTCTGCTGTTTAGACAAATAGTGAATTCAGAAGTTTATGCATTTGAGGAGAGGCTATTTAAAAAGAGGTTGTATATGAATTTTGCACAGGTTTTGACTTTTTTTTTAGTCTAGACCTATCTTTTGTTTATTCTTACCAACATTCCCAGAGTGTTTTATATTTGCAAAGTGCTTTACGCTGGTTTTACTAGTTATTCCCAATGATAATACACACCTGACCTCATTCTATTGTTTAGGTGAAGTTAATAGGCCTCAGAATTCAGTGAGTTGATGGCTCCATCTCTGGCTTAATTAGACAGTTTAAGCTCTAATTGGCTGGTGGTAAGTCAATCAGTTAAAGAGTTGCACATTCACTCCCTGGGAATTGTGGGAACGATTGGTCCAGGGGGCACCAGACACTGCAGGAGAAATCACTCAGAGCAGAACCTCCCGTCGTCCCAAAGGGCCATGGCAGGTGATGTCCATCAAGGGAGGGTCAAGTGCGCGGGAGGCTCAACCTTTTCTGTGTGTAGAGTCTGAGGAAAAGCAGATCACCCTGTCCCCAGTGCTACAGAAGGAAAACATGTTAAACATGTTGCTCACCAAGATGGAGACAGAAGTGACTGTGAACTAGAACAAAGGCTGCCTTGGAAAGGGAGGCAACGGCAAGTCAGAATACCCAGGTGTGATGATGAGACTGCTGTGGGATCAAGCATCCTGGGATGTGGGCATCAGAGCCAGCATAGACCTGCAAATTCTGAATCTACGGGGCTATGAGTTCCTTGAGGAAAGAACTGTGTGTCCTTCAATTTTTGTATCCCTTATAGCAGCAGTCCCCAAACTTTTTAGCTCCAGGGACCAATTTCATGGAAGACAATTTTTCCATAGATGAGGGGCTGTTGGGGGGATGGTTTCAGGATGATTCAAGCACATTTATTTTGCACTTTATTTCTATTATTATTACATTTTAATATATAATGAAATAATGATACAACTCACCATAATGTAGAATCAGTGGGAGCCCTGAGCTTATTTTCCTGTAACCAGATGGTCCCATGTGGGGGCGATGGGAGAGACAGTGACAGATCATCAGGCATTAGATTCTCATAAGGATTGCACAACCTAGATCCCTTGCATGTGCAGATCACAGTAGGGTCCATTTTCCTATATGAATCTAATGCCTTCACTGTTCTGACAGGAGGTGGAGCCCAGGCGGTAATGTCAGGGATGGGTAGCAGCTATAAATACAGATGAAGCTTTGCTTGCTCACCCGCCACTCACCACCTGTTATGTGGTCCAGTTCCTAACAGGTCACGGACCAGTACCAGCCTGTAGCCTAGGGGATTAGGGACCCCTGCCTTATAGTGTCTATCCCTGGGCTTCGTATGCTGTATTTACTGAATAAATACATGAAAACATGTATTCCAGTAGTGAATAAACCCTTGCTCAAAACCTATTTTTTTTATATGTTTAATATTGGCCACATGAATGGTCATCTACTTTATCTTATTCTCTGGCCTTGATTATAAGGTTTTTCCCAAGTCAGCCCATTCCTGCTGGAATATGCACAAGAATGTGTTGCATCATTCTATCCATGGATGGATTCTCAGGGTGCCCACCTTGAAGGGGAGCATGGATATTTAGTTGCATAAATTCTGATATGTGTGAAATAAGCCAGCCATGGCACAATGCTCATAAATTTTGATGATCGAAAATGGCTACATGCAGTTTCATTATGTATTCTTTCCATGTCTGTGAATGTTTAAAAATTGCTCCTATTAAAAACTTAAAATAATCAGCCACATATCTTCTATTTTCACCTTGAACAATTTGATTCATAGACTTGTAGGGCTGCCAAATACTGTGAAGGCCATTTAGTCCCTATCCTTGTACTCTGCTGAAGAGGAAACTGAAGATACGATAGTAAAGGACTTCCAAAAGTTAATTGTAACAGAGCTGATGCAAGAAGCCAACCATCATAAGGGACTTAATTTTTTATGGCTGTGGCTATTTCAGGGATGGCACCTTTGGTGTTATTTCAAATGTGTGAGTGAATAGCTGGGAAAGCACTCTAGTCAACATTGCAGCCCTCTGGTGTACCACACAAAATGAGGCAGCTGTCATAATAAGTAAATTTAGAAGTGAAAGTGAGCTTAAATATCCGGATAATTGAGGGAAATGGTTTTTAATGTAGTCTCGAGTTTTCTTCTAGTTGATTTTAGGATATTAGATTGAGATGGTTTATAACACCCAAAAGTCCCTATGTGATCTGGATTTCGCCAGCCTTTCAGAGCTCTTCTGACCTTTTCCTCCTCCTTCACTACAGTCTAGCTTTTCTGACTGTTGAATACGCCATGATTGTTCCCACCTGCAGGTCTTTGCACTTGCTATTTCCTCTGCCAGGAACTGTCTTTCTTCCATATCTTTACAAGACTAGGTCTTTCTCATTATTACTAATTTTTTAAATAGACTTTATTAATTTTTTTAGAGATGGGGTCTTGCTATGTTGCCCAGGATGGTCTTGAACTCCTGGTCTCAAATAATGTGCTCCCTTCAGCTTCCCAAAGTGCTGAGATTACAGGCATGAGTCACTGTACGTGGCTTAGACTTCATTTTTTAGAGAAGTTTTAGGTTCACAGCAAAATTGAGGGAAAGTATAGAGAGTTCCCATCCATCTTCTGCCCCCAGACACGCAGAGCCTCCCCACTATCAACATCCTGCACAGAGTGGTACATTTGTTAAAATCGATTAACCTGCATTGACACATCATCATCACCCAAATTCCATAGTTGACATGACAATTCACTCTTGGTTTTGTATGTTCTATGGGTTTGACCAGTGCATAATGACATGTATCCACCATAATGGTATCATACAGAACAGTTTGACTGCACTCAAGATCCTCTGTGCTCTGCCTTATCATCCCTCCCTTTCCCTAGCCCCTGCCCATTAATTTTTTAATCTCTGTTCAGATATTTCCTTCTCAGAAAAGCCTATCCTCAGCAGCGTGGCTAAAATAGCAACCTCTCCTCACCCTAGTCATTTTCTACCCCTTATCCTCTCTTATTTTCTCTCTAGCATTTACTAACACCTGAACATATTATGTCAATTTGGTTATATGGGTTTTTCCTACCTCTGTCCATTATAAGGTCCCTGAGTAGAATATATTGCTCACTGCTCTAGCCCCTGGCTTCTAGAATAGTTTCTGGCATATGGTAAGTCCTCAATAAATATTTGTGGAATGTATCAATCTACTGAGTTTCTTTAACGTGCCAGGGACTACACTGGTGATATGAACGTGAGTTAGGTACGACTCCCTCCCGAGAGGAACTTATTATTTAGAGGGGAAGCTACAATGTGATCAGGCAAGTGCCGTGACTCAGAGTGTTGCTATGAGAATCCAGTCAAGGGCTGCCTAAGTCAGAGTGGCGGAGTCAAGGAAGCTTACCCAGAGAAAGTCACACTGAGGTTAAGACTTGAAGGGGAAGGAGGACTTAGGCCGGGGAGTGAATGTTGTCGGTGCCCTACCCTCCCTGCTGTGGCATCCACCATAATGGTGTTCTCAGACTCAGCTGCTTGTCTGAGGGCTCTCTCTCACTGGCAGGCTGGCAGGGCTAGGGAGTTAAGTTATCCCATCAGAGCAGCCCACAATCCATGACTGATGGGAGCAAATCAATAAATACCCCATCCTCCCACTGGGAGGTCCCCCGGGGGGGTTGTGCCTCAGTCGCCCACAGTGACAACCTGCTTAGTAATGCTCACATTACTGGTTTCCTTATCTTCCCTGTCTCTGCTTCTGAGATCACCTCCAAAATAAGTTACTTTCCCTCAAATCCTTGTTTCAGGTTCTTCTGGGAGAAACCAACTTAGGATGTCTGACAAAGAAAAACAAAGCAAGGGCATTCTGTACAAAGACAACAGCTTTTATAAAAGGCCCAGACTTGTTTAGCAAATAATAAGAGATTAATTGTGAACTAATTGTGAGTGGCAGGAAATGATAGGAGATGAAGCTGGAGAAATTTGGACTGGCTCATTTGCCTCTTGAATGGGTTTTTCTAGGAAGAGTCATGGCGGATTTCCAGTCATGGTTCTCGCTATGTGAATAGGAATATATATATATATATATATGTATGTATGTATACATCATGGGTTTTTATAAGTGATGAGATCTACAGTTTTGGAATAGAGTAAAAACACCTAGTTTGTGCTGGGAATTATACCCATAATCTCGTTCACCTTCAGATTCATCTTCTCATCAAATGTACTAATTAGACACACAGTAGTAATACAGGCAAATCACAATTTCATCTGTGAGAATAAAACAACAGTTGACGTAAAATACTTTGTACCTTGATCTGGAGTTTGGGAATCAAGACCTGAATAGCCCGTCAGGAACAAAATGGCTTGTGCTTTGGCCTTCCCCTGCCGCCCGGCAGATCTGATGGAAAGAAACTATCTGTGGCTTCCAAAATGTTTTTGGTCCCCACGTCCCTGACCTCCTGCCGTTTTTGAAGGGGAATCTTCAGAGAAACCCATGCTACATTTAACTTTGGGAGCTCTCCTGTGGGCTTGTGTCTAACCAGACACTGCCGATCTGAATATTTCCTGCATGCTAAGCAGACCATTGTCAGCCGCTTCCTCTAGGTTAGATTGTTATAAATGCTGTTTATGATCCTGCTATGACAACTGTGAAGGACATGGCAAAGAATTTATCACAGGATTATTCATCCACCAGCAGAATACCTAATAAGATTCTAAATGACCCAAGATGATAATAAGATCTAGCTTGTAGCAATAAGGTATTAATAAACTGCTTTTTTCAATAAGGGAGAGTCCTGGCATCATTACCCTGACATATTTGTTTTGCTTATATTTTGCGAACAAAGTAGGGCTGCTGGATTGAATAGGAAATTTATAAAAACTCCTGATGTATGAAAAATACAACCCACATGAAGTGGAACCCATAGGTTAAAGTCAAGAAAACAGCATTTGCCTATGACATCTGAGTGCCAGACTCCCAAGCCATCGATTCTAATTGTTCCGTGCCGTTTGCCTTTGTATTTAAAAATTATATAAGAATAATATATTGCCCGCTGTTGACCACAAGGCCATAATTCAAATGAAGAAATTTAGTAAAATCACAAACCAGGAAAGTGCAGTGTGTATGAATAATGGATGAAGCGGGAACACTGAATTCAAAATGAAAGCTGAGATTCTGCCGGATGTTCCTGTTTTGAAAATAAAACTATTTGGTAGTAAGTTAATAAAAAATGAATTCTGTTCATTGTCACTCAACTATTCCTAGAGAGGGCAAGTGGCAGAGATTCGAGAACCTGCTGTTAGTCATTTTGTGAATACAGGAACCAGAAAAGTTAGCTGCTCTCTCAGAGATGTAACTCTGTACCACCTTGATTTTTACCTTTCTGCTTTGTAGCTTCTCTCTGCAACAATACTGCACAAGGACAAGGCCCCAAAAGCTGAAAATACTTTTACTGGGAAAGTGGCCCTGTGCCTTGGAAGGTTTTTTCTAGTGGATTAAATTTAGCAGAGCAAATATCAGCGCTGAAGTCAGCAGTTTTTTTTTTAATTGAGGTATAATTTACGTACAACGAAATGTGCAGTTCCTGAGTGTAGATAGGTGGAAATTTTTTGACCAGTGAATTTCTGTGTAACTGTCAAAATGTCTGTGGAACCACTCAAAACAAGTTTCGGGGCTGGGCATGGTGGCTCGCGCTTGTAATCCCAGCACTTTGGGAGGCCGATGCAGGTGGATCACCTGAGGTCAGGAGTTTGAGACCAGCCTGGCCAACATGCTGAAACCCTGTCTCTACTGAAAATACAAAAATGAGCTGTGCGTGGCGATGGGTGCCTGTAGTCCCTGCTACTCGGGAGGCTGAGACAGGAGAATCGCTTGAACCCGGGAGGCAGAGGTTGCAGTAAGCCAGGATCGCACCACTGCACTCCAGCCTGGGCGATAGAGCGAGACTCTGTCTTAAACAAACAAACCCCACAAATTTTGGAACATTGCCATCTCCCTAGAAAGTCTCCTGGTGCTTCATTCCTGTTATTACCACCTTCTTCGCCAGCCCCAGCAACCGCTCTTCTGACTGCTATCACCACGGATTAGATTTGCTTGTTGTTGAACTTCAGACAAATGGAAACATACAGAATACTCTCCTGTGTCTACATTTTTTTGCTGAACATAATATTTTTGAGATTCATGTCATTGTGTGTATCAACTATTGTATCAATGTGTATTATTCCTTGTTGCTGTCTGGATATACCACTTTGTATTTATCCATTCTCTTGCTGATGCACATTTGATTGTCTCCAGTTTGAGGCCATTATGAATAAAGCTCCCATGAACTTTTGGGTATCAGTCTGTTTTTATTAACTCAGAATGGATTATAGACTAGATATAAATGCTAAAACTACAAAAGTTCTAGAAGAAAAGGAAGTCTTCATAACCCTGGCGATGAACAAAATTCCTTAGATAAGACACCAAAAACATGAACTATAATAAACAATTTTTAAATAGTACTTCAAAAAAAATTAAAAAGTCTGCCCTTCGTGTACAAGTGCTTTTGTGGACCTGTGTTTTCATTTGTTTTATGTAAGTACCTAGAAGTGGGATTACTGGGTCATGCGGTAGATGCATAAGAAGCTGCCAAATGGTTCTTCAGCATGTTACTCCGTTTTATACTCCCACCAGCAGTGTGTGAGCGTTCCAAATATTTCATGCCCTTGCCAACACTTAGTATTGTACAGTTCTCTTATCTTGGCCATTCTCATGGGTTTGACCTGGCAGCCCATTGTGGTTTTAATTATCAACAATGTTTTAAAACTTAAAAATAACCCAACAGGTTAGACTAGCAACTGACTGGATTTGTGTTGAGATTGGAATCACAATTTCCACATTTGCTTTTGTGTGAAGTCCACACATCAATCATTGAGAGCTGAATAGTTTGGTCATTG
This sequence comes from Homo sapiens, assembly GCF_000001405.40. NCBI lineage: Eukaryota > Metazoa > Chordata > Mammalia > Primates > Hominidae > Homo > Homo sapiens. Next base: position 60,181,215 of record NC_000015.10, on the reverse strand, counting down.
CACTTTAGACCACCAGGTCAACTTCAAATTGCCTTTGACCACATTTCTTCAGTGTTTACCTCCAACTCCAGCTCCTTTGCCAATCGTTTAGTCATAACTCTTGAAAAAATGATTTAACATAGTTAAGTGTTCCACCTGACTGGTCTAAAAGGCACATGACAAAAATGACCCAAACCTTACGGGAAATGGCCCAAATTATAAAGAGTATTATTTTCTTTGTAGGACAAGCTATGCAGGGGTTCTACAACTGCCTTTCTGTTGTAGAAGTAGATTGCTCAAAGCCTGCACTGGGGCACTGGTTTAGAAGAATGCCTAATGGACATCTCAAGAAATTCTGGACATTCTCAAGAAATTCCATTCTGGACCCACATTTTTCCAACTAAAATAAAATTGCTGTCTGCTACCTATAGGTTATGGCATTTGCTGTCAGTGAATCTCTTGACAAATACAATAAGAATTTTACCTTCTTCTTTTCTTTTTGACCATCAATTTTTAAAAATAGAAACTTCTAATTTTGGAATAATTTTAGACTTACAGAAAAGTTGCAGAGAGAGTACAGAGAGTTCCTACGTATCCTTCACTAATTTTCCCCTAATATCAGCATCTTATATAATAACCATTTTACCTTCTTTTTAACACAAATTTATATACTTTTAATCCACCTTGTGGGATGTATTTACACATGGATGGATCCTAGTGAGTTGTAACTGGAATACTTACATTCCTTCTTTCTTTTCCTTGTGGACCATAAGAAAATAGCATTGTTTTCCAGGAGGGATACCTTCAATGTTCTTTAGGACAGACTTCATGTTACTGATCTTCAAAAAGCTGCCATTGCGTGATGTACTGAGAAGGCCAGGAAGCCTCCTGGTGTCTGATGGTTACACTGCTCCGCTCTAAAAAAAAAAAAAAAAAAGTGGCTGAAGGCTGTTCCCTTAATATAAATTGCCCTTTCTATGTGGTGTGACCTTGTAGCCCTGGCCACAGCTGATGTCCTGGATATTGATACCTGTCACAAAGGCACTTAGCTATAGGCTGAGCATAACAAAAATGCTGATGACACTGTAGTGATGACAATAACAACAGCAGACATTGATTGAACATTTACTACAATCAACTTTATGATCTACAGAATACTTCTTACAGCTTAATACTTTTGTTAGGAAAATGACCCATGGGATATACAACACATACCTTCATTATCCTGTTGGGGTTGCTATGCTCTGCCACTAGGGGGTAGTATCATTGCTACTGTCTTATATCCACCAAATGCAAATTCTGTTTGCACTTTTAAAATTCTTTCTAGGTCCATTTTTTTCCCATTTAAAATGAATATACATGATCTTCCAATTAGTTTATACAGTAGTTTGAATAATTTAAGAAATGAACCTGGTGTCTCATAAATGCTTCAAAAGAAGTATAGGGACAATTTTCTTTTCTCTCTCTTGACTCCATTATTTTATGTCTTCATTAATTATTCTACTTGTAATAGTCTTACTTGTTACAAAAAGTGTCTACTATCAGTAATAAATTATTAGTACATACTTTCTGTGCTTTGCACTTGCCTATAGCGCACTGTCTTTTAACCATTTATATGAGCGGGGACATTTATATGTTCAGATACTTTGGGAGGGAGGGGAAATGCATCTCATATATTGGGGGAACATGGCATAAGACACGCACTCTGACCTCAAGAACCTTACAGTTTGATTGTGGAGATGAAATGTAGACTCATCAGATTTAAAGCACCAATGTTAAAATCTCCCAGCACTGTGGAGAATTGATCAATTTCTCCTTGTAATTCAGCTAAATTTTTTGCTTCATATAGATTGAGGCAATGTTCTTTGGTTCTTTCAATCTCATGATTGTTATATCTTCTTGGTGAATTGGTCCTTTTTTTTCCTCATATACTAATGACTCTTCTTCTAATAAGAATTTTTCCCCTTATTTTTTTTTTTTTTTTCTAATCTTAGTCTTTAAAAACTTTCTTTGGATTAGATTTGACTCATACATGTTTTTCCAATCATTTCTTTTCAACTTATTTGTGTCATTGTATTTCATACTTGTCTCTTATAAACAGCATATAACTAAATTATTATAAATTTAAGAGGCCAAGTGTGGTGGCTCACACCTGTAATCCTAGCACTTCTGGAGTCCAAGGCAGGGGGATTGGTTGAAGCCAGGAAATAGGAAAGCCTGAGGAGGGGGAGACAGATGGAGGAAAGCTAGCATGGCTAGCCTGGGCAATATAGTAAGATCTCATTTCTACGAAAAAAAAAAAAAAAGAACATTTAAAAAATTAACCAGCCACTGGCGCTTGTGCCTGTGGTCCCAACTACTTGTGAAGCTGAGGTGGGAGGATCACTTGAGCCCAAGAGTTGAAGGCTGCAGCAAGCTATGATTGTACCACTTGCACTGCAGCCCAGGTGACAGAGCAAGACCCTGCCTCTAAAAGAAAAAGTTAAGAATATCTATTCTTAATTGACTAGCTTGGTCCATTCATGATTTAAGCCATAATTTCTTTGGACTTTTTATTCAACAACTTTTCTTGGCTTTTTTTTTTTTTTCCTCCTTCACTGGCTTCCCTTAGATAGACTGAATTTTCTTTATGCCCCACCCCCCTCATACTGCTTTGAAAGTTATATATCTACTTCTTACTTTTTAGTGGCCATTCAATTTTTAACACATATACTTAGAGTTGAAATTCAATACTTCTTCCCTTCTCTCAAATAATACAAGAAACTTTGTACCCAAAGGTCTCTCTCACCATCTTGGATATTTTTCCCCTAGGATTTTGATTCTTCCTTGGTTAAAACTTTGTCATCTTTACTATTTTTCAGTGAGTATTTTTTTTAGATTTGCCTCACAATTTCTTGCCTCACTATTGCTCCTTGCAATGCTATTCCTTCATTCTGGGTTCAATTGTCTTCCTCCTACAATACATCCTTTAGCGGTTCTTTCAGCAAAGGTGGTGAACAGTAATGTCTCACAATCTTTATCTGATTGTAATATCTTTACCTTGTCAATCTACCTGAGTGATAATTTTGCTGACTTATTTTCTCCTCAGCACTTTGAAGGCATTATTCCTTTGTCTTCTGGTCTCTCTTTTTAAAAAAAATCTTCATTGGATTATGGCATTCATATAGAAAAAGCACACCCATCATGGATACACGTAATGAGCACATGTAATCAACAAGGAAATGTAATCAGAACTAGGTCAAGAAACTAAACATGGCCAGCACCCTAGAAGCTCCCTCATGGCCCCTGCCAGCCGCTAGTCCCCCAGCAGTTAAACACTATCCAGATTTCTACCAGCACTGATTACTCTTGTTTTAGTTTTTAATTTTGGTGATGACAAATCTGCCAGCCAGGCACGGTGGCTCACACCTGTAATCCCAGCACTTTGGGAGGCTGAGGCAGGCAGATTACCTGAGGTCGGGAGTTCAAGACCAGCCTGACCAACATGGTGAAACCCCGTCTCTACTAAAAATACAAAATTAGCTGGGTGTGGTGACGGGCACCTGTAATCCCAGCTACTTGGGAGGCTGAGGCAGGACAATCGCTTGAACCTGGGAGGCAGAGGTTGCAGTGAGCCGAGATTGCGCCATTGCACTCTAACCTGGGCAACAAAACTGAGACTCCGTCTCAAAAAAAAAAAAAAAAAAAAAAGAAAAAAAGAAAAATCTGTCACCAACCTAATCTTTATAGTTCATCTGTCTTTGTTTAAGATTTTATTTTTGAAGATCTGCAGTTTCATTAGGATGTATATAGCTGTGGATTTTTCTTTGCCCTGCTTTACTTTCTGTGTTTCCTAAATCTACGGATCTGTTTTCATAAATTCTGGAAAATCTCACCCATGATCTCACTGAATATTGCTTCTCTTTCATCCTTTTTACTCCTTCCTTTTGGAACTCCTAAGAAACGTATATTGAATCTTTTTATTCTATTCTGCATAACTTTTAGCTTTTATATTTCCTATCAATTTTTCTATGCTGCATTGTGGTTAATTCCCTGATTTATCTTTCCTTTCATCGATTCTCTTCTGTTGTATCTGTTATGTTATGGATTGAATTGTGTCCTCCAAAAATGTTACATTTAAGTCCTAATCTTAGTATCTCAGAATGTGGCCTTATTTGGAGATAGGATTGTTGCAGAGGTAATCAAATTAAAATGAGGTCGTTAAGGTGGCCCTAATCTACTATGACTTGTGTCCTTATAAAAAGGGATAATTTGGACACAGAGGCATGCCCAGAGGGAGGACTATGTGAAGAGGCATAGGGAGAATGCCATGTGAAGATTGGAGCTTTGCTGCAACAAGCCAAGGAACTCCGGGGGCTAGAAGAAGCTGCAAGAGACAAGGAAGGAACTTCTCCTTTCAAGTTTCAGAGGGAGGGAGCAAGACCCTGCTAACATCTTGATTTTGGGTTTAAAAAAGCGTCTAAAAGTACATTTCTGGCAATACATTTCTGTTGTTCTAAGCCACCCAATTTGTGGCACTTTGTCATGGCAGCCCTAAGAAACTAATACATTATTTATTTAGTTTTAAATTCACTGTGTTTTATCAATTTCCAAAAGTATGACATGATTTGTTTCCAAATGTATTTTTTATTATAGGGTGTCTTGTTCTTGTATCGTGGCTTCAAATCTTTCTTTAATATCTTTAGTTATTTTATTTTTAATTTTTCGGAGATAGGACCTTGGTCTTTCACCCGGGCTGGAGTGTAGTGGTTCAGTCGCAGCCCACTGCAGCCTCAACCTCCCAGGCTCAAGTTATCCTCCCACCTCATCCTCCCGAGTAGCTGGGACTACAGTCATGTGTCACCACACCAGACTAATTTTTAAAATTTTTTGTAGAGACAGGATCTCACTATTCTGACCACGCTGGTCTCAAACTCCTAGACTCAAGTGATCCTCCCACCTTGGCCTCCCAGAGTGCTGCGATTACAGGTGTGAGCCACCATGCCTGGCCTACTTATTTTAAATATACTTATTTTTATTGCTGGTTTCAGATTGTTCTATTATCTTAAGTTATTAGTGTATTACCTTCCTGTTTGTTATATCTGCTTACTCTTTCTTATAGAGAATTATTTTCTTTTGTGATTTGTAATTTTTTTCTTTTAAGTATTAGCTTAGCAGGAGTTTTCTCCATCTTGGGGATGTTCCATGCTCCTGGGGTTGTGAAAATGTTTCTACAGAGTAGTTTTACATTTCTTATGATGGGCATCTCAGTGGTTTTATTGGTATGCATCCAGTTTTTACTTTAATTTCTTCACTGAGATTTCCTTACAGGTGGATAATGTGAGTTTAGACCCTACACCTGCATGGTCAAATAGACTTGGGGGTTTGATTTCCCATAACTGACTTTCTTTACCACTTGGATCTGGGAAAAGACAAAGTTCCTTTCTCTTCCCTTTTTGCTGTGCCTTCTAGGATCTTGATTTCATAGCCGGTTGTCAGTTCTAATTCCCCACCTTGCGTAGGCCTTCTCCACCTCTCCTGTTGCTGAATGGGTGTTTCAACCCCAGCCCCTGGTCTTTATGGCCCAAATCTAGACCCACACCTTGCTGAGTCCCCAGAGCGTGAGTTCACAGATGACACCATGGCAGCTCTGGCTGTTGTTCCTCCTCATTTCTTGTACCTGGGAATTTCTATTTTATTCTCTCTTTCTCATTTTTTCTTACAAGTTTGGTTCTGTTTCAGAAACTTTTTGCTACATTTCCCCCTGTATTTCTCTGCGCTTTTAGAAGTAAATTGAAGCTGTGTTTGTGCAGTCTGCCATTTCACTGGAGCAGAAAGCCAGGACAAATGACTGACATTGAATGTTTGTGCAGAATGGGCAGTACAAGCTGATAGAGGTTTTCAGGAGGGAGAAATTCACTGAGGAATGGGAACAGCTGAGCACTGAGGAATGCTAGGTAGAGTTCAGGTAAGGGAAGGGTTAAATGTTTTAAAAATATTTTAACATTTCAACTAGATTTGGGGTTCTATATAAAGACAAGGCCATGCATCTAATGTCCAGCATGATCATATGCACATTAAACATTCTTATATTCTGCAGATTGACAACTTTTCTCCTCTGTCTGTTCTTCCCTATGCCTTTGCCTTTGTAGAAACAAAACTGTGCTCTGCGAACCACAGGAAGCCAGGTTTTTGTAGGAATCACCACATGGCTTCAAAACCTTACCGTGCTGACTTAGTCCTCAAGGCAGTGGATGGCTATGAATAAAGAAATTAGATGGTGTTCCTAGAGTGCTTAAACCTGTAGTGAATGGAGAAAGAAGGCTCAAGTCAGAATTTTGGTTTTTAATTTTTAATTTCATCAACTGTGACTTCGTTGTCTGAAAAGACTGTGGGTAGCAAATCTCTCGCTCTACTTTGGAAATGCCCTCAACACCTACTAAAGTGGAGATATCTACTTAATCTAACTCCTAGAATTAGCTTAGGTAGATCAGATCACAATCTAATCTTTGTAACTATAGGGTAGTTACAAAGATTAAATGAGAAAGCAGAAGTGAACATGCTTTAGAATAAAAATATGTTTTATAGGACAGGCAGCAGACTCTAGAGGCTCAGAGCACAGACGCCAGAGGCGCACTGAGTTTGAAGCTCCAGCTCTGCCTCTGACAAGCTGTTATAATTTAAATCTTTGTCTAGTTTCCTCATACGTAAAATGTGGTTAATAACAGATGTACCTCTTAGGGTTGTTGTGGGAGTGTAATGAGATAATATTGCCTGATATGTAGTAAGTTCTCAATGAGTAGTAGTTTTAATTACATTCCTTGATATTGTCATCTGTATAAGAGGATTAATCTTAGGTCCAGGAACCCCAAGCAAGGCTAGAAATAAGATTGCAGTGTTTGAGAACTCTCTGAAACTGTCCCCCAAATTTTGTGTGTATGTGCATTTGTAGTGGAGTGGTGCATTTTTCTTGAGCAAAAGTCCATTTTTACCATCAGATTCTGAAAAAGATATGCCACCCAAAAAGTGTTCAGAAGCACTGATGTTTGAATCTAGGACTTTGTTTCAATCTAAGGACTATAGAGCTGCATAATCTTATGCATTCCAGATAGGCTCTATGGCCCCTGGTTAGTTCAATAAATATTTATTTTTATTATTATTTTTATTATACTTTAAGTTCGAGGGTACATGTGTACAATGTGCAGGTTTGTTACATATGTAAACATGTGCCCTGTTGGTGTGTTGTACCCATTAACTCATCATTTACATTAGGTATTTCTCCTATTGGTATCCCTCCCCCCTACCCCTACCCCACAACAGGCCCCAGTGTGTGATGTTCCCCTTCCTGTGTCCAAGTGTTCTCGTTGTTCAATTCCCACCTATGAGTGAGAATATGCGGTGTTTGGTTTTTTGTCGCTGTGATAGTTTGCTGAGAATGATGGTTTCCAGCTTTATCCATGTCCCTGCAAAGGACATGAACTCATCCTTTTTTATGGCTGCATAGTATTCCATGGTGTATATGTGCCACATTTTCTTGATCCAGTCTATCACTGACGGACGTTTGGGTTGGTTCCAAGTCTTTGCTATTGTGAATAGTGCCACAATAAACATATGTGTGCATGTGTCTTTATAGCGGCATGATTTATAATCCTTTGGGTATATACCCAGTAATGGGATGGCTGGGTCAAACGGTATTTCTAGTTCTAGATCCTTAAGGAACCGCCACACTGTCTTCCACAGTGGTTGAACTAGGTTACAGTCCCACCAACGGTGTAAAAGTGTTCCTGTTCCTCCACATCCTCTCCAGCATCTGTTGTTTCCTGACTTTTTAATGATCGCCATTCTAACTGCTGTGAGGTGGTATCTCATTGTGGTTTTGATTTGCATTTCTCTGATGGCCAGTGATGATGAGCATTTTTTCATGTGTCTTTTGGCTGCATAAATGTCTTCTTTTGAGAAGTGTCTGTTCATATCCTTTGCCCACTTTTTGATGGGGTTTTTTTCTTGTAAATTTGTTTGAGTTCATTGTAGATTCTGGATATTAGCCCTTTGTCAGATAAGTAGATTGCAAACGTTCAATAAATGTTGATGAAGAGCTGGGCCCTGGTCCGTGGTGGTCACTCAGCCATGCAGGAGCAACACCTTTGCCCAGGTAACTCTGTCTGTACCTAGAAGGGAAATGGTAACCTCTTGAGGGACTCAAATGAGAATTCAGAAAATCACTCTGATGTTTTTACCATCACTGTCATATCTTCCTTTATGGGCAATTTTACTGAAAGCCAAGTCAACTTTATCACTAAGGTGGTCCATGAAAGTATGGAAGGTTTACTTCAAGCTTTTCTTTGGGGGAAGTGTAAAAATTTCCCCTTTCCCATGAAGTGACATGAGAGCCTTTTGTTATTTCCAGTGAAAACGGAAGGTCAGGAGATTGGGAGACCTTGGTGAAGTATCCTAACATACATGATGGAGAACTCCTCAAACTTCACGAATTTTAAGAACCATTAGATTGTTTTCTTCTGTTCTTTGAACTTGCATTTGCATTGACTCAGCTCAGGCATTTAAACAGATTTAGAAAGACTTCCAAACATGTAAATGTCAAACTTTATTTCTTTTTAATGATGTGTGTCATCTAAATAGTGATGCCATCAATAGGGAATGTTGTATTTTTGTTATTTTCTTACCTTTTGCTCTCAGATGCCTTTTAACATATGTAAAAATATTTATATAGTGTTTCAAGTCTGCAGCATTCAGTACAGAAATGCTCTTTTCAGTTCTCCCTTTTGGTAATATCATATTTAACTCAAAAGAAGTCATAGGCATATTGGGGGCAGATAGTTGGTACAAATCTGACAAAAAGCTAATGAGCTCTCCTGTGATTATCAGGGAGGACGATGACTCATTAAATCTCATTTCCTGGGCAAGTCCACATAGGGAGAAGAAATTAACTGAAATAAAGGCCTGAGAACCTAATGCAGTCAGATTTATGGGCATCTGTATAAGCAGCCACATGATAATCAGAGCAAATAGTAAAATGTTTTAATGAGTTTCTGTGAAATATTTAATGGGTTACTCTATGATTTTTTTTTAAAGTTTGGTTGCTTTCTATTGGAAATTGGCTCCTTAGAAGGGAGGGTCCTGAAACCAAGTGGGGGTGTCTTTTGGTTGAATTCCATCCAAACTCTGGTTTCCCTACATAGACCTTCTTTATGTATATGTGTTAAACACTGTCATTGATATTCACAGCTATGTTGAAAAGAGGGTCAGGACGGTTAGAATCCATAAATACTTCTCCTTTTGGTTCAAAAGTATGTAAGTATCTGCTTAGAATTAATCCTCTTTCAGGTTCCTTACAGTGCATCATTTTTCATTCTGAGGGTTTTCCGCTGCTTGGAAGAAAATTTTCCAAAAGAGGGCAAACCATAAGCAAAATAAAGAAAAGACTGCAATTTGGTTTTGACAACTTAACTTCCCTTTAAATGTCCATTTTCACCTACTTTGTATTTCCTTTATATTCCTCAACCTTGGGTACTGGTAGCTTTCAAAGCATGCTTTAGTTAAATGACAACAGCTTAAGTTACTGCTTTTCCTAGTGACTCAACGGGGACTCGTAAATGCAAATAAATTAATTTATGGTAGGAGAATTTTAGATGTCATAATGGAGTGGGTGGGTTCATGATACCTGGAAGGTCTCAAATTGCACTCATTCATCAGGCCAGCCTTGTTGCTTGACCATCTCATATAGATCGGCCCTTACAACTCTGTTGGAGGAATGTCAGTTGACTGGTGAAGAGATATTAAGAAGTGGTCTGTGTGATGCCTGTTGCTATATGAGTGGTTGTCTCATCACATAACCTCATTTGGGAACCTCATCCTGAAACAAGAGATCACTCTCAGTTTTATGTTCTTTACCCAGCCTTGGTATTTCTAGATTCTATCCATGTCATCTAATTCTAGACTTGGAACTAAGACCCATGCTTTCTGCCATAACCATGGAAAGAAGGATCTTCTACAGGTATGATTTATTTTTAAAGGGCCATGGGCAGGATTCCTAATGGGAAAATCATCCCAGACAAACTTTTGTTAGCAAAGGTGGGTGTGCCAGTGCAAAATGTCCAGATGATTTAGACTAATTCATGTCCCAACTCATGTTCACATTAGACATCCAGTATTTGAGGCTATTTATCTTTTAACATCACAGTTACCTAAGAGAACATATTAGGGCAGACGATGTCAAAAGAAGGGGGAGAGGTATGTAGGGATCTCAGTTCACAATGTGAAAAGTGAATGAGTGAAAGTATCATATCCTCTTGACTCAAAAGTGTACCTTAAGAAAATGAAGTTAATGTTTTATAGTTCATAAAATCATGTTACAGTTCATAAATATGCTTAATATAGTATTTTGTTATTTTCTTCCATACTCTCCATGATTAAATACTGTAATCAATATTTCCTTAGAGTTTAGGAGATACCATTCATTCCTTCTAGGCTAGAATGTCTTATTCACAACTTCTTGATTGTATTTTAGCTTGTAAAACCACCACCACTAAATCTCTTCTATAGCTGATGAGAGGAAGGCCAGGCAGCTCTTTAAAAAATGAAAGTATTTAAATTGGAGAAAACCCAGCTTAAACATGGCAAGTGGCTGAACTGAAGCTGTCAAGGCCAAGCTGTTGTGAATGGGAACCTAACTCAAGGTCCTGTGGCAGACATCAAGTTAAGGGTGTATCCAAAGTTAGAGGCCAGGGCAGTAAAAGACAATGGACAAATTCAGAGTAACACAGGTTTCAGAAGCAGAATTTGTAAAGAATGCTGGGAGCAAAAGTGTTAACTGTGAAGGAATGGGATGATTGGGGAAAGAAACTTAGACATTCTTACTTTTAGGCTGGGCATGGTGGCTCATGCTATAATCCCAGCACTTTTGGAGGCTGAGGCCAGAGGATTGCTTAAGCCCAGTTCAAGACCAGCCTGGACAACATAGGGAAACCCTGTCTCTCCAAAAAATAAATAAAATTAGCCAGGCATGGTGGCACATGCGTTTAGTCCCAGCTATGCAGGAGACTGAGGTGGAAGGGTTGCTCGAGCCTGGGAGGTGAAGGCTGCAGTGAGCTGTGAATGTGCCACTGCACACTCCATCTTGGGTGAAAGACTGAGACCCTGCCTCAAAAATCAAAAAAATTCTTACTTTTAATTTGTGTGCTTCAGGTGCTATTTTATAATGAGCTTATAATTTTTTAATTTAAGAAACTATAAAAATAATTTAAAAGAAAAAATATACCCCAGAAGTAAAAGTGGCTTGCAACTGCTGAGGTGCAGGCCTGGCAAATCTAGAATAACTTATTAAGACAATTATTAGCAACTGCCCTACTTCTATATGCCCATCCTACAACTCTCTGTCTCTTGGGCCTGCCCCTGACAACATGGGACCCAGACAGTCTCTCATCGCAATAAGACTCCTCCTCCAGTGATTCCTCAAGCAGTGATTGAAGGAAGCGGTCTACCTGTAGGCCATACAGACTACTGGATCAAAAAGCACCCAGGAGGAGTCAGTGGTTGAGGTTTGCCTTCTGTAAACCTGGAAGGTTACATGGCTTGTTGCATGCTAATGGCAGAGAGGAGAATCAAATGCCCTGTTATATGAAAACAAATATTAATTTTCCCATTGCCGTGGTCTGAGTGCGACCCCAAAATTCATATGTTGAAACTTACTTGCCAATGTGATAGTATTAAGGGGTGATTAAGTCATGAGGTCAGAGCCCACATAAATGGGATTAGTGACCTTATAAAAGAGGTGCTAGGGAGCTGTTCATGCTTTCTGCCATGTGAGGATGCAGCGACATGGTGCCATCTATGGAGCAAAGGGGGAGGACTCATCAGACATTGAATCTGCCAGCATGCTGATCTTGGACTTTCCAGCCTGCAGAACTGTGACAATTAATTTCTATTATTTGTAAATTACCCAGTTTAAGGTATTTTGTCATAGCAGCCAAAACAAACTGAGACACTCATGCTTTAAGGCCTTTGGTCAGTGTCTACCTGGAAAGGAGCCTTGTTTGCCCTCAAAGGCCAAGAACTGAGAAAGCTAGACATCACTAATGCTCATGTTTCCTCGTGCCATGTCCAGGCAAACCAAAGGGGAAAAAAAATCTTTCTTTCCCTTCTCTTTCATGTGCATGGCACAAGAAAATGAAGGTATGTGGAGGCCCATTTGTGGTCAGAAGTGTATAAATCTTGTGTAAATCTAGATTCATGATTTAAGTGAAAGTGGGGAGGGGATGTAATTGAAACTACCAATGCTATTTATTTCTATTCCAGGAGGATGTTGGTCCACAGGCTGTACCTTCAGTTCATTTGAATTCCTGGTTTTCAGTCACCTCCATCCATATTGCATCTTCTTTTCTTTTATTGTCAGCTACTGCTTATTCCTAAGCATCCTTTTTACTTGAAATACTTCTGTAGGTTTGAAATCTAAGTCCCGGAAACAAGGGTGGCTGTTTGGGTGTGTGTACATTTTTTAAAGTAGGCACTGTTTCTGAGTTGAAACTGACCTGTACATGAGTAAAGAATGCAGTGATTTAAACAAGGGCCAGTAATTTTGCCTGGGCCTCAGGTGGCAAAAAATTTTGAAAAATAGTATCCTCGTAGGAATAGCCAGCAATGACTTGATGGTGGTATTCTTCTCCTGGCTCACATCCCTGCCTTACTGAGAGTTGGAGCCAAATGGGTATGGGGTGGTGGGTGAACGTTAATGAAACATTACGAGTCCCTGGCAGCAACCAGCAGAATCACAGAGTTGCTTTACTGTGTGCTCCTGTTCACCTTACATGTTTATTTTTTCCCTTCAGACTTCAGTGGTTTTTCCAGTGCTCCCCTTTTGAAAAAGATTGATGTGGCTGGCAATGGCGAGGGGATTAACATGAATAACAAATTATTCTTACACGTTTGAAGTTATAGGCCTATTATACTTGCCCTTTAGGGAAACACTGGGCTTTACGAAGCTATTGTTATTCTCAACAAATTGCAATAATTATTAGTGCTACGAGTTGGGTTCCTCGGTTTAAGCTTAGCATATACAAATCATCTGTGCCTTTTGGGAAGCTCCTTTCACTACCTGATTCACAGAGAAATGAGCTGCATGGGATAGGGGAGTATTTCCCAACCCTAAAATGTCCAACTAAGCTTTTTTTTTTTTTTTTTTTTTTTTTTTTTTTTTTTTTGAGAAGGAGTCTCGGTCTTGTTGCCCAGGCTAGAGTACAATAACGTGATCTTGGCTCACTGCAACCTCCACCTCCCGAGTTCAAGCAATTCTCCTGCCTCAGCCCCCGAAATAGCTGGGATTACAGGTGCTCAGCACCATGCCCGGCTAATTTTTCTGTATTTTTAGTAGAGATGGGGTTTCACCATGATGGCCAGGCTGGTCTCCTGACCTCAAGTGATCCGCCCGCCTCGGCCTCCCAAAGTGCTGGGATTACAGGCATGAACCACCACGCCGTGCCGCAACTAAGCTTTAAACTGTCTAAATATTTTGCATGTTAGACCTCAGGCGTTACAAAGAAGAGATGGGTAAAGAAAACCTACAGAAACTGTATTTGTTCATGAGGGGGTGGAATAGAGAGTGTGTGCACCAGATAGAAATAGTTTGCCCTGACAACCCACAAGAATGGTGGTTAGAAAACAGAGACTTAGAAATAGCATCAATGTAGCTTTTTAAGTGGCGGGTTAAGATCTCCAATCAAGTCCAAATCAATTGTGTGACTATAATAACTATATAATCTCTCAGAGCGATCCTTTGCTCATCTTTAATTATAGGTATAATAAAATACTGCAGTTAGAGAAGTAAATATAATAGCAAAAGTTTCTTACTGTGTACATGCTTTTTATAACTATTTTTTTTAGTACTGCTAATACTGGCTTCCCTGCCTCTTATATTTCAATTTCTGATGATAGTCTTCAAAAAGAGAGCCCTCCAATGGGCGGAATAAAGCCTCTACATGGAAGAATATGGGTCAAATCAATATAATGCATTGTATTCAACACTTATTTGAACAGCCGGATTGAAACCACAGCAGCACCAATAAGTAGCTGTGTGACTCCTAGAAAGTTACTCACCAATACAACGCGTCAGTTTCTCTGTCAACCAACAGTACCTATTTCAGGGTTGTTGTGAGAATCAAATAAGGTAGTTACCTGCAAAGCTCTTAGAAGAGCACTGCGAAGTTATTATCTCAGCATAACAGGTCTCCAAGTCTCCTGGGAAGCTGCACAGGTTCCATGGTGATAGGATGAGAACACACGCGTTTCTGTCTTCTTAGGAGGTGCTACTGTTCTTCCCAGGGGCGGGGTCCACTCCTTTCTTAGGGGCGCCATATTGGCATTATCAAAATGGTTGTGTTGGTCCATTTCTGGGAGGATGCTCATGTGCTCTATCTTCTTTATGAGCAGGCTGTTCTTCTCTCAGGACAGTGACTATCGTGGACTAGCTGCCTGAGTTACAACACTGTTCACGATTTTGCCATTAACAAGAAATTCTAAACCTCTATATCTCAGGGGGTCACGTCTCCTTCGGTGGGAAACGAGCAAGATTCATTTCCTTTCCCCATTACCAAATGGGGAAATTTCTGATGGAAAGTAAGTGAACGAATTAAAATGTGGTAGAATTAAGATCAGATATTAAGATTATTCTGGGTTTTTTTTTTTTGTTTGTTTGTTTGGTTGGTTTTTTTTTTGTTTTTTGAGACGGAGTCTCGCTGTGTCACCCAGGCTGGAGTGCAGTGGCGCCATCTTGACTTATTGCAAGCTCCGCCTCCCGGGTTCACGCCATTCTCCTGCCTCAGCCTCCCGAGTAGCTGGGGCTACAGGTGCCCGCCACCACACCTGGCTAATTTTTTGTATTTTTAGTAGAGACGGGGTTTCACCGTGTTAGCCAGGATGGTCTCGATCTCCTGAGCTCGTGATCCACCTGCCTCAGCCTCCAAAAGTGCTGGGATTACAGGCTTGAGCCACCGCACTCAGCCAGATATTAAGATTTTCTAGGCAGGGGATTGAATTAAATAATACCCCAAAACTCCTTTCCTTAGGCCCTTGAAGTGATTACTTTTCATATTAGGACAATTACCAGCCTACAATCTCCCGATTGAGATGTACATGGAAGACAGCGCATGGCTTAAATGCTATACCAAGAAATAGAGGTGCATCTTTCACAAACCTTGGTGTGAAAGCTTGGATTAACAAAAGAGAATACTACTTACAACCGCTGGTTTAAAAACATCACAGTAAGGTTTTCAGAGTCTTTTACAGGTTATTATAGGTTATTGCTCTCCTTTTACAGACAAGGAAATAGAATTCACCATAAAGTCTGATTTTTTTGAATCTAATACAGTGTGTCTCTTGGGATGTCTAAAATATGATTGTGCTTACCAAAATCCTATTTTCCCCTACATGTTCAGGAAGATACTTATGATACAAAGAAAAGTACAGAAAGAAAATGCAAAATTGTGGTATATGTTATGTTTACATTCAATACATAATTTTTGATACAAAATTTTATAATGTAGCCATTATATGAATTATAAGACAAATGAAGGATTCAATTAAAAATATTAGTTTATTGAGGACCATTGGGAGTGTGGACAGTTCGTGGGTCACAGTTCTACATTTGTTGTTGAACGTTCTACTTTGGATCCCGTGAGTCTGCATCAGTGCTCATATGTATCACCTCAAAAGTCTAAAATTTGAGGCTTTCATGGATAGAGGCTCTGACACCACGGTCCCCAGCTCTGCCTGTGATAGGCAGGTGCTTGGCACAAAAGCACAACCTCAGGTTGGTTGAAAAGGCACACATCCTAATTTACTCAGTTCCCATCCTCACCTTCTTTGTTCTTCTCACTGACATTTTGGCAAAGTGGCATTTTTCTTCCTTTTCCCCCTTCCTTGCTTCCACTACTGCAAAAGCCAACTGCAGCTCCTTTGGCCAGGGCAGCATGCCTAGCATGTGGGCCAGGACCCCGGCTGGTCTGCAGGCTGTTACCCATCTGATGTGAGGTAAAAATAGACATCGAGAATAAGCCCTGAGAACATTTTAGAAAAATTTGACATGGCTGCAATTGTCAAGCACAATTATTGGAATGTAATTTTGTGTCTGTTGAATTGATTTTTTAAAATTGGGCTTGGTTTTTTGTACTCTTTTTGCATTTCCTTTTTCTGGCAATTTATTATTTATTTATTTATTTTACAAAGATATTGGTCTGTGATTGATAGGAAATAAAGAAAATGGGCCCTCATCACAAATAATTAGACAATTTGGGGAACACCCACATGGAGTGTAAGTGTGCAGATTTTAGAGCCATAGTACTCAGATATGTGGCCTGGTTATCTGTAGGACTGAATGGCTTTGGGGAGCTTTATCCTCTTCTGCCTTCATTTATCTGTAAAGTTGGGGTGGTGGTAATTGTGCCTACTGCACTGGGTTGTGAGGAATCCAGAGGTTAATACCTGCAGGACTGGTAGAAAAGTACCTCTTACGGAGTGAGGCTCCATATATTTTCAATATTGTCACTTGCACTTCCAGACACTCACTTGTATCTTTGCATAAGCTGGGGCTGCACTATGACTTTTTAAAATATAAATGTTTAATTGTAGGAGGAAAATGGACTTTTATCCATGACAGCAAAAGACATCTAAGATATGTTTTTTCAACTTACATTGGGAATTATATTTTTTACTTTGTTTTTTATGTGTACATAGTAGGCGTATGTATTTATGGGGTATGTAAGATATTTTGTTACAGGCATACAATGCATAATCATATCAGGGTAAGTGGGGTATCCGTCACCTCAAGCATTTATCATTTATTGTGTTATAAACATTCTAATTATACTTTTGGTTACTTTAACATGTACGATAAGTTATTGTTGACTGTAATCACCCTGTTGTGCTATCAAATGCTAGATCTTATTCCTTCTATCTAACTATGTTTTTATATCCATTAACCATCCTCACCTTCTCCCTTCGCCCAACTATCCTTCCTAGCGTCTGGTAATCATCATTCTACTATTTCCATGAGTTTAATTGCTTTAATTTTTAGTTCCCACAAATGAGTGAGAACATGTGAAGTTTATCTTTCTGTGTCTGGCTTATTTCACTTAACATAATGTCCTCCAGTTCTATCCATGTTGTTGCAAATGATGGGATCTCATTCTTTTTTATGGCTGAATAGTATTCCATTGTGTATGTGTACCACATTTTCTTTATTCATTCATCTGTTGATGGACACTTAGGTTGCTTCCAAATCTTGGCTGCTGTGAATAATGCTGCAGTAAGCATGGGAGTGCAGATGCATTACGATTGTTGAGGGCCCTAGGCACTTTTGCCTTCATGGATCTCTTCATCTATTAAAAAAGGACTATACATTTTTTTTATGACTGTGTTGGTATAAAGATGAGGCTAGATTCATTATTATATATTCATTTTTTTCTGACTTTAAAATAAATCAGAACTACAATATTTCTATGGTCTCCTAAGAGAATCATGGCCCCTGGGCATGGCACTTACTGGTGGAGGCTCAGGCAAGTTGCAACCTGTTGGGTAAGTTGGCCCCAGGTGTAAGCCTATCCTTCCCTTGCTGAAATGCTCTTCTCCCAAACATCTTCTCTCAGCATCATTCCTCTGCCTCTTGAGTGTCTCCTCTTCTTTGAGACTCCACCCAATCTGTTTTGTGGGTCTGGGGGTATTATGATTGCCTCCCAGGATAGACTCTGAGTTCTTCAAATTCAAGAAACACCCCTGTCTCCTCAGTGCTAAGTGCATTATAGTTGAATCAATTACTAGTTACTCACTTTGGCTGGGTAAATGTATCATGGTGTGGGGAACAGTGTGGATGGAGCCTCAGGACATCTTGAAAGGAGGTTTATTCAGAACGTGGGAGAAGTTTAAAGGCAGTCTTTTTATTCACATTCTTGCTGGCATCGGAACACTGGTGGACTTCAAAACAGAAAGAATAGGCTAAGATAAGTTGGCGGTCAAGTAGTGAGAGCTTTACAAGACAGTTGCCTGAGCAGTGGGAACTCCCAACTGATTAACATTACCGGGAGCTTAACTCATACATCACACTGAGAACAGACCCCTAAAAGCTGATCTGCTGCCTCATTAGAAGCCAATCAAATGCCTTCAGTGTTGAGTAATATGTTTGGCTGGGCTGGCTCCAGGGATCAAAACAGCAAGGAGGTCTTATGTTAATTTTAGATGTTGTGGCAAGGATGGTACTGAGAGTTGCCCTGGCAATAAGGATGTTGTGGCTCAACCCCAGGGTAAAAATCTCTGCAAGAGGATGGTCAGATCTCATGAGATTTCCTGCTACAGCATCTTCTCCATCAGGCGAAACATGCTTTATTTCACAGCATTGTCCAGTTTCACCAGCCGTTGACTAGTAGAGGTTCTCAAATTTCAGGGGCATAAGAAGCACTCGGTAATCCTGATGAGCATGCAGGCCTTGGGCCCAGTCCCAGAGCTTCTGAGTCGGTGGTCTGGGAGGGAGCCCGGAACCCATGGGTTTAACAAGCAGCAAGATAAATAATGCTGCAGTTGGATTGGATCGGACTTTAAGAACTTAGCTGCTACTGGATAAACTTTGAACAATAAGAATAACTTCTTCTGTGTTCTGGCGTCCATGGTCTATGTTCATAGGTCTTAGCTCACTTCTTGGATGCCCAGAACATAGCATAATTCTTAAGCATGGAAGGAAGTCAGAAATATTCCCTCTATGTCCCAAGCCATCTCCCTTACAGATCCTGAAGTCCCCAGTTTTTCTGGCTTTTCTGGTTTTAGGGTTGGCATGTGAACATCTGCAATACAGACTGTCTATTTTTCTCAACTCAGCACTGAGCTGTGAAACCAGCTTGCTGGCACTCTGCACTGGGGTTCCATTTGCTATTAAGGGCTCTAATGAGGAGGGACAGGCAATTATTATTATTTATTTCACTAATTAGCCAGATAATCATTCATTCTGAAACTATTCAGGGTTGGAAATCTGTTCATTTGTGCCCTTTGTCTAATGCGGATTTATTTTGTTTTTTCCCCTTTTCTTTGCAAAAATCGCTGCTTTGTTAAAGGAGGGGCAAAGGTAGTGGGTGAGAAGGAGGAACTAAAAAAAGAGCAAGAGATCATTTCTGAGCTGTGAAGATAATGCAACAAGGAGCCAGAGTCCATAAAAACATCACCTTTCAGTCTCTGAAGACATAATGCTTGATGATAACCATAAAACATGTTAGTGCAAAATAAATTGCTGTTCTATTCAAATCCTTAAACGTACTACTGTGGATGTCACTGGAGATATGCAACTCTTTTTTGCAATCCTGAGGTATATTTTATCATAATTTGTGGGGTGGGTGACAGCCTTGTACACATGATTGCCTTTTCCTGCTCAGTTAGCTTGTCAAGGGCAGAGTCCTTCGGCCTTTTATGAATATAGGACTATTAAGAAATGAACGGGATAACTGACCAGCATGGAGAGGAAGGTTTATTTTTCTTTACTAATAAATACATTAAGTTTTCATGGTGTTTGTTTATAGGAAGCTGCTGTTTTCCTCTCCAGGTTATTTTGGGGAGTGGAAGGGGGATTGTTATTGTTGTCATTTTAATGTTCTACATCCTATTTTTTGTTGTGGGAAGGAAAAAACTTTTGGGAGGTTGGGATTTATCTTCAATGTCACAAAATAAAATGTTCGGGAGCCCTTCCGCCTTCAGGCAGAATTCTTTTTAAGGTAGATAATTACAATGAGAAGTTGGTGCTTAATTAACAATAGTCACTTCTATAAAGTGGGCATGCAGTCAGTATATAGCACTATTTTTGTAAGCCAAATCTCTCAGACAAAACCAGCGTGTCAGGCTGAGAATCTTTTCCTTTTTTTTAAAGACTTTCGTTCTGAGGGTTATAACCAGATCCAAGGGTGATAGAAGCTGTAGCCAGGGATCTTCATCCAAGGAGATAAGAGAGGGTGGCCATTTGTCATGGAAATGGAAATCCTTGGTCAGCACGTGGGGTAGGGATCTTAGCAAATGGTTTCACCTTCCTAAAGGATGACTTAGCTAGTTAACATAACTTACAGTACACTCTTTGTCTTACAATACATACTTCTTAATAGGTTAAAGGATTCAATGTAGTGAACTTCTAGCCTGAATGGCTTTTTCCCCTTTATGGGCTCCTGTGTTGTCAGTAGCACTGGAAATTGCTCACACATTTTGATAAACGTCAAAAAGGCCAGGCTGGACAATATAACGAAGCCTCATCCCTACAAAAAAATACGAAAAATTAGCCGGTCATGCCAGTGTGTGCCTGTAGTCCCAGTTAGGAGGCTGAGGTGGGAGGATCACCTGAGCCCGGGAGGTTGAGGCTGCAGTGAGCTGTAATTGCTCCACTGCACTACACCCAGCCTGGGCATCAAGTGAGATTTTGTCTCAAAAAAAGTCAAAAAGGAATAAACATGTCCTGTGCAGAAAGTTCAAGGAACCATTGTTCCGAGGTCTTCAACTGCACCTACCAAATTTTCAGAAGCTCTATCAGAGGCAATTTTTTATGCCTCAGTATCCTGGACATATCAGGGTTCATTCTGGTAGGTGCAGCAGCAGGAACAATGTCCTAGTATCTATTTTACCCACCACCACAGTGATAAAATATTTACTGAGAGGAATAAAAAGAACTTTACAAATAAGTTCTTTACAATGTTGAATGTATAGATCCTATCACATTAATTTACTGGGTATCTTTATATTTTATATAGGAGAAAAGTAGAAAGAAATGTAAATGAAAGAAATGTTTATTCTACTTAAGAGTGAGAAACAATTACTAAATCCAAGGACCACTTTAATATAGGACTGGCATGTTAAAAGGAATTTGATTATTTTAAATAATTCTGCTCTATTCTTGGAAGCACTTTCAAGAGCTCTAAAGATAGGATGGTTTGAAGGTACTAAAAAACTAGTCAAGCTGCATTTTTCAAAGATTTTAAATAACCTAGACTTCTCCTGAAGGTGATGTCACCAACTTACATGCACTGCATGATGACTAGGAAAAAGAGGTGCCAGAGGTCGGCTTCTATACTAGCCACTTGAAGGGACAGAATTTTGTGGTGATTATTCAATGTAACAAGGCTTAGAAAGCTAAGAAAAGAAAAATAGCTGAATAGAAAGCAAAAATGGAAGTGGGTGTGATGAGCTGGAAGCTGTCTTCCCATTGCAAGGTTCTATGTGTAGTTCCACATCCAGGTGGCTGTGGGAACATTGCCTACTGTGTAGATACCCAGTGGCAGCAGCTGGGACAGTGTTTGCTCCTCCTAAGCACAGGCTTCAAAAGTGTGGCACTTTTTCAGACACATACCAGGGATTCATCAAGCTTTGCAAGCAGGGGTTGCAAATGGGTTGAAGATGAGAGC
The DNA here is from genome assembly GCF_000001405.40 of Homo sapiens. Classification (NCBI taxonomy): domain Eukaryota; kingdom Metazoa; phylum Chordata; class Mammalia; order Primates; family Hominidae; genus Homo; species Homo sapiens. Next base: position 60,159,835 of record NC_000015.10, on the reverse strand, counting down.
CTGAGGTCTATATAAGACTAGTCTTTCCAGGTAAACTGGCTTGTTGTGACGGATTTCCTCGTCCATCTCATCAATAATGATTTCCCTCCAACATATCAACATTTACCTGTATTAGGGCCTTTGCTTTTGCTGTTGCCTCCTTGAATGTTCCTCTCCCAGATATCTGTGTGGCTTGCTGTCTACCTTCATTGAGGATTCTGCTCGAATGTCATTCATTGGTGCTGCCTTTCTTCTGCAACCACCCAGCTGAGAATAACTTCCTGTCACACTCTATCCCCACCTTCCCTTTTTGCCTTCCATAGTACTTAATATCATCTGATGTACAGCATTTTATTTGTCTCTGACATTAGAAAGTAAGTTCTATGACAGTAGGGTCTATGCTGTGTGGAACCTCCAGACAATGGAAGTTGTTCACTGTGCCTCAAACAGTACCCATCATATAGGAGGAACTCAGTCAATGTTTGTGGAATGGATGAGTGAATAATAACAATTATTTTGCTGTTTTGTGCACTTACCTTGTGCCGAGCTCCACACTGAGTTTCCACGCCCTTGAGCACATGCCATCCATGATGCCCTACAGGTAGATCACTGTTGTTACTTTGCATCCTGTTTCACAGATGAAGTTGTATTCCTGGTGGCCCCACATGCACAGAACTCTGCTCTAAGGAATACAGAGCTGCCCTGAAGATACTAGGACTGTGCACCTTTCTCTTTAATAAAGAATTTGTTATTACACACAATTTGTTTTTTGTTTTCTTTTTTTCTTTTCTTTTTCTTTTCCTTTGAGACAGAGTCTCACTCCGTCACCCAGGCTGGAGTGCAGTGGCATGATCCTGGCGCACTGCAACCTCTGCCTCCTGTATTCAAGCGATTCTCATGTCTCAGCTTCCCCAGTAGCTGGGATTACAGGTGCACACCACCACACCTGGCTAATTTTTGTATTTATTTACTTATTTTTTTGTAGTAGAGACAGTGTTTCACCATGTTGGCCAGGCTGGTCTCAAACTATTGGTCTCAAGTGATCCACCTACCTTGGTCTTCCAAAGTGCTGGGATTACAGGCGTAAGCCACCGCAACTGGCCACACATAATTTGTTTTAAAAGATAAAGAAAACATCAAAGTTGTGGAGAAATTAGCAGGGAAGGAGAACTTGACTCAGAAGGATCTTAATTTCAACAGATTTCCCTGAGGGGGCTTTTTCCCTCAGGGTTGCTATATTTTGGGGAGGGAAGAGGATACAGAATGCCTGGTTAAATTTGAATTTCAGATAAATAATAAATGATTTTTTTTAGTTTAAGTATATTCCACATATTGTATGGGACATATGTATGCTAAGAAATTATTCATTGTTTTTCTGAAATTTAAATTTAACTGGGCATCCTGTGTTTTATCTGGCAACCCTAATTTTGTTGGTTTTCATTTCTAACAAAATGGAGGAAAAATAATAGTGAAAATAAGAGTAATAAAAACAATCGCAGTTATCACTTCTGCCCCTCAGGAACTGTGTGCCCTTGCATAAGTTATCTGTAGTTCTTAAAAGAGCCTTGAAGCTCAGAGAGGATAAGTAATTTGCCCAAAGCCACACAGCCAAAAAGCCCATTTTCCTCCCATAACACCCGTCATCATCTGACGTAAAATATTTTAATTTTTAATCTCCCCCAATAGAAAATAAGCTCTATGAGGACAGGTCTGTGCCCCTAAAGAACCTCCTGATGCCTGGGTCCCTCTGACTTCAAAACCAAAGTTTCACATGACCCCACTAAGTTCTTTGAGGTACTATGTTAGAGCCAATCTAAAAGCAAGAAGAGCCACTTCTAGCTGAACCCCCAGAGGAGCAGCCAGGGTCTGAGTACCCATCTCTACCTCCTTGGGCCTCCCATTGTTTTTTTGTTTTTTTTTGGGTTTTTTTTTTTTTTTTTTTTTTGAGATGGAGTCTTGCTCTGTTGCCAGGCTGGAATGCAGTGGCGTGATATTGGCTCACTGCAATCTCCGCCTCCTGGTTTCAAATGATTCCCCTGCCTCAGCCTCCTGAGTAGCTGCGACTACAGGTGCGCACCACCATGCCCAGCTAATTTTTTGTATTTTAGTAGAGACGGGTTTTCACCATGTTGGCCAGGATGGTCTCGATCTCCTGACCTTGTGATCTGCCCACCTCGGCCTCCCAAAGTGCTGGGATTACAGGTGTGAGCCACTGCCCCTGGCCGGGCCTCCCATTCTAAGCAAAGTCTGGTAAATCCTTCGTGGTGTCATTGAACCACAGGACTTTCTTGTTATTACTTTTTCTAAAAATTCACTTGAAAATGAGTATGAAAAGTAAACAGCAACAGCCTGTGTGATTTCAGTTCTACAGTCACATGCGTTTTATTCTAAATGACAATATTTAACAACAAAATTGCTTCATTTCAACTTCATTGCATTCCTTCAAGTGGTAGTGCTATAATTTAGAAATAATAAATGCAACAGTGAATATATTGCCTTCATTAATCCCCAATACTGCTTATTTTCAGCACTTTTAAATTATTTGGGTGTGCTCAATAGATTTAGTTGAAGTGGAAAAGAAATTATTCAAATTTCAGACCATTTGCAATTATCAATTTATCTGCTGTTTTCCAGCCAAGTAACTGAACTTCAAAGTAGCATTTAGTTTGAATGATTTCTTCTTCATCCCCTGCTTGGTATGAAACAGTGAATTAGTCAAGTAAAAATGTCTTTGGAACTGAAGGTGCCATAAACAAGGGTATCATAGCCTCTGAATTATCAGCCAGCACAGCTGATGTTGATTGCATGTCATGGTGTCCCAAGGACATCCAGAGTGACAGTGGAAACTTTCTTCCTCTGTGCGTAAAGTGAAGAATTAGGGCAATCATCTAAATATTTTACTTCTAACCTTCTCTTTGCTTGATTCCCAAATAATTGAGGAAAAGCATGAAATTTTAAAGTCTGTAAATACCAGAACTTAAGCCCTGAGTTGCCAGATAAGGTACAGAATGCCTTGCTGAATTATCCTACATACTTCACATTTATGATCATCCAGTCTTCACAACAATCCAGTCAATTAAGCGTATTGTTATCCCATTGTAGAAATACTGGAAAATGAGGCTTGGAGAGCTTAAGGCGTTTGCCTAAGATCACACAAACGTGGTGGTGGCTGGGGTCTGTATAAAAACCATTCTGGTTTCACCCCTACACCATTATGCTTTTCTTACTTATTTATTTATTATTATTATACTTTAAGTTCTAGGGTACATGTGCACAACGTGCAGGTTTGTTACATGTGTATACATGTGCCATGTTGGTGTGCTGCACCTGTTAACTCGTCATTTAGGTATCACCATTATGCTTTTCTAATCACATGGAAATGACCAGTTGCGGGTAGGATCATGGGTCTCTCTACTTTTTTTAAAGGATACAATACAGTCTCAAATTCATACGGGTAGGTTCAAGGTTGAGTTTTGCAGGTATAGTATAGGTTTAAGGCAAACATGTAGGATTCATCTTATTGGCAAATGGGCTGGCACATCCTCTTACTATTCCAAAGAACCCCCTAACTCTGGGAAAAATATAAATTCAAGGAGTGAAATGCAATGGCAATAATTGGACAAAACTTCAAATGAATGAAAGCAGCTCCCAAACAATTAGTTGTTTTAAACTCCATAAAACTCTATTTCATTTCATTGTAAACTCATTATGGATTGCCCTAAGGTTTTAAAATCTAACTTTGGAGTTCTCGAATTATGGATTTGCTTAAACTCAGGCTCCATCTCCTTCCTAGATAATGAGCAAGTGTATCTGCAAATGGGCCACAATGAGGGTCTCATCATAAACATTTCTTCCTTGATATCTATTGCATCTAATTATTGAAAAGATGATGAAGCAACATTTTGAGAAAATTCAAAAGAAGAAAACAGCACCCACGACACAGCGCAACTGTTTTCATTTTTGCACATTCCTTTCCTGTTACTAATTTCTGAAGTGGCCGAACTGACAGAGATTCCACAGTGCTTGTTAGAAATGAATTCATGGTTTCTGTCAAGAAGAAACTGCCTACATAGAAGAAAAGGCAGATGAGGAAAGAAAATCCATCTTGCAGTTTGATGCAATTCTATTTTTGTTCTTTAACAAAAATTCCATAAATGGGGCATGCAGAGAAGTGTTAAGTAGCCTTTTCTGCTTTTACCTTAATTATTCTTTCACTTCGAAAGCACTGAGGACCTGAAAACTGGTTCCTGGGTTCTGAGATTCAAGAGAGACTCCTCAGTCCATCCAGAGCTCATTTACTAGCATTGGCAGGCTCCTGGTACTGGGTTAAATCCTAGAAATAAGCAAACCCGTACTGAACTCGAACTTGCGCTGCAACAGAAGTCTGAATTATGTGGATACATAGCGTTGTACTAACAGACTCCAGTGACTGATGTGACAAGAAAGATCAAAGTGTCAGAATTATTGTAAAAGAGATTGTCTCAACCTAGGACAGTTGTCACATGTGCCAGGAAGAACTGTGGCTATTTGGTGATGGCTTTTGCCCTCCATCAGTTAACAGTAATCCCCAAAATGAGAATACTAGTAAAACACATAAAGAAAATGATGATTTGCCAGACAATTAAGGGAATTCAACTGCAGCCCCAGTAGAGCTTCCTTGTTATGTAATACTACGTGCAAATTATTCGACCATAGGATCAATGCAGGGGCCACGGAGGATCGGCATACACTAGCAAGAAGTGAAATGATTTACATTTGGAAGCCACAGCTGGTATGAAAATAAACATTGAATCAGTTCCTTCCTGTAAGAGCATGTTCCATTAGAGTAACTATGGTAGGTGATATTTTTCACATTTTAATTGGTGTTTTGCTGATTTTATCAGAATTTCTGCTGATCAAAGCAAATTGGCTATTTATTTATTTTGCAATGAAGCTAACTGTTTACTGCAAGTTTAATGTACTGTAATGAATTTTAAATATCCTCCTAGTCAGATTACAGCATTTGAATCAAGACATCCTTGTTAACTTAAATTATTAATTACTTGAATGGACAAAAGGTAACTTGCAGATATAATGTCATGTTTTAAATGGATCTAAATTGTATAAAATGTTGGGCCTGCATTAGAGGATGTTGGGAAAACAAAAACGTTTTCCCCTTGCAGTCAGCTTAACCCACTCATACCTGCGTAGTTTTTAGATGTATGATAAATACTTTCATTATTAGTTTATTTTCTGTAGCTTACAGAACAATAAGTTCTTATGTTATTTACACTCCAGTGACTTTGGTTTAATTGGCTTCCTTTATGTTATTTATATAAATATAAATCATACTGGGTTTTAAAGTATTAATGATGCATTTTATGTTATAATGCTGTTTTCATCCAGGCTAGCACTCCATAAATTCACACCATCCATGGGTAACAGCTAAGGAACTTTACAAAATCTACTTCAAAAGTTGAAGCAAATGCACTCTGAACCTCAGCAGAACTCATGCATGAGATGAAAAGATCCATTGAATTACATTTCATTTGCAATTGAGTTAGCAAATTAATTTATTCAAATATATCTGGAGGGCAATTCTCAGGTCTGTATGCTTGGGAGACTACATAGATTTTTTTTTTCAAGGCATTATAACAATGCTAGGCTTAAAACCCCATTAAAAACCTAGGTTTTGAGTCTTGCTTCCACTAGTTGCAGAAGCATGGGTGAGTCTACTGAAGCTGTCAGACATCACATCTCAAGTAAAGAAGTTGATTGAAAGGTCTGGCTCTATTTAAATTTCTGCAGTCCTAGGTTTTTATATACCCATTTGGTGATCTTTGAACATTTTTATCTCAAATCCTAATATAATATTATGGGTAAACAGAATCCTGTTATGTAGCGCACATTTTAAAATAAACTTTAGATTTTACAGATACTTGAGCTTTTCTAAGCGATTCTCTACATATTGGCATCTTTGATAAAAAGTATTTAAAAAATAAAGTCAATAAAAGATATTGTCGCATGTCATTTTGATTATTGGCTAAAAAACGATGTACCCTAGGAGGAGGCAAACAGGTAAACCTACATGGTAAGTTTAATAATTGTAAAATGCGATTCGAGCAGTAATTTGATTTTGGCTTACTTAGGGAATGTTAGGTGCCGTCCACAGCACAGCCTTGATTTTCGTGGTGACAAAAGGTAGTGCCTGGAGAATGATGAAATGCTTATTGAGCATTCATTTCTGAAATGCCACTTGAACTCTACCCAAATGCAAGTTTTCTTATCTAGAGCCATGTGATATGAGCTGGTTCATTTGTCTTTGTTCCCACCTTAGCATGCTGAATTTTCAAAGTGCCAAAAGCATTCCAGAAAAAGATGATTTTATTCTACAGTGTGGATCTGTTGAAAGAACTCTTGGAATTCAAGAGATCTTCCTAGCTGGAAAACATTGGTCAAGTTACTTAACCTCTCAGCCTTGGTTTTCTTACTTGTAAAACAGAAATATTTGGAGTTCTTGCTTTCTTGGTTGTTCTGATAACTAAGTGAAATGAGGTATGTGGAGCCTTGGTACAGTACCTTGTTCCTAATAGTTATTCAATCATTAGGATGTATTAGTAATGCATCTTCGCCATAGTTGTTCTGTAGCTTGGGAAGATATCAACAAGTAAGTCATTCTGCTGCCTATGGCTTATTTTCTGTTTATCTTTTTTTTTTTTTTTTTGAGATGGATTCTTGCTCTATTCGCAGGCTGGAGCACAATGGCGTGATCTCAGCTCACTGCAACCTCCGCCTCCCGGATTCAAGCAATTCTTCTGCCTCAGGCTCCTGAGTAGCTGGGACTACAGGTGTGCGCCACCATGCCCGGGTATATTTTTTATTTTTAGTAGAGAAGGTGTTTCACCATATTGGCCAGGATGGTCTCGATCTCCTGACCTCGTGATCCGCCCACCTTGGCCTCCCAAAGTGCTGGGATTACAGGTGTGAGCCACCGCACCCGGCCTACCTATGGCATATTTCCAACTCAGATGGAGTTAATAATGTCATTGAAAAGGGGGCAGAATGTCTGATGTCTAAAACACTACGCGAGACAGTAGAAAAAGAACTTGCAGACTGTGGCAGCTGTTCTCAATATGAATTGCCCTAAAAAGAGAGTAGGGTGATCGGCTGGTGGGAAGAAACTGAGAAAGATAGCTCGCTGGATTCACACTGTAGCTGTTGAGGGAGAAAGTCATGTAGCCAAGTTGGTGGGTGTGGCATGTATTTACTACTTTGCCTTGAATAGCTCTTTCGGTTTACAAGGCACTGCCACATTTTCTCACTTTGTCTTCATGCCAGCTCAGTGATGCAAGTAGCTCAGATGTAATCTTCCCATTTTACAGACGGAGTTGTTGAGGCTCAGAAGGGTAAAGGTGTTTGTGCAAGGCAGAACTCAGATCAGGTCTTCCTTCTCTTAGGAGAAGTCACCTCAACAAGTAGTTTAAACCCAATAAAAATAGCTAACAAAAATTAAAACAATCCATTGAATTCTCACAACCATCCAATGAGTAGTAGGTACACTACCATGAACTTCATTTACAGATAAGTAAACTGAGGCACAGAAGGGTGAAGTAACTTGTGGAACATCATCCAATTAGTGGGAAACCTATGGTGAGAAGTTAGAAAGCCTGGCTGTAGGATCCACACTCTACGCTGTTCTCTACCACCTCTGGAAGGATCAGAATTGAGAATAATGTATACTTTTCAAACCTTAGCAAGCATCACAATCACCTGGTAGGCTTGCTAGACCACAGACTTGCTGGACCTAGTCCCAGAGCTTTTGATTTAGTAGGCCTGGAGTGAAGCTGAGAATTGCCACTCCTAACGGGTTCTCAGCCTGATGTTGATAACCTGGAGGCCACATTTTGAGAACTGATGGTCTAGACCAGAGGCACACGATCTTGATGGTGCAGACACACCGTTCACCTCAGGATTCTTCACCTATGAAAGGAGGGTTGGTAGTT